>NC_000010.11:20635000-21260000 GCF_000001405.40 Homo sapiens
GATGCTTGCATTCCAGTGCAAGAAGCTAGTCATTAATCAAACCATGATCCAAATGGCTGTTTATTGCCAACCAAGGGAAAGTGCTATGAAGAGACAAGATATGTAGCCTGCAGTTCTGAAAGGCTTCAATGAAAAGATGGAATAAGTAGTCTACGGCTGTTTGAGGGGGTTACAGATTAAGGAGTTTGTAGTTGTTTTAAGATCTTTTAAGGGAAAGGCTGGAATAAAGGAAATGAACAGGAGTCAGGATTCAATTTGTCAATAAGCAGGTGAGATCACTTAATTCTTTAAGAACTGATTAAATTTTTTAGTTTCTGTAATTAAATATATGTCTGTATTCTCTTTTGTTAGAAAAGGTCAGCCCTCATGCCAGGGGTACCTGGGGTAGCTATTTGTGTCCTGACAAAAGAGACTCTTCTTCCATGTTTTAAAAATAAACGTTTCCACCCAGAGACAGTAAGGAAGCTGAAAATAGCTCAAGATTAGCTCTAAGAGATCAAGCCAAGTAAAGCCTTTACCCAAGCTCCAGAAAACCCATTTCTGGAAGATAATCATGTCCAAATAAATGTTCCTAAGGAGGACAATGTAATTTTCTCCTCTAGGGAGTAGGCACTTTTGCCTATTCATCCTTTTTTCTAATTATGAGTTTCATTGCATCTCATCAATTTGCAGGCTTATCTCCATTTGAAATGTATCTGTTTGTCAGTGCTCCAATTTAGTGTGTCTGGGATTTATCCTGCATTTGCTGACCTCTGGAAGAGAGCTGCCAGGACTAGGTCACCTCCTTTTCACTAAGCCTGTCTTACTGGAATGCCTTAACCAATGGCTCTCCTAAGCATGGAGGATGTCCTTGCTCTGGGAGGTTTCTGTTTACTTTTGGCCTTGGTGGCATTTGTCTAAGACTGGACCCCATTCTTTTAGGGCTCCTGGCTTGTTCATTTCATTATGTTCCCAAGGCTACTCCTTGGTTACGGGAAGATCTTTTGTCCCCACTGATATTTGTTTAGAGAGCTTGACAATTTATCAATTGACCTAGATAAAAGGTCTCAAAACATAACATCTGTTTGTTGTCCGAAGTACTACTTTTTTCAGACCTAACATGACTCTAGATCAAAATTATGAATGTACTCTCTTGGAAGTGTTAGAAGATCATCAAAAGAAAAAAAAGAAAAAATTTACAAGGATCCATAAAGAACACTGTAGTTGACTGAGACACAAGGTAATTGGTACATGCTGGAAGGTTTAAATCCCTCAAAAGAGCTGACTTGGATTTGAAGAAGATAAAATAAAGATGTATGCATACTTTCTGGGATGTGTTCTGTAGGTAACTCCATGGCACTGCTAATGTAGATGAATGATAACCACAGTCAGGTCATTTTCAGATCATTAGCAACCTTTGGTTAACAGGCCATAGAAATTACACTCATTTGTTATTTGACAAATATTAATTGAGTACTTGCTGTGTACCAGGCACTGTTCTAGGTTCTAGAGTTAAAGCAGTGAATAAAAGTCCTCATGGAGCTTATATTCTAGTTGCGAAGGATCTGCAACAAGGTGAGCAAATATATAATGTATCAAGTTGTGTTAAGAGATAGACATAAAGGGAGGGAGGTTGGTATACACGTGCTCTTTTATGAAGTGTGGTAAGTGAAGGCCTCAATGAGAGAATATTTTAGCAGAGACATGAAGGAGATAAGGAAGCAAGCCATGCCAATACCTGGGGGAAGGGCATTCAGCTAGAAGGATCAGCACATGCAAAGAGACTAAGTTGGGAGACAGCCTGGTGTGTGTGAGGAAGAGAATGAGTGGGAAGGAGGTAGGGAAAGAAGTCAGGTAAGAAGTTGTAGAGTCATATAGGACCTTCCAGGACATGGTAAGGTGTGGGCTTTTATCCTGAGTGAGGTAGGAAGCCGTTGGAGGGTGGTGAGTAGCAGAGTGGTGTCATCATATAACTTACGCGGTTTAGGAGCTCACCCTGTACACTATGTTGAGAATATAACTATAAAGGCACAGGGGGGAAAATGAAAGAACAATTCAGAGATTACTGGAATCACCCAGAGGTGGTAGAAGCTTACACTAGGGTAGTGGCAACAGAGGTGGTGAGACACGGCTGCATTCTGTATATTTTGTAAGAGTAGAGACAATGTGATCTGTTAATTAGTTGGCTGTAAGGCATAAGAAAAAAAATGAATCAGGATAAATCTAAACTTATGTCCAGAGTAACTAAAAAGATGGTTTTCCCTTAACTAAAATCAAGCTATCAGGAAGGAACAGTGTGGGTGTAAAGGGATTACAAGGAGCTTGATTTTAAGCAAGTTCCTTTGAAGATCCTTGTTAGAGTTCCACAAAAAGACATCATTAGGCTGTTAAATAGACAAGTATGCAGGCCAGGGGGAGGTCCAGCATGTAGAAATACATTTGAGAGTCTTCAATATACAGATGCAAGTAGGGTGAGATTACCTAGGAGGTGACATGAAGAGACAAGGTCCATGGACCAAGCCCTTGGTCACTTGGACTTAGAAGTACAAGGAGAAGCAACTAGTGTGGCCGAGGGAAAAGCAAGACTAAGGAGTCCCAGGTGAGATAAGGAAAATATTCAAGATGGAGGTGGTTAGTGCATGTGTAAGCATAGTTACTGATAGGGTGAGAAAATACTCAGAGTTGACCCTTGGGTTTAGCCATATGAAGATCATCAGAGACCTTGGTGAGAGCAGTTTTGGTGCAGTGATAAGGGCCAAAGGCAATTTCAGTAGGAATAAGTGACAATAAGAGGAGAAAACTAGAAATAAGACAGACAATGTATAAGTCAGGACTCTCCAGATAAACAGAGCCAATAGGAGGTATATGGAGAGAGAGAGAGAAAAGTTTATTTTAAGGAACTAGCTCATGTAACTGTGGAGGCCAACAGGCTGAAGATAAGGGAAGATCTGCTGTTGCAGCTCAGGTCTCAAGGCCATCTGCAGGTAGAATTTCTTCTTCTGAAGAGGTCAGTCATTTTCTCTGAAGGCCCTCAACTGATTGGAAAAGGCCAACCTACATTATGGAGAATAATCTATTTCAAAGTCTACTGATTTAAATGTTCATCTCATGTTAAGGTACCCTCACAGAAATATCTACTGTTTGACCAAATATCTGGATGCTATGGCCTAGCTAAGTTGACACGTAAAATTAACCATCCTAGAGAAGTCCAGGAGAGAGTGTGTGTGTAGAAAAGAGATAAATTGGGCAGTAGGTGGACAGTAGGTGGAGGGGAAATTACTTTTAAGATAAGAGAAATATGCCAGGCACTGTGGCTCATGCCTGTAATCCCAGCACTTTGAGAGGCCAAGGCTGGAGGATCACCTGAGGTCAGGAGTTTGAGACCAGCCTGGCCAACATGGTGAAACCTCGTCTCTACTAAAAATATAAAAGTTAGCCGGGCGTGGTGGCATGTGCCTGTAAACCCAGCTACTCAGAAGGCTGAGGCAGGAGAATTGCTTGCACCCGGGAGACAGAGGTTGCAGTGAGCCGAGATTGTGCCACTGCACTCCAGCCTTGGTGACTGAGACTCCATCAAAAAAATAATAATAATAAATAAGAGAAATAATAGTATGTTTTTATGCTAACAGCAATGAAAGTGAGAAGGTAAAACTGATGATTCAGAAGTGAGAGGGGAGAATTGCAAGAACAATGCTCTTGAGTAAGTGAGAGGACTAGGATCTATGCACAAATAGAAGAATAGAAGGGGTGGTATTTGATAGGAGCCAGGGAAAGTCTTCCATGTTCCAGGAAAATGGCTACATCGATGTGTCAGCAGGAACTTAAAACATTATCTTCTGAATGCTTATATCTTCTTACAAAATAGGAAGCAAAGTCACCAGCTAAGGGTAAGGAGGACAGAGAAGTAGTAGAGGCTTGAAGATCCAAGAAAAGACAAAACTTTTATCAAGTACAATATGGAATTGAATAGACAAGAAATTGAACAGAGTTTTCAGGTAACACTCAGGAAGGACCTGTAAACATTCATTATTATGAGTTTAAGGTGTGATCAGCCTGCATGGTTGTGTGTGTTTGCAGCCATGTTCAGGTGAACCATTGCAGGGGCAGAACAGGCTAAGAGCATAAATTAATTGGACCATGGGGCTTTGCTGTCCAAGGACAATAAGGGTTAAAAGGGATGAAGGAGTTGAGAGTTCACTCAAGAGAGTAATTATAATGATAAACCATGAAATCTAAACTGTTTAAGAAAACGAGTAAGAGGGTGATGAAGGATAGCAAAAAGCTGGGAGGATCAGCATGGATGGTTGGTCTTGTTGGGGCTGAGGAATCTTTGAAATATGGATGCTAGAGGGAGTGAACTAGAAAGCTAGCAGGTGATGGCTGGAGAATACTCAAGTTGAGACTACAGAGATGTTTTATTGACAATGGTACCTTCGAAAGTGAGCATGGCTGAGGACAGGATCATCTGGGGAGAGGAGACAAAGATTTCAAATAGCCAAAATATTGAAATCCCCATAATTTTGACAAGAACAAAATTGGAAAGTGACAATGAGTGCAGGCTTTCATCCCGAATGAGACAAGAAGCTATTGGAGGGTTCTCAGCAGAGTGGTGTCATAGTCTAACTTAGGTAGTTTAGGAGTTCACCCTGTACACTATGTTGAAAATACAACCATAGAGGCACAAGAGGGGAAACGAAGAAAAAAATCGGAGGCTATTGAAATCACCCAGAGATGGCAGAACCTCGCAATAGGGGAGCAGCAACAGAGGTGATGAGACATGGTTGGATTCCGTGGATATCAAAATCATCATAATTTTGACAAGAACACAGTTGAAGAATGACAGTGAGTCAGGAGCTGAAATCTCTGAGAGTCAAGGGAAGTGGACTGGGGGTTGTGGGTTGGATAGTCTGAAAACATGGTGCACACACTTCATGGAATGATCCCTGCCTGCCCCTCACCATAGGCTGGAGCAGACATGGGGTCTCAAACTCCTGAAAAATGAAAATTAAATCCTAAGCCCCCAAACAAGTGAATTGGCCTTCTCCTGGCCAAGGGGACCCCGGAATAACCTTGAAAGCTTAGCTGTAATTAGATGGGGGTGTCAGACACAGCTCATTATACCCCCTCCCTGGCTTACCACGATTGAGCTTTCTTCCCTAAGGACTAAAAAGAGAGCAGCTCTTTCAAAAGACTCTACTGCTGATATTAAACAACTGCCTGACATGGCCCCATCTTTTTGGCCTGATAAAGGAGCAGACCAGAGTGGTTCTGCCAGTCTACAAAGGATGCACAGTGAGGGTTTTGGCATCCTCTGATTCACCTTTTGACACCAGAGGGTAGAAAACTCCACCCTCCAATCACGCTAATGCTTTTTTGTACTTGGGACCCATGAAGGGCCATGAAGCTCCATCACACATGTGCGTATTTCTCGTTTCATAAACATTCATGACTCCTATTGCTTCATGAATATGTATATTTGGCCACCCTGCTCAGCATACATGCCAGTTCCCCTTGCACCTCCCTTAAAGTATCTGTTTCTGGCTTCTGGCTGCAGGCTTTGCTCCCCAGCCTGTCAGAATGGCCACCCTGCAGGCTGCAACCCCTTATGAGAAATATAGGTCTTTTCTCCAAATTTCGGAACCCTGCCATTCTTCAGCTGACACTCCATTGAAAGGTTTTAAGGAAGAAAGCACGATCTGGAAGTGACAAAAGGATTAAAACTCCCAAATCCAGGCCCACTGAGAAGAGGGCTGTGGGAAAGGAAATGGCCACCACCTGAGGAGGTTGTCAGGGAGGACGCCATGATCTCAGGGCTGGGCCAGATTTCACATAGAGCAAGCAGGTAACAGTCACTGTCAGAGAGGAGGTTGCAGATGATTGGCTGGGAGATCCAGAGGGCAGTAGAATGATGGTAGGAGCTGGGGACAGAAGCACGTGATGTGCAAGGAAATAACTTATTATTAGAGTCTGGGGATAAGGAATTGTGTGCTGCTTGTGGGGATGGGTACAGGGTATAATGACAATAGCCTTGATGTTCTCAAGGTAGATGGTTAATATCATTCATATGTATTATTAGGAAATTCTATATACTACTGTTTGTATTATTTATATTGAGGGCAGGAGGTGAGTCTGGGCAGGAGGGGCAGAGTCTGAAGCCCACCTCCACTCCTGCCTTTGGTGACATGGGGTAGAAGAGGGGTCATCCTTGAATTCCTCACTCTCTCTCAGCTCACTCTCAACTTCAGGGGTTCT
The DNA here is from genome assembly GCF_000001405.40 of Homo sapiens. Classification (NCBI taxonomy): domain Eukaryota; kingdom Metazoa; phylum Chordata; class Mammalia; order Primates; family Hominidae; genus Homo; species Homo sapiens. Next base: position 20,641,232 of record NC_000010.11, read on the forward strand.
CAGTGGTTGTTTTCCTGCAGCCACATTCAGCTGCACCTGTGTAGGGGTAGAAAAGGCTAAGAGCTCAAACTAACCAGACCATGGGACTTTGGCAGGCAAGGACAACGAGAGTAGAAAGGGGTGAAGGATTTACAGTTCACACAACAGGGTGGTTCTAATGACCTGCCATGAAATGTAAACTGGTTAAGACAGGAAGTAGGAGGGTGATGAAGGACACCAAAAAGGATATGATCAATGGATGGTGGGTCTTGTTGGGGTTGAGGAATCCCTGAAATCTGGATACAAGAGGGAGTGATGTGGAAAGCTAGCAGGTGCTAGATTTACAGTAGAAATTGTTTCTTCTCTTGTTGGTGTCTTAACCTATCTTGACTTGGACCCAGTGCCAAAGATTTCTGTGAATATTCCAGATAATGGCCAATGCCTTAACTTTACCAGAACAAGTGTATATCTCTCAGCAGAAGAATTATTTCCAATCTCAGCTCCTGCTGCATCTACATGCGTGCCGAGATAAAATTCCAGAGTCAGGCCAAACTGGAAGCCACAGCACTGATGGAGGTCAGAGGAAATGGGCTTCGATCCTGCCTTTGTCACAAGGGGAACACCACACCTCTCCCTCAGCTTGTTTCCTGCTATTGAAAGTAAACGCTGAGCTGTGAGAATAGAATCAACATAAAAATTCTGTAATGGTACCTGTGCTTAATGTGCTATACACACTGGATAACTTCCTTAAAAGCATGGGTAAGGAATGAAGATAATTTTAATGCTGTGCTCCACTTCAAAAGAATGTTAGAGAGTTTTGAGACCATCTCACATGGACAGGTGAGCTCTGCGGAAGAAGTCCCAAATCTTCAACCAAGGTCATTAGGAAAAGTCTGGAGCTTGGGAGAAACACTTATGAACCTAGTGATTGAGAAAGGCCACAAACTGGAACGCCTACAGGGGCCTAGAAATAAAGTAGGCCAGCTATCACGTAATAGGGCATGGTGGGGACTGCAGCAAACTAGAATGGGTACTGATTTTCAGGACAGCCATGAATTAACTCCAGGTGATTGTTTCTTCCACAAGTGCAGGTCTTGTGTGGTCTTCTGGCCACACAAGACTTTTCTATTTCTGAAAGCACCCAGAATCTTGGTTTTATGTGAAATTTGCTCATTTTAAAAGTTTGTAACCAAATCAAAATATTAAAGCCACTGCATGGATCATAAAAACACACTTGTAGGCAGATTTGACTTTCAGTTACCAATGCTCAGTGTTCTAAGGCTGTATATGGGTGGTGATTCCAAACAGACCATGGAGAAATTCAAGTTTAGTCAGTGCACCCTGAGTCTTCTGTCAGTGTTAACAGATCATATAGTTCTTAGCACATAATGGGTTCTTGTTAAACATTTTATTCAAGAAAAATTCTTTCTCTTGAATAAAAGAACATACTCAGTGTGAAAAAAAACTGCAGCATTCTTAGTCCAGTCGTTTTCATGTGTTTCAGCTGCTGCATCCCCTCTACCACCACCCCCCGATGTCCTGGGAAACACTCTCAGATAGAAATCAGTGTGCAGGTGGCTTAACAGGGAGGTACTCAGGAATAACACCTGGAAGGGAATAAAGGAAGCGGGGCTGGGCAGAGGAGGAAGGTAGGTTGTGAGACAGCTTTAACACAGGCCTCTGCCAGTCCCTGGGGGAGCTCTGAAGCTGGATTGGCCCTTCAGTGATCTCCTGAATTGAGGTTGGGGACTAGATCTTTGTCACTGGATGTGAGCTGCCCCTATAAATGGGATCTCAGCCATCATCAGGCATTGCCCATCCATAGCAGCTGGGGAAATGAGTGCCCCGACCCAAAAAGCAAGAGTCTAGGCAGCACACCGCAGCATCCACTATACTTGTCAACCCTTAGCGTAAGAAACTGCACAGGGAAGTCCAATATAAAGCCCAGTCAAGCGGAGATGCTCTGGTTACAGAGTCCAACTCCACTCTTGCTTTTTCTATCCTCACTTTCTTACCCCAGGGCAGCTTCTAAGAATGCATATTCATCTCAGAGTCTAGAAACAGCCCTCAGAAGTTCTTTGCCTTAGTCCTCAAGTATCCCCTCATCTGAGCCCCTAGCGAAGCCCCTTTGGGGAGTGTATTAATCCATTTTCATGCTGCTGATAAAGACATACCCGAGACGGGGCAATTTATAAAAGAAAGAGGTTTAATGGACTTACAGTTCCACATGGCTGGGGAGGCCTCACAATCATGGCAGAAGATGAAAGGCATATTTCACATGCGGCAGACAAGAGAAGAGAGCTTGTGCAGGGCAACTCCCCCTTATAAAATCATCAGATCTTGTGAGACTTATTCACTATCACAAGAACAGCACAGGAAAGAACTGCCCCCATGATTCAATTACCTCCCACTGGGTCCCTCCCACAACATATGGAAATTCAAGATGAGATTTGGGTGGGGACACAGCCAAACCATTATCAGGGAGGTTACTCCCCACCTTCAAACTAGAGATTAGCCCTGCTGTCTTTCCCTCTCTGCCTCAGCTAGCAAAACCCAGCCACCACTACCTTCGCCACCTCAACTCTCCTCTTGGAAAGGAGCCACACCACCTCAAGAGAAGCACTTAAATACCTCATGTCACCTCTTCAGAGAATATTTTGATAGGAATGAAATGATCTGAAAATTAGGATCAAAGATCCTTTCATTTAAAATGGTTCATTCCTGTGGAGATTGTTCAGGTTTTCTTCCTCAGACATCTCCATAGCATACTTGGCTTCCTCTTTGAAGAACAATGTAATTATAGAAAAAGAACAGAGAGCACCATGCAGATTGAAATGACAGGTTCTTAGTCCTTATAGAAACCTCAGTGTTGAATCCAGCAGCATTCAGATGCCCTTTCGTTCACCTTCCAATGTAAGCCTTCTCAAAACTGGAAACTTTTTCAAGGAGGCATAACGCCTGACTAAACTTGCCTTTCTTTCAGTTAACCAATCACCTTCCCTGCCTCCTGTTAAAGAGCTCATTATGTTGCCTTCTTACCCATTTGTTTTCCTCAAAAATAGCCTCTCTTGGCCTCACCACTGAGTTTCTCTGAGAACTTTGTGTAATACACTTGAGTATACACTTGAGTATAATACACTTGAGTCATTTCTATGATATATTTTTTAAATGCTACTGGCTGACCCACATGGTTCATATATCACTTTCACCATGTATGAGCTTTTTCCATGAAATAAGGCCACATTTATATTCACAGCGATCCTCTTTTCTTCTTCCCTGACCATTTCCTCACCTGTCCTCACCCTTCTGCCTCGCCCCCTCAACCACCACACATACCCAAACCGCTAAGAGCAATTCCAGGAGGGAATGTACGCCCTCTTGTCCCAATGGAACAATTTTTGCTATTATTTTTGCTCAACAGTACATTTGGCTGCACGCCTACTTATTCACCCTGCTTGCTCAGCTAAAGTATGTCATCTGGGAAGATTTAAACTATCAAATTCAGGAAAGTGGTTTTAGGACAGTGTTCGAAAAGGGAGACACATTTGTTGACACATGTTACAGATCCACAGTTAACGTCGTTTCCAGGCATCTTGTGCCAGGTTCTCTCCTTCACCAAATACCACAATAAAAAAAGGTGACACACGAAGGCACAAAAGCATCTCGCATAACCCAGAAGCCGACACGCTCAGCAAGTACTACAGAAAAAGTGCCATCCTGCCTGACAGATATAACCTTTTCTTCTTGGTTCTGTTATTTTCGGAAAGGATAGGGAATGATTGCTTAAATTACTTAGGTTTGTATATTAGAAATTCTGGAGAATAGCATGCAAAACATTCAGTCATGTAAGTGGGAAATTTTTAAATCTCCATTAAATAATATGGCTCCAAACTGCAGTGATCTTTAGTTCTCTATAGCAGCCCAAGACTCCACTGCTTCTCCAACTCTCCATTCAAGGGGGAATCTCTAAGCCCACTTTTTAGGATAAACTCAACAGACTCAACAGTCAACAGCCTTTGCCTCTACTTACTTACACTGATAACTTATGAGGCTGTTTGACAAGAATCATCCAATGAAGAGTCAATGCCATGACCACATGCCACCCCAGAATGAAACATCTTCCCAACACCATAGATTCCTTTCCCCCAAGGGCTAACACTTTTGATTTTACGCATAAATCATTTGTAATAGAGACATTTAAGCTCAAGTTCAAAAAGACTGGAAGTTAAGCTCTTAGAATTCATAGAGGTAATTTAGTCATATGGAGACTCAGATAAAAGCAGAAAAGGAGTATCTATTTACCTCAGGACTTTTTTTTTAACTGGAAGTTTGACCTAGATGTAAAATTAGACTTTAAAGCTTACTGAGGGTTTTATCTTCCTTTTCTCAGCCCGCATACTTTCTACGGCTGTGTCTACCAAGACTTGAAAGGCATATTCTTGAAAGTCATAGACATCTAGTCCAATTTGTATAGCTTAACTGGAAGAGGCGTCTTCATCATATTTCATCAACCACATAATCAAGTTAACTTCAGAAATACCATGTAGGAAACACTGGTTACTTAAATCAGAGTTCATAAACACAGATCACCTAGAAATACTTACAGAAATACATCTAGAAATACGTCACCAGGTCTAACTAAAGGAAATATGGAGAGGTGCTTTGTGTTTTCAAAGAGACAATGGTTGATCCTTTTATCTACACTAACAGTCAAAAAATAACATGATCTCTTTATAAAATGCATCATACATAAGCCCAGATTGAGTGGTATTTATAAAGCAACATTTTGAATAAGCCAAAAACGAAAGACTTTTAGAACTAGAAGGGATTTTCTAGTTATATCCACTTTATTTTTTCAGAAGAAGTAATGGAGAGCTAAAGAAGTGAGAGAGGAAGCATTTACCCCTACTGTCAGAGATAAACTCAACAGACCCAAAAGCCAAGTCTCTTCCTCTCTCTACTTCTGCTGAAATTTGTGAATCTATTACGACAAGAGTCACCCAATGAAGAGTCAAGCTGCGACTACATTCTGTGTCAAGCCACATCAGAATGAAGATTTTCCCCAGGTCCCCATGTTCAAAGTTCAGTGAGTTTTATTCTGTACTTCTCCTTTAATAGCACTTATTTTCCATCAAATAATACAATATCCTGCTTTGCAAATGAGCAACAATGGAGCAGATAGAGAATATTAAGTTATCAACAAGAAGTTGCTTACTTGGAGATGTGAGTGGTCAGAGACTTCTCATATCCTGTGGTCTGATGGTAATCATTCCTCTTAATGGGGATTGAATATCGGTTCTGAGGGAAGAAATCAGAAAGCCATATTCTAATGGTTTTAAAAAGCACCGACAATGGTAGTGTGCTTTTTTATTTTTAAGAAATATCAACTGAATGTGTTCTTTGTATTTATTACAAAGTTAAATAGCCACTGTAATTTTCATGTCTTTTGGTAATTTATTTTCTTTTGCATTGTAGGTTAGATTTAATAACAAGGCCACCTAAATGAATATCTTGTGACTTTCCTGTTTAAGTATTTGCCAGATCTAAGTTATTTCAGATATAAGATTTTCTAGCAGGGAAGAGAAATCGAAATCCACTCTTATCTAGTAAGCTCACTTTAACACAAATAGAATCTTGAAGTCAGTACTTTTGACAGGGAAATTCTTGCTGGTATGTCTTCTAAGCCACAATTATTGAAGGATGAATACTTCTTATTTCCATTTAAACTACTTTTCTAGGAAATGGAATAGTAAAAAAATAAAGTTGAGCATGTCTCATACAAATAATATAAAAATACATCTAAGGATCCAGTGGTGACTGGCATCTGAAATTATAGCAATGAAATGAAGAAAATAATGTGAGTCCCTCAAATGTCAAGACCCAATGAGAAAAAGATCAAAAGTGAGACTGAAGGTGCACGCTAGATTATATTCCTAACAGGAAAGGTTAAGAACTGATGGTCAATCCTGGCCACTATCTCTTTTGGATTTTACCTCATTTTTAAAAGTTTTTAAAAACACAAGGCTATTGATACAAGGGCAAAGAAAAGCTATAAGGAGAAACCATAAAAACAGAAACTTACAACCTATAAAAGACAGTTCAGAGGAAATTTAATTTTGGCATATAAAGTCTTAACCAGCCTATATAGGATGCCAAACACAGTGACTACTTCTTCAAAAGATAGATAAGAAAGCTCTAAGCTTAATTGCAAAATAAAGCAAAATAAATTTGAAACAGGTGTCATAAAACCACCCCCCTTACTTTGTTTTAATTATAGAAAAATCAGGAGTTCATCTATACAATAACTTGCCAGGAAAAGATAGCGAAACTTAAACACTAGGAGACCTTTCAAGAAGCAGTCACTATAACTGAAGTCTTCAAGGGAATTGGAGTATTAACAGAAGATAAACCTTAATGAACTAAAGAGGCTTCAATTATTCTGATTTTTAAAAATTTTCTCAAACTTAAATGTTGTACAGTGAAAAATAAATTAGAAGGGTCCAAGCAAAGCTATTTTTTTTCCTGTAAACTTCACTCTTACCGTAAAACCAAAGTTCAGATCTCTATATTTTTTTAATGTTTGAAAGAGTTAATTTTTTTCTTTAGGAAAATCCAATGGCCTCAGCTCTTGCCTAAAGTTGATTCAGCTGTTCCTAATAACTTTTTAATGTTGGTTTCTTAAGGCATCTGGGAAGCTTTCAGAAAAATTCAGTAAATGTGAAGATCCTCACTGTACACCAAGAAAAAGAGACACTGCTGATGCCAAACTGTGCCATCTTCACACTGAGTTTCTAAACAGCATGTTTTCACAGCAATATTTTGCTTTGAAAGATTTAAGAGATTCAGAAAAAAAAATTCACTACATTAGATTTCCCACATGAAAACTGTTAGCTAAAAAAAATTGTCTTCATTTTTGGTTGAGTTAGTTGGTAAGATTTAAATTAAAATTACGTTTAATGGCTGGATAGAGGAACAGATGAATAAATTAGGAATAAATCAAATAGAATAATGGTAGAAACCAGGCTGTGGAAAAATGTGCTCACTATAAACTTTTTTCCAATTTTATATTTGGACATTTTCATAATTAAATGATGGGGGAGAAAAATCAGTTAAGAAAGAATGACCATTCTGAATTTTATCAACCAAAAAAGGCTTATTTCACCAGCCACAAATCAAACCAGACAGCAAACAATTTTCCAGTGAGTTCATAAGTGATTAGCTCACATTGTTGTCAGATGGAAGGTCTTGACTGTGAGTTGTCCAGGTTCTTGGCATGTTGAACAAAGAATTGAACAAAACACACAAATCAACAAAAGAACAAGGCAACGAAAGACAAAGAAACAAAACAATGGAGTAATGAAAGTACAGATTCATTGAAGTGAAAGTAGACGTCACAGAGCAGGAGCAGGCTGAAGCAAGTGGCTCATGATCTTCCCAATTACAATCTCCTTTAGTGTTTTTATTAGCCTAAAAGAATTTGGTAACACCCCTAGATTACCTTTAGAGGCCTCCAATTGGTTACATGCTATGAAGGATTGGCCCAGAACAAATCAGAGGCTGAAGTGGAGACTTGACCCATGGCCAATCAGAGGCTGAAGTGGAAACCTCTGTCTTGTTGTCACAGGGGTGAGGATGGGGCCTGTATGCTGCCCATTCTTGCCTAGAACTGGCTGCACCTGCTGTTCTCTTGCTTATGTGAACTGGCTGCACCTGCTGCTCTCTTCCTTATGCCTTAACTCTGGGTTTCCCTAATTCCCTCTTCTCCTGCCTCAACATTATGTAGGAACATTAGATCAGTAAGTTTGGGTCTGAATAGAAGAATTATTTGGCAGATATTCCAGGTCAGCAAATAGATGGAATGTGGATAAGAATGCATATTATTCATTCAAAAAAATGTATATCTTAACCTACCTCCAAAACCTGCACCCTGGAGACAGATTAGGTACTCAGAAGACCCAGTGATGTCTAAGGAAGAAAGAGAGTAGACAGGTCCAAACAAATTAGGACCACAGGAGTTCATGACTCCCTCCCCAGGTACCTCTGTATCAAAACCAGGTTGTTCTCTCTTTACCCATGATTGGAAAAGTCTCTACCAGTTGAAATCACCTGGCAAGGACCACAGTTTTCAGCAGACAACAGGAAAAGATCCAAGGTTTGCAAAACTCCAGATGGGGAGGACAAATTCATTGGTAGATAGGGAGGGTTGGGGTCTACCATGAGTTCAGGTACATCAACAAGAACCTGAAGCCCACGCTGGCCAGGGAAAGTAGTGCAGGCAAACAGGGTTGTACCTTCAGATCCTAAAGCTTTCTGTCACAAATCTTGTCGTTTGGCCATCTGAGGGAGGTAACAGTTTTGGGGTGTTTTTGCAGGTAGAGAAAGGCTGAGCTCCATAGAAGTCAATGAAAGCAGGTAACTGCAGAGCAGCAGTTCTGCATGATTTTGACCTCAAGACCCCTTTATGGGCTTAAAAATTATTGAAAACCTCCAAGTGCTTTTGTTTACAAGGATCACCTATCAACAATTACAATATTCAAAATTAAAATGGAGACTTTTTTTTTTCAGATGGAGTTTCACTCTTGTTGTCCAGGTTGGATTGTAATGGCGCAATCTCGGCTCACTGCAACCTCCGCCACCCGGGTTCAAGTCATTCTCCTGCCTCAGCCTCCTGAGTAGCTGGGATTACAGGCACCTGCCACCATGCCCAGCTAATTTTTGTATTTTTAGTAGAGACGGGGTTTCACCACATTGGTCAGGCTGGTCTTGAACTCCTGACCTCAGGTGATCTGCCCACCTCAGCCTCCCAAAGTGCTGGGATTACAGGTATGAGCCACCGCACCCAGCCTTACTGATTTATTTTTAAGATGACGATAATAAACTCACTACACGTTAATGTATGTAAATATTATATAAATAAGTTAAATAAAATATTTTTAATATAACTCATACTTTCTAGACAACAGTGTTATTCATTCATAAAAGACAGACAGTGGAGAAGAAAAGTAGAATAATTATGAATATTGTTTTGATCTTGTGGACTCCCTGAAAGGATCTTGGTCCCCAACCCTGTATTTCCTGGAACATACTTTGAGAAACACTGTCATACAGGCAATGGCTAAGACTTTGAGAGTTCTTAATAACATCTGCCATTGTAAAAGTTATCTTCATATTGATAAGTATAATTTATATATATAAAGAAAAATCTTTGTGATAGTAATGAGCTTCAAAGAGAGGTGAGTGACCAAGTTAATTTGTGTATGATACCAAACATGGCTTAAAAAGATAGTTTTGAAATAGCAGACAGATTATCAAATTTGAATTCTTCAAGGCACTTAGCTGTCTTCCCCTTCCAAGCCTTTAAAAATCATTTTTTAACAGTTTAGCAGCTTGGAAACACAATTATAAATGATTTCCTTATGTCCCAAACCTCGTGATATAAACAAATTGATTAAACCAAACCCAAGTTGCCAGTGGCTGGGAAACTGGTCTTTACCATTCAATGGACACCTAGACCTAGCCTGCCTCTCTTGTCAGGTCTCACAGAGCCCACAGACTCCCCAGACACAGCAGGAACCAGGCTACTGCTCTTTCATTCATGCCTTCTCTCTCCATAGCAAACTCCTACTTATTCTAAAGGCCAGCCAAAATTGTATTTGGTCATCTTTTAGCATTTCTCACTTTAAAACTCAGAAATTCTCAACCCTGTTTTTCAGAAAGAACAACCTGAGCCATAGGGAGAAAGTGAATCTCCCAGGATCCCAGACAGTTAATTGGCCTAGACAAGAATAATATGAAGGTCATTTTTGATCATTGTCATTCACAATCCAGTTGTCTCCTGTGCCTCCGTATGCAAAGAAGTCTACATTCCTGACTCAAGAAGTCAAATGTATTTGTCTTTCATGCTAAAACTAGAAGGACATTCATTTGTATTATATTTTGTTTTTGTACCTCACCAAAACAATGCAATGTTCTATGACAAACATGAGTTGTGTTTAAATCTGAACTCCAAGTTGTTCCAGGGCAAAGGTTATGTCCTATATTTCTTTGGCATTTCCTCTATGGATTTATATAGAGCTCTTTCACAACACTGAATCCTGAAAGGTTAAGGAATCACTCTGTTTTTTTCTCCTTTTCAGAATTATTTAATTTTAGCCCTAGCTTTGATTCATTCATTCAGCCAGCAAGTATTTATTAGATCCCAGTCACGTGGGTGAGACATTAGAGATATATGATCTTCATGTGCCTTTCTTACATCCACAAGGAGTGCCAGAAGGCCGTGTGATCCTGATAACACTGCTGTACCTCCTTACCCCAAATCCTCAAATCTTCACCACAACTACATACTAGAAGACCATTAGGAAGAGCCCCAATGGGTTTACATCACTCGTGCAAACGGTGACTTTCTCCCATACCACTCCACCCCATACGAGTTACCACTCTTCCCTAACTCCTGAAACCATTCTGCCAGACCCTCTGTAACGTACAGCAAAATCAGCCAATTCTTCAGCTATGCTTAGAACATTCCTTTCCAATGACAGCCATTGAACCATGCTTCCATAGAGCCCTCCTAAGTGTAGACTGCTTTCTCCTCCACACCTGTAGATCTGTCAGCCTGGAGGTGAGGTCGTAGTTTTCATCACTCACCATTGCTGCTGCCAGATTTTGTCCTTCCAACCTCTTTTTTGTTTAGACTCTGTTTTTTATACCTATATATTAGTAATAAACACTTCTATTAATCTAATCTATAGTTTTATTTTTAATGTTGACTGAATATATAGCAGTTTAACACCTATTGTTGAAGATTTATACTATTTTCAGTTTTTAATCATATAAACTATATTGCCGTGAACAACTCTGTGGCTAAATTTTAGCATAGTTTTTGGTTGTTTCCTTAAGACAATTTACAAAAACATAATTATCCTTGAGCCTTTTACAACTATGTCCAAGTCATAAAACCAGAATTCAGCCAAACGACACCAAGTGTGAATCATCCTCTCATTGGAGATACTAGTACCAACAATTTCTGTTGTTATAATTAAAGATTATTTCAATAAGCTAACATTAATTGAGCACTTTCTTTTTTTTATTAAAGTTCTGGGATACATGTGCAGAACGGGCAAGTTTGTTACATAGGTATACTCGTGCCATGGTGGTTTGCTGCACCATCAACCCGTCATCTACAATAGGTATTTCTCCTAATGCTCTCTCTCCCATATCCCCCCGTCTGCTGACAGGCCCCGGTGTATGATGTTCCCCTCCCTGTGGCCATGTTTTCTCATTGTTCAGCTCCCACTTATGAGTGAGACCATGCAGTGTTTGGTTTTCTGTTCCTGTGTTAGTTTGCTGAGAATGATGGTTTCCAGCTTCATCCATGTCCCTGCAAAGGACATGAACTCATCCTTTTATATGGCTGCATAGTATTCCACGGTGTATATGTGCCACATTTTCTTTATCCAGTCTATCATTGATGGGCATTTGGGTTGGTTACAAGTCTTTGCTATTGTGAGTAGTGCTGCAATAAACATACGTGTGGATGTGTCTTTATAGTAGAACGGTTTATAATCCTTTGAATATATACCCAGTAATGGGAGTGCTAGGTCAAATGGTATTTCTGGTTCTAGATACTTGAGGAATTGCTACACTGTCTTCCAAAATAGTTGAACTAATTTACACTCCCACCAACAGTGTAAAAGCATTCCTTATTCTTCACATCCTCTCCACCATCTGTTGTTTCCTGACTTTTAATGATCGCCATTCTAACTGGCTTGAGATGGTACCTCATTGGGGTTTTGGTTTGCATTTCTCTAATGACCAGTGATGATGAGCTTTTTTTTCATATGTTTGTTGGCTGCATAAATGTCTTCTTTTGAGAAGTGTCTGTTCATATACTTCACCCACTTTTTAATGGGGTTATTTTTCTCTTGTAAACTTGCTTAAGTTCCTTGTAGGTTCTGGATATTACCACTTTGTCAGATGAATAGATTACAAAAATTTTCTCCCATTCTGTAGGTTGCCTGTTCACTCTGATGATAGTTTATTTTGCTCTGCAGAAGCTCTTTAGTTAAATTAGACCCCGTTTGTCAATTTTGGCTTTTGTTGCCATTGCTTTTGGTGTTTTAGTCATGAAGTCTTTGCCCATGCCTATGTCCTGAATGGTATTGGCTAGGTTTTCTTCTAGGGTTTTTATGGTTTAGGTCTTATGTTTAAGTCTTTAATCCATCTTGAGTTCATTTTTGTATAATGTGTTAGGAAGGAGTCCAGTTTCAGTTTTCTGCATATGGTTAGCTAATTTTCCCAACACCATTTATTAAATAGGGAATCCTTTCCCCATTGCTTGTTTTTATCAGGTTTGTCAAAGATTAGATGGTTATAGATGTGTGCTGTTATTTCTGAGGCCTCTGTTCTGTTCCATTGGTCTATATATCTGTTTTGGTACCAGTACCATGCTGTTTTGGTTACTGTGCCCTTGTGGTATAGTTTGAAGTCAGGTAGCATGATGCCTCCAGCTTTGTTCTTTTTGTTTACGATTGTCTTGGCTATACAGGCTCTTTTTTGGTTTCATATGAAATTTAAAGTAGTTTTTCCTAATTCTGTAAAGAAAGTCACTGGTAGCCTGATGGGGATAGCATTGAACCTGTAAATAACTTTGGGCGGTATGGCCATTTTCACTATATTGATTCTTCCTATCCATGAGCATGGAATGTTTTTTCCATTTGTTTTTGTCCTCTCTTATTTCATTGAGCAGTGGTTTGCAGTTCTCCTTGAAGAGGTCCTTCACATCCCTTGTAAGTTGTATTCCTAGGTATTTTATTCTTTTTGTAGCAATTGTGAATGGGAGTTCACTTATGATTTGGCTTCTGTTTGTCTGTTATTGGTGTACAAGAATGCTTGTGATTTTTGCACATTGATTTTGTATTCTGAGACTTTGCTGAAGTTGCTTACCAGCTTAATGAGATTTGGAGCTGAGATGATGGGGTTTTCTAAGTACACAATCATGTTATCTGCAAACAGAGACAATTTGACTTCCTTTCTTCCTATTTGAGTACCCTTTATTTCTTTCTCTTGCCTGATTTCCATGACCAGAACTTCCAATACTATGTTGAATAGGAGTAGTGAGATAGGGCCTCCTTGTCTTGTGCCAATTTTCGGAGGGAATGCTTCCAGCTTTTGCCCATTTAGTATGATATTGGCTGTGAGTTTATCATGAATAGCTCTTATTATTTTGAGATACATTCCATCAATACCTAGTTTATTGAGAGTTTTTAGCAGAAGGGGTGTCAAATTTTATCAAGGCCTTTTCTGCATCTATTGAGATAATCATGTGGTTTTTGTCATTGGTTCTGTTTATGCGGTGGATTACATTTCTTGATTTGCATATGTTGAATCAGCCTTGTATCACAGGGATGAAGCTGACTTGATCATGGTGGAGAAACTTTTTAATGTGCTGCTGGATTTGGTTTGCCAGTATTTTATTGATGATTTTTGCATCAGTGTTCATCAGGGATATTGGCCTGAAATTTTCTCTTTTTGTTGTGTTTCTGCCAAGTTTTGGTATCAGGATGATGCTGGCCTCATAAAATGAGTTAGGGAGGAGTCCTTTTTCTATTGTTTGGAATAGTTTCAGAAGGAATGATACCAGTTCCTCTTTGTACCTCTGGTAGAATTTGGCTATAAATGCGTCTGGTCCTGGGATTTTTTTGGTTGGCAGGCTATTAATTATTGCCTCAATTTCAGAACTTTTTATTTGTCTGTTTGGGGATTAGATGTCTTCCTGGTTAATCTTGGTGGGGGGGTGTATGTGTCCAGGAATTTATCCATTTCTTCTAGGTTTTCTGGCTTATTTGTGTAAGGGTGTTTATAGTATTGTCTGATGCTAGTTTGTATTTCTGTGGGATCAGCGGTGATCTCCCCTTTATCATTTTTTATTGTGTCTATTTGATTCTTCTCTTTTCTTCTTTATTAGTCTGGCTAGCCATCTATCTATTTTGTTAATCTTTTCAAAAACCCAGCTCCTGGATTCACTGATTTTTTGAAGGGTTTTTCATGTCTCTATCTCCTTCAGTTCTGCTCTGAGCTTAGTTATATCTTGTCTTCTGCTAGCTTTTGAATGTGTCTGCTCTTGCTTCTCTAGTACTTTTAATTGTGATGTTAGGGTGTCTATTTTAGATCTTTCTAAAAAATATTAAGCCCTGCACTTCATCACAGCAAAGTTTTCTTGTCAATAGCTCTAAAATATGACATGCTGAGTATGAAGAAATTGTTCCTCATGGACAGCTATCATGTTTCAAAATCCACTATCAAATTTTCCAAAAACCAAGCTTAATGTATTTTAATAGATATTTTCACCTTGGGTTGCTGCAAAAGGGAAAGTATCTGTAGCTGCTCATAGCTTTTACTTATTGGGCACTTCTTTTATGTTGTTACTTTTCTGCTCTAGTACTCTACCCATGCCTTGATACAGAATGAGACCAAGAGCTCGTTATTTTGCCCGTTAGTTGATGCGATTTCTTCATACTGTCGATGGTCTTTACAATTTGGCATGTTTTTGCAGTGGCTGGTACCGTTGTTCCTTTCCATGTTTAGTGCTTCCTTCAGGAGCTCTTGTAAGGCAGGCCTGGTGGTGACAAAATCTCTCAGCATTTGCTTGTCTGTAAAGGATTTTATTTCTCCTTCGCTTATGAAGCTTTGTTTGGCTGGATATGAAATTCTGGGTTGAAAATTACCTGGTATATAGTAGATAATCAATAGGTAAATAAATGATTGGGTATGTCTCTACTATTCTGGATTCAGTATCTCCTTTTTTATCAACATTATTATTTCTATGCAATCAAATGCACAGACTTAGTGTATACTTTGATACATTTTGACAAATGTATAGCCCCTCATCAAGATCCAAAACATTACCATCTCCCCAAAATTCCATGCCCCTTTCCAGTCAATCCCCTAGATTCAGGTGACCACTGATGTGATTTCTGGTGCCATAGCTGATGTGCGCCTGCCCCAGAGCTTAACGTGGTTTTCAGAAGTTAGGCTCTGGTGTGTGGATGTCTTCCTAGTTGTGTCTTGGTGTTTGGATGTGTCTAGGTATATTGCTCATCATGATCATCTTACTTAGCCTTCACTTGTCATTGAGTTCTTATTTTTAATCAAATTTGGGGAATTTTGAGGCAATATTTCTTTAAATGTTTTTCTACCCATTCCCTTTCTCCATTTTTCCTAGAACTCTAATTACACATAGGCTTGAGTGCTTCATATTGCCCTACAGGTCATTAAGGTTATTTTCATATTTTTCCATCTTTTTTTCTCCATGTACTTTGACTTCCATTAGTCTGTTTTCAAATTCATTTATGTTTTCTTCTCTTGTGTCCCATCTGCTGTTAAGTCTATCAATTGAATTCCCTGAATATCTTTTATTTCAGTTCTAGGGTTTCCATTTTGTTCTTTTTTAGTTTCTAAACTTTACTTCTGAAGGAAAGTTGACTGTATCTTCATTCATTATATCCATCTTTTTCTATATATTCTTTAAATATTTATCATGATTATTTTAAGTTCTGCTAACCCAGTGTCTAAATAGTCTGTGACTATACTATTGAGTAATTTTTCTCTTGACTATGGATGACTTCTGTGTTTTTATATAACTCTTTTTTAAATTGCAGCCAGACTTTATGTCGAAGGACCAGTAGAGGCTGAAATCTGGGGCTGGGATATGGCTTTATTTCTACTAGCACAGCTTCTGAATATGAAGTCCAGGAGTCTAAGAACTGTCTTTGTTTTTCAGACTACCCCTTATATTTCTGCACTGTCACAAGACAGTTGCCTTTGATCTTAGCATGAGTTGAATTGAGTGGGGATTTGGTTACAGCTTTTTTTAGACTCAGATCACATTTACCTACAAACACTTTGAAGATGTCTAGGCCTCTCCCTCTAGTAGCATCCTGGGGCCAAATTTTGCAGGACTTCAAGATTTCAAGTACGCGAACTTTTTAGCCTGCTACAACTTGAGGCTGTGAAACTGCAGGAATATAAGACTATGAAACTCCAAGACCACTTAACGCCTCAAGGCTGTGAGAATGCAGATCAGGAAGGTGAAGAATTATGTGTTCAAGAGTAGGGGATTTTGAGACTGTGAAAATGTGAGATCATAAGATTGCCTTCCATTTTTTAAAATAGACCTTCTTTCTTAGAGCAGTTTTAGATTCACAGCAAAATTGACCAGAAAGTACAGAGATTTCCCATATACTCCCTGCCCTATACACATACAACCTACCCTACTATCAGCATCCCCAACCAGAGTAGTGTATTTGTTACAATTGATGAACCTACATGGACACATTATTATCACCCTAAGCTTGCAGTTTACCTTAGGGTTCACTCTCAATGTTGTACATTACATGAGTTTGAACAAACGTATAATGGCGTGTCTCCACCTTTATAGTATCATATAGAATATTTTCATTACCCTAAAAATCTTCTGTGCTCTGCCTAATGAATAGTGTGACCCTCTTTACCCTCCTTAGCTCCAACCCCTGGCAACCACCTATCTTATGTTTTCCACTTTTCAGCCATTGCTTAATGGCGAAAGTCATCTTAGAGAGTTTGGAACTCTCTATATCCAAATCTAACACAATATCATGCAGGTCTGTCAAAGACCAGTTGCTTTTTCCTAAGCTGAATAAAAATCATCCTTCTCCAGCTGGCTTTCTCTGCCCAACTGTTTCCATATATGAAAGTATCCTCTGTCCCTTGGTTACCAGGAAGGTCTTGTTACTGACAAAGCTGGTCCCCTAAAAAATAGGATCTTTCCCTTTTGGTGTCATGAAAGCAATATACAATACCAAAAGTGTCAAGCAGTGCAGGCTTTATTCGATGGCCATGGAATTCAGAAGAAGCATCAGGCTCATAAATCAACTTCTCAGGTCATGAGAGCCAGGAGCCCACAAATAAATGGCATCTTCAATGAAGGGTCTAGGCATTAACAGCAAAGGGAGGAATATTCATTTATGACTTTTCTGGGAACAGGCAGAGGACTTCTTGGAACTGGAGTGCTGCCTTTCTTTTTGTCCTTTTGTAGTTTCTTCCAGTCTTTGTCACTGTGATTTTCAACTGTTACGGCAATAGTGGAAGTGTTGTTTAGCATAGAAATTAGATTATAATGACGTCAGAGGTTCTTCATATGTCAAATGAGCTGCCATCTTGGATTCCACGATTTCAGCCAATTTGATCACGAGGAGGATCATCTGACTACAAGCATTCTGTTACTTAAAGATAAGCAGAGTTAAGGCAGGGTAGAAATTCAGCTAGGTCATATAGTCCTTACACTGGATAACAAACTCATCTTTTGGGAATTTAGTTCTTTTAGATTTCTTTGCATTCACAGCTAATTCATAGTTTAAAGAAAAGTATAATTTTTTGGTATACAGAAACATTTCTTGTTTCATCAGGAACACAGGTCTTGCACACACTCCTACATTTTAACCCGAAGTGGAAACCAATTGTTCTTAATAATGGGTTAAAATTTAGTGTAGGGAAGATGATGTGTAATTTACTCCTTGTAGCCTCCTAAATGACCAAGTGTGCTTTAGTAACAAGAACCATATTCACAAAGGGAGAAAAATGACGTGTGGTACTTTTTCAAGACAAATAAAGAGGAATAAATGCTGTCTTGCATTCTAGTAATTGAAAAATGGCTACACTGCTGCTGCTGACACTGGAAATGCTACATCATCTGCCTAAAGTAGAGACCTCTATTGTTATGTATTAAAATAGCATTTACTGTAAATAGAGTTGGTTATAGGCAGTAACTGTTTGTAATCAAACTTTCATGAAGATTTTTGGTCAATGAACTGAAAATAACCACAGATGTAGAATGCATGGGATGGGCTCTAAAATTTTATAATCCATCTTGGTCAAAGTTCTCCTTCTTTAGTTTGCATTAGCATCATGGATTTTAATGTAAATGCAGAATGGTTATCAGTCTATCAGTGTGTTTCACAAATAGCTCTGAATACTTTATGGTTTAGAAATACTCTTTCAAGAGTATTTCTCTTGAAAGAGTGTCATCTGGAGTAATTTGCCACTACAACAGCAAAGTACTTCCTCCCCCAAGCTGGATGGAGCTAAAAGAGGTGGTTTCTCTGTATCAGAATACTAGATTGGGACATAAAAACATTTTAAAGCATCGTTAGTCTGAGAGAATGCTTTCTTGCCCTGGCATGTCCATGACTAATCAATCATATAGTATCCCTCAACAAGGAAAAATACAATTTTTTTAACGGTTGTCATAGATGAAGACTTCTTTCCATGACACTTGTGTGTACTAGCTGAATCAGTCTCAGAATTATTTTTGTGAATTTGTTCAAAGAAAGTTTTAGTTTTGTTGGAAAATAAATTGTGTGCATTCTAGGGATATTGATCTTCTAGGAATTGATGGCAGAAAAAAAAATACCGTTCCCAAGATGTCATCATTTTAAATGGAAATTCTTGGTCTATGATCAAAAAAAGAAAAAAGAAAAAGAAATTGTTAAAAAAAATTTCTTATTTATTAACTTCTGCGGCTTATTTAATTGGAGTCCTTTACCCTAATTACCCATCAGCAACTTTCCCAGCCAACACAAGCACACACACATACTCTTTCTCAGCACTATAGTATGGCAGGCACTGGTTGGGCAATATTAACACCAATACCCTAGATGAGGAGTCCCTGAGTTTGGAAAGTGAGATCATTTCCCTCAGTTTCCTTGGCCACACTCTTCATTCCCTCTTTAAAGTATTTAGTAACAGAGGAGTAGTTTGAATATTAACACATCAGTCTGAATTTTGTACTAAACAAAGCTCAGCATACATCTAAAGAAAGATTGTTATCAAGAAAGGTATCCCTGCAGGAGGCTTTGCTTCTGCTGTGTAAAGATTTCTGACATTTCTCACTGAGGGCAGCTTTTAAAGCCTTTGGGGCCACACTTGTTTCAACAGCAGCAATGGGATAGCACAATTTTCCATGAGTAGCAGATTTTATATTTGAGCACCTATGTAGTGGAGAACTGTCTTTTGTTTTGGAAAGTACCATACAGGGCACATATGGATGGAAAGATGGTCTGTGTTCCACGGCCTGCAACAGTGGAGTTCAAAGTATTTTGACTGTTATCTACAGAAAGTAACATGTTTTACAACATAATGGAATCTACAACAAAATTTCACCTTACAATGAGCAACACACTTGAATATTCCCTATTTGATTCTTTTTTTTTTTCAATGCTTTGTTTCTACCCACATGCAATACACTGAATATTTGTGTTGCCCTGAAATTCGTATTTTGAAGCCTGAATCCCCAATGGGATGGTGTCTGGAGGTAGAATCCTTGGGAGATAATTAGGTTATGAAGGTAGAATGCTTATGATGGGACTACTGCCCTTTAAAGAGGGACCTGAGAGAGACAGAGAGAGAGAAAGAGAGAGGACAGGGGGCTGGGGGAAGGAAGCTCCCAGCCCCTTCCACCATGTGAGCACACAGCAAGAAGATCTCAGTCTATGAAGGAAGCAGGCCCTTGCCAGACATGGAATCTGTCAGCACCTTGGATCTTGAACTTTCCAGGCTCCTGTACAATGAGAAACAAATTTCTGTTGTTAATAAGCCACCCAGGTTAGCACTATTTTTATAGCAGCCCAAAGGGACTAAGGCATCATGGAACAAACTTCTCAATCCACTAATTGGTTACTACCTGCAACTTGAAAAGCAATGGTCTAGAAGAAATCAGCAAAACAAACAGAAATCTAACCTGCTGTGAATAAAGGATTGACAGGAATTTGGCGGTAAAAGGAGGAATGGGGAAAATGAGAAAAAAGACAAGTGAAAACTGAGGAACGTGATCAGAGGTTAGATGCTAGAAAAACTAGCCAGGGAGAAATTCTCAGTGACAAAATGCATGATGACTTCTAAGAGGAAGGTTAATATTCTATTTTCAACCACCTAGAAACAGTATTATAAGAGACTACCCCATTGCTATAAAATGTCATTAAAATTGTGCTGCATTTACAATTTTGTATTTGTTGCATTTTGAAGACATAGAATGGGGCTGTATGTGCACAAGGCAGAAGAAAAAGAACATGCAAACTTGGCAAGACCATTCAGAGATGGAGATAGTTCAGTAAAGTAAAGCTCAGAGCAGCAGAGATCACAGAAAACAATCTCTTCCCTCTTCCAATGTTCCTCTGCAAAAAAAATAAAAAATAAAAAAAGAAGAGAGAAAGAGAGAAACAGAGAAAGAAAGAACAAAAAATCTTCAGAGATATTTCAAGGACACTGATGTTTTAGGACTTATGGTGTGAAGACAAGTCTATTTTCTTTGGATCTCAGAGGCTAGAGTGTTTGCTGATAGTATGTGAGTTACACACCCATAATTTTATTCAGAGCCAAGCCAAGTGATGGAGGACAATTATCAAGCTTCATATTTCTGTTTGGAGGGAAATGTTTCACAGAAAGCACAGTATCTGTTGAGCTCTGTTACAATGAAAGCATCAAATACAGGGACTTAGCTCAAATCCAGGTCTCTGCTTTGCACAGACCTTCCTGAATACTTCAGAACCTGATGGCCAGCCTGCCTTTGTAAAGATCAATTCGGCAGAGCAGTCTTTGAGCTCAAATAAACAAATCAACTTTGTCTTCGCTTCTGCTAATATAGGTGTCCAATGTTTGGCTTTCATATTTGGTTTTTACATAAGAGTACAAAAAAAATCTGTTGGAATCAATATTTATTCTTACCACCTCTGACCACTGTGCTGGTTTAACCCATCTAATCATCTAGTTCCTAAATCAATCTTGACCAAAGTGAGCAGAGATCAGCAGGCTTTGATTTACCACCTGGTGCCAACTGAAACTACTCACTGCTAGGAAATCCAGCATCCAGGAAGGCCAGGGCAAACCCAGGTTGTCTATCTGCCCATCGCACCTCGACCATCAGATGACTTTTGCTCTTCTGTCCAAGTCTATCTAACAAGGGTTCTGCCTAAATTCTTAGGGGGACCCACCCAAAACTCCAGTCAGCTTGACTACATCCCTAAACCCCTGCTTGGCCACTGGGTTCTTGACTCAGCTACAAGCAGGAATCCTCCCAAATTGCATGGGATCTGTCCCTTCCCCATGCCACACACACATCCTCAACTAACACTAACTGATACCCTTCCCGAGACTGGAGCACCAGCTGTCATATCCCATGCCAGGATCAGATCTTCTTAGAGACCAGCATTGGGGCAGATCAAGTCTGGGCATGATTATCTTAAAGGACACCCTTCCCCACTCTACCACTTTCAACCACAAGTTGGCTCATGTGACCTTGCTCAATTTTCTTCACTTCACCTCAACCTCCTCTTTTTTTTTTCTTTTTCCAGAGCAGGAGCCTCATGCAACCTGTTCATGCCTGAGTTTGCCCAGGGGTAAGCGTCAACATTAGGCCTTCTTTTACCTGCTTTTTGAGAATATAAGAAATACTAGACCTTTTCTATTTCTTTCTCAAGCTATGGTAATATCTTCATAGAAACATTTTTCATGCTCATCATGTTCTTTTAGAACAAGTCTGTTTACCTAAAGCTTCTACAATTTGGTGGAGAAATCCAAATCTCTGACCTCTGGAAAATCCAGCATCATGCCTCACCATAGGGGGCAGCCCTTCTGCTGCAAAACCACACCCATCAAAAGCCCTTCCATTGTTTAGCTTTGTAATTGCTCCCTTGACCTTGTCATGGGAGCTACTCAAAATTTTCTTTTATTCTTTTCTTGTCCTTTTTTTTTTTTTGAGACAGAGTCTCTCTCTCTCTGCTGCCCAGGCTGGAGTGCAGTAGTGTGGTCACGGCTCACTGCAACCTCTGCCTCCCAGGTTCAAGCGATTCTCCTGCTTCAACCTCCCAAGTAGCTGGCACCCACTACGACACCTGAATAATTTTTGTATTTTTAGTACAGATGAGGATTTCACCATGTTGGCCAGGCTGGTCTTGAATTCCTGACCTCAGGTGATCCACCTTCCATGGCCTCCCAAAGTGCTGGGATTACAGGTGTGAGCCGAGCCATCACACCTGACCTCAAAGATATTTTTAGTCTTATCACTTTAATGTATATTGTTTGCTTTTAAAGAATAGATGTTTATTTGTATGCTAATATGAAACAACACATATAAAGGAACATAGCATGAGATATTTGGTCAACACTGCAAATCAAAGCAAGTGGGATCCTCTCTGTCACATAATTTACATTCTTCTATTGTAAGTATCACTCATTCACATGCTTCTTCTTTTTTTTTTTTTTTTAATTTTTTATTGAGACAGAGTCTCCCTCTGTCACCCAGGCTGGAGTGCAGTGGTGCAATCTCGGCTCACTGCAACCTCCACCGCCCGGGTTCAAGCAATTCTCGTGCCTCAGCCTCCTGAGTAGCTGAGACAACAGGCGCATGCCACCACACCCAACTAATTTTTTTTGTATTTTTAATAGAGATGAGGTTTTACCATGTTGGGCAGGCTGGTCTAGAACTCCTGACCTCAGGTGATCTGGCCACCTCATCCTCCCAAAGTGCTGGGATTACAAGCGTGAGCCACCACGACCAGCCTATTCACATGCTTCTTCACCCTTATAGTCTATATATCTTTTTTAAATGCAAGTATTTTTAGATTAATTTTAGTCTAACATTTAGTACCTTGAATAGTCTTGAAGATTATTGGTAAGGCCTTGGAATAATACTATACAATAGGACATGACGAATGTCTCTCACCCATGTTACCAACTCACAGAGACTCAGATGTGAGAGAGCCAAATGTTGACAGAGGAATTGCTTCAGAATCACTGGTCTGTCGGTCCCACAGACACGTAGGCATCCAGGACACCCTTTTTCTTCACAAAACCTTCTCGCTATTTTTTTAAGGAGGCAATAATTCTGTTTGTGTTTGAAGGCAGAACTGTTGCTATAGTTTAGATGTTTGTCTCCTCCAAATCTCATGTTGAAATTGGATTCCCAATGTTGGAAGTGGTGCCTAGTAGGAGGTGTTTGGGTCATGGGGGTGGATCCCTCATGAATGGCTTGGTGCTATCTCTGTGTTAACAAGTATGTTCTCTGCCTATAGTTCAGGCATGATCTGATTGTTTAAAAGGAGCCTGCCTTGCACCTCCTTCCCTTCTCTCTCACTCTCTTTCTTGGCATGTGACATACCTGCTCCCCCTTCACCTTCTGCCATGAATGGAAGCTCCCTGAAGCCCTCATCAGAAGCAGATACTGGCACCATGCTTCTGGTGCAGCCTGCAAAACCATGAGCCAAATAAACCTCTCTTCTTTATAAATTACCCAGCCTCAGGTATTCCTCTATAGAAACATAAGACAGACTACATGGCTGTAAATACTAATTTCTAATTCAATAAGGAAAGGGAACATCACTGACCTTTTTAAAATTTCTTATCTAAATACAGAAGAAAGTTAAACAGCATCTGTGATGGTAAAACATATACTTTTCCCAAAAACTCTGTACCTAATTAAAGAGGGCCAGGCATGGTGGCTCATGCCTGTTATCTCAGGACTTTGGAAAGCTGAGGTGGAAAGATTGCTTGAGGCCAGGAATTGAAGACCAGACTGGGCAACATGGCGAAACCTCACCTCTACAGGAAAGTTTTTGAATCCTGCGTAGCTGGGAATGCAGGTCTGTGCTACATAGTGGTGCAATGCCTGCAGTCCCAGCTGCTCAGGAGGCTGAGGTGGGAGGATAGCTCAAGTCCAGGAGGTCAAGGCTGCAGTTAGCCATGATTGTACCACTGTGCTCCAGTCCAGGCCGAGAACTTTTCTCAAAAAAAAAAAAAATTAAAGAGGCACATGACTGTCATTGTCATTTTAGTTTTCTTCCAAAAGAGCATAATCATTCTCACATATATTTTTGTTGGAGCCCCTGCTGCTTGAGGCTACTCACTACGCCAGATTAGTTTGGGTGGCAGCATTAGTGGAAGTACAAATAATCAGTCAAGAATCAACAAGCAGCACGATCTATTTTGCTAATGCTGACTGCAATTCATCTGTCAAAGCCATTTCACTTTCCCAATATGTGTGCTATTAACTTTGTCATAGGAAAATTAGTCTAAGTGATTTCTAGAATTATTTCTGAATTTTAAGAACAGGCAACAGAATTATATATAAATGTAAGTTGACGTCTTGGAATTCTACACAGAATTCTAAAGGCATCACAGATTGAGAGCTTGTTTTCTCCCACTTTCTTAGTTGAGAAAAATTTGCAGATAAGGAAAGGCTGACCTTAAATAACAAGGCAGGAGACAGTAGCCCAAGGAGGAGAATCTGGCCCTACCTGCCCTTTCTCTAGAAATGAAGGTGTCTAGACTAAGATTTCTTCATTGCTGCCAGGACAGAGAGAAGCAGAGGGTTCAAAGGTGTGAGAGTTTCTTCCTTTATTCAGAAAAAAAAAATGTAACAAGATGCAGGTGAAAATTACTATACAGAGAGATTTTTCAAAGTTTCAAATAGTATGGCTGGCTGCACAGAAGGTTCCCACAAGGTTACATCTACCTTGATGAATTCACTACACCCCAAGGTCTGGTCTCAAGCTGGCAAGTTAAGAAACTTGATTTTACTGAGTACCCTGGAAGTAGCTCTGTCACCCCTCAGAGGCACCACTTGCCTTAATCAAGTTGCAGAGACCAAATGCCTGCTTATGATGATATAATGAGAAGCAAGCATATGGGAAGCCAAGTTATTAGAGGGTTTCATGGTGTGTATGGAAGCAGAACACAGGAGTAGAGATGATCTGAAAATGAATCTCCCAGTGCAAGGTGCTTCAGGCCCTCTCACCAGCCACAGGAATATCTCTGCTGATGGAACCATAATGTCAATTTATCGTACCAAAGCTTCCTCCTCCCTGGATGGTATTTGGATGTCTGAGCATTGACTTGAGGGATACTTTCTTTTGTCTATACTTTCATTATAGACCAATTCCTTTGGCTTATGCACTTATGGATAGTATCTTGGCTCTGCTCCTTAACAACCACAGCAAGCAACCCCACCTGCTGCCTTTGATTCCCAAGTCCTTGAGATGGTTGTGTATTGTATGCCCTACGTGTGCACAGGGCTTACTTGCTGTGGTTCCTATGTACTCACAGCAGCAATTATGTCAACTAATAAACCTATGAATGGGGCTGGGCACGGTGGCTCATGCCTGTAATCCTAGCACTTTGGGAGGCCAAGGCAGACGGATCACCTGAGGTCAGGGGTTCGAGACCGGCCTGGCCAACATGGTGAAACAACCCCATCTCTACTAAAAATACAAATATTAGCCGGGTGTGGTGGACACCTGTAATCCCAGCTACTCAGGAGCTGAGGCAGGAGAATTGCTTGAACACGGGAGGCAGAGGTTGCAGTGAGCCAAGATCGCACCACTGTACTCCAGCCTGGGTGATGAGAGCAAAACTCCATTTCAAAAATAATTAAATAAATAACCTATGAATGGATCATTAGTGAGCACCTACCATGTGCCTGAAACTCAAGCAAAATGATGTACACAGGAAAGGTATGTACTCCCAGCCCCCAAATACTTTCGTCTGTTGGTGAAAGGCAAACTATCACATGTGAAAAAAAAAAAATTGAAAATCAATAGATGTTAGCATAACACCCCATAAGTGCAACAGGAGTTTTTAGAGATGGAGGAATCAAGTTAAAGTCAAAGTGACTTTATGAAGAAAGGAGGATCAAGCTAGATTTTGAACGGTAGGTAGGAGAAAGAATAAGAAGTGATTTTCCAGTCTGAAAAAGCCAGAAAGGCTTGTTCAATGTAAAGTCGTAACCTTAAATTAGGAATAATAAACAAAGGAAGTGAGATGGAAATTATTGCCAAGTCTGGGGTGTATTGGAAACATAGTAGGTACTCAAAAATGCATGTTGAATAAGTGAATGAAGTGGGACCACGGTGAGAAATAAGATTCATTTAGTGGTACGGGAAAGAGTAGACATCTTGAAAGTGAGGAAGAGCTATATAGATGTGATATGTTATCAGAGATATGAAATATACCAGAGATTCCCATAGAATAATTTCTGAGTTCATTTTTTCTCAACTAAAGGCTAAGCACTTTTATAGTGGCATAATTCTACCTGTAGTAGAAGTTCTGCTCAAAACACACATGTTGAACAGGAAATTTCCCAGACAAATGGCATACAACGAACCAAGTAAAGATAGTCCTGCATAATAACCATTTACCTATACCATTGTCCATTCATTCCTTCTTTTGAAATTCAAAAGCTTTTTCCAACATTCTCATTTTGAGGCGAGGGAGGCCCATTTATTCTCATTTTCTTCCCATTCTCTTTTCTCCTCTTTCTCTATTTCTCATTCATTTATCCATTCCACAAATATGTAATGCCTATGATTTGTCAAACAAGTGCTAAGAACAACGTATGTCTGGATTTTTCTTAAAAACTGATGTGATGCCTATCTCATGGACAAAATAGACATAGAGAGGTCAATAAACAAGAAATGCCCAGCAGCAAAACTGCAGAGCTGATGTGAAATAAAGGAACAAAATGCAGTGGTAGAGAATCACAGAAGGGAAAACATACCCAGACACAGCAGCCAGACACGGAGGCTAAGACCTGAATGATAGGAAGGAGCCAGCTGTGTGTGTGTGTGTGTGTGTGTGTGTGTGTGTGTACATGAATGTGTACGTGTGTGTGCCCGTGTATGTGAGTGTGCATCTGTGTGTGTGAGTTGCATGTATGAGTGTGCACAAGTGTGCGTGTGCACTGGCAGGGAGCAGGTGACAGAAGCCTGGTGCTCCAGGCAGAAGGAGTGGTATGCGGGAAGACCTCAAGACAGAGACCTCCTCAGCACGTTCGCAGACCCTGGAAGGAAAGCAATTGCCCAGCGTATGTGGGGTTGAGGGATCGGGGGGAGCAAGGAAGTAGATGAGCTCTGTGTGGTTCACAAGGCACAGCTCACAAAGCGCTTCCTAGGCTAAGCAGACTTTGGATTTTCAAAGAGTAAGTAGGATGGTGTTAGATTCATGCAAGAGTGCCCTGGTTTCCAGAATGAGACTAGGTTTGAAGGATGCAATGTACCAACGCTAGAGCTGTAGGTAGAAATGCAGTCACCCTGGTAGAGCTGTTGGTGGCTTAAACTGGAGAGAAGTAGTTACGGAGAAGTGGGTGGATTTCAGACATATTTTAGATGTAGAAAGACAGGATTTGTTGATGGACTGGAGTTCAGGAGGAGGGAAAATGAGAAAACAAAAATGTCTGCTTATCTCTCTCCCTTCTCTTTCCCTATTCCACAATCTATTAATGATTTTTTTAATTCATGGTGTCATTTTCCTATCTCAGGTTAAAGGAGAGTTTAACAGCAGTAAATCCCAAACAAAAGCATTCTGATTTTAGACAATGCTATACATAAGAAGTAGAAATATCTCAAATACAATTCTCAAATGACGCTTTTAGTTGTATGAGAAAGAAAAGCCGTAAATACTAGCATAACCAAATGATATGGTTTAGCTCTGTGTCCCCACCCGAATCTCATCTCAAATTGTAATCCCCACATGTCGGAGGAGGGGCCTGGTGGGAGGTGACTGAATAATGGGAGTGAACTTCCCCCTTGCTGTTCTCGTGGCAGTGAGTGAGTTGTCACAAGATCTGGTTGTTTAAAAGTGTGTGGCACCTCCCGCTTCACACTCCCTCTCCTGTTCTGCCATGGTAAGATGTGCTTGCTTCCCATTCTCTTTCTACCATGATTGTAAGTTTCCTGAGGCCTCTCAGTCATGCTTCCTGTTAAGCCAGTTAAACCAATTAACTGTGAGTCAATTAAACCTCTTTTCTTCATATATTACCCAGTCTCAGGTAGTTCTTTATAGCAGTGTGAGAACAGACTAATACACCAAACCTCTGTCATCAAACAGGAAACCATTATCTTTCATTGAAACTGCTAAAGACACCACAGTCAAAGTTATAACCTCTATCCACTGGTGATTTAATTAATGTGAAAGACTTACTCATAAGAACCAGTGTGGTGTTGAAGTCCCCACACACACCCCTCCTGTAAAGTAGAAGTTTGGTCACTATATCCCCTGATGGCAATGTTTATTATATGTGGCTGTGCAAATAGGGGAAGAGACAGTGAGACAGCACATGACCTGAGTACAGAAACCATATTACAGGACCAGAAGTCCTGGCCCAGTCTCTCCACACCAAATTCAGCCCCCAAATATGTCTTCCTCTGTCTCCAAGCTGCAGGACATGGCACAAATTGAAAACAAGAAAAGTCCCACTTTTGAATACATAGCCA
The DNA here is from genome assembly GCF_000001405.40 of Homo sapiens. Taxonomy (NCBI): domain Eukaryota; kingdom Metazoa; phylum Chordata; class Mammalia; order Primates; family Hominidae; genus Homo; species Homo sapiens. The sequence goes on from NC_000010.11 coordinate 20,669,503, forward strand.
AGTACGTTGGTAGAAAAAGAGCATATTTTGGCCAGGTGCGGTGGCTCACACCTGTAATCCCAGCACTTTGGGAGGCCAAGGCAGGTGGATCACCTGAGGTCAGGAGTTTGAGACAAGCCTGGCCAACATGGTGAAATCCTGTCTCTACTAAAAATAAGAAAAATTAGCCGGGCATTATGTAGGGTGCCTGTAATCCCAGCTACTCAGAAGGCTGAGGCAGGAGAATCGCTTGAACCTGGGAGGCGGAGGTTGCAGTGATTCGAGATCGTGCTATTGCACTCCAGCCTGAGCAACAAAAGTGAAACTCCATCTCAAAAAAAAAAAAGAAAAGAAAGAAATAGAGCATATTTTTTTAAATGTTCCCTCAAAATCACTTTTCAAAACAGGCTTTTCCCATTGAATGTAAATGTAGCAAGTTGAAAAATTAAGTCTGTAGGTTCCTTCATCTCCTGAGTACTTGCTTTAATGTGGCCAGTACCAGAAACGGTTCTTCCATTTAAAGTCTGATCATTAAATTAGAAGTAACTTAAAGGGACTAATTGCTCATGGGAGATTTGTTCTTTTCAAGCAGTAGAACACAGAGCTCTGTAACATCCTGTGTTCTAAATTATCATTATGGCCAAAATAGGTCCTGATCCAAGCACAAAAATCCTTCTCATATTTTGCAGTTCTTAATAGAAGTGTCTAACCTAATGTAATTTGATTCACGAATGTTAGTAGTGCAAGTAAAACTTGTTTTTAGAAATTGGGTTTTTTTGGTTTGTGTTGCTGATTTCTCATTTTTAGTTACCTCTGCGGGGTCATTGCTTTTAAGCAGTCCATTGGTTGCATGACAAATGTATTTTAGAGACCTGTCTTTTGTTCAGGAACCGTATTTGTCTGGGAGAAAAATGTCAGCAATTCAGAGTCTGAATCCTGTGTGTGAACAGTACATCTGTGTCACGCCAATGTCAAGCAAACAGAGACAATAGTTTTATCCTGGTTTGACTTCAAGTCTAAACTGGCTCCACATCCAGGAATAGAGCAGAAAGAGGCAGGTTATGGATTGAATTGTGCCACCCCAAAATTCACACATTGAAGTCCAAACCCACAGTATCCCAGAATGTGATTTTATTTGAAAATAGGGTCATTTCAGATGACACTATTTCAGTTAAAATGAAGTCATCCTGAAATAGGGTGGGCTCAGTCCAATACGACTGGTGTCCTTATGACAGAGCACCATGGGAACAGACAGACACACATGGCAGGGAGAACACCATGCCAAGATCAGAGTTATGCAGCCACCAGCCAAGGACCTACCAGGAGCTGGGAGAGAGGCCTGGGACAGATGCTTCCCTAGGGCCTTCAGAGGGAGGGTATGGCACTTTGCCACAGCAGCTCTAAAAGACTAATGCAAGGAACTTGTAAATGTCCCACAACACTTACCTTCTTTGTGGACTGCTATATTCTTCATTAGAAGACCTCCTTCTTTCAAAACTATACTTTTTTCTTACTCACTAAAACCTTAGCCAACTCAGAATTACCTCCATGCCCCTCCCAGGGGGTCTTCATTCTAGGTGCACGTTAAAAACTCTCAGGTGGTGGGTGGGAATCACTGAGCAGCTTCTCACTGGCTAGAGTACTCTGCCACATGACCAAGTAGACCATATGCAAGCAGAAGATCACCCTGGCAAGTCCATGGATGCAGAGATAGACCCCAGACTTCCATATTAAAAAGATGGGTGAAATGAATGCTATCACTTGGATGAAGTTTCTGCCATAGGATTTGCAGATTAACCTAAATTAAGTTCACTTTTGCATCTGGAATTACAAGAGACATGGTAGGGCAGGATCTTCAGAAGATGAACCAAGGAGCTTCCTGTGATTTGTGGGAGAATGGAAGAATCATCCTATTGTCCTACTGACAGAGAGTTAGGGTGCATATATTTGGTGACAGGAGAGTGGCCTACCGTTGGAAAGGAAGGACCATTCGAGCACAGTGGATCTTCTGTTTTGCAAACTGCCTACTAGACCTTCACCCATAGATGCATGGCAGAAAGTATAAAATACAGGAATACTATTTAAAGCATTGGGGGCATTGAAAACTCAAGACCCAAGAGCATTGGTACAAGCATTCAGGAATGGAAGACCTCACCAGACACAGCACTCCTGACAATGGACACGACGAGCCTCACTGAAGGCATTAGGGAGCTGCTTCTGCAGCATCCGCAGTCAACAACAGCACCAGGAATGACAAGCAAATCCTGCAGCGACAGATAATCATTATGCCACAGGGCAACCAAGAAGAATTGTGCTCAGAGCACCGTATGATCCATCATCTAGGAACTAACTTAACTTGTCTAGAGGAATTTAAAGAGGGGCAATGGCAGGGCAGGTGAAGGAGGAGCCGGAGAAAAACACTTACTTGTGATTCTTCTTGTTGTCCTCATTTTATCCCCAGAAAAGTGTGGCCTGAGAACAAAAAGGGATGCAGTTTCTTCTTCACTGTATTTGGCACTAACAATGAGACATAGATGAGCATAGTGTCAATCACAATAAACTCAAATCAAATTAAAAGCACCTTTGAGAGCTCTGATGATCTGGGACATTTTAACTAGTAAGTTCGCAGCATTATTATTTCAAAATCAATTTCATGAATGAGTGCCTATTTGCTAACACTCTCACCTTGTCAAGGGAAAGAAAGATATGAATATATGATATGCCTTCAAAGTCCTTAAAACATGGTTCACATTGCTGCAGAAAAGACAGCACAGGAGAAAGGAGGTGTAGATGGAAAGGTTGAGATGGCTCTGGGAGAAAAGATGGTGCAATGCCGTGGAGATGAATAGACCAAATGCAGAGGAAGACCAGCCCAAACCAAATCAGCAAGTCAGAAAATGTCTAAAAGCCATAGGACATGTTTCCAAGGTCTCTAACAAAGTAATTTGCCTTCCTAATAAGTACCCCAGTTATGATTCTGGGAAAGTTGAATCTCAGAGGAAGTTGCTCAAGATCAAATAAGTTATTAAAAGAGCTATGAAAAAAATGCTGAAATTCTTGAATTCCATCTGGCCCCTTGCCCTCACAAAAACACTAAGTTTCTGATTCCATTTCAAGCCCCCTGAATTCAAAGTCTAAAAGCATGACAGGGCATGAAATAGCCCTCTCTCCTAAGTGAAAGGATTTCCTTTCCCCAGCACCAATGACTCCGGCTGTTTTCCGTATTTTCCCTATTATAAATTCTGTCACCATCTTTCACAGAAGCTCCACTTATGGGGTTAAATGTGGAACTGCTGGCTTAATATCTTCTGATTGAAAAGTGGGTATGTGTTTCTCACTTCGGGCTCACTGAGTTTGGACACAGCTCCCCATGAGGAAATGCAACTCCGTGTCTGATGCCTTTTACAGCTGTAAGAAGGCGTGGAACCCAGTAAGGACCCACAGGATTAAGGAGGAAGCAGGGGATGTCCCTTAAAGCATGTTGAGATGTTCCCAGCTGCATATGTCATGTGGGTGGAACGGGGAAGTTATTATACAGGAAAACATGGGCACGCTTGAAGCATTGCTCTACAGAGGAGCCAAAACTCTGGGGATTATGTTGGGATTCAAGACCTCTACACCAACCTATCAGAACATAAGTCCATGAGAAGAAATGCAGAGAAAGAATGTGTTGACAAATTAACCATTATGTTCATTGTTCTTTACACTTAAAAAATAAAATAAAATAAAGTTCTTACTATATCTTATCTTCATCAGCCTAGAAGCTTTGTGTCACTTTTGAGTTTCTGTGGTTAATACTATTAAAACAAAGGCAGATGAAAAAAAAAGTAACTATAAATACCACCCTTTCCAAGGCCGTCATAGTCTCTTTTGTTAAGATTCTCTCCCACGTATTTTGAGAAGAATACAGTAGCCATGTCTGGGGATATGATGTTGCTTGTTTAATGGTAGGTGTGAAATTAGGAAAAATGTTAAGTGTCCTCGCCCAGAGATGATGTTGTAGTGATGCACGGGCATTGTCATAAAATGGCTTCCTGTCCCACAGAAAATGTTTTCCACTTGGTCTCAAAGTTCAAGTTATTCTTCCCCAGAAAAGAAAAATTAAAACCACTGCTCCCATCACTGCTAAGTTGGTGAATCAATGATGCCTTTGAGCAAGAGAGCCAGAAAAACAGAGAAGAACTGCAATACTATCAAATCAAGGATGCTATTGCCAAGGTGAGAAATCATAGCTGTGGGTGTTTTTGCAGAATGCTGAATGGAGAATAAACCGCCTGGAAAGCAACTGATAAAAATTCTGTATTTATGGTGAACTTCCAGGGGTTTTTTTGAGGGGGAGGGGCGGAAGGGTCATAAGTACAAACTAAGGCTTCTGAATTTTTTTAACAGTTTAAAAGAATAGTTATTTTTATGAGAACACATGGACACAGGAAGGGGAACATCACACACCGGGGACTGTTGTGGGGTGGGGGGAGGGGGGAGGGATAGCATTAGGAGATATACCTAATGCTAAATGACGAGTTAATGGGTGCAGCACACCAACATGGCACATGCATACATATGTAACAAACCTGCACGTTGTGCACATGTACCCTAAAACTTAAAGTATGATAATAATAAAATTTAAAAAAAGAATAGTTATTTTTAATCTCTAGGTATATATATATCAGTCAGTTTCAACAGAGAGTAACATAAGAGGAGTCTGGAGCAGGACTCTCCAAAGAGAATCAGAACATGAATCACATAAGATGAAATAGGAGAATTCCCCAACCCCACTGGGTTGAGGACATCATCAATTTTTATTGAGGACAGATCAAAAGTTTAGAAGTTCATATTTGAACGTTATTATGTATTATGTCTGGTTCATGCATAATCGTGTTCCAGTTAACTATATCATGAACTATTATTTCATTTCCAAGTTTAATTCTGTTTCAAATAAATTTACTGGAAACCTTTTATGGACCACGGTGTATGCTAGATAGGCCCTGAAGATATGAAAAGTATGAGTTCAATCATCCTCAAAATCCTTTTATCTTTTTACAATTCCCAAATCCCCTTCCAGATATTACCTAACAAGCCAGGTAGAGCTCAAAAGATTAGTCACAATTTCAGCGGTCAGCATCCCAGCTTGAGAATTCTTCCTTCAGCTATGGGCAGTGAATATTAAAAACTGTTTCTCTAATTGGATGTTTCCATAAAATGCTTTTCTGATTGTTTTTAGAAACTATTTGGTAACCATATAATCCACTAAAATGGAATTTTCAAAGTTCAAAGGAACTCTCGAAACCAGACACCTAAAGTACATTTCGGACCCTCTAAAATTTTAAGGTGGATATTTTTGAATTATGCTCATTAAAACACTGCTCTACTGAAAACGAATCAGCCGTGGGTGAACTGTTAAGTGATCTAATGACCTGGAAATCTGGGGATTTCTAACACCTTGCTTTCATCTCTGGGCAAAACTATGAGCTTTCATTAAAATTAAAATCAAACTTAAATAGCTTGGACACTTTCAAGCTGTGAACATCAACCATATGTGCAAACCTGGGCAAGTTCTGTCTCTGTGGGGTTTTGTGAGTGGGAGGAGGAAATGGATGATCAGATGACTACACAGATGTTCAAAAAGATCCTGGGACGGCAAGACAACTTGCATCCATTTCAGCTTCCTTAGAGGCAAACAGAAAGGACAAACAAAAGCCTGGAGGTAAAGCAAAGAAAGCAAATTACAGGCCTGTGGCCAAAGCAGCTTAAAGGCACAAGATTCCATTAATTGCAAACACATTTTCTTAGGAACAAAACACTCACTGATAAAGGAAGCAAAATTGTGGTGTTGGAACCCAGCAAATTTGTAATCACAACAATGGTGCTTCAAATTAAAAAAGCATTGGAACTTGAGGCAGTTTCTCAAATCTATGCATTATAGCTGATATAAAAACAAAAGACTAAGATTTAATCTACATGAATTAGAAGGAATGTTTCCTCCGTCTTTGATCTCCAAAGAAATATGGGTAATGCTTTTTTCTGCTTTCAACCGCTCGCAAATGCCTTTGTAGAAATTGATCTATGTAAAAAAGCTGAGGAAGGGTGCATGGAAACCCAAGAAAATGGGGAGAAGAAAATAAAAAAAAGTCTCAAAAAATCTTTTCTATATGTTACTCTGGAAGGGATCTTGTTCACTGAGTTTTCTTACTCTGGGCATCAAATCACTGCATAAGGCTTTTAGATTTTACAACGAGCCCCGTTGGATGGAAACCTAGTTGCCAATGACATGTAACATCATTAAACAGCTCCGCCTGTACCAACTGGTTAGGACCATTTCACACTTGTCTTCTTGGGATGCACATTTATCATTTATCAAAATCAATCAACTTCTAGCTTTTATGAATTACATGGCGAGAGATACTAATAGATAGGAAGTGTTGCTTCTTATTTATATAAGTTGACCTCATACTGGCATCAGGCAGTGATGAGGATTAGGTGAAAAAGACATATTTTACCAAACCATTTGGTTGCCTACTTTACACAAGACATCTGTTCTAGGAGCTCCCTTCACTTGGCCTAACACCTCTCATTGCTTTAATTCAAGAATCTAGTTCCAAAAATATTTTTGCCGAAATAAATGCTGGCAGGTTCGGTTGGCAACTAAGAAATGCAGGCCTAAATTAATTAGCTTCTCCTGTTTCCCTGTTTCCCCCAGGGGGTTTGTCAACTAGGTACCTATTTCTCATTTTCCTAAATAAGTTGTTATAGAGACTTCATTAAGTTAGCGATTCTCTGCTGTTTTTAATCGACCTAAGCATATTTCACATTAAAAACAAATAAATAAAATGAAAACTCATGTTCACACAAAAACCTACACAGGCATATTTATAGTGGTTTTATTCATAATTACCAAAAACTAGGACTGTCACAAGTGTCCTTCACCTGCGGAGTGGGTGAACAAACCTCTGCCTTCATATGATGAAACACTATTCAGCAATGACCTTGTTAACACTACAGAAGCCAGCAAAAACATGGATTAGCCTCAAATGCATTAGCCTAAGTGAAAGAAGCCAGACTCAAGAGGCTACATGATTCAATTTATGCGACATTCTGAAAAACGCAAAATTATAGGAACAGAAAACAATTCGGTGATTGTCAGAAGCTAGGGAATGGGTTGACTACAAGGTAGCGTGAGGGGTTACTAGAACTGCTCTCTATTGATTGTGTTGAATATACACTGGGGTGCTTTTGTCAAATGGTGACATATATGTATATACATGTAATACTTTTAAAACATATGTATATTTATGTATAATACCTTTATAAGGTATATATCTAATACCTTTAAAAATGAAAAAATCAATAACTGGACTCCTTTTGAAATGAAAAAAAAAAAATGAGAAATACAATATAAGGGTTAGGACACACGAGAAGTGAAGAGAAATATGATTCGTTCCACATCTAACTTACCTGCGGTTGACTGCATCCAAGTCTCAAGGATGTTACTAATGTTGAAAGAAAAACGCCAGCCAAGTTATATGTAAGAGCGTTTAACTGAGCGAAGAATGACTCGCGAATCGGGGAGCCTCCTGAGCCAGAGTAGGCTCAGGGACTCCAGGGCAGCCTCGTGGTGGAAGAGGATATATGGACAGAAAAAAGGAAAGTGACATACAGAAAATGGAAGTGAGGGACAGAAACAGCCAGATTGGTTTTGGCTCGGTGTTTGGCTTATTTGAACATGGTTTGAACAGTTGGACCACATTTGACTGGCCAAAACTCAGTGATTGGCACAAGAGTAGATTACTGTCCGTTGACATTTCCAGTTAGGCTATAGTTTACAATGTAACACAGAAACCTGTAGGCCAAATTTAAAATATTTAAGGAGGCAGCTATAGGCTAAACCTGATTCAACACTAATGAGATCAAGAGGTTATAAGAAAAAATTAGGAAAAAATAGAAAAATAAAGCAAATATAATTTCTGCCTCTCTCAGTGTTTGCTCACCATCACAGGCTGCTTACAGCTTGTCTTCTTCAGACAGGGCTTGCACGTGGAGCTGCACTTATGAATGGGCTATGCTCCAAGGACAGTTGTAAATGGGAAGGTTTGTTATTGTCTTAGTCCGTTGGGGCTGCTGTAATAAAGTACTTTAGACCAGGTAATGTATAAACAACAGAAATCTACCGCTCACAGTTCTGGAGGCTGTGATCGAAATGCCGACAGATTTGGTGCCTGGTGAGGGCTTAATCTCTGCTTCAAAGATGGAAACTTCTTGTTGCATGCTCACGTGGCAGAGAGGTGAACAAGCTCCCTCAGGCCTTTTTGTTATAAGGTCACCCATCCCATTCTAATCACCTCCAAAAAGCCTCATTTCTCAATACTATTTGCTTTGGGGTTAGCTTTTAATATTGAATTTTGGGAGAGAGCATTATTCAGACCACGGCGGGTAACGTAAAAAAAGGTTACAACTGTCAGGTGGATTTATAGGCAGACCTTCAAAACCTGCCTATCCACAGTGCCTGTCAATAACGGAATCCTTGGTTCTAGCATGAGAATGTAAACTAGCGGCCATGAGGTGTGCACAGAAGGAAGCCAGTGGATCAGGATTCACTCACCCTTTCCTCATGGCAAGGCCCGTCCTAGGCAAGCTTTAGAAGCAGATGACTTGAGTCTTTGGCCTGTACCCTTTGCATAATTATCTTCCCAATCTCCTTCACCTAGCCATTGTCGTAGGTGACCATTGCCTTCAAGAGACCTCCATCCTTAACAGATGGTAATACGGAGGTATGCAGCCCTCCCCATCAATGTTGCCAGCTAAGTTTTAGGACAGAAATGTCTTAAATGAAATTGCTTCTCATTAAAATATAAAGAACAAAAAGAGTCTTTTGATTCTTCCAGGGGTATTCATAATTCAAAACAAATGTATTGCTGGGTCAGAAGGAAAATGTAATTTATCTAGTTTAACATAGGTTCTTTTAAATAAATAAACTTGAACCAAAGGTAAAGTTTTCTGCCTTGTCTATTACTGTATATTGCTACTTAAAAAATAAATAAGAATTAATTAATTAAAATTAAGGCAGGCACAGTGGCTCACTCCTGTAATCCCAGTACTTTGGTTGGCCAAGGTGGGCAGATCGTTTGAGCTCAGGAGTTCGAGACTAGCCTGGGCAACAAAGTGAGACACCATCTCTACAAAAAATACAAAAATTAGCCAGGTGTGATGGTGTGTACCTATAGTCCTAGCTACTCAGGAGACTGAGGTGACAGAATGGCTTAAGACTAGGAGGCAGAGGTTGCAGTGAGCCGAAATTGTGCCATTGCACTCCCGCTTGGGTGACATAGCCAGGCCCTGTCTCAGAAAAAAAAAAAAAAATTAATATATGACTCTTAAGATAAAATCTGAGAGAGTGCAAATCAACCCTATTGATAGTCAGATTGGGATGTTCCTAACAGAACAACAATATTTCTAACAAAACCCATACAAAGCCACGAGGCAGCTGCAAACTGACCAACAATTTTTTCTTTTAAACTATCAGTGCATTCTTACAATTAATATTCCCAGAGCCCCCTTTTTCCTCCCATCCTCTGGACAAAGCTCACTGAGACATCTATTTGTTGAACTGATGGCAAACAACCCAGAACTGACCTCAGCTCCCTGCACCCCTGAGTTCATTTCAGGGGGCTGCTGTGAGCAAATACCAAAACTGGGTGTCTTAAAACAACAGAAATGTAATTCTCCTTGAAGAGGTCCTTCACTTCCCTTGTAAATTGGATTCCTAGGTATTTTATTCTCTTTGAAGTAATTGTGAATGGGAGTTCACTCATGAGTTGGCTCTCTGTTTGTCTGTTATTGGTGTATAGGAATACCAACAGGCACATGTAAAAATGCTCATCATCACTGGTGATCAGAGAAATGCAAATCAAAACCACAATGAGACACCATCTTACGCCAGTTAGAATGGCGATCATTAAAAAGTCAGGAAACAACAGGTGCTGGAGAGGATGTGGAGAAGTAGGAACACTTTTACACTGTTGGTGGGACTGTAAACTAGTTCAACCATTGTGGAAGACAGTGTGGCGATTCCTCAAGGATCTAGAACTACAAATACCAGTTGAGCCAGCCACCACTTACTGGGTATATACCCAGAGGATTATAAATCATGCTGCCATAAAGACACCTAGACACGTAAGTTTATTGCGGCACTATTCACAATAGCAAAGACTTGGAACCAACCCAAATGCCCATCAATGGTAGACTGGATTAAGAAAATGTGGCACATATACACCATGGAATACTATGCAGCCATAAAAAATGATGAGTTCATGTCCTTTGTAGGGACATGGATGAAGCTGGAAACCATCATTCTGAGCAAACTATTGCAAGGACAGAAAACCAAACACCACATGTTCTCACTCATAGGTGGGAATTGAACAATGAGAACACTTGGACACAGGATGGGGAACATCACACACTGGGGCCTGTCGTGGGGTGGGGGGAAGGGGGAGGGATAGTATTAGGAGATATACTTAATGTAAATAACGAATTAATGTGTACAGCACACCAACATGGCACATGTATACATATGTAACAAACCTGCACATTGTGCACATGTACCCTAGAACTTAAAGTACAATTTAATAAATAAATAAATAAATAAATAAATAAAAACAGAAATGTACTGTCTCGTAGTTCTGGAGGCTGGAAGCCTAAAATCCAGGTGTCAGCAGGGCCCTGCTCCCTCAGATAGCTCTAGGGAAAACTCCGTCCTTAGCTCTCTGGCTTCCAGTGTTTGTGGGCAATCCTTGACATTCCTTGGCCTGGAGATGCTTCATTCCAGTCACTTGGCTGTCTTCTCCTTGTGTGTCCTCACTTCATCGTCCTTCTGTGTATATCTGTCTCTATGTCCAAAGTTACTCCTTTTATACAGACACCAGTCATATTGGATTAGCGTCTACGCTAAAGACCTAATTTTGACTTGATTACCTCTACAAAGACCCGATAAGGTCAAATTCTGCAAATAAGGTTACATTCTGAGGTGCTGGGGATAAGGATTTCAAAACATCTTTGTGTGTGTGTGTGTGTGGAGGCGGGGGGGCAGGAGGTGCCATAATTCAACCCATGACAACCCCTTCTCAGAATCATTCAGCATAAGCCCAACATCTAGAGTAGGTGGCTCCCACCTTCTTCTACTGGGTGTTCCTCACTTGCTCTGTGCACTCTTCCATGCAGCAGCAAGATGAAGAATCTCAACTCTAACTTCAGATGTGTTTCCAGTGGACTTTGACAGCTGGGCTCCAAAAGCTCTAATGTCGTTTTAGAGGTTCTAACATACTGTCATAGTACACACACCACGCTTTGCTAAACTATTCTCTAACAAGCCCGGTCTAAGCTCAGTATTAACCAAATACTTATTTCCCGTGGGTGATATAACACAATCATTAGAACTTATAACCAAACCAAAAAATTACATAACTAGCATTCAGTTGGAAGCAACTCTACTTTTTTTTTTTTTTTTTTTGAGACAGAGTCTGGCTCTGTTGCCCAGGCTGGAGTGCATTGGCATGATCTCAGCTCACTGCAGCCTCTGCCTCCCATGCTCAAGCGATTCTCATATCTCAGCCTCCGAAGTAGCTGGGATTAGAGGTGTGCGACACCGCCCCTGCCTAATTTTTGTATTTTTAGTAGATATGAGGTTTCGCCATGTTGGCCAGGCTGGTCTCAAACTCCTGGCCTCAAGAAATCCATCCACCAAACTTGGCCCCCCAAAGTGCCAGGGTTACAGGCAGGAGCCACTATACCCGGCCACACCTCTATTTATTAGCAGAAGTTTCAGATTTTTTCTAAACTTCAGTCATCTTATCTGTAAAATAAAGGTATAATAGTGCTTTCCTCCTTTGTGAGGAGTGTTAAATAAGTAATGTATACAAAGCATTCACTCAGCGCAGCCTGGCCACCTGCTAATTATTTAATAAACTTTGGCAAAAATGATGGTTGATAGTGATGTCAGTTACTAGATTAAAATTATTGGGAGACTATCAGAAATACTAATTTCTGCAGCTTTCCAGGATTCATAAAATTTCACAACGATAGTGCTAGACTGGTCCTTGGAGATCCTGAACTAACCTTCTCCTGTGTTGGAGGAAAAAAACTGAGCACCTGATGGAGTGGCTGTCTTGCCAAAGGTCACATGAGACCAGGTTGAAGCTCCTGTGGTTCTCATAATGTCAATAGCACCCAAAATTGAAGACCTTTACTGAACTCTTAAATTAGACACAACCTTGCATAGGCCATCTTTCCTGAAAATAAGTCACAGGCTAAAGAATTGTTTCTTATCTGCTTCCAGTTCTCTATCAATTTCCTTCAAATGTCAGTGCTAAATTCTCTGTAGGAGGACTTAATCATATTGAAGACAGAAACAGAAAATGTGGTGACAATCCTGCTCATATTAAGCATAATAAAGTCGTTATTAGAAGCGAATGAAATTGAAATACCACTTATTTTTATTCCCCCACCTGACCAAGTAAATGAATGAAATTAGATTTTATAATTAACTTTATAAATCCTAGATCACAAAGTTTTTCTAGTTTTCTAAATTTAAACACAACCCAAAAAGAAACGGCAGAAATGAATATTCTTAAAGAGGGAAAATTAAAGTTATAAAATACAGCCAGGTGCAGTGGCTCATGCCTTTAATCCCAGCACTTTGGGAGGCCAAGGTGGATGGATCACTTAAGGTAAGGAGTCTGAGACCAGCCTGGCCAACATGGGTGAAACCCCATCTCTACTAAAAAAAAAAAAAAAAAAAAAAAAAGGAAAACTTAGCCAGGCACAGTGGTGCATGCCTGTAATCCCAGCTACTCAGGAGGCTGAGGCAGGAGACTCGCTTGAACTTGGGAGGTGGAGGTTGGTGAGAGCCGAGATCATGCCACTGCACTCCAGCCTGGATGACAGAGCAAGAGTCTGTCAAAAAAAAAAAAAAAAAAGTTATATAATATGTCTGTCTCTTTGAATGTTATAAACTCTCTTTACTGAAAATAATCTTTTATAAATTGTAATATAATTCTTAGTGTTTTCCCCCATTCCTGGCCTGAGGAAGTCAGAATTGAGCCCAGCACTAAATTTGATGTGAAGACTTAGCAATGAAGCCTTGGGTTGCTGCTATGTTTTTTTGGTACCTTCCTTCTTTTCTCCCTCCTCCCTCCTTTCTGATCACCTTCCTCTCAGTGACCTTGAATCTCATATTCTTTTATTTATCCTCATGTTTTTGAGACCCTATTTAAGGACTAGGTGTTGGGAAAGTAAAAATGGAAGGCTGTTACGGGATGAACTGTGTCTTCTCCAAATTCATATGTTGAAGTTCTAACTCCCAGAACCCCAGAATGTGATGGTATTTGGAAATAGAATCTTCTTTAAAGAGGTAAATAAATTAAAATGGGGTCATTAGGGTGAGCCCTAATCCTGTATGACAGAAGCGATTAGGACACAGGCATGTACAGATAGGAGGCATGACACAGCAAAAGTGAGGCCACCTGCCAGCCAGGAAGAGAGGCCTCAGAAGAAACCAAACCAGCAACAACTTGCTCGTGGACTCCCAGCCTCCAGAACTGAGAGAAAACAAATGCCTGACTTTAAACCACCTGTGGTATTTTGTGATGGCAGCCCCAGCAGACTAATGCAAAAGCACAATATCTATATTGAGGGCCTCACTATTTAGAGGGAATGATAGGTAGGAAACAGAAAATTACAGAGTGGCAATTGCCCTGACATATATAAGCATGAGAGAAAAAGCCACTGCCCAGATTAATGGTGGGAGATATCAGAGAAGGCTTCCTGGAGAAGAAGGAGCAACCAGGCATCCCAGACTAAAAGAACAGCACATCCCTTTGTCATGTTTAATCCAAAGACAGAGTTAAAACACACAGGGTCTGTGAGAGAGCTCAAAAAGTGAGTTACAGCTGAAGTGTGAGTACAGGGTGGAAGAAAAAGTAAGAGAACAGATTGGAGAAGCAGGAAAGTCAGTAGAAAGGGCTAGATCAGAAGAGGCCTTATATGCCCTGCTGAGACTTATGGCCTTGCTCCAGAGGACAAAGGTCAACCACAGAGGAATTAAGCAGGAGAGAGAGATGGTCAAAAGATCACTACAGAAAAAAGTGTGGAGAATGCATGGAGTGTGGTGAGCCTGAAGACAAAATGACCTGCTGATATGGTTTGCCTGTGTCCCCACCCAAATCTCATCTTGAATTGTAGCTCCCATAATCCCCATGTGTCATGGGAGGGAACTGGTGGAAGGTAATTGAATCATGGAGGCAGGATTTCCTGTACTGTTCTGGTGATAGTGAATAAGCCTCACGAGATCTGACAGTTTTATAAAGGGCAGTTCCCCTGCACACGCTCTCTTGCCTGCCGCCATGTAGATGTGCATTTGCTCCTCCTTCACCTTCCGCCATGACTGTGAGGCCTCCCCAGCCATGTGGCACAGTGAGTCCATTAAGCCTCTTTTTCTTTATAAATTACCCAGTCTTGGATATTTCTTCATAGTAGTATGGAAATGGACTAATACACCTGTTAAGGGCTATTAAACCAATCTAGCAGGGGTTCTGAAGGCAGTGGCACCAGAGATGGAGAAGAATTGCTACCCAACTGGAAGTTGTAAATGAGGAAGAAGGAGTTGCCTATGATGGTCTCCAGGTTTATAGTTTGCGAAACTGGACACCACTGACTGAGAGTGGGGATCGTTTTTGAGGAATGTGGTGAGATCAGCTGAGGCATAGACAAGCTGATTAAGCTTACTGTTGGAGAAATAGATTTCAAGCTCAGGATGAACCTTGAAGCCGTTATGCTAGGTGAAAGAAGCCAGACCCCAAAGGCCACTTACTGTATGATTCCATTGAAATGAAATGCCCAGAACAGGGAAATCTAAAGCGACAGAAAGTAGATTAGTAATTCCAAGGACTGGAGGTGGGGAAAAGGGCAGGGAGACTACATGTGACTGCAAATGGGCACAGGGTTTCTTTCTCAGGCGAGAAATGCTTGGAAATTACACAGAAGTGATGGTTGTATAACCTTGTAAATATGCTAAAAACCACTAAATTATATACTTTAAAGTGTAAAATGTATGTTTCTGAGGTTATATATAATTTATAATGTATGAATTATATCTCAATTAAAAAAAGAATTTTGGACACCAAAAAAAAATCAATGATCAATCAAAAATGAAAAATCCATCTAAGTTATTGTTGAAGTCATGGACTTGAGTGAGTTTCCCCAGGGAAAGTCAGAAAAGAAAAATTAATCAATTATGACTTTATTATAAAAATCTTAAGTCGTCTTTGAAAGTAGCCAAGATATAAACAAACAAATAAATAAACACAATGCTTTCCTTATCTTTTGGAGAACTTGAATTCTTTCCAAGTATCTGTTAACCCCTTCATAATTTATTACGACAGGCTTGGTGAAAACTGTATCCCACAAAACCAAAACTGGCAGGATTCAGCCCTTGCTTAGCCAGCAAGACTTGCCCCAGTACTTGCTGGGATGCCCCATTTAGCTTATGACAAATGTCCATCTGTGATTGGCAAGTTGGAATCTCATTCATTTATATTCTAATTTCAGTGTAACAGCTTATTCATTTAACTATGGGTTAGTATCCCCACTAGGAGCTCTTAGCACTTCAAAACAGTGATTACCAAGTGCTCTCCATTGTTTAGAATTAGCATCTAGCTAAGCGTTGGCTATGTAGGAAAGACAGTGGGTGCTGGCTAATTATTAATACATGGACATGCAAGTTATGCAGGTGGACTTCTTGAATTTAAGGCTGTAATTTTATTAGTGAATACCCATTAAATGCAATATGCCTTAGAACAGTGGATTTTGCCCACCTTTCACTCCATGACATTTGGCAATATCTGGACACAATTTTAATTATCAAGAATGGACTATTTCATCTAGTGGTAGAAACCAGGGATGCTGTGGTAGGTCCCAAAATGCACAGAACGCCCCCTCACAACATATTATCCAGACTAATACGTCCATAGTGCCAAGGTTGAGAAACTCTGCCTTAAATTAATGTTGGCATATAGTAGCCATAATATTAACAGAAAACCATCCATGTTTCAGAATCATACGTGAGTCAGTCTGGTGTAATGATTTGTCGTAATGAGATCAGATTGGGGCAGGACATATGCACACTCTTACCAATCTTTTCAAAGCTTGCACATTAAAAAGCCATGACATACATTTTAAATAGCCCAGACGGCACTACAGAAAACACACGCGTTACCTCATCAGGTGTTTTTTCTTTTTGCTGCCGCTCTCACATCGTCTCCATCCACATCACAGGCTGCAGAACAAGGGGGAAAGTATGACAAGCAAGAGACAATCCCCTTCATCCCAGATCTGCGGGCAGATCCTCAACCAAGGCCGATCAACGTGCAAAAAGCAAACAGAAATCATGCGCGTTTTATTTTTTTTTCTCTCTATTCATTTAAACTGTAAAAGAAGAAGCTGGTAAAATGAGTCTCTGGCTGGCCAAAGTTTGGCACATCTGTAAAAGTGTCACCTCGTTATATGGGTTTATTATGAACATGAAATCAGCTTAATTAATCTTAGCCATTAGAGCTATAAAAATTCTTCCCAATAGGATTTCCCATAAGCCCTGGGGCTGATGTAAGGCTAATTTAATCAGTTAACTACCTTCCTCCTGAGCTAGAACCCCGTGACCTTCTAGTCATGTCCCCCTTCTCAATAAAGAATCAGAGAATGAGCATTCAGACCATGAATGGGTAGAAGCAGAAAGATGACAGAAATGCACTCTGTTTCATGTTCTACAAAGATAATCCATCACGCGGAGTTTCAGCTCCTTCGGAATGGAGCAGTCTGCCTGCTTTCCAGCCCTTAGGGCCCAGCAGGATTTTCAATATTTCTCCTCCAATTTTCTGTCAACTGAGATAAGGCAGGGTGTGAATGCTGACAGTTTGGAGACTTAAGAAAAAGCCTTTTTCCATGAACCAGCCACATTTCTGAGCTTCTCTTCCTCTGTTGAAGCCATTTGGCTGGGGCCTGCTCGCTTTCAGGACAGAGAAATGGGACGACCTGGGGTTCAGGTTTTTTTCCAAAGAAGGAAGAGGGGGTAGCTGCAGACTCTGATTTTAATTTATCTTTTTTTAAAAATTTTTACCCATGTGACCACCAGCTGTTCAACACAGTGTTTTATAAATATGAAAACAAATAGTAGAACTAAAAGACTAGTGGTTCCACTCACAGCTGGCCATCAGTGACCCAAGAAATTGGAAGTCAACTGCTTATAAAGAAAAAAATGCTAACTGCTAAATAGATTTAAAGGTAAATCCAAATCCCATGTCAATTTATCAAGATGAAACACACGAATATGCATTCTTTAGATAAGAAAAGGATTCCAAGAGGCTCATTACTTCCTTTATTAATCCAAAATAGTCCCAGCAAATCTGCGATTGGCAAAAGGTTTTGATAAACACCGTAGAAAACACAGAGATGAAACAATATAGCTGCTTATGAGGAGGATAGTGTCATTTGGAAATATTCATGTATCCATAAGGAATTATAGCATAAGGTAGAAAAAAAGGTGATAAGAGAAACAAAATCTTTCAGCTACTTTCACAGCTTGCAGAATAAAGTCCAGATCCCACAGCCTACCTACAAAACTCTTGATGATTTGGCTCCTGGCTCCATTGCTGGTCTTATTGCCTGACACTTCCCTACGTGCTCCATTTGCATTGACCAAAATGAACTACTACCAGCAGGCTTTTGAACCTAACTTTTCCCTTTCATCTAATCAACTCTCTTTTTTCTTTAAAGATAATAGCTTGCCAGGTTCACGCCTGTAGTCCCAGCACTTTGGGAGGCCGAGGCGGGCAGATCACTTGATGTCAGGAGTTCAAGACAAGCCTGACCAACATGGTGAAACCCTGTCTCTGCTAAAAATTCCAAGATTAGCAGGGCATGGTGGCACATGCCTGTAATCCCAGCTACTCAGGAGGCTGAGGCAGGAGAATCACTTAAACCCAGGAGGCGGAGGTTGCAGTGAGCCGAGATCATGCCACTGCACACCTGCCTGGGAGACAGAGCGAGACTCTGTCTCAAAAAAAAAAAAAATACAATACAATACTATACTATAAAAAGATAGGATCTCCTCTATCATCCAAGCTGGAGTGCAGTGGCGCAATCATAGCTTACTTCAGCCTCGACCTCCTGAGCTCAAGCAATCCTCCCACCTCAGCCTCCTGAGTAGCTAGGACTATAGGTGCACACCACCATATACAGCTAAATTTTTTTTATTTTTTGTAGATGTAAGGGTCTCACTATGTTGCCCAGGCTGGTCTCAAACTCCTGGCCTCAAGCAATACTCCTCCCACCTTGGCCCCCAAAGCACTAGGATTACAGGTGTGAGCTATGATGTCAGGCCTTACCTAATCAAATATCTGCCTTCAAAACACATGCCAAGCCTCACTCTTGTAGAAAACCTACCATGATCACTCTCTTCTGGGCCACCTCTGCAGCCTGGGCTTGGCTTTGTCATTGTACTTGTCATACTATAAACACAATTTCATTTGTTTCCTCAACTTAGTCCTTGAATGTCTATCCCAGACTCTGAGCAGTGAGTGAACACAGAGAATAAGGAGAGTATAAGAGATTTTATATATCAGTCAAATTGTATCTAAAAGAAGGTAGGATTTGCATATTCAGAGGTCAGCGAAGTGCATTCCACCCAGATGGATGGAATAAGGGTGAAAGCAAAGTGATATACAGGATGGAAGCTAGTGCAGGTACAGTGCCTTGCTCCCTTCCTAGGATTAAATGGAATATTGATTTCTCCTGGGATATGAATGGGATAAAAATTGCTCCTTTCCTAAGATTAAATGGGATATTAGTAAAGCAGCTCATACAGGACATTGCTCCCAAGTGCAAGGGGCAATTCACTGTATGAGCTGCTTTACTAACATCCTATTTAATCCTCACAGTAGCAAAGAGCCAATAATATGTCTGGGCATAGTACTCACCCCCCAGTGGAATAATGGAAGTATAAATGGAAAAAGTAAATTGGGGCCATATTCTGAAAGGATGGCTCTGATCAGGAACATTACCCACCCCTAGGGATCTTTGGAAATACCTGGTTGGCAGAGTGACAGGAAAACCATGTACCCTAAACATTCTGCAAAGTGCAGGCCAATCCCTCCCAGTGCAGGGTTGCCTAGTTGAAATGTCATGAGAGACCAACTGAATCTCCTTAAAGGCTTTCAAAGTCAGGCTAAGGAGTGGGAATATTGTTTGGTAGCTAAGGGGAGTGACTGAGGGTTTCATAGCAGGAGCAACATATATGGAGAACCAAATCCTTACCTCTTCCACCTCTCTATGAGGCTCTGGTCATCCCAGGGGTAATCCAAGTAGCAATGGCCATGAAAATGGAATTACTCACTTAATCCTTCTCAAGTGTCACTGAGGATCAAAGCACCCTGGCCAAGAACGCCTTTGGAAACTTGCTCCATGATATTCACCCCACCCCATGTGTGCTGTGTGAACAATTTGAAGCCCCAGCAGGAATACTTCTTGAGCTGCTCAAGCTTTTCAGAAAGATTAAGCTTGATTTCAAAAGAAAAAGAAAACAGTTTGCTTGACTTTGAGTTGAGATTGAAATTGAAAAACGGTTTTATTGCTTTTGGAAAGGACTTCAAATGAGCAACTTTTCAAAAAGAATACATCATTAAGCGGATGTTAGAAATTGAACCCAGTTCCAGAAATGTTACAACAATAATGGTTTAATTGTACCATTGGTCCCGAGTGGCCCTGCCAAGAGATATAGTCATTAGCCTTCCAGTGCGAAACACGGTAATATTCCAAGCCTCTGATACAAGAAGAGCAGGACCTCAGTGGTGTTTCTGAAGTAATTAGAGACTGCATATTAGTTGGAGGAACAGTCCTGAATGCCTCAGGTCTGGACACTTAACAGTGGAAACTTCAAAAGTAATGGCTATGTTCCTCTAACTTATGACTCAGAAAATGGGGCTGAACACGAGAATCAGGAGAATAATTTAGTAATTGGACCATTTTTGGTGGACAAATTGATACCTCAGAGGGGCCCTGATGGCCCATTTTTAATGACGCTGTGAGGCAATATAAACCTCACACATCTGCACACTGAAGATATAAAATATTCCACCTGGGGAAAGCAAATGGCAGGCGCTACATTCCAGGATTTTATACCCTAGGCTAGATTTTGCATTTTGCATTTGTCCAAATCATGACATTCTGTCATGATTTCAACTATTTTCATTGGTTCTTCACATCACCTACTGCTAGTTATTTATTTATCTGGGTTTGGAAGGGAGCTCTGAAATAAAAATTGTTAATGTCCTTTTATGCCCACCTGAATCCCGGTAACAACAGCTGGCCCAGCCAGCTGCAAAATATGTGCTAATGACTTGAGCTGGGTGAACTGGGAGAGGATTATAGATGTGAATTTCTGTAGTTAAGAAGTCAGATTTCCTTTTCTTGCCTCTCTTATTAAAGGCCTTTACCTCTCTTTGCAGATGTGAATAATACTGAATTTGTGGAATCCTCAGCATGATGCTAAAAGAAGACCTTTCTTTTCATTCAGATGTCCCAAATCAGAGAGTGGCAAAATAAAAATGAAATGAAGACTGGTTTTGATGGGATTACTTAGCTACATTAAGATTAATGTTGCCAGAAAAGCATAGTTACATTTGAACTTAAGATCCACAAAGAATGTCTTAGTATAAAGTGTGCCACATGCAACATTTGTCCAATTATTGCATGAAACGTACTTGTACTTAAAATCTCTTTGTTGCATATCTAAAATTGAGATTTGACTGGGTGACATGTATCTTTGTTTGCTAAATCTGGCAACCAGAATTAGGATAAAAAGTTGAACAAAGATATTCATTCAATTCTCAAATTCCAATGTGTTGAAATGGAATGGTCATGCCATTATTAACCACAGCAAAAGCATAATGTTCTAAAATTTATATGTAGCTTGAGGCAAATTTGGGTATTTATATTTGAACATGAGTATTCAAATCTGTTTTCTAGGAATTCACATCACTAAAAACTGTCATAAGGCCCCTGCAAGAACTGAATGTTGTCAATGTTTCCTCATACTCAGCTTCTTCTCCCATTCAATTATCCCAAGAACATCTACGGACTCTTTCTCAAACTAATAGAATGCACGAATCTAAGCAGGAAAATGCCTGTTTGCCAGCCTTTCCAGAACTTACAGCTGAATTCCATTTCTAAGGTTTAAATAGGATTTTTTTCCCTTACTACAGTCTACACTTAAAGTCTAGTAAAAGTAGATAAGTAGATTGTATATAATTTGGCATCAACCAGGACGCAGTGCAACAATTGCCAGTATGAATGTGGAAGGAAAAAAAAGTGAATAAAAAATATCCTATGGGTACATCGAAATTTCAATAGTCTGTGAAAATGAAGTATTGGCTTTGGTCTCCCGTGGTATGTCATGTAGCTGTGTGCCTCTAAAAAAGCAGAGGGGAAAATGCCATCACCTACTGGAACCTGTATATCTCCTATCTTACGATGGGCTAGTTGGCTCATGATATCTCCTATCTTATGACGGGCTAGTTGGCTTATGAACAGAAACACAAGACGGCATGTACGGAAATCAACAAGCATGGTTTTTAAACCTTCCCTGAACATCCTGAAGACGGTCACAAAGATTGAAACACAGGGCCGTGATGCCAGGAAAACTGGATCGCCACAAATTCTGTCTCTTGAAGTTAGGAAGTCGTAGCATTGCAATGCAAAGCAACGTGAACTGTCTGTGGTGCTGGTTGACTTGTACCCTAGTCAGTTACACATGGTAAGATCCAGCAGACAGTGTAAACAGTGTTTACCAACCATATCTCCTCAAGATGTTGTGGACAGAAGCTACAGCTGTGGCTTTTGAAGGACTCAGATGAAAGCCTGAAGATTTCAGAGCAAAGTTATTTGATGCACAAAACTGAATTCTAAGAGCTTTTGTAAATTGAGGGACTGCGCTAGAAAAGTCACACTTGTGGCAACAGCTGAAGACCAGAAATGAGCCTATGGAGTGGGTTATATTACCTAATGGGGTAATATACTAAACAGATGCAGGAACGGGAACATGATCCCAGAACTTTGACTGTCACATCATTTGGCAGGGATGTGGCTGGGAAAACACTATGATCTCAAAACCCATGAAAACAGAGTAGGTGTCAATGTGAAATTCTAATTATCCAAATATATACCTTCTTAGTTTTATCCAATTCAGTTCAACAAGCATTTAGCAAAGCCTAGATGAGTTAGTTATTGTAGCAATAACCAGACTCCTAACTGAGCCGTAGCCTGAAACGTAAGGAATTCCCACCTTCATTTTTTAATCCTTTCACTTTGAAAAATAAAAATTTTGCCATTTGGGGACTTTACACATTAATTTAAAATGGATTGAAAAAGAATCCAGTCCAAAAGTGTCATCTATGAATTAGATTTAGAGTTTGCTAATCTTAGCCTTGATCTGGGAAAATAAGACTAAATCAGTCCTCAAGATTAAACCTCAAGATTTATCTGCAGGAGAATTTTGCTAATTTTCAATGTCTTCATAGCTTAGAAGGCAAAATGGGAGGTCTAAGATAAAGAGATTTAAAACTGTAACTCCTGGCCGGGCACAGTGGCTCACGCCTATAATCCCCACACTTTGGGAGGCTGAGGTGGGAGGATCACGAGGTCAAGAGATCGAGACCATCGTGGCCAACACGGCAAAACCCCATCGCTACTAAAGATACAAAAATTAGGTGGGTGTGGTGGCACACACCTGTAGTCCCAGCTACTTGGGAGGCTGAGGCAGGAGAATCACTTAAACCCAGGAGGTGGAGGTTGCAGTGAGCTGAGATTGCACCACTACACTCTAGCCTGGGTGACAGAGTGAGACTCCATCTCAGAAAAAAAAAAAAGAATCCAGTCCAAAAGGGTCAACCTATGAATTCGATTTAGAAGAGTTTGCTAATCTTAGCCTTGATCTGGGAAAATAAAAATAAATCAGTCCTCAAGATTAAACCTCAAGATTTACCTGCAGGATAATTTTTCTAATTTTCAATGTCTTCATAGCCTAGTAGGCAAAATGGGAAGTCTAAGATAAAGAGATTTAAAACTGTGACCCTGATAATTTAAAAACAAAACTTCAAGTAGGATCCAAAAACATATGAGAAATGATTGCCGATGGCAAATGTTAGTACACTGAGGCTATGACGCACCAGAGACCCAGGCATGCTTTCCCAAGCTCAGCTTGTATATAACCCTGTATCTCCATCTGCGAGTCTCTGGAAAAATAACTGGGAGACTCCACAGGCAATGAAAGTAAGTGGTAGCAACTAAATGAGAATGGAGTGGGTAATAAAATATAACTGTGATCTGGGAGAGAATAGCTACAATTCAGCCTGGCTGTGCTATTTGTGAGTAATGTGATTCCCTGACACAGGTGGCAACGAGGACTTTATAGGTTCCGGCGTTATTTTTCTTCTCCCAGGATGTTGTTGTATTGAGATATAGAGACCCATGCAGCCATCCTTATTTACCACTTTAACCAATATTCATGAGGCACTTTACTGTCATCCTTTCAGGCTCCCACACTGTGTGGGTGGTACAGTTAAACTATCCCCCAAGTCCCCTTTCCTAGAAAATGCTGTAATGTACATCTGTTTATAACCTGTATGTTTTGTAGTTGGATTTCTTAACTACGATGTTTATAGCTTAGCTCTAAAAGGAAATGTCGCCTCCCATTTGCGATCAAGATTCAGGATTGAGTAATAAAAGAAACCTGGGCTTCATGCAGAAAGCATATCCATCAACTACTGCCCCAAAGGACCTACAACCGTTCATTTTTCCCTTTCTATTTCTGTTGTCTATAATGGAGAATAACCTAACTGACTTTTCTCCTGGTAGCTCCAAAAATGAACTTTTAATCAAAGACAAGTCTATGCAGTCATTTAAAATAAATTTGCCAAACCATGGAGGGGACTTAGACTTGCATCTCTAAAGAGTAAAATATTTGCAAGAACTTGATATCGTAAGGAATTTTGCTCCCATTAACAAGATTTTCATCTGCAAGTCATGTGCAAACTGCTAAGTATTCTAAATCTACAATTCAGCTGCTTGCTGATGGGTTTTTTTTCTTTTTCTGCTGCCAGAATCATTGCTCCCCGCACTCAATACTTTTTCTGACATCTAGTTTTTCATTCACATTCCCATGACTTTGTTTAGTTGGTTTGTTGGAGGGAGGAAGGGGAAGGGAGATTGCATTGTCTTTCCCTTTTTCTTCTGTTTCTTTACAGAATTGCTTTCAAGTACTACACTGACTCTTTTTCGAGTTTATTGATTTGGGGGTGTGTATTTACAATTGCCAATTGTGTCTGACACCTACCTTTTGTAGTACATAAATAAGATTTTTCTCTCCATCACAGTCTATAGTTTGCCTGTTCCTTACTTCAACCTCACAACATGCCTGCTTCAGTACTGAGGAGAACAAAATAAACATAAACAATTTCTACCCTGTAACTAGATGACTTCAAATTGGGACCCTTAACATTCACTTTTAAATTCTATTTCTATGCTTCAGTAATCGGATTTCCAGCTAGTACAGCAAAGAAGTATTAGTTGTCATTGTTATTTAACTAAATTCCTACCTTGGGAAGATGCTTCCCCCAAAAAAAGCAAAACATAAATAAAAACTAAAATTCTCAGTTCTCAAGAAGGAGATGAGCAAAATCAGAAAATGGTGTCTTCTCCTCCTGTTTCTTCCTTCCAGTTCTTTTCTCATACCTTTCCATTTTTTACCCTGTAGTGATTTCTCCTTCCTCATGTACTGTCTTCACTTCTATTGACCTCAATCTCTAGCTGTTTACTTGGAAACATTCAGAAAAAATAAATTAACATGTCTGTGACCTAAGATTAAGGTGTTGTCTCTCTCTGATGATTTCCTCCTTGGTGGAAATACTTCTTAATCTAAAGGAATGACTCCCTAATGGAAGAATTTCAAGTATTCCTCATAAGTAGAGAGGCAAGATATTTGGGGGCAGAGGGACACTTCCTGGCACCATTCATATTATGCCACATTTAACACTTCTTTCATTTGCACTCTTTCTCCTCTAAAAAAATGAATTTGAGGTGTCTTATAAAAATATACAATGTAACAAAAAATTAATAGATGATAAAATTAGGGGTGAGGGTACATAAAATGATAGAAGGCAAAATAAGTCAGGGATAATATCAGCACACAAAATAAACATGCAATAACAATTGTATGACTGTTATAACTGGTCCTCAAATTTACCTCTGAACAGTGCAGAGAAACAAATCAAAGGGAAAAGTAAAATTAGTTACAGATTCACAGGGTTCAGAAAGTTGAGAACAGTTGCTGATTCAGAAACTACACTGAAGAGTAACCAACTGGCCTCTGTGCAGGGTTAGTTTGTAGAGAATTCTTAGAAGTACAACTTTTAAATTATCACAAAGTTATTCACAGCTATTCACAATAGCCCCAAACTGGGAAACAAACAAATGGTCCATTAAATGAATAAGCAAATTGTGGCATATACATTTAGTGGAATACTACGCAACGACAAAATGGAATGAAATGCTGATAAACACCACAGTAGCGGTGAATTTAAAAATCTGTGCTGAGGTCAGGAGTTCAAGACAACCATGGCCAACATGGTGAAACCCCATCTCTACTAAAAATACAAAAATTAGCTGGGCATGGTGGTATGCACCTGTAATCCCAGCTACTTAGGAGGCTGACTCAGGAAAATCACTTGAACCCAGGAAGCAGAGGTTGCAGAGAGCCGAGATTGCACCACTGCACTCCAGCATGGGTGACAAAAGCAAAACTCTGTCTCAAAAAAAAAAAAAAAAATCTATGCTGAGTAAAAAACAGGCACAAAGGCATGCATACTTCATTGCTCCATTTATATCAAATTCTTGAAAATGCTAACTTATCTTTAGTGACAGAAAACAGATCCTTGACTGCCTGGGATCTGGGTGGAAGGAGAGGTAGACTGCAAAAGGCCACAAGGAAGCATTTTAGGATGATAGAAATGTTCTGTATCTTGATTGTAGCAATGGTTTTGTGGGTTTATCCATCTGTCCAGACTCACTAAATTTTATACTTTAAGTGTTTTATTTTAAAGAGCTCTTAGCAACTTTAATAGCCCCAAATTTTAAACCCCCCAAATTTCCATCAGCTGGTGAATGAATAAACAAATTGTGACACATCCGTATAATGGAATACTATGCAACAATAAAAAGGAATGAACTAGTGATATGCATAACACCATAGATGAATCTCAAAATGATTATGCAGGGGAAAATTCTAAAAATTGGGAAAAAATTCAAACAATGAATGGCATATCTATGGTTACCTGGGAATATGGGGGAAGGGTTAAATGGAGGAATTCTAAAGAGGCTTGAGAAAACTTTGCGGAACTGTGGAATGTTCACTATGTCATGGTGAGAAGTTCCTGAGTATAGACATATGCCAAAACTCATCAAATTGTACACTTTAAACATGTGCAATTTATTCTGTTAACTGTACTTCAAAAAAGCTGTTTAAAAAAAATCACACATTTTCTATGCATAATTCTATCCCTGCATGTACTTCATTATACAACAGTTATCTTTTTTGTGTCTGTCTCCACCACTGACCATAAACTCTAGCATGGAAGGAGCCATGTCAGTTTTGGTGTGCACCTCCAAAGGCATGGCCTGGCTCATGGACTGCTCCATAAGGATCTGTTGAATTGTACTGTGAGGTCTGATAGCAATTATTACTATTTCTGCTGTTTATTTGCCATGTGCTATTCTAAATACTTTTTATGGGTTAACTCTTTAGTCCTCACAATACAATAGTTCTCTGAAATTGAGTCCTGTTCTTATCCCACTTTACAGGTAAAGAAACCCAGGCACCTGGCTCCAGAGCCCTTACTCTCTTTAATATGAATCTGATCTTGCCTTTTTAAAAGATGCTCAAAGGAAATGAGAATTGTCTAGGATCTCAAGCTAACACCTTAAAGCCTGGGGTATGGGGTGTGACAGAGAGTCTAGGAACTAAGACAATAAGCCCAAAAGACCAACGGAATAAGACTGGACTTAGAGTTAGAAAATTTGGTGTTGAGCCCTAACAGGGCCACCTGAGAGCTACTGCAAAGATCAAATGAGAAAATGAATAGAATCTTGATATAAATTGAATGACATCATAATCACTCTCTAGAATAAATCCATTTGGATTATAAGAATTCAATTATGAGAAAAGATTCATTTGAATCCTAGTTCTAATTTCAACACATTACCTTTCAATAATGAGGAAAAATTCAGATTTTACACGTCAGCAGCTTGCCCAGTAAAACAAGAGCCACCTCTTATCGTGCTCCCAATTATATGGTTGCCACAGGTCACCCATAATCCTTCTTTCAAAATACTTATGTTTCGCCCATTTTATAGTCATGAAAATCTTATAGAATGGGTGTCTTGCTCTCACTGATTTCTTCAGTCTCGACTGTTCTGTTTGGTTCTTTTTGAAATTAAATGTTTCATTATAAAGACATTGCGCATCATTTTTGTCTCGGTCTATTTGGATGTTAATTTTAAAAATGCCATAGCTTGGGTAACTTATCAACAACTGAAATTTATAGAGGCTAGAAAGTCCAAGATCAAGGTACCAGCAGATTCAGTATCGGGGGGGCCGATTTCCTTGTGCCTAAATGGCATCTTCTCAATGTGTCTTCACAGGGTGGAAGAGAAAAAGTAGCGCCCTGGGACCTCTTTTATAAGAGCATAAATCCCATTCCTGAAGGCTCTGTCTGCCTGATCTAACCACCTGCCAAGGGCCACTCCTAATACCAATCACTTTGGTGGTTAGGCTTCAACAATGAATTTTGGATAGATGTAAACATTCAGACCATAGCAATATGTATGCAGTTTTTGTGTGCATCGTCCTAGCATCCTGCGTGCTGCATTTTACTTACTGCATGTGTCATCTACACAAAGCTGGATCAGCAAGCCGGGAAGACACCACAGTGCAGACTCATCACAGAAGGTCCCCTGCCTGCTATGCCATCATTGCCAATCATGAAATTCAATGCCATGTTACTATAAATGGGTATTAATTTAAGGGTCGAAAAATGCTTTAAATGTTTTTCCACGGAAATTAATGGTGATTATATACTTGACTTTTAAAATTTACTCTTAGATGAGTTTTTCAGAGAAAAATAAATCAACCCTGAAAAGACAGGGCAAGACTAATAATAAATATAAGAAATTAAGTTTATGGCCTTTATTTTTAAAATCCACTATGACCTGCTTCATTGGGCACTGTTTCCCAAACTCAGTTCTATGAAACAATCATGGGTCATTGTTTGAATGGAAAACACTGGTTGAAATAAGTTGTGAGTCACTATAGCAGGACTTCTCATAACATGTGATACCCAAGAACAAGACACAGTATAGAGCATTTCCCCAAAATATTTATCTTCCACTAAATGGTTACTGATTAGAAACATTCAAGAATTTTTAAATTTGCTTGGTTGATACTGAGAGATATTTAAGGATATAATCATTAGGCAGTGGTGAAAACAACAGTCTTTCAAGTCAGAAGACCTGGTTCAAATTATGACTCAGGAGTTTATTATTATACAAGTGATTTGATGTCTCTATTCCTTAGTATCTTCATCTGTAAACTCGAAACAATAAAAATAAGAATATTTCACAGGTGTGTTTATGCAAAAGCTTGTGCAAATGAGAGGTGATTAGGAAAGCATTCAGATTTTCCTAGTTCTCTTAGTCTTTATCTCAAACAACTTAGCTCAGGGTCAGTACACATTTCACTAAAATTTGCAATCTATTTTAGATTTCTAAGATCCTTGGAATAATATTTAAAGTATTTAGCGTAGTTAAATAGAAAATGGGAAAATGTCCTCATGTTGGGAGGTTTCTGCTCAAAGGTAGGGTTAATTAGGGTGAAAGCCCCCAAAAGCTAAGGCAGGTTTAACCATGGGAAACGTGTGAATCAGATAAAGTATTGTCTATTTTCCATCCCTCTGTAAAAAAAATCATTCCCTTTAATTCCCCTCCTCTCAGAAATCTTCATATTTGATTTTTAAATTACTTAAGAAGAGATATATGGGGAAATTATTTAAATTATTATTACTAATAGCCTAAGAAAAAATTCCCAAAGATAATAAAAATTATTTTTTATTCTTATTATAATCAAATTGGTATTCATATGCAAATGAGTTTGTATAATTAATCCCATCTTCACCAAGTCTTCAAAATATGTAATACATTAAGAGAAATGGAAAAATATAAGTCACATTGTTAAAACTCTAGGTCATCAGAATACACACATGCCTGGAAGCCTGGAAATATTGCTTATTCCAGGGCTAATGAACAAGCCAAAGGGATTCAAAACACAGACAGTTCTTGTCACATTGAATAACAACAGAAAAGAATGATATGTATTATTGGCATCAGAAGAGTTAACCAAAACATCATTGGCAGTCAACATCTACTGTGGACCATCATTC
Source organism: Homo sapiens (assembly GCF_000001405.40). Taxonomy (NCBI): domain Eukaryota; kingdom Metazoa; phylum Chordata; class Mammalia; order Primates; family Hominidae; genus Homo; species Homo sapiens. The sequence continues at coordinate 20,699,064 of NC_000010.11, forward strand.
TTATTCATGCTGCTAATCCAACAAGTTTAAATAGCTTAGATTCTGCAGGACCAACTGTGGTGCTATGTGATTGTATTATTCTCTAGTTGCTTCACCTATACCAGTGAATAAACCTTCCCTAAGTAGATAAAAACTCTCTGAGAGTATAAAAGATGTATTTGCTCTTTTAAAGGTATTAACAGGCATGCAATAGGTAATCAGGAAGTAGTTATCAATTGGTTGATTGACAGAGTGAATTTGTTCCCTGGGCCAATGACCCTGAACTTATCACCTAAACCAGGACAACTTTGAGAGTGAAAATAATCAATACAATAATTTTTTAAAATACATTTTTATCAATCAATGAATATTTATACTGATGAACCTAAAACATAGCATGCCTTTTAAAAAAATAAAATCACTTTTTAATAAACAAAAACAACCATGCATATTTTAAAAATGTTAAATGTCTTCTATATGATTATCTGACTACTTAAAAATAACAAGTTTTTTTGTGTACTTTTAACAGTTTTGTCGACATTTCTGTGTCAAGTACTCTTTACTAGTAATTTTTTGATGAATGAATGTTATATCATCTCTTTATTTTTATTTATAAGATTTCCTAAAACTTGTTCAAAGTTTCATTTTATGGTTAATAAATGTGAAATTGTCTATACTTACATCACCCTAAAGTGCTAAAGTACATTGGGAGCCCAGAGGAAATTCTACTAAATACAAAATATTCTCATTACTATTTTTTCAGATAGAAATATGTAAATATTTAAGCCCTAATATTCTCATAAGTATTGTTAACCCCTTTTTAAGCACCTTTCTTTCACTTTTTAAAGATAAAACATGTCAAATGAATTGCCTCTATTTATTAATTCTTTTGAATATTTTGCTACATTTAGATACTGTATAATCTTAGGCCTTTCAGTTTTACTTCATTCTTATGAATAATATAAATTTAGCCAATTAAAAGTAGAAGCTATATTCCAAGAGTCTTGCCATAAATCAAGATATTCCACAGAACAATTATAGAACTTTAAAACTAGTAACAACTTGAGCTCTTATCTTTTAAGTTGTTATGTTCCTCCCTTGCTTCTACAGGGATAAATTTTAATGCCTTTTTCTTTGCAGGCTTTATTTTAATAATTAGAATCAGCTAATATCTTCAAAACTCAAATTTTTTTATGCTTATTCATGGAGGGCTTTGATTAAAGATTTCCAACTAATTATAAGGGCATACACATTGTGGATTATAATGTCTTCCTGATTAACTAAACTTTTTATCATTATGAAACATCTCTCTGATAATACACATTGTCTTGAAGTCTATTCTTTCTGACATTAATTTAGTCACACCAATGTTCTTAAGCTTACTCTTTTATGGTATACATATTTTCATCCTTTTACTTTTAACTGATCTGGGTCTTTGTATTTAAAGTAAATTTTGTATAGACAGTGTATAGTTGGATCTTACTTTTCACTTAGATCTTACTTAGTCTGACAATATCTATCTAATAATTGTAGTGTTTAATTACATTTAATGTAATTATTGATATGGTTAGGTTTAAGTCTACCAGATTGCTGTTGTTATCAACTTGTCCCGTATTCCCCTCCCATCCTCTTTTCCTTTGTATTCTATTATCTTTTAGTATTCCATTTGAAAACTGACTATTGATAATTTAGCTATACATGTTTATGTTATTTTTAGTGGTTACACTTGGGATTATGATATAAATGTATAACAGCACAGTCTACTTAAAGTTAATATTCTCCTACTTAATAAAAAATACAAGAATCTTTAAAGAATACATTGTAATTCCATTTGCCCCTCTTTCTTTGCTAGCATTGTCATACATTTTCAGTTTTGCACTGGAGTTAAGCAGAGATGTGATTTGTTAAATTTTCAGAAATTTTGCAGCTGATTGACATAACATTGATAACTCGAAATTGGCAATAGTGATATTTACATCATGTCACTTGGCAACTGACTTTTTTTCTTCAAAGAGCCAGTTATTAAACATTTGACAGCACAACACTATATATTTTACTCTCATATATAATCCCACAAAAAATATTATTTTCGTTTAGTTTTTAAAGAAATTAACAAAACAGAGCTTTCTTATCTGTTCATATATTATGTTCATCTTTTCCTTTAAGTCCTTGAACATGTTTGTAATAGCAGTTTTAATATGTTTTTATGCTAATTATAATACAAGGTCATCTCAGGGTGGGCTTTATTAATTTTTTTCTTAATTATGAATCATATTTTTCTGCCTTTTGACTGTCTAGTAATTTGTGAATATATGCTGAACCCTGTGGGTGATACATTGTAGAGAGTGGGTTATGTTGTCTTCCTTTGAATGATACCAAATTGTACTCTGGTAGGCAGTTAATTACTCACTGACCTTTTCAATTCTGTCAAGTTTTATTTTATTCTATGTTAAAGCAGGTCTACTTCAGTCCTATCATTAGTCCTAAGGAATAGACCCTACTCTAGAGGGTGATCCTTACTCTAAAGGCACACACAAAAAAAAAATTTAGAATAGTCATTTGATCTAAATGAAAAGTTATGCTTCTCAGAGTGACATGTAAACACATCTTCTGCAGTGCATGTGATATCTTGTCATCTATGGGCATAGTCTCAAAATAACTACTAATTTTTAAATAGATAAGGATGTTTCTTCAGCAGACTTGTGTATTTTGGTTTTCATGTGGTCACCATCATCTAATTAGAAGATCATCGTAAATATAAGTTACACATTCACCATCAGCATACCTGAGGAAATAAAAATCTAGTATTTAATTTTTCATGAAATATTTCCTTTTTTCACAGTTTATTGCTCTGGATGGTTTGTTGCAATTTTTTTTAATTACCAAACAATTTTTTAAGGTTTATATTGGTATTATAGAATAAATGACAGTAGTAAGAACATTCACATCACTCCCTAAATTCTCTGTGGTAGGAATGCTCAACACTAATTTCCATACAAACACCCATGTATGCACATATTAACGTACATATCCTATCGTTTCCCATTACCAACTGACTGGCAGCCTGATGCTTCTATGCACCTTGAAGGTCCTAAGGCTATCGCACAACTAGCTGATGCACCAAGCAGGAGTGGATAAGCAGTGTCAAATATTTAAACAGAAACAAGTTAACTGATCCTCACTTTTTGTGCCCAAGAGCACTCGGTCTTATCATTGGATGCCCTGCAAACTGTCCCTGGAGGGAGATATTAGTTATCTTCAGTCTGGAAAGGCTCATAAAGAGAGAGATATAATTACAATATAATATTTAATTTAACCATGCATTAAAATGTAACCATGTATTGGCCAGGTGCAGTGCTTCACACCTGTAATCTTAGCACTTTGGGAGGCCAAAGTGGGTGGATCACCTGAGGTCAGGAGTTCAAGGCTAGCCTGACCAACATGGTGAAACCCCCTCTCTACTGAAAATACAAAAATTTGCTGGGCGTGGTGGTGCATGCCTGTAATCCCAGTTATTCAGGGGGCTAAGGCAGGAGAATTGCTTGAACCCGGGAGGCAGAGGTTGCAGTGAGCCGAGATCGCACCATTGAGCTCCAGACTGGGCAAGAAGAGCAAAACTCCATCTCAAAAAAAAAAACACAAAAAACAAACAAGATGTAACCATGTATTAAGGTTATTAAAGTGAGAACTCTATACCTAAGCCTTTAACATAATGTGGAAGAGCCCACAGCAGAAACCAGAAGGATAAACTGAAGGTCTACACAACCTCTAGCCTTATTTTAAACGCAGCTATTAATGGTAAGATTCATAATAAAACTTGAAAATCATGTCGACACAATTATCAATTTTAAAAATAACTATGTTTAAAATAATTTAGACAAATGCTAACCTGGATGGGACTACAGAACAACTGGTGTAATCCAGAATTATGCCAGGCAAATTAGGATCACCCAGTTGATACCGCTAGATGAGCTATTTAAAGAAAAGTGAAATGGTCAAGTAAAAACAAAACAAAACAAAAAACCCTAAAGGCTATATGAGGAAGAAATGATGATTTCAAGGTGACTTGGGAAAGTGGGACCATTACTAGACATGAAAAGAGGCTGTTTCTGTTCCGGATTAGCCCCGAATGGTGTTTCTTTGACAAAGTTGAATTTTTCTTCCTACCTCTTTTGGAAAACGATTTATGCTTACTCAACTGCCAAAAGGGATGAAGTGGATAATATGTAATGTCTCCTGTATCTGTCACATGTGTGGTCTCCTTCCTGCCTTTTTTTTGGCCTAACACATTAAAAATCAGAAATATTTCTGTTTTTTATAACAGGTTGAAAGCCAATATTTTTCATTATCAACTTTTTCATGTTAATAATTCATCACACATGATATATTGAAATATTACATAATTCAAGTGCCACACAGCAGTCTTCCTAAGTGAGCTAGGTTTTATTTTTAACTATGACTTCTAAACATAATTACTGTATGTGTGAAAAAAGAAGAAAATTCATCTTTTCTTTACATAATACTTGTCATCCCCAAAGCCATTTCTAATGAAAGTGACTCTTCTATTTCTTAAAAAGCACAGTTGTCTCCTTCTTTACCTCTTTCACTTTATTTCAAGCTTATTCAGCATTTACAACTTACACTAATTAATTTGTGTAGACTTCATTAAATGTTCACTGACTGAAGGCAGCAGTTAAGAATTGAGAGGCTCATCAAGCAATTACATCTCCTTTTACTATAATGAAGCCACCAGGAGTATCAGCCATTTCCTGAACTCTGGACTTCAAAGATGACATCTACCACCCCTGGGTCCACTTCAGGACTGGCCGCTGAACTGGGACCTTGTGGCTAGTTCCAAACCCTGACCGCAGCCCCTGGCTCCTGGTGTGGCTCCTAACCCAAGGGCAGTGCTCATACCCTAGGAATTGGAGATGTGGGAATGATGCCTATGAAGAAGGGAGACTTATCAGTTCTTAAATTGTGTGTTTCCAGGACTATAACTACCACCCCAGAGTACAACTATGGGCAGCTGCTTTGAGCTCTCACTCAACTTCTGGGCAACATCTGCTCAGCCTTACCCCACTGCAGCCAGCCATATGCCCACAAAATGCCTAGAAGACATCAGTAAAATATAAGTCAATTGATCTCCCTTCTGCAAGGTCAAATGCACACTAAAAATACGTTACAGATTTCACTTTCAAGGTCAGAATGTCTTAGAGTTCCATTTCTGGATTTTAGCTACCATTGTGTTCCAGTTTTTGGACTAAAACCAGGAACATCTAGAGCGGTGTCTCCCAAACCCAGTACTGTGAGTCACTTAGTGGATTGTGATGGATCCAATACGTCTTAATGAGGAACCTTTCTTAATGAAACAGAAGAGAATTGAAAATACCAGAAAAATGTACCTGTATTAAATGTGTTACAGAAATGAGGTCCGGATCCAGACCCCAAGAGAGGGTCCTTGGATCTCACGCAAGAAAGAATTGAAGGCGAGTCTGTAAAGGGACAGCAAGTTTATTAAGAAAGTAGAGGAATAAAAGAATGGCTACTCCATAGACAGCAGCCCCAAGGGCTATTGGTTGCCCGTTTTTATGGTTATTCTTGATAATATGCTAAATAAAGGGTGAATTTTTCGTGCTTCCCCTTTTTAGACCATATAGGCTAACTTCCTGACATTGCCATGGCATCTGTCACTGTTATGGCGCTGATGTGAGTGTAACAGTGAGGATGACCAGAGGTTACTCTCATTGCCATCTTGGTTTTGGTGGGTTTTAGCCAGCTTCTTTACTGCAAACTGTTTTATCAGCAAGGTCTTTATGACGTGTACTTTGTGCTGACCTCCTATCTCATCCTGTGACTTACAATGCCATAAATGTCTGGGAATGCAGCCCAGTCTCAGCCTCACTTTACCCAGCTCCTATTCAAGATGGAGTTGCTCTGGTTCAAACGCCTCTGACATGAGTGAGACATTTATTTAAACTTTGTGTGTGTGTCACAGGTTGTGATGTAAAATATATATTTTTTACTCTGAGTCCGACTTACTTGAAGGCCCAGATGGGAAACAGAAAGACAACTTATGCTATTGAGGGTAATACAACTAAAGGAAGAATATGGAAGTTGCAAAAGACATATTGCAGTTCAGTGAAAGAACAATTTCTTTCCAGTAATAAAACATCCGGTCTCTTGAGAAAGTGAGTTTCTATTTAAAAAGTAACTGGATGGCCTCCTACGTGAGCCATGGGAGCAGCGATTCCAGACATTACTAAGAAATGGCTCTGGATGACTTTCGGGCACTTCTTTGGATGCCTTCAATCGTTGGCGATTAATTTTCTACAACGATCACAAACCCCCAAGCTGCTAGTTTGTGCTATTGAGCTCTAAGTTTTTAAGCTATTAAGCATTTTTTTTAATTTATAACTTGCACTTTTTCTCTACTTTCATATAATGTCCTTATGTTAAAATGGCACTTTCAGGATTTGAGACAGAAATTTCAAAATGGTAAAAAGCAATTGCTTTGGTTGAAGGGCAGTGTAGCTTTTGTTCCATTTTATATTCCTTTCTTTTATTGCTCCAAAAAATAAAAAATGAACCCTGTATTATAAAATGGGCAAGAACAAATAAAATAACACCCGTTGCAGGGAGAGCACTTTGAAACCAGCAGTTATAACAATAGCTTTACTTTCCTTGGAAGGGTATTTAAAAATGAGAGACTCTGTAAAAGTTTTCGGGATCAGGACGCTTGCATTTTCCAATTAGGCCAGCCTATAAATTCAGGACAAATGTGAGACAAAGATGCCATCCAATAAAATAATATGGGTATGTATGTGGGTTTTGATTCCTAATCTCAACCTTCAACATGTTGGATTTAGAGATTTTGGCTACAGTCCTAGACCTGGTATCTGGTTATGAAACTTTAAGCATTTCAGATAAAGAAAACTTCCTATAAATAGGATAAAACTTCACCCTGAGTCCAGGCGCAGTGGCTCATGCCTGGAATCCCAGCACTTTGGGAGGCTGAGGTGGGTGGATCACAAGGTCAGGAGTTCGAGACCAGCCTGGCCAGTGTGGTGAAACCCTGTCTCTACTAAAAATACAAAAATTAGCAGGGTGTGGTGGCGTGCACCTGTAGTCCCAGCTACTCAGGAGGCTGAGGCAGAAGAATCTCTTGAACCCGGGAGGCAGAGGCTGCAGTGAGCCGAGATTGCGCCACTGCACTCCAGCCTGGGCAACAGAGCAAGACTCCATCTCAAAAAAAAAAAAAAAAAAACACTTCACCCTGGGTTTTACAAAGAGCATTTGGTAAGAGAAGTTTACAGGTAGAGTACATTTAAACTTTACCACATGTTCCTCAGTGAAGAAAGGTTTCAGGAGGGTGATTTGCTAAAGAGAATACAGACTTGGAACACCAACCTTCTGTTCTATCTTCTGTTCTATTCCCTCACCTCAATCCTATTGTATTTAAGTTCATGGTCCCTAATTGCCAAGAGGAATCCAATAATTCATAATCTACGGAGAACCATATACTACCACACTGACCATCAGGGTTCCCCATGGGTTAAAATGGAGCAGATAGAAACAAATGAGTGAGTGAGGCAAACCAGTTACTCACTCTAACATGATAAGTAATGGAAGACATTTATATGGTCACAAGCTTTCCAAGGCTGATATGCTTTGGCTCTGTCCCCACTCAAATCTCCTCTTGAATTGTAGCTCCCATAATTCTCATGTTTTGTGGGAGGGATCCAGTGGGATATAATTGAATCATGGGAGCAATTTCCCCCATACTGTTCTCCTGGTAGTGAATAAGTCTCATGAGATCTGATGCCTTTACAAGGTGTTTTCCTTTTCTCTTGGCTCTCAATTGTCTCTTGTCTGCTGCCATGTAAGACATGACTTTCACCTTCCACCATGATTGTGAGGCTCCCCCGCCCCAGCCACGTGGAACTGTGAATCCATTAAACCTCTTTTTCTTTATAAATACCCAGTCTTGGGTATGTCTTTATCAGCAGCATGAAAACGGACGAATACAAAAGCCCAAATTCATTCTACATTAAATCAATTCAAAAATTTAAGGCCAGAAAGTAAGCTATGCCAATTAATTCAATTACAGGAACCATGAAAAACAGACTTTCTTCTGTATGTTTCATCATGGGCATTAAACACTAAATTACTTCAGAACCATAGATAATTATACATGGTTCTGTATAGAAGCCCAAATTGCTCACTTTGTCCAGTTTTCCATCAGCAATGAAAAGTCCATTATAGCGTAAAGGAAATCAGGTGGCATGAGTAACATGTATGGAATCTAGAACACTTCTGGTTTCCTTTTGCTTTCTCAGTAACATAGAAGCCTGTGCTCCCGTCACACAGAAGGACACAGAGCTGGTGCAGGGCACAGTGTTCCAGGAGGGAATTTAGGAGCCTTAGTAATTAACTGTGGCCTATTTATCCCCTGGGGATATGGAGTTAACCACTTGTCTTTAAAAACAGGTTCAAGAGCTTTCACAGCCTCATAGACAATGGTTCCTTCCTGTCACAGCAGCTTATTATATTAATGATTTTATGAAACATATCCCCGTCTATGACTTTGGTCCTTGCCAATTGGTAGAAAAGCATCGTGTTCATTTAGCAGAATTTTCTTTTCATATCTTCAACATCCTTCTGAGCCGTTAAAATCTCTACTAATAGAGAAGCGTATTATGTCTGAAGTCTATCTCCCTGCGGTCATTATTCCTTTACAGCACTTGTCATTTGCAGCTTCCTTTCTGTATTCCCTAAACTTTCTGGTATCTTTTCAGAAAAATTCTTTTTAATTTCTTGAAATCTCACAGTCAGCACTTCAGTTCATGTCTACATTTTACCCTCGTTGCTCTCTAACAAATGAATCTTTTCAGGTTGACCTCTCCCTAATCTCTGAAGCTTTGACGGGATTTTCAGAAGTTCAGACTGAAGCAATAAAGGCCGTCCCACTTTTCTTCACTTTGCTGTGCAGATGGAGAAAGTCTACTATGTTTGATTATGCCGCCTCTTAGAATACTCGTAAGTTTCTACTGTGCTTATGAATTTTAACTCTTCTTTCTAGTGCACCAAGCTGACTCTGCTTCTAAATCCACTTCCAAAAGAACTTCTACTAAGTATAACATCCTCACTTGCTGCCATGTATAAAGACATGTTTATGGAGCGCCTTATGGGCTCTTGTTCTTTTTTTGTTTCTCAAAGTCCTAACCAGGATTTTCTGATTTTGTGTCTCGAATCTACAAGTTGACACGAGATGACGAATTGCCATTCTATAAATGACATCATGAGCCCTAAGTTGTGACTTTTCACCCCAGGATATTCTGTGCCAGTAGGATGGAAACAGAATTAAAAGACAAATCCCAGTCCAGCCATGGACCTGCTGCTGGAAAGACCAGCCACACTCAGAGGCCCTACGTCTCCCAGGACTGACTCATTTCAGGGTTTTACAGGCAGTACATGTAGAAAGTAAAGTGCAGACTCTCATAGGTTTGCATTCTGGCTTCACCTCTTACTACCTGTGTGACTTTAGGCAAATTATTAACTCTTCAATCTTCAAATACCGCCTAGGGCTGTGGTGCAGACAAAAAAAAAAAAAAAAGACATTATGCATATAAAGTTCTCAGACCTGTCAGGTGGAAGTGTTAGCTATTATCTTTATCAATAGGACCTTAGTAACACCTTAATGGCTTCTCATTGATGTATTTAGGGACCCTGGTGTTTTAGAACACTTTTGGGGTTAAAGTACCTTCCTTTGCGGTTAGAGTAACTTCCTTGAGTTCTCCTATAGCCCCATCTTTATAGAACCATTGCTTTTCTGATACTTACTGTGAAGTGGACCATTTGGAAGAATGAAAAACATTTCAAGATTAAACTATGAAAAATAACCCTTGTTACCCACAGTAAGTTTCTCCAGAATGGAGATTTTGTTTTGCTTTTCTTTTCCATAAAGCTGATCCATAGTGACTGGGGGCAGTGCTACGAAAAATCAGGAGAAAAGATAGCCTGGTCTCTGACTCCTGTAGATTATAAGAGGATTCAGGAAACTAGACTAGAGCACAGAAGTGTATGTCAGTAGCATAAGATGAAATATAATCGTCAGCAGGGTGAGCTAGAAATTAGAAGGGCCTAGTTTGGGGCTAAGAACACAACTGATTCTCTGCCAGTGCTCATTAACTAATACCACTAATAACTTACAACAAATAACATCAGAAATTCTATGACAGGCATTCCAAGATGATAATTTTCAGAATGTAAACATGTATTTACCTTGCCACCAATACCAATAGAGTCTGTAAAAACTGGCTTCTTGGCCAGGCACGGTGGCTCACACCTGTAATCCCAGCACTTTGGGAGGCCAAGGCGGGAAAATCACTAGAGGTCAGGAGTTCAACACCAGCCTGGCCAACATGGTGAAACTCTTTCTCTACTAAAAATATAAAAAGTAGCTGGGTATGGTGGTGCAGGCCTATAATTCCAGCTACTCAGGAGGCTGAGGCACGAGAATCGCTTGAGCCTGGGAGGCAGAGGGTGCAGTGGGCCAAGATCAAGCCACTGCACTCCAGCCTGGGCAACAGAGCAAGACTCCACTAAAAAAAAAAAAAAAAAGTGGCTTATTTTTATTTTATTTTTATTTTAATTCACAAATAAAACAAAATAAAGAAAGTGAAAAAATTAGCCATAAAAGACTTGTACCTATACAGGGTAGGAGCAAAATGAATGGAGTGAGGACTATTGTGCGACTCTTGGCCCTAGTAATTGCAGAAATTCATACATATTTGAGATCCTGTGATACTCTCTGTGCCCATGGAACAATCTTATCAGCAAGGTTCCTGCTGAGCCTTTCTTCAGTGTTCACCTCAACAAAGGCAACTTCTTCCCCTAGATTCTTGTCATTGTTCCTGTCAACTGCTGCTGAGAGACCAACTGCCCAAATATAACCTGCAGCAGTATCTACCTGGGGCAGAAGATTCACTAGAAGGCTAAGAGAACAAAATTTTTTCTTCTCAGATAGGCACCTCGCCTTTGATACTTTATCCTCATGTCTATAAAATCCTATGGCTTGAAAAAAAAAAAAACCCTCTTAAGAAACTTCATATGAAATGAAGCCAAGAAAATATTGCCATTTACAAACCTGAAGCAATATTCAGTTATTAGGACAAAGGCACAGAAAATCTGTGTTGGGTAGAAATTTCATTATCCCACCGGATATTAAAATCCTGATATCAACATTGTCAATGTTGTGATAACAAATACAGCCCTAAAAGTAATTGCTTCTTGGAATGTACCTTTAAAGATCATTTATAATTTAGTAATATCTCCACTACCACGGCTGCTAATATTGATTAGCAGTCAACTACATTAATCAACTGCATACAATGAAAGACTCAAAGAGAAACACAGAAATGAGAAGTCCAGAAGCATCGTTGGCAGGACAGTTTCTGCCAAGGAAAAAATCACTTTGCTTTTCTTTGATTTCTGATCTCTTTGTAATAATAATAACAATCAAAAGGAAAGTGCAAATTCAGTGAAGAAGAAAAACAGAGAAAATACACTAGAAACTTACTAAATCCTTACCCTGACTTCCACATGATAAGTTTAAAACCAAATAAAATCAAAGAGATTTTTCTGGCACGTTTAGTAAGAAGCCTTATAATGAGATGCAAACTGGTGAAACTTTCTTAGAACATTCCAGTATGCATTTCCCATGCTACAAGAGGTGAACGCCATGTTAAAAGAAAAACTTTGGACAAATTAAATTTAACAGCGTTTAATGGAGCAAAGAACAACTTGCAAATTGGTCACCCCCCGAACTAGAACAGGTTCAGAGCAACTTTATCAGAGAAGATTTAAGGATGGAAAAAGGAAAATGACACACAGAAAATGGAAGTGAGGTACAGAAACAGCTAGATTTGTTACATATCAGCATTTGCTTTATTTAGGCACAGTTTAAGCACCAGGCAAGGTGGTTCATGCCTGTAATCCCAGCACTTTGGGAGGGCCAAGGTGGGCGGATCACCTGAGGTCAGAAGTTTGAGACCAGCTTGACCAACATGGCGAAACACCATCTCTACTAAAAATACAAAAAAAATTAGCTAAGCAGGATGGTGCACGCCTGTAATCTCAGCTACTCAGGAGGCTGAGGCAAGACAATTGCTTGAACTCAAGAGGCGGAGGTTGCAGTGAGCCGAGATCACTCCACTGCACTCCAGTCTGGGGGACAGAGTGAGACTCCGTCTCAAAAAATAAATAAAATAAAAATTTTAAAAAATAAAAATAAAAACAAGCACAGTTTGAACAGTTGGCTCTCTGTGATTGGCTGAAATTCAGTGACTGGGACAAGAGTGGTTCCAATTTGTTTACACATCCAGTTAAGTTATAGTTCAGTATGTACAGAGAAAACTTTAGACAGAACTTAAGATTTGTAGAGACAGACTTAGACTGAACTTAACAGTCAGTATCGTTGAAACATGCAGACCAATATTTACAATGGTATGTAACACCCACCCCTCCAACTCCTGCAGGCTTAGGATAAGGACCAACCCTGGGAGAGTTATTTGCTTGAGTGTTGCTGTAAAACCAATATTCAATAGCAACGCTAAAGCAAGTGACTGACGAGAAAGACCTGAAACCGCTCTGTGCTACATGTGCAAAACAGCCAGGAATGTCCCCTGGAACGTCTGTTTCTAGAATAACTTCTACCATGCCTTGCTGTGGACACACTGGCTGCCAGAGAATACTTTAGCAAATGCCAGGATACAGACATGTGGAAAATTTGGAGGATTATATTGTTAATTCTCCCAATCAGCAATAGCCCCACCTCTGGTCCCATGTTGCAGTTCCAGACAGAGAATGAATGCTTGTAAGTCTCCAAATCAATGACAGTTGTCTCACCCACCAGAACTCAAGGATGGTTCATGTTTGAGCACCACCGTGTAAGTTTTCTTGTCACCAGCCCATGTTTTATGTACCTGTTTGGAAACAATTCTTTGGATTACTAGATAATCATTTGTGTCCACCTGGGTCACTGGGCTATGGAAACTGTCACCAAAAAGAGTCAAACTCTGTAAAATATATGAAAAGATTTATTCTGAGCCAAACATGAGTGACCAATGGCCCGTGATACGGCCCTCAGGAAATCTTGAGAACATGTGCCCAAGGTGGGGTCACGCCACAGCTTTGTTTTATGTATTTTAGGGAGGCAGACATCAATCAATACATATAAGATGTACATTGGTTCAGTCCCGAAAGTAGGACAACAGAAAGTAGGGAGAGGTGCTCCCAGGTCATAGGCAATTCAAATATTTTCTGATTGGCTATTGGTTGAAAGAGTTAAGTTACGGTCTAAAGACCTAGAATCAATAGAAGGGAAAGCCTGGGTTAAGATAAGGGGTTGTGGGCCGGGCATGGTGGCTCACATCTGTAATCCCAGCATTTTGGGAAGCCAAGGCAAGCAGTTCACTTGAGGCCAGGAGTTCGAGATCAGCCTTGGCAATATGACAAAACCCTGTCTCTACTAAAAATTAAAAAAAAAAAAAAAAATAGCCAGGCCTGGTGGCAGGTGCCTGTAGTCTCAGCTACTCAGGTGACTGAGAATGCAGTGAGCTAAGATCATGCCAGTGCCTGGGTGACAGATAAGGGGCTGTGGAGACCAGAGTTCCTATTATGCAGGTAGAATCAATAGAAGGGACTGTCTGGGTTAAGATAGGGTGTTGTGGAGACCAAGGTTCCCATTATGTATAGGAAACCTCCAGGCAGCAGGCTTCAGAGAGAACAGATTGTAAATGTTTCTTATCAGACTTAGAGTGTGTTCTATCAGTCTTGAGGTCTCTAAGATGTTAATGCTGGTCATCTGTGCCTGAATTCCAAAAGAGAGGAGGGAATAATGCAGCATAGCTGATCCTCCCCCCAACCCCCCACATCATGGCCTGAACTAGTTTTTCAGGTTAACTTTGGAATTCCCTTGGCTGAGAGCCGGGTCTGTCAGTCAACTGGGGGCTTAGAATTTTATTTTTGGTTTATAAAACACTACTTTACAAAAGCAATTAGGGGACATTTTCCATTCAAAAAATGAATGATGGAGTAAGAGGTATTTGGGAAGAACTGTTGAAATACTGTAAGAACGCATATAATTAACCTTCAGTTTAAGGACGTGTGTGTGCACGTGCCTGGCCTCTGCCTGTGCAAGCATCGGAGAGCAGAATATTTGTCCTTTTCTTCTCTTGCTCGTTCTTAATATTAACTCACAGGGATCCCTCTGGTATCTTCCGAACTCTAGATCCCAGTGAATCTTTTGGAAGTTTCTAATTCTTCAGTCTCATTCTCTCTCAAGACCTTATGCTCAGCAATTTGAAGAGGCTGTCTCTCTTTTCTCTTTGTTTTGAAAGTGAAATTAATAATTTCTGTGAAAAGTGTTAAAAGGGAGACTCTTCTTAGAAACAATAGGTAACTTATTGGCATTCTTTTCCTTTTCTTAAATAACACTTTCTCACCTCACTCTTCCCAACCCACCCCCACAACTATGGTGCTAGGGAAAGAGGAGCAACCATAAAATAAAAAGGTAAAGACACTAGCAGGGTGTTAAATGACAAGACATTGTGTGATCATCAACAGAGTATTGGCAAAGGTCCCAGGGCTAAGAATACAAACAGCTAAGAAAGGGGCCGGTCATTGTTACTGAAGCCTATAATCCCAGCACTTTGGTAGGCCAGGGCAGGAGGAGTGCTTGAGGCCAGGAGTTCAAGACCAGCCTAAGCAATGTTAGTCAAACCTTGTATCGACCAAAAAAAAAAAATTGTTTTGTTGTTGTTGTTGTTGTTGTTGTTTGGAGATAGAATCTTGCTCTGTCACCCAGGCTGGAGTGCAGTGGTGTGATCTCAGCTCACTGCAACCTCTGCCTCCTGAGTTCAAGCAATTCTCCTGCCTTAGCCTCCCGAGTAGCTGGGACTACAGGCACACACTGCCACACCTGGCTAATTTTTTGTATTTTAATAGAGACTGGGTTTCACTGTGTTGCCCAGGCTTGTCTCAAACTCCTGAGCTCAGGCAATCCGCTCACCTCAGCCTCCCAAAGTGATAGGATTACAGGCGTGAGCCACCACACCTGGCCTAAAAAACTTTTTTTAATTACCAGGGAGTTACAGTGTGTGCCTGTAGTGGAAGCTACTCAGAAGGCTAAGATGGGAGGATTGCTTGAGCCCAGGAAGTTGAAGCTGCAGTGAGCTATGATCATGCCACTATACTCCAGCCTGGGTAACAGAGCAAGACCTTATCTTAAAAATAAAAAATAAAAATCAAACAGACAGAGGAATGTAAGCCCTCATCTCCCACCTCAATTTCAGGCAAGGAAGGATTCCAGAGAACCACTCATAGAATGTGGGGATGCTTTTCAGGAGGGAAACATCTCCTGGTTCAATGCTTGCCAACCTGCACAAATATATGGGACCCTCCCTATGGAAGGGGCCCAGAAGAGTGTGGAGACAGTTATTTTGGGATATGTGTCCCCTTGCATTTAGGTGACTCAGAGACTGGGCCTGATACTCTCTTGGAGAAAGTATAAAGATAAGAAACTTGCTAGAATTGTCCTGATAGCATGGTAAGTAAAGAGGCTTGAGAGGCACACCTAGGCAGAGTGACGACATTAGTCAGAGTACATCAGCAGATCTCCAGTCAGATGTTTCCAGTGGGAGAATCTCTGAAGAACTCTTTATTAGTTATTAGTCATATATTGCTGTGCAAAAATAGTACCACCAACTTTTTAAACAACACATATTTTTTAAGCTCAAAGTTTCTGTGGGTCAAGGGTCCAGGCATGGCTTAGCTGGCTTCCCTGAAAGGTTGCAACTGAGGCTTGGATTGTGGTCTCATTTGAAGCTCAAGTGAGGAAGGGTACATTTCCAATCTCATGTTGTTGTGTGAAGCATTCACTTCCTTGTGAGTATCATACTGAGGTTCTTGGTGTCTTACTGGTTGTTAGCTGGAGGCTGCTCTGTTTGCCACATGGCCCTCTCCAGAGGAAACTCACAACATAGCAAACTAGTTTCAAAGCCAGCATGGGAGATAGAAACCTCTTTTAAGGAGGGGGTGGGAAACAAAGCTTGCGATGAGATGAACAACCAGCCCTAGGATGTTTACCATCAACAAAGGCATTTGAAACCCAAAGGAGAGCTGCAGACAACAGCAGCCATCTGAGACTACAGCACTCTTTCTCTCACCCATCTTTCTTCCCTTTCACCCAATCCTGGAGGAGCCAGAACCAGCAGAATGAAGGACAGGGAGGGTAAGACCCAGGAGTAATGCTGAAATGCTAACCACAGTGCCTTCCCTACTGCAGGCTTCTAATCCTACATCTGACAAGGATTTGAAGAGCAGGAAGAGGAAAAATGTTAAGATAAATAAAAGATTTTTTTTTCTATTACAGTTGGCAGCACTTTTTAAAATTTAGAAATAAAACTCTACACACTGCACTCCAGCCCAGGTGACAGTCCAAGACTCCATTTCAAATAATAATAATAATAATAATAATAATAATAATAATAATACTCTATATAAATGCATGGAAAGTTACTCAAAAAGCTGTGAGATCACTGAAGATATCATCCTGGGAATATCATTAAGAAAATATTTTATAGCTCTAATTCTACTGAGTTCAGTTTGGTCACGAAACTATTTTTCATGAGCTAATTCAGGAGGCCACAAGAATTAATAAGAAATGGAGATATGCACAGGACTCATTTTAAAAAGAAGGAAAAGAAGAAGAGAAGAGGTAGAAGTAGAAGAAGGAAAAAGAGAAAGAGACTGAGGAGGAGAGAAGAAAGAGAAGAAGGAAGGAGGAGAGAAGCAGTGAGAGAAGGGAAGGGAAGGGAAGGAAAGGGAATTACTCAGAGGAGACTTGTTTTCATGTGACATTTACTTCAGACATCAGAGGGGCAGGCACAGGTGAAAGACGAGTGACAAATAAGCTGTTTCCTGATTTGTATCTAAACAAGCCTAGTTTGTTCATCAAACAGATTACAACTACATCCAAAGGGTTGATATTTCAGTAGAAAGTAAAATTAATTACTCCTAAATTATTGAAGTATTCCCTGCTTTCTTTTGGATTACATTTGTTCCTAATTTTAAATGCCATTCAAAAAGCCAATCAGGTAATATCTCTTAGCAGCAGTTTGTCTGAAAGATACACTGTCATTCTTTTTCAGTTTACATAAGCAAATAGAGTTCAAATTTTATTTGCATGATTTAGTCTTATTAGCCAAAGGGAAAATAACCAAAGAGTAGGAGAAATCTTCAATTCTTTTCAGTCTATGTCACCCATAGGCATAGTTCTCATTTCTGATTTTTTTAAATCCCTATGTTATTTCTTCTTGTAACCCCCATTTTTCTAAATATTATGCTTTATTTTTGCATCTTAATTTTAAATGTTGGACATTATGAACTACTATTGTGATAAAAAATTCTCTTTCTTACACTACTGACACACCATCATGCCTCACCCATTCTTTCATTACACTTATATTGCTATTTTCAGTTAAGTAACTGGTATTTATGTTATTAATTTATAAAAGTGTATATGTAATATTTTTCTGCAAAGTTAAGTATAAATCTATGATTACATATTCTTTCTTGTATAGCTTTTTATTTTTCCTGGAGTTTTTAATTGCTTTTCTTTTGTAAAAAATCTAAGTCTAATTAGTACTCGTATATTTTTCCCAAATAATCTGTTATATCAGGTACTCTCATAAATAACACACTTCTTTCCCAGTGTCTCCTTTTTTCTAGGGAAACTCTCTTCTGGAGTTGTCCATTCTCCTGCTTCAAAATAGACTGGTTGCTTCCTAAGCTTGCTGCACCCTGTCATTTTGGGTCTTCTCCTTGCTGGTCCCCTGGGTTGGATATGCTATTTTCATAAATCAATGTCTTTCTCTATTTTGTTTACTTTCTTGTTTTCCTGAGTCATATCTTTAGCTTCCTTTAAAAAGATGCATGGCAAGAAGACATTTCTAACTTTATACTTCACCATCTTCAGATGAAACTCAATTTTATGGAACAGGTTAACAAAGACTTTTAAGTATGTTTAAAGCACTCAAAGAGATACGTAAAGTTCCTTGTGATGACTGACCTATTAAACAAACCTTGGGAACACCTTGCCTGTGGATTTTTTTTATGTGATAATAAAAGTTATCACTGATTGAGCCAGGTTTTTGTTACTTATAACCAAAAAGCTTCCTGACTTCTACATAATAGCTCAGAAAGTATCAAGATGATCCAAAGCTAGAGAAGAATCAATCTGCAGTCCAGTAGTTGTAAGTTTTGTTCTGAGTAACAATAAATGCGAAATTGTTCAATGTGCAATTGAATCATTTTAAGTTTTATTTCATGTAAAGAAAAAGAAGAGATAGACTTAGACTTTGGTAAGAAGATTTATGGTTAAATATGTATGTTAAAACGGCCACTAAAATAACAGGAATATATTCTATCAAAATCATTTGATAGAAACAAAAAAGGAATGTAGAAAAATTAAAGATCCAACAACAGTCAAAACATGCAGAAAACAAAGAAAATAAAAAGGGTATTGTATATACACAATAAGGTAATAGAAAAAGTCCAAATATTGCAGAGTAAAACTATTAATTTAAAAACTATCAGATAGGTTGTTTTTTTTTTTAAGTATATGCTGCTTATAAAGAAATACAACTAAAATATGGCCAGGCACAGTGACTCACACCTGTAATCCCAGCACTTTGGCAGGCCGAAGTGAGCGGATCATTTGAGGTCAGGATTTCGAGACCAACCTGACCAACATGGTGAAACCTCGTCTCTACTAAAAATAAAAAAAAAAATAGCTGGGTGTAATGGCACATGCCTGTAATTTCATCTACTCGGGAGGCTGAGGCAGGAGAATCACTTGAACCCAGGAAGCGGAGGTTGCAGCAGTGATTGCTCCACTGCACTCCAGCCTGGGTGACAGAGTGAGGCTTCACCTCAAAAAAAAAAAAAAAAGAAAAAAAATACAACTAAGACAAAACTCATAGAATGGTTGAAAATAAATATATAGAAAATAGCTCAGCTCACAAATACATATGAAAAAAAGCTATTGTAGCAATATTAATGTTAGACAAAGTAGAACTTAAGGCAAAAATATTAAGAATAAAATGATACTACATAATAAAGAAAACCTACCAAAAGAATACATTCATTATAAACTTCTATACACCTACTAATGCAGTCCCTAAATACACAAAACAAAACCTGACAAGACAGCAAAGAAAAAGTAACAAGTCTATAGCCACAGCGGGATATTTTAACATTAACTCCCTGTCTTAGTTCTGGCTGCTGTAACAGATTACCATAGACGAGGTGGCTTAAACATAAACATTCATATTTTTACAGTTCCGGAGTCTAGGAAGTTCAAGATCAAGGTCCCTAAAGATCCAGTGCCTACTTCCTGGTTTTCAGGTGTCCATCTTGTTGTATCCTCACATTTATCTCACAGCAGAGATAATTTATCTTGTGTCTCCTGTAAGAGCACTAATCCCATTCATGAGTTTCACCCTCATGACCTCATTATCTCCCAAAGGTCCCACCTCTTAATACTGTCAAATTGTGAGTTAGGATTTCAACATTTGAATTTTGAGGGGACATAAGCATTCAGTCCATAACAATATCTGAAACTGATAAATTAAAAAGACCAAAATAGAACATGGAAGATTTCAACAGACAAGTAAAAACTTAATATATGTAAAAGCCTACACTATCCAAAATAGATAATATACATTCCTATCTAGAACATATGGAATATCACCAGATTTTCATGTACCAGTTCATAAAGTCTCAAAAATTTCAAATAATTTATACCATACAAATTACATTGTCAGAAAAAATGAAGTTAATTTAGAAATCAAAATAAAAGATTTATAATCCAAACAAAAAGTGATACTTAAACATGTATTTATAAAGGACTCATTCTTAAAAAGGAACTCACAGTTAAACCGGCCAAATATTTAGGAGTAAATGAAAATTAAATATTATACAGAAAAATTTATGGAATTCAGCCAAAATGATACACTGCTAAATAAATGTATAGCATTAATTACAACTATTACAAAATAAGAAAGCCTTGACTTCAAGAAGCTAGAAAAATAAATAAAAAATATGTAATATATAATTTATATTATAAATAATATAAATATATATAGTATATAAATAACACATAAAATAAAATATAAAAATTAAAATAACAAAAGAGTATACCTAGAGAAAATAGAAAGAAACAAATATTAAAAATAGGAACATATTTTAATAAAATGAGAAAGATAGCACATCAGAATACCTGAAATACGATTCTTTAAAAACACTAAATCTACAAATAAACACTTCTTGAAATACTGACAGAGAAAAAATAGAATTGACAAAGATAAAATGAGAGTTAAAAATCAAGAGTAGACTTTTTTTTTTATTATACTTTAAGTTCTAGGGTACATGTGCACAACGTGCAGGTTTGTTACATATGTATACATGTGCCATGTTGGTGTGCTGTACCCATTAACTCCTCATTTACATTAGGTATATCTCCTAATTCTATCCCTCCCCCCTACCCCCCCCCCCCACCCCACGACAGGCCCTGGTGTGTGATGTTCCCCTTCCTGTGTCCAAGTGTCCTCATTGTTCAGTTCCCATCTATGAGTGAGAACATGCAGTGTTTGGTTTTTTGTCCTTGCGATAGTTTGCTGAGAATGATGGTTTCCAGCTTCATCCATGTCCCTACAAAGGACATGAACTCATCCTTTTTATGGCTGCATAGTGTTCCATGGTGTATATGTGCCACATCTTCTTAATCCAGTCTATCATTGTTGGACATTTGGGTTGGTTCCAAGTCTTTGCTATTGTGAATAGTGCCACAATAAACATACATGTGCATGTGTCTTTATAGCAGCATGATTTATAATCCTTTGGGTATATACCCAGTAATGGGATGGCTGGGTCAAATCATATTTCTAGTTCTAGATCCTTGAGGACTCACCACACTGTCTTCCACAATGGTTGAACTAGTTTACTGTCCCACCAACAGTGTAAAAGTGTTCATATTTCTCCACATCCTCTCCAGCACCTGTTGTTTTCTGACTTTTTAATGGTCACCATTCTAACTGGTGTGCGATGGTATCTCACTGTGGTTTTGATTTGCATTTCTCTGATGGCCAGTGATGATGAGCATTTTTTCATGTGTCTGTTGACTGCATAAATGCCTTCTTTTGTGAATTATCTTCATATCCTTCACCCACTTTTTGATGGGGTTGTTTTTTTCTTGTAAGTTTGTTTGAGTTCTTTGTAGATTCTGGATATTAGCCCTTTGTCAGATGAGTAGATTGCAAAAATTTTCTCCCATTCTGTAGGTTGCCTGTTCACTCTGATGGTAGTTTCTTTTGCTGTGCAGAGGCTCTGTAGTTTAATTAGATCCTATTTGTCAATTTTGGCTTTTGTTGCCATTGCTTTTGGTGTTTTGGACATGAAGTCCTTGCCCATGCCTATGTCCTGAATGGTATTGCCTAGGTTTTCTTCTAGGGTTTTTATGGTTTTAGGTCTAACATGTAAGTCTTTAATCCATCTTCGATTAAATTTTATATAAGGTGTAAGGAAGGGATCCAGTTTCAGCTTTCTACATATGGCTAGCCAGCTTTCCCAGCACCATTTATTAAATAGGGACTCCTTTCCCCATTTCTTGTTTTTGTCAGGTTTGTCAAAGATCAGATGGTTCTAGATGTGTGGTATTATTTCTGAGGGCTCTGTTCTGTTCCATTGATCTGTATCTCTGTTTTGGTACCAGTACCATGCTGTTTTGGTTCCTGTAGCCTTGTAGTATAGTTTGAAGTCAGGTAGCGTGATGCCTCCAGCTTTGTTCTTTTGGCTTAGGATTGTCTTGGCGATGCGGGCTCTTTTTTGGTTCTATATGGACTTTAAAGTAGTTTTTTCCAATTCCGTGAAGAAACTCATTAGCTTGATGGGGATGGCATTGAATCTACAAATCACCTTGGGCAATATGGCCATTTTTACAATATTGATTTTTCCTATCCATGAGCATGGAATGTTCTTCCATTTGTTTGTGTCAAGAGGACACATTTTAACACTTTATGCAAATTTATTCCAAAGCTTTAATAAAAATAATAACCTCATGGAATTCCATATATCCTCGTATTCTCAAAAAGAAATTTTAAAATCTTAATAATCCAAAATCATTAATGAAATTCGATGTTAAAAACCACAAATAAAATAGAAAACATATGCCATTTTGAAGTTAAACTTCATTATATGCCCATGGAACAGATAATCTCTTATACATGCTATGCTAGAAAATAGATAAAAATCTTTTGTTGTTGTTGTTGTTGTTTTTGTTTGTTTGTTTGGTTGTTTTTTTTTTTTTTTTGGATACAGGGTTTCGTCATGTTGCCCAGGCTGGTCTCAAACTCCTGAGCTCAAGCGATCTGCTCACCTGGCCTTCTCAAAGTGCTGGGATTGCAGGCTGGAGCCACTGTGCCAGGTAAAAATCTTAATTAGTATCAATCTTTACTGTAATTTCAAAAACATAGGTAATCAAGAAGCATGCAACAAGGAGAGGAGGGTCTTGGATTTCCCGCATTGCCGTCCAGAGCCTTCTACCCAGACCCACTTCTCTGGCTCAGAGTTCTAAGGAAGCCACTAATGAGGTATACACATTCTTACCTCCCACGGCTGGGAGCATGTAGGTTGTGAAACATCACCAGATAGTTCCTATAGTTTACATACAATCTCTCTGCCTCACAAATCCGTAGATTCTAGGTTTTCTTACTACAGATGATCTTCAATTACAAACATCTTGCTAAGAGCATTATAAAAACTAAGAACTCTCAGCAGCTATCATCAACCTGTTTATCAGGATATCCAGTTATTAGTATATTTATGAAAATTTATGAACATGAGGTCACCTATCTTCTTTCCCTGGGAGGAAGAATGACAGTACAGCTACTTTAACTCCTTCCTGCCCAGTTGCCATACTGATTTTATGCGGCTGATATATACTTGAAGGACTGTACAGACAAGTATCATACAAGAAAAGGAAATATTGAGATCAAACTCAATTATAAACATAAGCACAAAAAATGTAAATAAAATGCTAGCAAATTAATATAGCAATACTTTTAATTAGGTAGCAAAACAAATATGGATTTATTCCAGGAATGCAAGATAATTCAATGTTAACAAACCACATTTAAAAATTAAACATTTTTGAGCATTATCTCAATAGGTTCAGAAAAACCACTCCATAAAAGTCAAAACATCATGTGTGTATCTAACAAAACACTAATGACAAAATATATTTTTCAAATCCCTACACATTGTTTCTTACATGCAGGTTTGAAACATTTTTATTTACTCAATGTTTATTAAAATAATTTTTAAAACTTATAAGGAAAGAAACAGTCAATTTACAGAAGAGCTATGAATGGCAAAAAAATAAAATAAAGGATGGTCAATCTTACTACCAATAGGAGAAATGCAAATTAAAACAAGGGATCTGATCAGCAGGATAATGTTTACTAGAATTAAAGATATGCATACTTTGAAACCAACAATTCCACTTTTAGATGTTACTCTAAATAAATGCTTTTATATTTGTACAAGGAGAGCTGTACAAGTATATTCATTGCAGCATTGGTGGTAATATTTAAAAATTAGAGAGAAGTCAACAAGAGGAGGTTGGTATGGACTGAATGTGTACCCCTAGAATTCATATGTTGAAACCCTAATCTCCAATGTGGTGTTATTTGGAATGGGGCCTTTGGGAGATAATTAAGTCATGAAAATAGAGTCCTCATGATCGGATTCGTGCCCTTATGAAAACAGACAGGAGAAAGGTTGTTGCTCACTTCTCTCCATCACGTGAGGTTACAAGAACAGAACAGTCATCGGCACACCAGGAACCCAGCCCTCACCAGACACCAGAGGTACTGACAACTTCATCTCAGACTTCCAGGCTTCAGAACTGTGAGAAATAAATATCTGCTGTGGTTGGGCATGATGGCTCATGCCTGTAATCCCAGCACTTTGGGAGTCTGAGGTGGGAGGACTGCTTGAGTCAAGGAGTTTGAGACCAGCCTGGACAACATGGCAAGATCCCCTCTCTACAAGAAGTTCTAAAAATTAGCCTAGTGTGGTTCCATGTTCCTGTAGTCCCAGCTACTCAGGAGGCTGAGGCAGGAGGATAGTTCGAGCCCGGGAGTTTGAGGCTGCAGTGAACTGTGATAGTGCCATTGTACTCCAGCCTAGGTGACAGAGTGAGACCCTGTCTCAAAAAAAAAAAAAAAAAAAAAAAAAAAGTTTACTGTTCAAGCCACCCAGTCTATGGTATATCATTAAAGCAGCCCAAGCTGACTAAGACAGGGACAGTGGAATATTCCATTTACATCTCCTGGGCAAGTTAGACACGTTTGCATGTTTTAGGATGCACAGCTTGGCAGATATTATCCAATAACCCAAAACCTATATGAAAAAGAGGAGTGGTAAATTTCCTTTGGAAATGTGTATAAGTAATTTCCCTTGGACAATCCCTGCCCCAAGTCCACAGAGCACCAGTGATTTTGATCTCGTGTTCCTTCCACAACCGTCCTGCTCAGGTGCAAGGAAGTCTTCTCAGTTAGTTAACTTTCTGGTCCACAAGGTAGCTCATCATGAATCTCTGCGTATCCCGGATGGAGAACCCATGACTGGTGAATATTCTATGCTTAAAAAATTTTAAATGCCAAAGGAGTATTTTAGCAGCAAAAAGAATACCAAACTGAGGAGTTTCTAATTATGAAAATCACTATAGAAATGATTCAAATAAATTCAAAAATAATTCAATAGAACTTTTCAAAATAAACTCATTTACCCTTGAATTTCTAATCTAACATATAAACGTACCTGCTAGAAAATAAACATTCAATAAGAAAAATATAAAAGAATCTTAGGTAGTAAGTTGATTATAGGCAGCAGCTTAAACATAATTTATGTATAATTTTTTAATTTTGTGAAATATTTTCACTGATAGCTGGAGAATGAATTTTCCATAAACTGCTCTAGTAGAAAGCCAGCCGGGCACGGTGGCTCATGCCTGTAATCCCAGCACTTTGGGAGGCCAAGGCAGGTGGATCACCTGAGGTCAGGGATTTGAGACCAGCCTGGCCAACATGGTGAAACCCTGTCTGTACAAAAAATACAAAAAAAATAGCTGAGCATGGTGGTGTGTGCCCGTAATCACAACTACTTGGAAGGCTGAGGCAGGAGAATTACATGAATCCAGGAGGTGGAGGTTGCAATGAGCCGAGATTGCGCCACTGCTCTGCAGCCTGGATGGCAAAGTGAGACTCCATCTCAAAAGCAAGCAAGCAAGCAAGCAAACAAAGAATAGAAAGCCAGATTATCTGGGCCACATATGAACCTCAGAGAACTCCTTCACACTATTTGGATGCTGACCCCAGACTGGAAAACTGAGTTCATCTAGTGTCAACTTGTCACATAGCTCACCGAGACAACATTTTGTTTTTTAGCAAATTTGGCATCCAAAATATGAAATGCTCAGTTTTTTATTATGTCCTTCTCCCCCACTTACCTCTCCCATACTCATAAATAAGCAGCTAATTATCATAGAAAGAGCTCTTGAGTCTGTGTGCATGTACATGTGTGTACATGTGTGTCTGCATGTGTGTATGTGTGTGTATGTGCATGTGGATGTGTGTGTGCATGCGTGTGTGGGATGTGTGGTTTCATTGCATGAGGCAGGATGAGCCAAACCTTCCTAATGTTGCAACTGTTCAATCATCTGGGAAAAAAATCCAAAGAAGTCATTTACATTTTCTGTTTAAATAATGCAAACCCTCTCATCAGAAGATGACAAATGGTTTATGAGCAGCGTCTCTGACAAACGGTACAAAATCAACCCCAGTTTGAGAATAAACATACATGCTGCACACAGGTCAATAACCCTTCCAGCATAAGTGAAGAGGGAGTGGAGCTAATTCCACACTGTGCTTGTTTCCTCTCCCAATAGTAACTGGGTAACAGCCGTGTGCTGATTGTGTGGATTTTGTTGCTAGTTCTCCTCACAAATTGCAAAGCATTGCATTGCCAGAGACAGATTTGATTTCACATTATTTATGCTCATCCTGATTTCCCATTCATTCTTTGCTTAGATTCCTTCATTTTAATCTTGCAGATTCTTTATAATCTTTCAGCGTCTATCACTACAGCCTCTCAAATATCACAGGACCTCTACTGAAGGGTAAACTTTTGAAGAATTAACTTGCTCAATCTTCAACATTTTCCAAGCCAGTTATAGTGCATCCTGACCCCTATAAACATGTGCCACATCCAGGCTAATGTGAGGTGTGCTTCATTATCAGGTAGGTTCACGTCCTCTAGTACCTCCTTCACCAAGGAGAACTCCATCCTAAGATTTCTGTCATTTGTCACCACAGCAGTGGAGGTTGAGGTGACTCTCTCTCATGTATTCGCCACACTGTCACCATTCCACATCATTCCATACCATTCCCTATATTCAGGACCAAGGCATTGAACTGAGAGGACTAGGGGAATAACACCTCATTATTTTGTAGGGCCTAAAATCTGTACCGAATGGTGCTTCACTGCTGGAGCTGGCAAAAAGCTAGATCCTAAATCTTGGTGTATTAGGGTCTTCCAGGTGTGTATGTGTGTGTGTGTGTGTGTGTGTGTGTGTGTGTTTAAGGACCTGCTCACATGCTTGCTGGCTGAGAAGTCCCAAGATCAGCAGTCAGTAAGCTGTAGACTCAAGAGAGCTGATGGTGTAAGTTCTAGTCCAAAAGCCAGCATGCTGGAGACCTAAGAAAAATGAATGTTTCAGTTCCAGTCCAAAGGCAGGAAGAGACTAATGCCCCAGCTCAAGCAGTTAAGCAGAAGGAGTTCCCTCTTACTCAAGAGACATTCAGACTTTCTGTTCTATTCAGGTCTTCACCTAGTTGATTGAGGCCCATCCACACTAGGGAGAGCAATCTGCTTTACTCCACTGATTCAAATGTTAATCTTATCCAACAGCACCCTCACAGACACACCCAGAATAATGTTTGATCAAATATCTAAGCACTCTGCAGCCTGGACAAGTTGACACACAAAATTAATCATCACACCTTGATTTACAATCTAGGCTGTACACTAGAAGCACTTGAGGGTTTTAAAAATCTGGATGTCAAATTTGTAGCCCAGACCAATTAAATCAGAAGCTCTGGAATGAACCAGACATAAATATGTTTAAAGAATACCCAGGCAATTGCAATGTAAGTTCAGGGTTGAGAACCATTGCCCAAGGGATCACGCTAAATGGAACAACCCTTTTCTTTTTGTACCTGAACAAGACCTGAGCTGGGTGCAGAAACAGGCTTTGTGTGGAGTTTCTGTTTTCACTATAAATTGTACATGGCAGCAGAGATATGTAGCTCATACAAGTAGGAGTGGTTGGAAAGTGAAGTTTCCGGTGCAAAAGTGCATGTTACTAGCAACAGTAGTGGTCGCAGTGGAGTCAATGGCATTTACACCCTGGTTGGTGGTTTCCTCAATAGGCCAATTCTTGAACTTTGTTCTTGAAAGCTTAGCCTTTTTCTGTTTCCCTAGCTCTCTGAATGATTAAGAGGGCTAATTAACATTTTCAAATAAAGACCTTTTCTCTATGAATCCTAATCTGGGATAAATGTCCCTCCCCTGTGCTCCTAATATGTCTTCCTTTGTTTTTAATGTATCAATTATCAATTGCATTAGTTTAACAGGATATATCTATAAATTTGTTTTTACTGCTCACCAATAAGCTACTCCAGGGAAAGGATTATTTATTATTCATTTTTGAGCCCCCACTGCCTAGTCCAGTGCCTGGTTTACATAACGAGCATTTAGCGAATATTTTCTAAATGGAACTGAATATTCCTCTCATAGTTCTGATCACAGTCATCTCATACATGAGTTTTTACTGGCACACTGTAAACTCCTTGAGGGTTAAAGCAAGTTTCATCATTGTTTCATCATTGTATTCCTACAGTTGTGTAGAATTAAAGATAATCATTGTTTAAGTAATGACCCCATCGAGGCATAATTTTAAAGTTCCAACACAGACAAGGCAATGATACGTTAAGAGGTAAAATTCTCATATGGCAAAGTTTTCTAGAATAAGTAACTACAGTGTTTCAGCTTTGTACAGACTAAATTCTTTAAAAATTTTTAGAATAACTAATTAGATCAATAAATCAAGTGTAAAGTTCACTAACTTGAAGAGAGAAAAGTTTTGGAATCCTACTGATGCTAACTGTAAAGTATTTAACCTTGGGAAAACCACTGAAAATTGTCAGCCTCTTTCATCACCTAGGAGAAATTCTATCAGTTCCAGAAACTGCCCATTTCTTTCACACCTTAGGTCCTTTGCAGCACCCCATACCTTTATCTCTCTCTCAATTATGTTGCCTTCTATTACACCCTGTCTATTCTTCCTTTGTCGTGTCAATCACAACCACAATGTCACACTGTTTTATCTTTTTCTGTTCTTATTTTTCTCCTCAACTTAAAAGAGGGCAAGAATATTCTCTATATTGATGTTCTTATTTTTGTGGTGCCTCAAATGGTCCCTGGCATATAGTAAGTAGTGTCAATAAATATTTATTAAAAGAATGTATGTAAGTTTAAAAACATACTTTAGGTAAGTAAATCTGCTAGGTCACTACAAGAAACAAACAGACATGAATAAGAGGAAAGCAGCAGGCTGATTGAATATTCTTCCATCATATTTCTACAGTTTATCTCCCTCCTGTGTTTGCAGATGCCTCCTCCTACCTCTTCACAGCTGCCATCAGCCCAGGAAAACCTTCAACTCAGTTAAGTACCAAGACACCTGCCCAAGATGGAGATGAGAAACAAAAAAAGGTGAGCCCTATGATTGCCCCAATTTACAGCCTAGAGAGTGATTCTAAACAGTGGATCAGGGAGAAGGAACCCAATCAGAGCCTGGTAAACCCCACAAATTGAGGAGTTGGATCTGAGAGTCTGGAGAGACAAAGGCAGCCAGAGTTCCTAGGATGTGAACAGAGAGTAGCACAGTGGAGAGAGCTGCACAGAGAAAGAACTTTTCAGAGCTGCAGAGGGTTCCTCTATAGAACTCGGCAGAGTTCTAATCAGCACAAAGCATGCAGAAAAAGCTACCTGACGCCAAGAAAGAAACACCGAAAAGGACAGAGGGAACAATATCTGATACTCACACACAAAACTATAATTGTGCTTGTTCCTACCAGTCGGACTGCAAGACATAATTCACAGGGAATCCAATATTGTACTTAGAAGCCTTTTGTCTCAGTCATGGGGACTAACTAGCTTTAGGCTAAACAGTGCTCTAAACCTGTCTCACAAAATTTAAAAGCAAGACCTGAAAGGACCAAACTGTGTCCAAGGATAAAGCTCAAGATTATTTACAGAAACCTAAAAATATCAAACATTATGCAAAGTAAAATTCACACTCTCTGGCAGCCAAAGGACAATCAGACATTCAAAAAGCAAGAAAATATTATTTATAACAAGGAGAAATGATGTAAATGAAATTGATCCATAAATGACACTTGTTAAAATTTGCAGATAAAGACACTAAAATAGTTAACTATAACAGTATTCCTTATATGAAAATATTAAGTAGGGACATAGGGAATATAAAAAATTAAACTTCTAGAGATGTCAGTTATAATGCCTGAGATGAAAACAGTGAATGGGAAAAATGGCAGATAAGATATTAAAGAAGAAAATATCAGTGATTCTAAGACATAGAAATAAAATTACTTAGAATTAAACACAGAGAAGAAAATAATATGTACGTATCAACAGAACATTAGTGAGTCATGGCGCAACTTCAAACAGCCTAATATATGTGTTATTAAAGACCTGAAGAAGAAGACATAAGGAGGGCACAGCAAAAAATTGAAGAAATAATTACTGTAATTTTCCCAAATTTGATGGAATCTATAAACTCACTGATTCAAGATGCTCAGCAAAACCCAAGTACAAGAAAAATAAAGAAAACTATACCAAAATACATTGTAATCAAATGGCTCAAAACTAGTGACAAAAACATAATCTTTAAATCACACACACTACATACAGAGGCACTAAAGATAAGAATGAGAGCACATTTTTCATCAGAAGCAATGTAAGTGAAAAGACAGCGTAGTAACACTTTCAGCATCCTGAAAGAAAGAAAACATTGTCAACCTGAAAGTCTATAACCAGCAAAAAATATCTGTCAAATGCAAGAGTTGCAAGAATTCACTAACAGGAAATCAGCACTAAAATAAATGTTAAGAGAAGTGATTTAGGCAGAAGGAAAATGATACTGGACCTACATAGAAGAATGAAGAGCACCTTAAGTGGTAACTACATAGGTGAAAATAAACAATTTTTTCTTTTATTTAATTCTCATTAAAAAAATCAATTAACCAAAAATAATAAGAATGTACAGGGGAATTATAATATATGTATACGTAAGATAAATGATACCAATAGCATAAAGACCAGAAGGTAAAAAATGGAAATATACAGCTGTAAGTTTCTTCACTATCAATGAAATAGTAGAAGGAAGGAAGACTATCAAAAGTTAAATATGCACACTGAAAACACAAATGCAACCACTAAAATAAGGAAACATATATGCCTAATAAGACAACAATGGAGATAAAATGGAATCATGGAAAAACATTCAAATAATCAAGAGAAAGTAGAAAAGGAGGGAGATAGAAAAAAACAGGTGAAACAATAGAAAACAACTACCAAGTTGATAGACTTAAACCTAACCATATCAATAATCACATAAAATATAAATGTTCTAAAGACTCCAGTTGAAAGGCAAAGGTTGTCAGGTTGAGTAAATACCCAAGACCCTACTCTATGCTACCTGTAAAAGAAAACAGAACATTAAATATAAAAACACAAATAGGTTAAACATTTAAAAATGGAGAGTGATATTGGCAGGAATGGTAGACTAAGAACCTCTAACAATCCTGTCCTCCATAAAAGCAATAAGATCAAATTTATCAAAATCACCTTTTTTAGAACTATAGAAATTAAGCAAAAGCTTGCAACAATCTAGCAAGTAGACATTTAAGAAAATGGCAGAATCTCTATAATAACAGTAAGTTTTATGGCTTTTTAGCTTGCCCTGTCTCCTTCTCCCTCTTACTAGATCTGTAGGTAGCCTTGAAAAACAAGAGCCCTACAGTCACGGCAAAACAGTAGCCTAAAAGCCACTGGACAGCACAGTTCAGGTTTGCAGGTCCTTCAAATCCCCATTCCCAAAAATTGGCATTATTTGAGTTGTTTGGAATCCCCTGGAAAATCCTATTACAAGGCATTTGTATTAGCCTGACTGACATCTCACTCAGTAAAAAGAATCTTTTCACCATAAGCATTTGATAAAAACAAACAAACAAACAACAACAACAACAAAACAGAGACAGTTGTTTAACAAAACAGTTTCCTGAGGGAGTGATAACAGTTTGGGCAAACAAGAAACTCACCAAAAAACTTTAAAAGTTGAGCAATGACATGTCCATATTTGGGCTTTGAAAACCTTTCACATATTCCTGAAAATCTAAAGACCACATGCATTGAAGGGCTGTGCACATGCCCAGAAAAGAACTCAGAAGCCCTTAAGCTCTTACCTGTGACTGACCTTGAGGTTCTGCATGAGCAGGAAGCAAAGGCTAAGGTGGAGTTGTAAACTGCCTGCCTGACCATTGAAGGAGTACCCCAACACTCACACAGAGACCTCAGCAAAAGATGGGAGAATTATTGGTTTCAGTAATATAAGGACACCTTTGTCCAATCATTGATCACCAAGCTAACTGAGCAGAGACTTCAGTGGCCACACATGAAAAGGAATACAGACTTAAAGAATGTGTACAGGAATGTCACTAAACAAACAAATAGCAACAACAAACTCTGGGAAGGGAAGTCACCACCTTTTTTTTTTTAATTTTTATTTTTTGAGACAGAATCTCACTCTGTCACCCAGGCTAGAGTACAGTGACACAATCAGAGTTCACGGCAGCCTTGACCTTCCAGGCTCAAGCAATCCTTCCACCTCACTCCTCCAAGTAGCTGGGACTGCAAGCATGTGTCACCACACTCTGCCAATTTATATTATTTTAAATGTTCAATCTATAACTAAGAAATTACGGCATGTAAAGAAAAAAAGAAAGAGTGATTAATATGCAGCAAAAAAAAAAAAAAAAAAAAAAAAACTCAATAGAACCTGTCCCTGAGAAAGCCCAGGCATTGGACTTACTAGACGAAGACTTAAAATCAGCTATTTTATTTATGTTCAAAGAACGAAAGAAAACCATGTCTCAGAAATATGAGATCAACATTTAACTAAGTAGAGAATAGCAATAAAAGGATAGAAATATTTTCTACAGCCAAACAGAAATTCTGGAGTTAAAAAGTAAAACAACTAACAAGAAAAATCCCCTGGAGGGTAGCTCTCAATGGGCTAAAGTGACACAATGTGACTTCTGAGGCCAGATTATACAAGAGGATACAGCTTCTTCCTGGTTCTCTTGGGGCATTTCCCTCTTGGAACCCATGTGCTGTGAGGAAGCCAAAACCACCACATGAAGAATCAGTGTTTAGGCCCTCTGGTCAGTCACCCCAGTGGAGATTCCACCTAACAGCAACATCAACCACCAGTCACGGGAATCAATGATCCTTTAGATAAGCTTAGTTTCCCAGGTATCAAATCTTCCCCACTGGTGTTGCAGGTACTGTGGAACAGAGACAAGCTGTTCCCACAGCCACTTTCCGAATGCAAAACCTACAGTATATACAAGCATAATAAAATGTTTGCATCATATCTCTGACATTTCAGGTAATTTTTTACGCAGCAATAGTAAGCAGAACAGGAAGCCAGGCAATCATTGTCTTCATTGATTTCCATTCACAGGAGTCTGTTATTATTCTCAAAATTATTGTGAAGATATTTTCACTGGGGAAGAAACTCAGAAGAGCAAACTTTATAGCATGTTTCTGAAGAGGCTGTACCCAGGAAATCCATTGACAGAGTGTGTTATGAATTCAACAGATTGGTGCTATGGCAATGAATCAACATAGAAACCAAATTGGATGCTTTCAATTAAAAATTCAAAATCACAAATTCTTTCAGGAACCCCTAAAGTGAATTAATTCATGAAGCTAATATTTATTGACCCATAAGAACATTTTTTAAAGCAGTGCCACTATTTTATTAATTACCATAAAATTGAAAACAAAAAGCAGATAAATCAATATCCTTAGTTTCTACGAAGTACAACACTTTATAGTAAATTTAACTTTATTTTCTTTAGAATATTTTCTCTTGTATATTTAATTCCAAGCTCAAAATAATCATACCTTCGCCCTCACAGGTGCAGCTGAGTTGAAAATACATAGATGTCACTTTGGTTTTCCTGCTTAGTAAGAAAAGCACATATTCAGAAAGTGAAGTCATAATTCTCCAGCTCAGTTCAATATAAATTTATTGAGCACCTACTAAGAAGATGGCAGCAGATGGCTTCATTTTCTCTGGCTATGTTTACCTCTCTGCAGATATCTTCACATAGTCAACCTTCTGATAGGAATGAAGGTGAAAGGGAAGTTCACTGAAATAAATGTAATGGTACAGCCAATGGACGCATTCTTAGGCACAGTCTCTAACTGGATGTAATCTACCCAGGACAAATGGTACAGCTTTTTAGAAGAAACCAGCTCACTCAGTTAAATAAACCTTTGGGGCTAATGGCTTCCCTCAGTCTCCTCATTGTTTCCCTGAATTAATGGAACTGCCTGGTTATTTTGGTATCACATAAATCCGTTCTCTTCATCCTTATCATGCCAGAGATAAAACCGTTCCATGTTAATTTATACAGCCATGCCAGGCTAACAAAAAGAAACGCATTACAGTTCTTGAAACTCTGTAAGCCCAGAAGCATAAACGATTTTTTCAATCATCATTTCTCCACAGGCAAAAAAATAACAATGTACTGGAAAGAACTAATTAAGGGGGCTGAGACATGATTCAAGTCAGGTCATTGCCATGAACTAGCTCTATGACCTAAGAGAAGGCCTCCTCTTCCTTATTTTTGTTCTGACTTTATGATTCTGAACTACTTAGCAGTGTCACTCTGGTTAAATACATATGCCATTGCTTATGATTCATACCAACAAATATTAGAAATATCAAGTTAAAGATGAATTTTTTTTTTTTTTTTTTGAGACAGGTTCTCGCTCTGTTGCCAGGCTGGAGTGCAGTAGCACTATCTCGGCTCACTGCAACCTCCGCCTCCAGGGTTCAAGTGATTCTCCTGCCTCAGCCTCCAGAGTAGCTAGGACTACAGGCACACACCACCATACCCAGCTAATTTTTGTAATTTTAGTAGAGACGGGGTTTCACCATGTTGGATGGGATGGTCTTGATCTCTTGACCTTGTGATCCTCCTACCTCGGCCTCCCAAAGGGCTGGGATTACAGGCGTGAATCACCATGCCCAGCCAAGATGAAGTTTCTTTTTGTGAAACCTGAGTCATAAGATTTTAATTATTGATCCAAGTAAGTGAATGCTGGGGCTAAACAAACGTGCTTTTAGACTTGGCTTCCAAAGAAGCTGCTTATATTTGGCGATTCATAGGAAGTTACATTGCAGAATTAATGAAAATCATGGAGCTAGTTTTGACTTTACTGCTGTGACTACTGGCTCGCATGGTACTTTTAGTTGCAGTGATTCTTTTTGTTGCTTTGGGTAACATTTCTTAGCTTTTATGATTTGGTTTGAGAGAATAGAAGAGAAAATAAACTAATATATACCAAGTGAATAACACTCGCTGAGCAACAAATCTGTTTCTGGAGAAGAAGAAAAAAAAAACCTCACTACTTTCCTGTTTTCAAAATAACTCTGTGGAACACAGATCGTTTTCCCAAAGCCAATTAGATCAATAAGTAAAAAATCTGAGACCTGACCTGGGCCTCCTCTGTGGCCACAGAGTTCATTTCCACTCTGCAATGTACAATGATATTGGCACAATATTGGAACAAACATTGACCTTGATACAATTTCCTTTCTTCATACTATGTCACCAGAAGGCTTATTTCTGGAGCTCTAAATTCCATAATATTGACATAATTTGTTGATCAGATGAGATTATTGATTGATATGATATACTGATTCCCATTAAAACAAAAACTGCTATAGCAGAACATAGTAAGCAACTAATGATGCCCATTTTCATTTCATCTTTGTGTGCATTTTATCAGTTCTGTTCCAGTGAACACTTCAATAAATGTGTATGTTGGAATATTGGAAATGGTCTTATAAAAGCACTTTACAAAGTGATGGGGACACATAGATGTTTCTGGACTGGAAGGATTCATGGTCTAGAAGGTACTAAGAGAATATAAATCATTAAGCCAGGCACAGTGGCTACCACCTGTAATCCCAGTTACTCGAAAGGCTGAGGCAAGGGGATCACTGAGCTCAGGAGTTCAAGACTAGCCTGGGCAACACAGTGAGGCCCCATCTCTAAAAAAGAAGAAAGAATGAAATATAAATCATTCCTCTGTAATGGTTCACACTCAAAGGTCTACAATAAAATAATATAGAAAGCCATGTAGAGACACAGAAGAGTCCAAGAAAGTTTCAAACTAGGCTGGATGCAGTGGCTCACAGCTGTAATCCTAGCACTTTGGGAGGCCGAGATGGGTGGATTGCCTGAGCTCAGGAGTTCAGCACAAGCCTGGGCAACATGGTGAAACCCAGTCTCTACCACACACACCCACACACACACACCCAAAAAAAAAACTGGCGTGGAGTGGTGGTGGGCACCTGTAATCCCAGCTACTCGGGAGGCTAAGGCACGAGAATTTCTTGAACCCAGGAGGTGGAAGTTGGAGTGAGCCGAGATCGTGCCACTGTGCTCACACAGCCTGGGTGACAAAACAAAACTCTGTCTCAAAAAAAAAAAAAGTTTCAAAGTAAATGACAACAGAGGTCATTGGAGGATTGAAATACATGCTGTTGCGTCTCTCATGAAGAAATGTAAAACAAACAAACCTGTATTCCCCAGGGTTGAGAGTCTCAAGAGGGGAAAAAAATGACCTCAAGTTGGGTATTTTGAAAATATAATGTAGGGACAATTTAGAAAGCATGGGCAGATATAGGAACCCACTAAGGACGTTATAGTCATCAGGACTAATTATAGTCCTACGATACATCAACACCTCTAGGCCTGAATGGGGAAAAGGAAAGAGTGGTTCTTGAATACGCAGAGAGCATCACAGACATAACTGTGCCCCCAGTGAAGGGAGGCAGCCCACTATTTGTGACTGCGTTTGGAAAGAAGCATGAAAATAAACTCCTCCATCTCACTCTTCCCTCTCTCCCTTTAATCTCTTGCTGGAACTCCCTATTGGCCAAACTCAACCAGAAGCCAGAGATTAAAGGAACCAGTTGATGTAGCTTGAACAATCCAGCCTCTTATAACAGAAAGGAGGGTAGAAAATGAATCTGGATGGGCAAATTGAAAGTATTCAGACAGGAAGGTAGAAATGTAGTTTATAAATGTCCTGCACAGCAAAGAAGCAGGCCAGAGCCTCAGGTAGCAAAGCTTGGACCTGAATCCTAGCTTTCTAAACATGTAGCGCCTTTGTGGAGTTTTAAAAGAAAAAAAAAAAAACAAGGAGCAAAGATCTTTGAGTTTATGCCTGAGGCTGATAGCCCGATCTGCATAGTTCATGGAAAAGACTTCATCTTTTTGAGTTAACAATTTAGGGGAAAATGACGACCCACTTCTATTTGGAGAAAGAGCAATAATGTATTTGAAAGCCTGTTATAGAATGGAAAAGAGAACAATTCAGAAAGCTATGCTCCCACCATCTATATTCACATATATAGAAAGGCTGCCAAACAAATTACCAGAGCTGAAAAGAATTTGTGCAATCATTACATTTTCTTAAGGCTAAAAATACACTTTCCCCAGAAACTAAAAATAATAATCAAATAAAGACTTAAAACAGAGAATCAGAGACCTCAGAGATTGCCCCAGTTGCAGTCAACCTTTAAGTGATGTCAGATTTAAAAGTTTTATTGTTTCATTGCGTTAACTAGAACCAACAGGTGCTTGCATTTCTCTTTCACTCTCTTTAAGCCTTCCCCACCTTCATATGGAAAGAACGCATAATTTTCTCTAGGCATTCATCAGTAAAGATGAATGAATATTCTATCATCAGATATTAAAATTTAATTTGTGATCCCATCTCTAGCTTGTCACCTCCTCCACAGCTCAGAGCTTATTGAACTTCAGAAACATGAAGTAGGAATTATTTTTCTCCTCCCTCTGTGATTTCCCTCATTCGGAATCTACTGGGGCTCTTCCAGCATTGGAGCCGGAGGAGTCAAAGGACAGAGGATGAAGGGTCTTTGTGGGGTGGTGCTGAGGTATCCAGGTGTTGCTGTTTTCTGGGTAGAAATGGCTGCACTGCAGCTCTTCCACCACATAGCTGGAGGTGGCTGCAGGGCTGTCACCATCCTCTTAGCCACCTATTAGCAAGCCCTACCAATGGGACTTCTCTTTAGAATGTGTTATTCTCAGCTAAAAATTCAAGACCAGAAAAGTCCCATTTAACATTCCATTACAGCATCATTAAAACTGCCTGTGTGCTGAAGGGAAAACATTGAAGTTGTAGGTGACATGATATAATGATTACAGTATTGTCCTTAGCATAGAAGATCTGGACCCCAGCCCTGGAATAGTTACTGGCTGCAGTAGCCTGACCAAGTTGATTAATTTATATAGGTCTTAGTTGCTTCATCTGTATGATGTGTTTGGTTGGATATAGAGATCTCAAAATTCTTTCTTATATCTAGTATAGTATTTTTCTATGAAATTGGCACTGCAAATATTATATACAATCATGCCTCACATAAAAATCTTTCGTCAACAATGGACTGCATATGATGATTGTCTCATAAGATTATAATACCATATTTTTACCATACTTTTCTGTGTTTAGATACACAAATACTTACTATCGTGTTACAATTGCTTATAGCATTCGGTACAGTAACCTGCTGTATAGTTTTGTAGCCTAGGAGCAATAGGCTACACTATATAGGCCAGGTGTGTAGTATGCTACACCATCTAGGTTTGTGTAAGTACACTCTGTAATGTTTGCACAATGATGCAATTGCCCAATGATGCATTTCTCGGAAAGCATTTTCTTTGTTAAGCGATATATGACTATAATCCCATAGTACTGAGAAATGTCCCAACCCACACAACGAGAGAGCTGCACACAGTATTCTTCTGCCATGTCAGAATCTATGTCCAGGCAGATGTAAGACACAAACCTATCAAACCTACGGCTCTACACTTCGTGCTGTTTTTTAAAACCTCTCTGCCAAACACATCCCCCTCTGCTTCCACAAACATCTTTTATCGACATTTTCTTCTCCCATGCTCTGCCGAATTTACATGGGTTTCTACCTAAGACTTTTCAAGAAGTATTATCAAAAGGTATTCAAGCCAGATTAAGAAAATAAAATTCTCCTATGGACTCAGCCTCTCAGAAAACATAAAACTCTGCAATGCTCAGACACTAGTGCTTTCTGGCTTGAAATTGTCAGTCAATCCTTTTCCATCTTCCTCAATGTTCAACTCTACTTTTACCCTGCTGTAATTGATTAATTATCAAAGTAGGAAAGGTGGACAGTTTGTTGACAGATGTTTTTAATTGCTAATTTAAGGAGCTTCATGATAGAAGTAAAAGACTCAAAAAAAAAGATACTAATGGCATTAAGATTGTGCTAGGTAAAGACAACGCTTGGGGGAGGTCCCATTTTAGGGGCTTTTCATTAAATTAGACTATAGCTCATGTGGCTAGCTAGATGTGTACCATTCTAGGGGAATACCCACTGTTAAATCTCAATATTCCTTTGTAGTCAAATAGGTCCCAGAAACACAACGTAAAACTTACCTAGTCACATAGCTTCAGGCTACATTATATACAAAATAAAGACAAATATACCCAATACTGTCAAGGGAAGCATTGTGAGCCATAGAGACCAATCCAAACTTCTGATTTAGGAGTTGTGGCTCAGCTGTGTGATTTTGAGTAATTCATTTAACTTCTCTGAGCCTCTGTTGCCACCTTCTTCAATTTTCTCATCAATTTATTCAGTTTATCCATTTGTTCCTACACCTTTCTCCATGAAGTGCATTGACACCTTTGTCAAAATCAATGGACCATAAATTTGAGGCTCTTTCTAGACGTATTCTATTTCATCATCTATTTTATGCCATTGTTGTAATGTCTTCATTACCATAGTTTTTCAGACTTGAAATCAAATAGTGCAAGTCCTCCAACTTTATTATGTTGCAAGATTTTTTGGACAATTTTAGGTCCTTTGCATTTCCATATAAATTTTAGAATCAGCTTGTCAATGTCTGACCCCAAAATGCTATATTTTGATTGGACTTGTGTTTCATCCATAGATCAATTTAGGGAAAACTGATGCTGTCAACAATATTGAGATTCCCAATTCATGAACAGCAACATTTTATAGTTTTCAATAAAGCAATCCTGCCCATCTTTTGTTAAATTTATCCCTAAGCATTTTAAGTTTTATGCCACTGCAAATGATTTTTAAGATTTTATTGAATTTGCAGCCTTGCTGCTCATGCTTGCACATTTCCATGTCCACAGATTTTTGTGACTGCCCAATGGGTTCACCTTGCCCACTGCCTAGACAGAGCCGATTTATCAAGACAGGAGAATTGCAATAGAGAAAGAGTAATTCACGCAGAGCCAGCTGTGTGGAAGACCAGAGTTTTATTACTCAAATCAGTCTCCCCGAGCATTCAGGGATCAGAGTTTTTAAAGATAATTTGGCGGGTAGGAGCTTAGGAAGTGGAGAGTGCTGATTGGTCAGGTTGGAGATAGACTCATAGGGGATCAAAATGAGTTTTTCTTGCCATCTTCTCTTCCTGGGTGGGATGGCAGAGCTGGAGGAGCCAGATTACCCATCTTGGTGGTGTCAGCTGATCCATCCAGTGCAAGTTCTGCAAAATATCTCAGGCACTGATCTTAGGTTTTACAATAGTGATGGTATCCCCAGGAACAATTCGGGGAGGTTCAGACTCTTGGAGCCATAGGCTGCATGACCCCTAAATTGTAATTTCTAATGCAAAGGCAGACTGGTTCCCAGGAAAGAAGGGGTCTTTTGGGGAAGGGGCTGTTATCAATTTTGTTCCAGAATCAAACCATGAACAGAATTCCTTCCCAAAGTTAGTTCAGCCTACACCCAGGAATGAACAGGGACAGCCTAAAGGTTAGAACCAAGATGGAGTCAGTTAGGTCTGATTTCTTTCACTGTCATAATTTCCTCAGTTATAATTTTGCAAAGGCAGTTTCATTTACCCCATCTGGAATGCCCTTCTTCCCACCCCCACATATCAAAACTCACCCATTCTCCAAACTCTGCCTTCTCCTTTATGAGAGCCACCTTCCCTTCCAAAAGAAAGTAACTGCTCCCATCTCTAAACTTCCACAGCCCACACTTCCCTCTAATACCTCTTACTGCCTGCCTTTATTATGTGCATGTGGTCTCGCCTCCACCAGAAATAAATTCTTTGAGGGCAAAGTCTCTACCCCATTTATCTTGTATGTTTCTCCCGGAATCTAGGGCA
Source organism: Homo sapiens (assembly GCF_000001405.40). Classification (NCBI taxonomy): domain Eukaryota; kingdom Metazoa; phylum Chordata; class Mammalia; order Primates; family Hominidae; genus Homo; species Homo sapiens. Next base: position 20,739,827 of record NC_000010.11, read on the forward strand.
TGGTGGAAATATAATAAATGTTAAGTGAAAGCAAATTTTTCACCTCCTTAGGTACAGTATATGTGCATATCTGTCCTACCTTTGGGCATAATTCCTTATCCCTGTGTTCTATCAAGCCAACAGCTTTCATTTCACCACAAACCCCACAGCCTCAGAGTAGAGCATCCTAACCTTGACAGCAAATATATAACTGCTCTTACTAGACTCTATAAATCCCTTCTCTTTGAGGTTCTAAATCTTTTTTTGGCTAGAGATATTTAACTAAATTGCTAGTCGTTGTGGCAACATTTGCTGAACTACATTTTTGATAATTTTTAATATCTCCCAATATTTATTGTGATATCTATAAATAGCCGGGTCCATATTTTATTATGGTTAGAAGCACCTACCCTTTGATTTATTACCTTCATGTACTAGATCATCAAATTGGCTGGAGTTCACGGTGTTGCAAAGTATTGTGCTGTCCTGGAACTCAGGAAGGGAGATGATTGGTAACAGAAACCATCCTTTAAGATGTCATTGATTAATACACGGCATCTGTCGGCCATGTGTGCAATGGTCATAATGGGTGATGGGGGACGGAAACGGATCTTCAAATCTCAATGTTTTATCCTATGAGATGGGTGCTGGGATGATTGTGTCTTCTTTTAAAATGTGATTACTTTGAGAACACAGCTGAAGAAAACACAAAGTAATTCTATTCTGAAATGGAGTCTTAGCCAAGAAACTTGATTTGGTATCGAGAGTCATTTTCCCAGAGACTGGCTCCCAGATGATCCTCCTCTGTTCACTGGACTATTATGTTTTAAGGGACTGGCTCAGGATGTCACAGTGTCTGTCTCCCCTGCCTTTGATACCTGTGGTCTGGAAGGGTGACTGCATCTTCCAAGCTTCTGTAATTTTTAGCCAGGAAGATTCAGGGTTACAGTGGCCTCATCTGTATAAACAGCTGCAGTGATAGTCACAGAACACCTGAGTGCTTTTATCAGCTTTGTCACTGACCAGCTGTTTCATTGTGGGGAAAACACAAGATTTTTCTTAAGCCAATTTCTATTCTAGAAGAATTCCCATGCTAGAAATATCTCCTAGAAAGGTATAAAGGTAGTTACAGTATACTATTCCAGCCAAATATATTTGATCAGAAGAGGTTTTTTAAAATTAAATGTTGCTTGAGATATCTATTTCTTGGGATATTGGTTTAGGAAACACTAACCTATCCAGTTGCCATGGCCCAGCAATAGACCTGAGTTATCAGCTACACATATAAGTCATAATATCGATATTCATAAAACAAACTTAAATTATGAAGGGCTCAGCTATTACAGCCTCAAGGGCCTGGTTACTTATCATTTGGTCTATAGAGCAAAGGGAAGTTCTGTGAATGCCATCCTTTCCAAATATGTTAGAAACTGAAGTTACTGATATGGTTTGGCTGTAGTTTGGCTGTGTTCTCACCCAAATCTCATCTTGACTTGTAGTTCCCATAATCCCCACATGTCATGAGAGGGACCTAGTGGGAGGTAATTGCATCATGGGGGTGGGTTTTCCCATGCTGATCTTGTGATATAAGTTTCATGAGATCTGATGGTTTTATAAAGGGTAGTTCTCCTGCATACTCTCCCTCTTGCCTGCTGCCATGTAAGATGTGGCTTTGCTCCTCCTTCACCTTCTGCCATGATTGTGAGGCCTCCCCAGCCATGTGGAGCTATGAGTCCATTAAACTTCTTTTTCTTTATAAATGACCCAGTCTCGGGTATATTTCATTAGCAGCATGAGAATGGACAAACACAGTTACCACAAGAAAGAGAAAAGCAGAAGAAAAGATAGCAGGAACTTTTAAAATCATATTTGAAGGAATGAGAGCATGACCACTGATGTATAAGACAATAAAACAGAAGACAGGCCTTGCCAGGATTTAGACAAGCAAATGTTTCTCCATCCTCCTCATGCAAGCTCCCTAGGGGACAAAAACCAAAGCTATACTTCTTTGAAGCTGCAGAATGACACAGTGGATGAGACAAGAGCATTAGATTCAGATGAACCCAGGGGAGAGATGATCTGTGTCTCTTACTGTAGCTGTGTGATACAGGCATGTTTGCGTGTTAGGGAAGTGTGAAAGCAAGCCTCAAGGCAAAAGAATCACCTAGACCAAGACCTAGAGGATGTGGACAAATTAGCCAAGGGAGGAAAAAGTAGAAGTTGCGGGCAAAAGGCACAACACAGTTGAAGACCTGAAAGTAAGAAAGATCATAGCATGTTTGAGACACCGAGATTAGCTCAGCAGGGCAGGAATGCACAGAGGGAGGAAAGTGAGAACAAAGGAAGCTGGGGGAGAGTCAGAGCTAAGAAAATTGGGCTTCATCCCGTTAAAAGAAAAACTTCAGGCCAGGTGCAGTGGCTCATGCCTGTAACCCCAACAATTTGGGAGGTCGAGGCAGGCAGATTGCTTGAGCTCAGGAGTTCAAGACCACCCTGGGCAACATGGTGAAACCCCATCTCTACTAAAATACAAAAAATTAGCCAGGTGTGGTGGCAGGCACCTGTAATCCCAGATACTCGATAGGCTGAGGCAGGAGAATTGCTTGAACCCCAGAGGCAGAGGTTGCAGTGTGCCGAGATCGTGCCACTGCGCTCCAACATGGGCTACAGAGTGAGACTCTGTCCCAAAAAAGGAAAACAAAAGAAAAACTTCAGACAAATTAAATTTAACAGAGTTTAACTGAGCAAAGATCAATTCACGAATCAGGCAGCCTCCTGAGCCAGAGTAGGTCCAGAGAAACTCCAGCCTGCCTTATGAGAAAATTTATGGGCAGACAAAAGAAAGTGACAAGTAGCATACAAAAAAAAATGGAAGTGAGATACAGAAACAGCTGGGTGGTTACAGCTCGGCATTGGCCTTATTCAAACCCAGTTTGAACAGTTGGCTATCCTTGATCAGCCAAAACTCAATGATTGGCATAAAAGTAGGTTCCAGTCTGTTTACACATCTAGTTAGGTTATAGTTCACTACATAGGATAAAACATTAGGCCAAATGTAAAATAAGTAAGGAGGCAGCTTTAGGCTAAACTTAATTTAACAGTCCTAACAGTGACAGGTTTCTAAAGTGGAAATGACGTCACTAGGACAGGATAAGAGAAAGAAATGGCTCACTTGTCTACATGGACCATTAGACGCAATGCAAAGGAGAAGAAGTCAAGAATGGTGTCCAGTTTTCTGGATTAGGCAACTGAGTGAATAAAAGCAAAAAGCTGCAATGTAGACAAGGTGTCTAAGAGGCAAAGTTGCAAACAAAGTCCAATATCACTATCTGCTTCCAAAGGAACAGCTGCTGGTGGCTGTAGTAGCAGAAAGAATTTCAGATAAACAAATCATCTTTTTCAGCCGCATGTAAACAACCATAGCTCAGCAATAACCTTAAATAAGAAAAGAAATGCTTGCCACAATACTGTATTGAGTGGCATTCAAATTAAATACTTCAGATAATGGGGTCAGGTTGGATCCTTCTAAGAGACTCCAGCCCAGGCCCAGACATCTAGAAAATATTTGAAGCATTACCGAATATTTTAGAAGCCAAATGTCTGCTTTGCCTTCTTAGCACAAAAGAGTCTAAGAGCCTGGAAAAGTTCAGCTTCACCAGCTAGTGTTGCTATACCCAAAGGGTGGAAGTCACTGAAGGTCAAAGAAAAATTGTAGGCACCAACTGTTAGGTTTAGTAATAGTTCAATTAAGGATGCTGGGAACTTTAAAATAGAACATTGTGTTGGCATCAGTGGTGACTACAATTTCTACAGGGTGTTGCTTTCAATGAGATTTAGGGTCTCTTAAAGACTTTGTTAACTTTTTTTTTAATGTGGCCATTTAAACAGTTTTAAGGTTAGGGGCTTAGAAACCCTTCCTTCTTCCTTTGCAGAAATTCCAGGTGTGTATTTCAAGAGGTAAGTACCTTTGAAAAATGAGAATGAATGTAAAGCCGGCTCACTTCCCATCACTTACATTGCATAAATGTTTTGGGATGAGATCAAATAAAGCTTGATATATGTGGTTCAGGCAATATGCAGAGCCCCAAAACAATTTCTGAAATATATGGCTTCTCTCTTGTCCTTTGCCCATAATCCTACTGTTATGTTTCAGCTTTTGATGTTCCTGAGGCTTAGTTATATTTCTTTCTTTATCTCACTAACGGACCTAAGGTGCCACCGGATTTTTACAATGTGGATTCCTTTTATCACTAACTCTTATCACGAAGCCACATTCAGGCATCACTCATGTCCTGGTTCTGCATGCTTTCCTCCTCTTCACAGCTGCCATCCACAGTGCCTCCAGCTACTGTCACATCAAATTACACTAGCTAAATAGAATGAAGAAGAGTCAGTCCCGAGTCAGAACAACTTCGGTAAAGATGCTTGGCTGTATTTAGTGGACATTTATTAGGTATCAAGTCACACTGAAGGAAACATTCATTTATATCATGTTTAGCAAATCATTGAAAAACAGACATATATATTTCATTGATTTTTGGAAGAATTAAACATGACAGCTTGATGGAAATGCAATATTTAAAAACAATAATATCTGGAGCTTCATACAGTGACTTTTATCCAGTGAGTTTGTAGGTTTCCTTCCCTCACCACACATTCCCACGTGCAAGTTGTATCTACTGTCTCCAATCATCAGACTCATGATAAAGAGAATCTAATTGTAGGATATGAAGATATGTAGCTGTTTCCAGTGCCTCCACAGTAACCTCAATGAAACAATCAACCGTTTAGTAATTCTTGTTCCCTGAAAAACATGAAGCTGGCAATAAATCTACAGGCAGAGGCCAGCTCTACATTAGCAAAATGAAGCAGAGAATTAAAGTAATTATCTAAAAAATTCATCATGAGCCTGGGGTAGGTAGCTAAATTACTTAAATGAATATTTCAGGGGGAAAATGCAGTTTTGGAAAAAGGCCTTTGAAGACTCTCTTGGCTCACTGATTGCATGTAAAACAGGAAAGTCATTGTACCAATGACGTCCACGTATAGATGGAAGGTATCCCCTACTGGAGCCTTACTTTGAGAGTGCAAAACTGTTCAAAAATGTTACTGTGGTTTAAAATTTTTGCCACTTGGCTTTAAAATCAAAAGAGATTGAGGAGGACCAAACAATGATTCGTCCATTGGGGATTTAGTCCTATCGACCATTGTTTCCTGGGTTCCACAGAGTGAAGGCTCAAAGAAACTTCTAGGAGACATTCCTTTCCCTGCGTTCACCTCAAGATCAGCCAAGATCAACACTTACCCCAATTGGCAGAGACAGAGGGAATTTTAAGACTTTCCCAAAGTAGGCAATTTTTTCCCTTCCTTCAGTGCAAAATAAGCCTTAGAAAGGTTTGTATTGATCTAAGTCTGGTCACTTTGTTCTTATATGCCTGTCTTATAGGAGCATCGGTGTCATGCCCTCTGAACTGGTCACAAGGATTCAGGGCAGAGATACAGGCTCTCTTTCCAAGCAGGGGACTTCAGATCCTTGGAACTAAAAGTGTGGACCATGAACCAGCAGCATCAGCATCATCTGGGAGCATGTTGGAAATGCAGAGTGTCAGGCCCCACCAGTCCGCTGCATCAGACTCTGAAAAATCTCCCCAGGGAATGAACATTTGTGAAGCGCCTATCTCCATGACATTGTGGATCTAGGAGAGCAAGGGGTAAAATCTGAGCAAACCTGTAAGGTAGGAGAGAAGAATCAATTCTATAGGTTCACAGAGGGCTGAAGAGTCCAGAGATGTGAGATCTGAGAATAAGCAGAATCAATACAAACAGACCAGTCTATGAGATTACAATCCCAGGGACTTGGGCTTGCTGTTTGATGCTTCCAGCTGAGTGTCTACACCTTGGGATCGCAGGTGTTAATTACGGCCACAAAGGGCCCGGAGACCTAACTGCGAATCCATCACTTTAAGAGGAATACCTGCATCCCTGTTAATGGTTTCCCAAGACACACATCCCTTCCCCCAAAGGCAGACGCTTCATATGGAGGACAGCAAGTCCCATGACATTCACTAGGAGCTGGGGGAGCTGGGCAGGAGCAAGTGAAGTGTTAGATGGAAAGCCCCACTTTTAAAAATGTCCTCAATCTCAGCTGAGCATGATGGAAACATGCTGTTTCCACAGTACATATTGTGTTGGCTTTTATTAGAATGTGTTGTTGCTGCCATTAATTTAATTATTTTATGGATTGATTTTGCAGAGCTTGCATCCTGAGGCTATACATATTTTTTTAAAGCAGAGAACTCACTTGAGAATGAATGTACATATTGCACATGTGGCTGAAACTCATTTGCTCAGAAAAGATGGGAAGCAGCTGGCTGGCTTCTTGCACATATACTTAAGGAGCATGCCTAAGTCACATGAATGTCCTCATTACCAAACTGAAGAACTCCAGGACCATCTTTCTTTCTTAGTCACATCAATAATGACCATTTATAGAGTGTGCGCCCATCTGAAGCACCATGCTAAGTGCTTTGCATACATTACATCTTAATTCCGTAAGACACTCAAGTTCCCACTGGGTTCTAGTCTCAGCTTCAAATGGTCCACCATTTACCTTCTCTATATCTCAATTTACCCACCCTTAAAAAGGTGGCAACTACCTTCTCAAGCTGCATACAAGAGTTGTCTTGAGCAGGGGTCCCCATGCTCCAGGACAGGGACCCATACCAGTCCATGGCCTGTTAGGGAACCGGGCTGCACAGTACGAGGTAAGTGACAGGCTAGCGAGTATTCCCGCCTGAGCTCCACCTCCTGTCAGAGCAGCAGCAGCATTAGATACTCATAGGAGCACAAACTGTATTGTGAACTGTGCATGCAAGAGATCTAGGTTGCGCGCTCCTTATGAGAATCTAATCCCTAATTATCAGAGGTGGAATACATTCATCCCAAAACCATTTCCCCTCCCCATGCCCCAGTCGATGGAAAAATTGTGTTTCACAAAACCAGTCTCTGGTGCCAAAAAGGCTGGGGACAGCTGGTCGTGAGGATCAAACAAGAGTGCCCAGGTAGGAGCAGTCTGTGATATAAGGGCTTAATATTCCTGCGGAGCTTTTGTTTTCATCTGGAACTTCTTCTTCATGCACTCCATAAAAATTTATGTGTAGGAACAAGAAGCAGTGCTGTTACCTGTGCTGCAAAGCAGGGGGTCTGCTTCAGAGAACTTCCTGCTGCTGCGCTGGCCGACTGCACTAATGCACATCCCGCTGAGCGACTGCTATCAATAACTACTTCTTCCTGACTTCTCCCCTACTAGTTTGCACTGAGCCAGCCCTCCCATGTTGGGCGACTTGGGCTCTGGCTTTTCCTCCCTAAACGAATTACACTTTCTTGCTCCTTATTAATCTTGTCATACTTTATATTTAATTCCAATTCTGTCCTTCACACTATTGCCCACACACACCCAAATTGGAGCTGTCAGCAAGTTATCCCTAGAGCCTTACTGGGTCACATCACCCAAATGCCCTCAGGTACTTCCTTTACTTACAAACAGCAAGGGAGTTTAATTTATTTGAACATTGAGCGTTTGGTGAAGCCTGACTGCACTTTAATGTATCTAATCAACACTTCAAATGCTCTACGATGAAATCCCCGATACCAGATAACCAGTCTGGTGGCTTAAATGTCAGTTTCAATATAATGTTCATTAAATAGCATGTCCTCTTCATTAGACCCTATGCCAGGTGTTTTACCTATATATAGATATTTAAACCTTATTTTAGCTTTGTGAGATAAATATTAATATCCCAGTTGTAAAGTTAAGGAAACAGAGGCTCAGGAAGGCTAAATCACTTGCCCAGAGTCGTAGAGCTACTTGGAAAAACTGAAGTTCCAATCCAGGACTCCCAATTCCAAGTCCAAATGCCTTTCCACCATGCCACAGTTCCCATTGAGAGCAATGTGGAAGACACATTTGCAGAACTCTTCAGGGCAAGTGTTATCATTATTACATCCTGGAGCTTGGTAAAGTTGTCTTGAGATGCTTCAAAAGGAATGTCACTTGCTTGGTCTAGCTGAATACAGAATCTATTTTCCTATCACTAATTACTTCATATTGGTGTAAAACACATGAAGTCCTGACTGCAAAGCCTTATAGTGCTCATTGAAAATGACTAAGTGTTATTTTAAGTTTGGCAGGAACTAGCACATTTTCACAGCCTGAAAGAATTTTTTGGCCAACAGGTTTTGTTCAGATCCACAGTTGTTAACCATTACAGATGCCTAAAAAAAACTAAGATTGGGGTTGTTGAAATATTTAACTGATGTCTGGGGTCAATAGAAACTGAGAATCTTCAGTTTCTACACTGTCACTAGTGCTCCAAAGTGAAGGAGAAGTTCATTTTCCTTCACCTTTCAAAAAAGATATTTCTGGATATGAATTAAACCTTTGTGATCTAAAGATGAGTTACGTGTGCTATACCATTCTTCAGGTTTACACTCTTCATCCTGTTGAAGGATTTATCATTTCTGAGAAACCCAAGTTAGTTGTATCATTTAAAAATGTAACTCAACTACTGCCAACAAAACCAAGAAATAATGTTGACTTTTTAAATTTTTTTTACATAAAAAAAATCTGGAGGCAAGCAATTTAGGGCATGGGTGGCAGCTCAACCATCACATCAACAACCTAGGTAACTTTGATCTTTCTACCAACTTTTGTATATGACTTCCATTGTTAATATGATTTTGAGGTTCATGATGGCTGCTGGGGCTTCAACCAGTATTTTCACATTTCATGTGGGACAGAGAAGAAAGAGTTCCAGCTTCAGGAGGAACCAAGAATAAATCTTTGTTACCAGGCAGTAAAAGCTGAGATTCTTACTCAGGAAGAAAGAGTAGATGGATTTTAAACAGTTGACTAAGAGTCTCAGTGAGTTGCCAAGGGATGAAAAATTCCAAGTCCATTTGGAACCTTCTTAGGTTGGATTACAGGCATGATTCATAAGCTCTTAGAGCTAAAAAACATGAGAGATCAACTAGTCCAACATCTGCATTTTAAAGTTGAAGAAACTGAGGGCCAGGAAAACCACTGGACTCGGTTAAGACAGCAAAGCCAGTGAGCATCAGAGGTTGGACTGGGAATGAGGTCGCAGTCATTCCAACCTAACATGGTTTTGACCATAGCACATTTCCTTACTAAGCTTGCTTTATAACTGTGACACATCCTTTTGTTGAAGTTTTAGAGTATCTATGCATAACATTTCTCTCTTCCCTTCCTGTTGAGAAATAAGAGAAGTCAAACAGATTCTGATCAAATACTGGCTTTATTATTGGTGCAGGCAATTGAACAGTGTTGTTATCCAGCAGTAACCAAAAAGGCTTCCCTTTGCCCTTCAATCAGGCCAATGTACCCACCCACTCATGGGCAGCACTACCACAGGCCTCTTCCACAAGACAGCTTCTGTGGGGTGGAGACAGGAGTAGGATACAGAAGGGCACACCAGAATTCATGCCCCTGCAGTAAGACTTGCTCAGAAAGGAATGGACTGGCCTGAGCATGTCCTGTCCCTTCTCCCAGTGACAGCAATCTCTTCTCTGCCCTGCAGAGTACATGGGGCAGCAAGGAGAGGCCAGAAGTGGTTCTCTAATGAGTTCTTCCAAATGAAATTTCCTCTACATAGGGCCAGAGAAAAACCACATCCCCCTTAACACTTAAAATATGTTTATCTTATCTATCATATTTCCTACCATAATATTTGACACAGATACTTGAACATGGCTTCATTGACTTACTATGAGATTTATTATAAGGGTGGGGTAGACCAGAGTCTGGAAAGTAAAGCACAGAAAGGTTATGTAGCTTATTCAAAGTCATACAGTAAGTGGGAACAAAACCAAAACCAGGACCCAAGTATCTGGCCCCACTTCCCTGGATACTTTCTCTAAACTTGGCTGTATATCTGCAAGTCCTCCTGTTCTGACAAAGCAATCATACCCTAACTAACTGGAGACCATCTGGAGCATTCAGAATAGCTCCAGGTACTTTTGCCAGATTAAGACTAGTGTCCCTCACAGTGAGAAAAAGTCTTTGAGGGTAAAGAATACTCAAGCCTTATGAAACTTGCTGGTGGGCTAGAGGAATAACTCAATCAATCAAGAAACTTTTAAAAAAGAGATAGAAGACTCAAAATCAGAGATGAAAAGGGAACCATTGCAACTGGTACCATAGGAATACAAAGGATCTATCATAAGAAACAATTATGAACAATTATATGTCAACAAATTGGAAAAGCTGGAAGAAATGGATAAATTCCTGGACATATGCAACTACAAAGACTGAATTATGAAGAAATAGAAAATCCAACCAAAGAAAAAGATCGAATGAGTAATTAAAGATATCCTATCAAAGAAAAGCCCAGGACCTAATGACTTCACTACTGAAAATTCTAGGCAACACTTAAAGAAAAACTAATACCAATTTTTATCGACTATTCTCAAAAAATTAAAGACAAAAGAATTCTTCCAAACTAATTCAACAAGGAGAGGATTACCCTGATATCAAAACCAGACAAGGACACAACAACCAAAAAGAAAATTTTAGGCCAATATCTCTGATGAACATAAATGCAAAAATCCTCAACAAAATACTAGCAAAGCAAATTCAATAGCATATTTTTAAAAAATCATTCACCATGATTAAATGGGATTCATCCCAGGAATGCAAGGATGGTTCAACATATGGAAATCAATAAATATGATACACCACATTAACAGAATGAAAGGCAAAAATCACATAATTATTTCAATAGATGCAAGAAGAGGATTTGAGAAAATTCAACTTCACTTCATGCTAAATATTCTCAAAGAAGAAACATACTTCAACACAATAAAGGCAATGTATGGCAAACCCACAGCTAACATGATATTGAACAGGGAAAAGTTGAAAGCTTTTCTCCTAAGGTCTGGAACAAGATGAAGCTGCCCACTTTTACCACTTCTACTCAATATAATACTGGAAGTTCTAGCCAGAACAAGAGAAAGAAATCAAAGGCATTCAAATTGGAAAGAAGGAAGTTAAATTGTCCCTGTTCACAGAAAATACGATCCCATTAACAGAAAACTCTAAAGATTCCATCAAAAAAACTATTTGAACTAATAAATTCAGTAAAGTTACAAGATGTAAAATGAACATACAAAAATCTGGCAAGGCATGGTGGCTCACACCTGTAATACCAGCACTTTAGGAGGCTGAGGCAGGCAGATCAGTTGAGGCTAGGAGTATGAGAACAGCCTGGGTAACATGATGAAACCCCATCTCTACAAAACATACAAAAATTAGCCAGGTGCTGTGGCACACACCATAGTCCCATCTACTGGGGAGAATGAGGCAAGAGAATCACCTGGGCCCAGGGAGGCAGAGGTTGCAGTGAGCTGAGATCATGCCACTGCACTCCAGTCTGGGTGACAGAAGTGAAATCTTGTCTCAAAAAAAAAAAAAAAAAATCAGTAGCATTTCTATATATTAATAGCAAACTATCTGAAAAAGAAATCAAGAAAAAATACCATTTACAGTAGCCACCAAAAAAACCAGCCTAGGAATAAATTTAACCAAGAAGGTAAAATATCTCTACAATGAAAACTATAAAACATTAATGAAAAATTGAAGAAGACCAAAATAAATGGAAAAATATCCCATAATGACAGTTTGAAAGAATTAATATTCTTAAAATGTTTATACTTCCCAAAGAGATCTACAGATTTAATCCAATCTTTACCAAAATAGCAATGGCATTCTTCACAGACATTTTTTTTTTTTTACATATAGAAATCAAGGTATTTATTTATTTATTTATTTATTTTTTTTTTTAATTTTTTTTTTAAATTATACTTTAAGTTTTAGGGTACATGTGCACATTGTGCAGGTTAGTTACATATGTATACATGTGCCATGCTGGTGCGCTGCACCCACTAACGTGTCATCTAGCATTAGGTATATCTCCCAATGCTATCCCTCCCCCCTCCCCCGACCCCACCACAGTCCCCAGAGTGTGATATTCCCCTTCCAGTGTCCATGTGATCTCATTGTTCAATTCCCACCTATGAGTGAGAATATGAGGTGTTTGGTTTTTTGTTCTTGCGATAGTTTACTGAGAATGATGGTTTCCAATTTCATCCATGTCCCTACAAAGGACATGAACTCATCATTTTTTATGGCTGCATAGTATTCCATGGTGTATATGTGCCACATTTTCTTAATCCAGTCTATCATTGTTGGACTTTTGGGTTGGTTCCAAGTCTTTGCTATCGTGAATAATGCCGCAATAAACATACGTGTGCATGTGTCTTTATAGCAGCATGATTTATAGTCATTTGGGTATATACCCAGTAATGGGATGGCTGGGTCAAATGGTATTTCTAGTTCTAGATCCCTGAGGAATCGCCACACTGACTTCCACAATGGTTGAACTAGTTTACAGTCCCACCAACAGTGTAAAAGTGTTCCTATTTCTCCACATCCTCTCCAGCACCTGTTGTTTCCTGACTTTTTAATGATTGCCATTCTAACTGGTGTGAGATGATATCTCATAGTGGTTTTGATTTGCATTTCTCTGATGGCCAGTGATGATGAGCATTTTTTCATGTGTTTTTTGGCTGCATAAATGTCTTCTTTTGAGAAGTGTCTGTTCATGTCCTTCGCCCACTTTTTGATGGGGTTGTTTGTTTTTTTCTTGTAAGTTTGTTTGAGTTCATTGTAGATTCTGGATATTAGCTCTTTGTCAGATGAGTAGGTTGCAAAATTTTCTCCCATGTTGTAGGTTGCCTGTTCACTCTGATGGTAGTTTCTTTTGCTGTGCAGAAGTTCTTTAGTTTAATTAGATCCCATTTGTCAATTTTGGCTTTTGTTGCCATTGCTTTTGGCGTTTTGGACATGAAGTCCTTGCCCACGCCTATGTCCTGAATGGTAATGCCTAGGTTTTCTTCTAGGGTTTTTATGGTTTTAGGTCTAACGTTTAAATCTTTAATCCATCTTGAATTGATTTTTGTATAAGGTGTAAGGAAGGGATCCAGTTTCAGCTTTCTACATATGGCTAGCCAGTTTTCCCAGCACCATTTATTAAATAGGGAGTCCTTTCCCCATTGCTTGTTTTTCTCAGGTTTGTCAAAGATCAGATAGTTGTAGATATGTGGCATTATTTCTGAGGGCTCTGTTCTGTTCCATTGATCTATATCTCTGTTTTGGTACCAGTACCATGCTGTTTTGGTTACTGTAGCCTTGTAGTATAGTTTGAAGTCAGGTAGTGTGATGCCTCCAGCTTTGTTCTTTTGGCTTAGGATTGACTTGGCGATGCGGGCTCTTTTTTGGTTCCATATGAACTTTAAAGTAGTTTTTTCCAATTCTGTGAAGAAAGTCATTGGTAGCTTGATGGGGATGGCATTGAATCTGTAAATTACCTTGGGCAGTATGGCCATTTTCACGATATTGATTCTTCCTACCCATGAGCATGGAATGTTCTTCCATTTGTTTGCATCCTCTTTTATTTCCTTGAGCAGTGGTTTGTAGTTCTCCTTGAAGAGGTCCTTCACATCCCTTGTAAGTTGGATTCCTAGGTATTTTATTCTCTTTGAAGCAATTGTGAATGGGACTTCACTCGTGATTTGGCTCTCTGTTTGTCTGTTGTTGGTGTATAAGAATGCTTGTGATTTTTGTACATTGATTTTGTATCCTGAGACTTTGCTGAAGTTGCTTATCAGCTTAAGGAGATTTTGGGCTGAGATGATGGGGTTTTCTAGATAAACAATCATGTCGTCTGCAAACAGGGACAATTTGACTTCCTCTTTTCCTAATTGAATACCCTTTATTTCCTTCTCCTGCCTGATTGCCCTGGCCAGAACTTCCAACACTATGTTGAATAGGAGCGGTGAGGGCATCCCTGTCTTCTGCCAGTTTTCAAAGGGAATGCTTCCAGTTTTTGCCCATTCAGTATGATATTGGCTGTGGGTTTGTCATAGATAGCTCTTATTATTTTGAAATACGTCCCATCAATACCTAATTTATTGAGAGTTTTTAGCATGAAGGGTTGTTGAATTTTGTCAAAGGCTTTTTCTGCATCTATTGAGATAATCATGTGGTTTTTGTCTTTGGCTCTGTTTATATGCTGGATTACATTTATTGATTTGCGTATATTGAACCAGCCTTGCATCCCAGGGATGAAGCCCACTTGATCATGGTGGATAAGCTTTTTGATGTGCTGCTGGATTCGGTTTGCCAGTATTTTATTGAGGATTTTTGCATCAATGTTCATCAAGGATATTGGTCTAAAATTCTCTTTTTTGGTTGTGTCTCTGCCCGGCTTTGGTATCAGAATGATGCTGGCCTCATAAAATGAGTTAGGGAGGATTCCCTCTTTTTCTATTGATTGGAATAGTTTCAGAAGGAATGGTACCAGTTCCTCCTTGTACCTCTGGTAGAATTCGGCTGTGAATCCATCTGGTCCTGGACTCTTTTTGGTTGGTAAACTATTGATTATTGCCACAATTTCAGAGCCTGTTATTGGTCTATTCAGAGATTCAACTTCTTCCTGGTTTAGTCTTGGGAGAGTGTATGTGTCGAGGAATGTATCCATTTCTTCTAGATTTTCTAGTTTATTTGCATAGAGGTGTTTGTAGTATTCTCTGATGGTAGTTTGTATTTCTGTGGGATCGGTGGTGATATCCCCTTTACCATTTTTTATTGTGTCTATTTGATTCTTCTCTCTTTTTTTCTTTATTAGTCTTGCTAGCGGTCTATCAATTTTGTTGATCCTTTCCAAAAACCAGCTCCTGGATTCATTGATTTTTTGAAGTGTTTTTTGTGTCTCTATTTTCTTCAGTTCTGCTCTGATTTTAGTTATTTCTTGCCTTCTGCTAGCTTTTGAATGTGTTTGCTCTTGCTTTTCTAGTTCTTTTAATTGTGATGTTAGGGTGTCAATTTTGGATCTTTCCTGCTTTCTCTTGTAGGCATTTAGTGCTATAAATTTCCCTCTACACACTGCTTTGAATGCGTCCCAGAGATTCTGGTATGTGGTGTCTTTGTTCTCGTTGGTTTCAAAGAACATCTTTATTTCTGCCTTCATTTCGTTATGTACCCAGTAGTCATTCAGGAGCAGATTGTTCAGTTTCCATGTAGTTGAGCGGCTTTGAGTGAGATTCTTAATCCTGAGTTCTAGTTTGATTGCACTGTGGTCTGAGAGATAGTTTGTTATAATTTCTGTTCTTTTACATTTGCTGAGGAGAGCTTTACTTCCAACTATGTGGTCAATTTTGGAATAGGTGTGGTGTGGTGCTGAAAAAAATGTATATTCTGTTGATTTGGGGTGGAGAGTTCTGTAGATGTCTATTAAGTCCGCTTGGTGCAGAGCTGAGTTCAATTCCTGGGTATCCTTGTTGACTTTCTGTCTCGTTGATCTGTCTAATGTTGACAGTGGGATGTTAAAGACTCCCATTATTAATGTGTGGGAGTCTAAGTCTCTTTGTAGGTCACTCAGGACTTGCTTTATGAATCGGGGTGCTCCTGTATTGGGTGCATAAATATTTAGGATAGTTAGCTCCTCTTGTTGAATTGATCCCTTTACCATGACGTAATGGCCTTCTTTGTCTCTTTTGATCTTTGTTGGTTTAAAGTCTGTTTTATCAGAGACTAGGATTGCAACCCCTGCCTTTTTTTTTTTTCCATTTGCTTGGTAGATCTTCCTCCATCCTTTTATTTCGAGCCTATGTGTGTCTCTGCACGTGAGATGGGTTTCCTGAATACAGCACACTGATGGGTCTTGACTCTTTATCCAACTTGCCAGTCTGTGTCTTTTAATTGCAGAATTTAGTCCATTTATATTTAAAGTTAATATTGTTATGTGTGAATTTGATCCTGTCATTATGATGTTAGCTGGTGGTTTTGCTCGTTAGTTGATGCAGTTTCTTCCTAGTCTCGATGGTCTTTACATTTTGGCATGATTTTGCAGCGGCTGGTACCGGTTGTTCCTTTCCATGTTTAGCACTTCCTTCAGGAGCTCTTTTAGGGCAGGCCTGGTGGTGACAAAATCTCTCAGCATTTGCTTGTCTATAAAGTATTTTATTTCTCCTTCACTTATGAAGCTTAGTTTGGCTGGATATGAAATTCTGGTTTGAAAATTCTTTTCTTTAAGAATGTTGAATATTGGCCCCCACTCTCTTCTGGCTTGTAGGGTTTCTGCCGAGAGATCCGCTGTTAGTCTGATGGGCTTTCCTTTGAGGGTAACCTGACCTTTCTCTCTGGCTGCCCTTAACATTTTTTCCTTCATTTCAACTTTGGTGAATCTGACAATTATGTGTCTTGGAGTTGCTCTTCTCGAGGAGTATCTTTGTGGCGTTCTCTGTATTTCCTGAATCTGAACGTTGGCCTGCCTTGCTAGATTGGGGAAGTTCTCCTGGATAATATCCTGCAGAGTGTTTTCCAACTTGGTTCCATTCTCCACATCACTTTCAGGTACACCAATCAGACGTAGATTTGGTCTTTTCACATAGTCCCATATTTCTTGGAGGCTTTTCTCATTTCTTTTTATTCTTTTTTCTCTAAACTTCCCTTCTCGCTTCATTTCATTCATTTCATCTTCCATTGCTGATACCCTTTCTTCCAGTTGATCGCATCGGCTCCTGAGGCTTCTGCATTCTTCACGTAGTTCTCGAGCCTTGGTTTTCAGCTCCATCAGCTCCTTTAAGCACTTCTCTGTATTGGTTATTCTAGTTATACATTCTTCTAAATTTTTTTCAAAGTTTTCAACTTCTTTGCCTTTGGTTTGAATGTCCTCCCATAGCTCACAGTAATTTGATCGTCTGAAGCCTTCTTCTCTCAGCTCGTCAAAATCATTCTCCATCCAGCTTTGTTCCGTTGCTGGTGAGGAACTGCGTTCCTTTGGAGGAGGAGAGGCGCTCTGCGTTTTAGAGTTTCCAGTTTTTCTGTTCTGTTTTTTCCCCATCTTTGTGGTTTTATCTACTTTTGGTCTTTGATGATGGTGATGTACAGATGGGTTTTCGGTGTAGATGTCCTTTCTGGTTGTTAGTTTTCCTTCTAACAGACAGGACCCTCAGCTGCAGGTCTGTTGGAATACCCTGCCGTGTGAGGTGTCAGTGTGCCCCTGCTGGGGGGTGCCTCCCAGTTAGGCTGCTCGGGGGTCAGGGGTCAGGGACCCACTTGAGGAGGCAGTCTGCCCGTTCTCAGGTCTCCAGCTGCATGCTGGGAGAACCACTGCTCTCTTCAAAGCTGTCAGACAGGGACACTTAAGTCTGCAGAGGTTACTGCTGTCTTTTTGTTTGTCTGTGCCCTGCCCCCAGAGGTGGAGCCTACAGAGGCAGGCAGGCCTCCTTGAGCTATGGTGGGCTCCACCCAGTTCGAGCTTCCCGGCTGCTTTATTTACCTAAGCAAGCCTGGGCAATGGCGGGCGCCCCTCCCCCAGCCTCGTTGCCGCCTTGCAGTTTGATCTCAGACTGCTGTGCCAGCAATCAGCGAGATTCCGTGGGCATAGGACCCTCTGAGCCAGGTGTGGGATATAGTCTCCTGGTGCGCCGTTTTTTAAGCCGGTCTGAAAAGCGCAATATTCGGGTGGGAGTGACCCGATTTTCCAGGTGCATCCGTCACCCCTTTCTTTGACTCGGAAAGGGAACTCCCTGACCCCTTGCGCTTCCCAGGTGAGGGAATGCCTCGCCCTGCTTCGGCTCGCGCACGGTGCGCGCACACACTGGCCTGCGCCCACTGTCTGGCACTCCCTAGTGAGATGAACCCGGTACCTCAGATGGAAATGCAGAAATCACCCGTCTTCTGCGTCGCTCACGCTGGGAGCTGTAGACCGGAGCTGTTCCTATTCGGCCATCTTGGCTCCTCCCCACAGACATTTTTTATTTCAAAAACATTAGTAGACATTTTTCTATGTTGAAAAACCATCTGAAATTTGTATAGAACAATAAAAGACTCTGAATAGTCAAAGCAATCTTGATCAAAAAGAACAAAGCTAGAGGCATTATACAACTGACTTCACAATACAGTAACCAAAACAGCATGGTATTGGAATAAAAACAGCCATATAGGCTAATGAAACAGAATACAAAGCCTAGAAATAAATCTATGAATTTACAGTCAACTGATTTTCAACATATGTATCAAAAACACATCTTGAGAAAAGGACAGTTTCTTCAATAAATGGGGTCAGGAAAACTGGATATCCATGCACATAAAAATGAAATTAGACCCTTATCTCTCACCACATACAAAAATCAACTCAAAATTGACAGAGACTTAAATGTAAGACCAAAACTGTGAAACAATTAGAAGAAAACATAGGGAAAGTGCTTCATGACATTGGTGTAGGCAAGGATTTTATGGAAAGCCCTGTAAAGTATAGACAACAAAAGCGGTGATAGACAAATAGAATTACATCGAACTAAAAAGCATCTGCACATCACAGGAAACAATCAACAGAGTGAAGAGACAACCCACAGAATGGGAGAAAATATTTGCAAACTACACATCCAACAAGGGGTTAATATCCAAAACAGGGAAATAATTCAAATAACTCAAAAAAAAAAAAAAAAGAAATGGGCAAAAGATCTGCATGGACATTTCTCTGAAGAAGACATACAAATGGGCAACAGGTATACAAAATAATACTCAACATCACTAATCATCAGGGAAATGCAAATCAAAACCACAATAAAATATCTCACCACAGTTAGAAGGATATAATCAAAAAGACAAAAGACAATGTGTTGGCAAAAATGTGGGGAAAAGCAGATCCTTTTATACTGTTGTTGGGAATGTTAATTAGTACAACCACTATGGAAAAAAGTATGGAGTTTCCCAAAAAAAAATTTTAAAAGAACTACCATATGATCTAAGCAATCCCACTACTGGGTATATATCCAAAGGAAATGAAACCAATATGTTGAAGAGACATTTTCACTCCCATATGTTTTTGTAGCACTATTCACAATAGTCAAGATACGGAACCAACCTAAGTGTCCATCAGTGGATGAATGGATAAAGAAAATGTGATCTATATCTACATATATATATATATGAATATATAGATACATAATGGAATACTATTCACCCATAAAAAAGAATAAAATCCTGCCATTTGCAGTAACAGGGATGAATCTGGTGAATATAATTAAGTAAAATAAGTCAGACATAGAAAGACAAATACTACATGTTCTCACTCGTATGCAGAATCTAAACGAGTTGATACGATGGTGGGTATGGGGTGGTTAGGGGGAGGTGGAGATGGGGAGATGTTGGTCAAAGGATACATAATTATAGTCTGGAGTACATTTCAAGAGATCTGTTGAACAGCAGGATGACTATAGTTAATGTTATGTAATAGTCAATGTTATGTGCTATCACCACAAAAATAACTATAGAAGTAATGCATTTGTTAATTCACTAGCGTTAACAGTGTATATATATATTTCAAAAATCATGTTGTACAAGATAAAAGCATAATGTTATCTGTCAAATGAATGTACAAACATTTTTAAGCACCTTCTGGGTGCCAGGCTATTACTGGGATAAAGAACTGACAACATACCAGTTGAAATCTGTCATAACCTAGTAGGGAAAACAACCAAGAAGACACAAGCAGGCTTACAGTGATATGTGTGTTCACAGGATGCTAAGTGGGGAAGGGATGTCATTCCAAATGGAAAGCATGAAGAGACGGAAGAGTTTGTCTTCTTCTAATAACTTCAGGTCACTTAGAATACCTGGATCACAAGGAGCAAGTCAATGTTGTGTGAGGAACAGAAGGAAAACAACTTCCCTAGAAACAGCACAGGCTGATGTTGCACCTACATTAGGCCAACCATGAAACATGAAAGCCCCTGCAAAGTTATAAGGTCAGTGTTTCCCAAGGATACCTGCCACTTGGATAAGAATAAATCTAGAAGCCATTGATTTGAAAATTATTCTTTATGAGTCTTCTTTCTACTGTCCCAATTTTTCTGCTAAGCATTACTCCCACCATCAACACAGACACATTAAACGACTTGTTCCCTACCATATCATTTCCTTTAATGTGGACATATACATGCACTTAGGAATGCAGTTTCTGTACTTCCTTCAGAAGGACTCTTCTATTTGAGCTTTTAGCATCTTTACTTAAAGTGTGTTCATAGCTCTCCTTTCTGAAGTTGGCCAGTTGAAGTCTGAAGGAAATTTTAACAGATTTGGCACATTTGAGAGCCTGCAACTGAACAGGTTGAATCGGAATCAGTGTTGCTTTACTCTTAGTCTCTGTTTCAGGTTTAAAGTCTTCAAAATGGCTTTCTACATTTAGTTTTTCAAGATTTTCTAAGTCACTTAGGCTTTTTCAAAAGCTATATTGTCTAGAACCTCACAGAAGCAACAGATATCTATCCTGCTGCACCTACTCAAGACTCTCCTTGGAAACTCTTGAAACAGCTTTGCTGACCCACCACCACTTCCTGGTGGACACGGTAAAAACCACTGGTCTCTGTGCTGGTTTGAGAGCCCTTGCAGTTTTAACAAATAGACAGAGCCCAGCTACTTAATAATCTTCTCGGCACCTCACTCCCAGCTGAATCTGTGGATGTGCAAGACAAATGCCCAGACACCCCAACTCCCTCTTCAACTCCCCAGATTTCTTTGGTCAAAGCATCAGCTCTGGGCCCCAGCAGTGCTGTTGAGAATTCAGTTCCAATCCCATCAGAGTAGATGGAATTACAAGATAGATTCCACTTGCCTGAGACTCCCAAGCCCAAGTCAAAGGAACACATTTTTAAAATAGCAAATGTAACACATCTCCTGTAACTAACTGTTCCTTGTATAATGTGGATCCAAGATTGCTCACCAACTTGAGCATTTTCTCCTGGGCATATTCCAGAGTGTCAGAGTCTCTGCTAAGAAAAACAAAAATTTGAGAATGCAATTTAATTCTCTATTACTGGAGGGCAGAATTTTAAGGGCGTTTCTTTTCTTTCTTTTTTTAATGGAAGAGGCATGGGAGAAAACACGTTTAGCTATGTGCTGGACATTTCATATAACATCTTTTAATTGTCATGTAACAACTAAGAAGACAAGGTTAGGCTGTCCATAACAGAGAAAGTCTTTCTGTGTTGATTTATCTCTCTTGTAAAAAGGGCAAGCAATGAGAAAACAGAAAAACAGTATTCAGGCCCGGGCTGTTTCTTGGATTCCTTAGAGATCAAGCCCCTTTCAGCTCACTATTCTGCCATCTTTATCAGATGGCCCTTGCCCTCATAATCTGAAGAAGCATTTTCCTTCCAGGTGGCAATTTTGAGAAAGACAAGAAAAAAGAGAGGAAGAAAGAGAAGTTGCCAGCTGTCTCTCAAGGAAGGTTCTCAGTCGCTGTCACACAACTCTTCTCTCATATCCTATTGTTCAGAACTTTGTCACAGTATCACACCTAACTGCAAAGAGCCCAGGAAATGTATTCTTTTGTTTTATGGTCATCAGCTCAACTAAACTTTATCTTACTCTGGAGGAAGGGGAGAAAAGGTATTTAGAGACAATCAGCAGGGTCAGTCACAAGTTACAACTCCATGAAGCAGGCATTAATAAACTCATCAAACAAATGAAGAAACCAAGTCCGAAATGTTTCAGTAAGTTGCTGTAGGTCATACAGCTAGAATGTGCTATAGCCACTACCTAAATTGAAATCTTTTTATACCAACAACTGTTTTATTTCCTCTATTGTCCATACTAAGAGTAAGAAGTACCCTTCTATAAATACATTCTGTTCGTTGTATTATATCCTTGGCTTTCATATGGTGAACTAAAGTATGTCACCTTTCTCTCATGATTCTCTTTATACTACCACTAGGCTGGTACAAACTACATCATCTAATTATTGTCATTGCCTATCAATTAGATTCCCTATTCTCATCTTGTCCTACTCCAGTTCATCCTCCACACAGCAGAAAGAGTGGGCTTTTAAAAACTCAAGTCTAAAAATTTTACTTCATTGCTTAAACACCCATAATAACTGCACATGACTGTTTAGATAAAGATCAATCAACACCATTAATGCAGCTTTCAGGGCTTGCAAGTCGGGCCCTACCCACCTCATCGGTTTCCTGTCGTATGATTCTTCTCCTCCTTCTCCACACTACTCTGGATTTCTGTAGACACTCCGTGGTTCCTTCTATCTTGGGGCCTCTCTGATGCTGTTCCCTCTGTCCTGAGTCTCTTTTCCTGATATCTTTGTGTCCTTCACATTTCAGATTTTGACTCAAGAAAGACCTCTTTGACACCTCAGACTATATCAAGTCCTTCTAGTATATGCTTTCAAAGCACCTTATTTTTCTGGATTCTGAACACAATTTATAACTATACATATATTTTAATATAATGTATTTCTATTTCTTCTGCTAATCTGTAAGCTTCCTGAAGAAAGTACCATTTTCCTCACAATGGCATCTCCAACATCTGGCAAATAGATGTTTGCTGAAGGAAAAAGAAAACAGTTCAATTTATAACCCTTCTAATTTTGCTTGTTTGTTTTTTGTTTGTTAGAGATGGAGTCTCGCTCTGTCACTCATTCTGGAGTGAAGTGGCACAGTCTCTGCTCACTGCAACCTCTACCTCCCGGGTTCAAGCGATTCTTCTGCCTCAGCCTCCAGAGTAGCTGGGACTACAGGTGCATGTCACCACGCCCAGCTAATTTTTGTATTTTTAGTAGAGACAGTGTTTCACCATGTTGGCCAGGATGGTCTCTATCTCTTGACCTCGTGGTCCACCTGCCTTGGCCTCCCAAAGTGCTGGGATTACAGGTGTGAGCCACTGTGCTCGGCCCTAATTTTTATAGTTAATTAATTGTGACTGAAATGAGGAATACTGCATGTATCCATTCATCTGTTCAAAATATTTATTGAGCATCTACTGTGCTCTAAGCGCTAGAAATAAAACTGTGAACAAGACAGACTATGTCCCTGCATTCACCGAGATTACATTCTTAAGGAAAAAAATTGATAGATGACTGGATGGATGGGAAAAAGGGATAAAGAAAAGAAGAAAGAGAAGGAGAAAAAGAAAACATGAGATTTTGTCAAGTGCTAGGAAGAAAAGTAAAGCAGAATAAGGCAGAAGACTGTTGGAGTGGGACAAGACATACTTAGGCAGGATAGCCAGGGAAGGCTTTGCTAAGGAGGTGATATTTGAATGTAACTAAATTATATTAAAGGGAAACCATGTAAACATATGGAATAAGAGCATTCAGGTAAATGGAGCAAGGAAAAAGGCTTTGAGATGGAAACAGCCAAAGCACTGTGGCTGGAACAGAGAGAAATCAATACTGAGGTAGAGCACTTCAATCTGATGAGATAAATGTAACATATTGATTCCTCAAGAGTAGAAACTAACTTTCAGCTTTAAGTTCTCTATAAATATGGTAAACATGCCATGTACAATGATAGACCATGGTGATCCATCATTTTAGTCTACCTCCTAGGTCACTCTCGATTTGAACAATAGTTTGTGTTCAAATAAGTAACTTTTTCTACCAAATGTGTGAGCAAAGAAATAACAGCAACTTCTTTACTATCTATTCCAGGAAAAAAAAAAGGATAGAACACTTCCTAAATCATTTTATAAAGCTAACATTACATTGATACCAAAACCGGAAAAAAAAAGTTTTCAAAGGAAAATTATAGATTCTCTCTCATGAATATAAGTGCAAAAAGTCTTTTTAAAATATGAGCAAATAGCATTCAGCAATATTTAAGAATTATACACCATGTTCAAGTGGGATTTACCCAAGCATGGCTCAACATGTAAGAATCTATGTAATTCATGATATTAACAGGCTAAAGAAGAAAAATATAATCATATCAATAGGTGTGGAAGAAACAATGGACACAATTCAACATCCATTCATAATTTAAAACACTTAGAAAAATGAGAGCAAAGGAAAAGGTGTTCAACTTGATAAGGAGCGTCTACAAAAAACCTAAAGCTAATATACTTAATGGAGAAAAACTGAATGCTTTCACTGTAAAATAAAAAACAAGGCAAGGGTGTCCGCTCTTATTCAACACAGTGATGAAAGTTCTAGCCAAAGCAAGAAAGCAAGAAATGGAAACAAAATGCAAACAGATTGAAAAGAATTATTTTAGATCATCTGTACTAGCAAATGACATGATTGGGTACACAGACAATCCCAAGGAATCTACAAAAACACATATGACTAATAAGCTCAGAAAGTTCTTAGGATACAAAATAAACATACAGAAATCATTTGTATTTCTACGTACTAATAATGAGCACCCTATGTTCATGGACTGGAAGACTCAACATAGCAAAGATGTCAATTCTCCCAAAAATTCATATATAAGTTATATGCAATTCCTAGTAAGATCCCAGCAAGATTTTTTGTATATATAGACAAGATTATTCTAAAATATATATGGAAAAGCAGAGGAACTAGAAGAGCTAAAACAATTTTGAAAAAAAAAAACAGTCAAGTGAGAGAGAGATCAGTTTATTCAATTTCAAGGGTTATTATATAGCTGCAGTAATTAAGATTATATTTGGTATTAGTGGAAGGATGGACACAAAAATGGATCCGAATAAAGAACCCAGAAATAGACTCACATGAATATGCCCAACTGATATTTGACAAAAGAGCAAAAGCAATGCAATAGAGGAAATATTGCCTTTTCAACAAACGGAGCGAAGGGACAACAATGAACCTTGACCTAAGTCTCACACCTTATATAAAAATCAACTCAAAACAAATCACCAACTTAAACGTAAAAAAGAAAAGATGAAATATAAAACATTTAGAAAAATATATGAGAAAATCTTTGAGATCTAAGGCTAGACAGAATTCTTAGGCTTGATATGAAAAGCACAATCCACAAAATTAAAAATGGACAAATTAGATATCAAAATTTTAAACTTTTTGTTCTTTGAAATATCTGTTAAGAAGATTAAAAGATAAGCTATAAACTGGAAGACGATATTTGCAAACTACATCTCCAACAAAGGACTAGTAATTAATATACATATATATAAAATATATATTTAAACACTCAAAATAATTAAAAAACAATCTAATTAGACAGTGAACAAATGACATGCATAGACATTTCACAAAAGAAGATAAACAATGGCAAATGAGCTCATGAAACCATATTCAATATCATTAGTCCACAGGCAAATGCAAATTTAAACTACAATAACTTAGATATCACTACATGTCTACCAAAATGGCTAAAATTTTAAAAAGTAGTGACACCACCAAATACTAATGATGATGCAAAGAAATTAAGTCATTCATACATTGCTGGTGGGAATGTAAAATGGAAAACATCTGGAAAATCATTTGGCAGTGTCTTAAAAATTAAATATGCAACTATTATATGACTAACAATTATACTCTTGGGAATGTATCCAAGAGAAATGAAAAATTTTTGTTTGCACAAAAAAACTATGCCTAAGTATTACAGCAGCCTTATATATAACAGCTAAAACTTGAAAGAAATCCAGATGTCCTCCAGTGGGTGAATAAACTGTGGTAGATGACATCATGGAATACTATTCAGTAATAAAAAGAAATGAACTGGCTGAGCCCAGCGGTTCACACCTGTAATCCCATCACTTTGGGAGTCCAAGGCAGGAGGATTGCTTGAGCCCAGGAGTTTGAGGCTGCAATGGGCCATCTCACCACTGCACTCCAGCCTGGGTGACAGAGCAAGACTCAGCCTTTAAAAAAAAAAAGACAAAGAAATGAACTATTGATACATGCAACAATTTGGATGATCCTTCGGAGAATTATGCTTAGAGAAAAAGGCCAATCTCAATGTTTACTAACTGTACAATTCCATTTATATATCAGCATTGAAATTACAAAACTAGAGAAATGGAGAAGAGATGAATGGTTAAGGATGAAGGGAGGCCAGGAGAGAATTGGAGTGGCCATGGAGGGTCCACATGAGGGATGCTTATGGTGATGAAAATGTTCTGTATTGTATTTTATTATAGTTTTGCAAGATGTTCTCATTGGAGGAAACTGAATGGTACATACAATCTCTCTGTATTGTTTCTTACAAATGAATGTAAATATAAAATTACATCAAAATGAAAAGCTTAATTCAAAAAATTTTAAAATCAAAGTTTATGCTCAAATCAATGGCTATTTTTCTGGATTGCAGGTTTATCCATTACAATATGTTTAGCAATCCTTCCTCATTCCAACATCTTCAAATATTCATCTATATTCTCTTCCTTTTGATTATTTAAATTTTTGCATTTTATTCTTACTTTTACTTTAGTACATGATAATTTTAAAGGCTCTAGCTTGATTTTTTTCAAACGGAAAATAGTTTCCAAAACTAATTTTTTGTTGATTCATCCATTTTCCACTGGTTTATTATATTTTCTTTATCATATGCTAACTTCTGAAATACACCAAGAACAATTTTCTTAATCACTCTTACTGTTTATTTTGCTAAATGCACTCCGAATCTCTTTGTCAAGTTCAAAAAAAATTTTACGGTCTAATTTATAATCCATTAAATGTATAATTAATTATGGAAGGATTAACATATTTACAATATTTAATCTTTCCATTCAAGAATAGGGTTCTCCATTTATTCCTATTCTTTTGTATCTCTCAGCAAAGTTTTATAATTTTCTTCATATAGGTCCATTTATTTCTTGCTAGAAATATTCCTAAGTTTTATTGATCTTGTAGCTGTAGTCTTTGTTTCCATGCAAAGGAGATAGATGTCCAGTTTCCTAGTTTTAATACATTCTGTATTTCTTAAACAAGGGCTAAACAGTGGGGGAGGAAGTAAGGGGTCTCTCTACCTACATGTAAGCAATCATTTTTAGAGTACTGATTGTCATTTTCGTCAACTTTGAACTTAGTAGAAACTCCTCCCTGATACTAGCACTAATGTGGTCAGTCCTACTTTTGGTTTTCTTCTTTCCTATGTCTCCATAGGAACTCTAGTAAGAATTTGTGAGAGGCAACATGGGCACTGACCAAATGTCATTGTGAATTGAATTTTTTATTCTCCCATTCTAAGCACAAAGTTTTCAAACAGGTCCCAGCCACCCAAGAGTACTTTTATACTATGTGTATTTTTGCTATATCATTCATAGTGATATTTTGGCATGTCAGATATTGCCAAGTGTTTTTGTAAACCCAAGAAACAGTAGATCTATGTCACTCCCAGTGATCTATCAATTCAGTAAAATGCTTTCACAAAAGGAGGTCAGGTTAGTTTGTCATGATTTGTCCTTAGTCACTCCGTGTCTTCTAGCAGTCAACACATTCCTTTCAAAGTACTCATAAGACATCTGCTAAAAATTCATTCTATAATTTGACCAAACTTTGAACAATTTATTAGTCTGTAGTTTCTGGAGTCCACCCTTTTTCAAAACTTGTGACATTTACTTGCCATCAATCTTCTGGTTCCTCTCTTGTTGTACATAATTTTTTTAAGATTACCAGTGGTGACTCTGATTACACATCTAAATTCCTTCAGCACCCGGGGATGAAACTTGGCTGCACCAAAAGACATGACCTCATGACAGGAATTAAGTCTTGCTCTCCTTTTCCAGTCATCCTGGGCTAGAATTTCTTTACTATATAGATTATTCTACTTTGCTAGAATCTGAAACTCTTGAGAGAACCAACAATTGTGGGTGGTGTTGTCCTTACAGGGGAAATTGTTTCAAAGTGGCACAGAAGGCAAATCACTTCCTGATGTATGATCAGCAGTGATGCCTAGATACATGGTGGCATGGGTGTGTGCGTGTGTGTGCAATCTGGATGCTTTTCCTGGTTTCTCCATTTTAGACTGTTACCTGCTTGTTTTCTCGTGTTGAACATCCCCTTGCACCATGCTTATTTTAAATAGCACACCCATTTGGAATCTCCAGTTCATACTGCTGAACACCTATCTTGTCCCTAATGGTTGGATTGGAATAACGTTAAGACCTTAAGACGCACAGCCCTGCCCTGTTGTTTCTGGATGAATGGTCCCACCACCAGTTCTTGAGTCTCTGCAGCTCCACCTTCCAGCCTAGTCTGCCCTTACTCCCCGTATCGGTTCCACTGTACTTGTCTCTGTAACTGTGTCTCAGGAGTTCACCCCAGGCTCCACTGGTATCACTATGAACCAGCATGCACTGCAGTACAGACTGACTCCGGGGCCACAGCACCTGCTCTCTGGGGATATACTGAGTCCCAAGACCCAGGTGCTTAAACCATACCCCACCCCATGCCACCTCCTCCTTGATCAATTAGTTCCTACCAGAAGACCCGGTATGGCTTCTCTGTACCTTGCCATGTGTAGATAATTAATAAATGTTTATTGAAATGAATTAAGTAACAATTGCGTATCCACATTCACTTTGAAGAAGGCTTGGTAAGTTTTGTAAGGGTCTATTTGTATAAAGTTTTACACCCTTCCAAAGCCAATTTCATTCTTGCTAAAGCCTGGGGGATCCTTAACAGCTCCATTCCTGATCTGTGCTGAGACAGAACTCTTTCTTCTGCTGCCTCCACACAACTGCACAAAACCCTTAAACTGAACGCAATTCAGACCTGGAACATTCTCGCATCTTCTGAATCCCTTGGCTCAGAGTATATTATCCTAGTGCTCAGGTCCTATCTGCCTCCTAGGACATAATTCACTCATAGAACCCACACCGCAGCTCAGGCAGGAGACCTCCAATACCATACAGGATATTTATTTACCTGCCATGAATCTCAAAGGATGACAAGAAGTAAATCAGCTTCTAGAATATGTGTGAAAACAGCAGCTGAGACATTCTTGTCCAACTCTGCAAGACTGTTAAGTTCTAATGCACAGGATACACCATTCATTCTAACATATACACCTCCATGGGGACCAGAATACCCAGCAATTGATAAACACTTCCATCCATTCCCCCATCTCACTTGCAGTTCAGTCAAGTGATTGTCAAGACATCAATAGGAAGTTCTGTGTAAACACAGGCACTATAGCTAATCAGTAGGATGTTTATTGTATCATTGCTTGTCAACCATTATCAATAAGGATTTGAGTGCTACAAAGGAGAATTAACTGGTTTCTAATTAAGTAATTATACTACCTCTATAGAATAAGAAATTCATTAAAGACAATTTCCAATCATTCTGATCGTTCACATATTTGGTTTTAGCCTAATATATTGTAGCAAAAAGTATTCAGAAATAGTACGCAGCTGCCCTCTTGTGTCACTTTCATATAATTAAATCTATTAATGTTTACCAGTGATTCAATTAGCTTTGCATTTTTAAAGGTCACCATATACCACTACGCTTCCACTTCTGATGATAATATCCTAAATGGTCATTTACAAAGTATGATATGTGGAAAGATACCAGTTCTCTCTACCAATGAAACTTAGTGGCATAAACATCTAAATATTGAAGAGGTAATATAATTTACTCTGTCCTCCAGGTCCTCTCCTCATCCAAATACCCAGATGTCTTAAAATGATTCTGCATCATCTCATTATACTTAATTAATACCTAATCAATATTTAATCCATTCTTAATGAGTGTATGGATTTGTACTAATTCTTCACTACTGGCCACTCCACGACCCCACAGGAGATGAAATGGAAGCAAGTTCTCTTTCATAATTGCCAAGGGCATCCCTCACAAAGAGCCCCTTGTGGTCTCTGTTGCCATTTATTAACCACCTATTATGAGCTAAGTACTGTGCTACATTCTTTACAAACAGAATATACAACAATATGCATAAAACAGAAAGCTTATCTTCATGTAACAGAAGAAACCCAGTTATCAGAGTTAGATAATGCCTTCCCAGAAGCCAAAGGATAATGATGGTCTCATTCTTCACATTGTAACTTGGCAAACCAAGGCTTGTTTGTTCTTTTCTTCCACATCCATCTACGATAATAAGCCACCATACACGAATTTGCAGACAGCCAGCTGCTCAACATACCAGAAACTATCTTACTAAAGTGAGAGTAAGTTTAAACAATGGAGATAATTAATGGATGTTCTGTTTCTTTACTACGTTGTGTTTCCTTATTGAGTACTCTACAGTTCCAGCTCTGTATCACAGTTCTCTGCATTATGGAAGAGTAGATATAAAAAACTGAAAACAAGTCATATTGGTTTGGGACAAGTAGGAACTGTACTTTTGCACAAATCAACACTGGTTTGGTGGCTACACTCAATAACTGGGTAGAGAGAGGATCCAGTAGTGACACAAGAAGATGAACCAATTGTACAGCCTCAGTCCCTCATCTCCTGGGAGGTAGAGTCCCTGGAAGCACTTATTGCAAAGACATAGGAATAAGATGCAATGTATAAAATGTAAGCTGAGATGTGACATCCTGTGACCAAAACCAGACATTGTGAGAGTGGAAAGAGGAGGTTCCAAGGGTGCCTTGAAGGTGGGAGCAGGGTGGGAGATGTAGAGTAAGGAGGTGTCTGTGTTTCTTGTTGTGTTAATGCACACACTGGTGGTGGGCTCCCTCTAGAGTGGGCACAAAGCGAAATGGATCCTGCAACATTGACTCTAACTCCATAGAGAGGGGAGAGATACCTGCAGATGGGATGTGTGGAAGACGGTCCTTCTGGAGACTGTAACATAACAACAGTGATGTGGGGCATGCAATAGCGGATGCCCAGCTCAAGCGGATGCCCACTCATTGCCAAGGGTTGGAGTCAGAGGAGAGACACAGGGGCCCAGTCTAGCTCTGGAGCTGAGCTTCCTGAGGCAGGGTGGGGCAACAGGAAAGCCTTGAGAGTCAAAAGTCTAAGTCCCGGGCTCTTATTCTAGCTCTGTAATTAACTTGTTCTGTGACCTTGAGCCAATTGCCTCACCTTCCTTGTTCTGTTTCTTCATCTTTCACATGTCTTCCTTGGGCGCTCAGAAAGTCCCTCCATTCCTAATGCTCTCTTTACTCAATCCCTTCCAAGGTAGCTTGGTTGTGTGTGGCCACCCATGGGGACTGATTTGTTTTATTATTATTATTTTTTTGAGACAATCTTGCTCTGTTGCCCAAGCTAGAGTGCAGTAGAGCAATCTTGGCTCACTGCAACCTCTGTCTACTGGGTCCTAGCCATTCTTGTGCCTCAGCATCCCAGGTAGCTGGGATTACAGTCATGTGCCACTATGCCCAGCTAATTTTTTTGTACTTTTAGTAGAGATGGGGTTTCTCCATGTTGCCCAGGCTGGTCTCAAACTCCTGACCTCAAGCACTCTGCCCGCCTCAGCCTCCCAAAGTGCTGGGAGTCACTGTGCCCAGACTGATTTTTTTATTCCTGTTGTGAAAGTTGTCAGAATGAAACTGAAATCACTGATGTTATGGAAATCCTGACAAATAGAGCTGCGAAAGGATATGAAGGGAGGGATCTCAGGTTTGTATGCCTGATAATAAAAGAACTCTACAAAACCACAACCTTGCACAAAGGCCATTGCAGCCTAACACAAAAAATACTTCTGCAAGAACATGTGTCCAGCAACTGCCTGTCAACCTGGGGCTGGTGTCATCCTTGTTTTTGTTCTCAGTAGCCAAGGATGATTATTTCAAAACAACTATGTAATCTTCCTCATTTCTGCCTTTAAAATCCATTGGCTTTCTCTCCCTCCCCAAATATGCACAAAGTTTACTATAGCATGCAGATTCCCATTACAGTACTCTATTCCAAAATAAATATCTTTTTCTTTTAAAGAGACTCTCTGTTAGTTATTTGGGTTGACATTGTTATGGGATCAACTGTGCACCCCCTTAAAATTCATATGTTGAAGCCCTAGGATCCAGCTTTCAGAGTGTGACTATATTTGGAGATACGGTCTTTAAAGAGATGATTAAGGTAACATAAGGTCATACGGGTGGGCCCTAGTCTAATATGACTGGTGTCCTTATAGGAAATTAGGACACAGGTACAGAGAGAAGGCCTTGTGAAGACACAGGGAGAAGACAGCCATCTGCTAGCCAAGGAGAGAGGCCTCTGAAATAACCGGTCCAGCTGCCACCTGGTTCTCGGACTTCTAACCTCACTGTGAAAAAATACATTTCCATCCTCTTTTGTACTCAGTTCCCCTCTGGGTTTTCCTTTCTATTTATATTTTCTTCCACTTAGCAACCTTAAACACTCATGGGCAAAGTCCACATTGTGCCCTCTCCCCATACCTCAACACAATTATCTTTCTCCCTCTGATAGGGTTTGGATATTTGCCCCTTCCAAATCTCATGTCGAAATGTAACCCCCCATATTGGATGTGGGGCCTAGTGGGAGGTGTTTGGGTCATGTGGACAGATCCCTGACAAGTGTCTTGATGCCATCCTCACAATAATAAGTGAGTTCTCAGTCTATGACATCACCCGAGATCTGGTAGTCTGAAAGAGCATGGTACTTCCCGCCTCTCTCTCTCTCTTGCTCTCTCTCTTGCCATGTAACATTCAGGCTCCTCCTTCACCTTCCAACATGGTTGGGAAGCTTCCTGAGGCCTCAACAGAAGCAGATGCCTGCACCATGCCTCCTGTACAGCCTGAAGAACCATGGGCTAAAATAAACCATTTTACATCATCAATTACCCAGCCTCAGGTATGCCTTTATAACAACCCAAAATAAACTAAAGTTCTCTCTCTCTTTCTGTTCTATAACGCACAGCAATTGTATATGGAGAAATGAAGCCATTAACATACAACATACACAAAGCAGTGTCTGTAACTAAAAGAGTACACATGAAAACGAACACACACAATGGCATCCAATGCCAGGAAGGGCTTGGTGAAACAGACACTCACATAAACTGTTGGTGGGAGTATATATTTGAGGAAACTTTCTGGAGGTTAATTTGGCCACATACATCAAAAGTTTTAAAAGCATTCATACCCACATGCTGAATATCCCAGGAAACAAAATGAAAGATGAGGAAGTTGGGCGGGGGGAGGAACTGAACTTCCAATGGCCAACTTCACTAGAAATCACAGAAATGAAAATGTGTGAAAGAGGAACACTCTATTAATGGTGGGTAGCTAAATTGGTTAATCTTGCCAAGAGACAAATTAATAATCATTATTAAAATCTTAAAATTATATTTTCCTTTTGTCTCAGCAATCTCATTTTAAGGAATTTAGCCCAATGAAATAATAATGAAAGTAATAGTAAGAACATATTTACTGCAATATTTTAAGAGGGAGATTATCTTTTCTAGTATTTTTATTTCCATAGGTTTGGGGGGAACAGGTGGTGTTTGATTATATGAGAAGTTCTCTAGTGGTGATTTGTGAGATTTTGATGCACCCATCGCCCGAACAGTATACACTGAGCCCAATTTGTAGCCTTTTATCCGTCACACCCCTCCCACCCTTTCCCCCAAGTCCCCAAAGTCCGTTGTATCATTCTTATGTGTTTGCATCCTCATAGCTTAGCTCCCACTTACGAGTGAGAACATACAATGTTTGGTTTTCCATTCCTGAGCTACTTCATCTAAATGTCCAATGAGAGGGTTAAATAAATAACAATTTGTCCATATGATGGAATCATTTACAAAAATGATTTAATGATCGCAGAAATTTTTCTTACACAATGTTAAATGGGTAAAAAGTACAAAAAGTTTCTATAAGTATTGCTAAAAATGTATGCATGTGTGTAAAAATACTCTGGAAAAATATTCATCAACACCCACAATTCCTGATCATGAATCTCCCCACGTATTTTTTTTTCTTCTCTGTACTCTTCTGAATGTTCTCCAGTAAGGCGGGGTTACTTTAAGTAGAAAAGCAACACATCATTTTAAAAATGGAAAAATAAGCCAGGCACGTGTCTCACACCTGTAATCCCAGCACTTTGGGAGGTCGAGGTGGGTGGATTGCTTGAGTCCAGGAGGTCTAGACCAGCCTGGGCAACATAGTGAGACCCTACCTCTACAAAATTTTTTTTTAAAATATCAGGCAGGCATGGTGGCACACACCTGTAGTCCCCACTACTCAGCGAGCTGAGATGGGAAGATCACTTGAGCCCAGGAGTTTGAGGCTGCAGTGAACCATGGGCACACCACTGAACTCCAGCCTGGGTGACAGAGTGAGACCCTGTCTCAAAAAAAAAAAAAAAAAAAAAAAAATGGCATGGGAAGGAAAGAAAAGGAAGGACAAAAATGAAGCACACACACTTGAGAAAGGGACGATCTATTGCAACATGCCACAAATCTGCCTTACAGGCCCTAGTCTGAGCCCTGCTGGCATCATGTGTAGCATCACATGTGGAAGAAATATGTATTAGATGTTTAAGAAATCCAAGTTAAAATGCCATTAAAAAAACAGATGAGAAGTCCCAAGGCAATCTAACTGCCCAGTCTACAAGAGGACCAGATGGCAGCCTAGAGCGCCATACTATACTCTACTTGGGAAAAGGAAGTACTGGACTTGGAACAGGAGAAGATATTCTGACTTCCTATCCATCCCGTGAAGACCTTGTTCTTCTTTTATCTTAATTTGCAGGTGCAGAGTCTTAAAGAAAATGAGACACTGACTTCCTGGCCTGAGATAGGAGAGTCTAGACTCCATGAAGACTTCTGCTACTCCAAAGCATCCTTGCTGTGGTTTGGGTGATCAAAGTCAGGCCACTGCTTGGGATCACGCTCCTCAGGGCATATAGCTGGGCTGATGACCCTACTGGGACATTAAAGGAAAAAGAAGGGCAGCTTCAGACAGGCGCTCATTCCTGTCCTCCGTGTATTAGGTAGATTTGGAGTATAGCATGGGAAGCAGAGTGGGGGACGGAAGGGACACAACGGCAAAAGACAGAGAGGGGAGCTGGGGTTTTATCTGCCCTTCAAATCAACTGCCATTTGACTAAGTTCCCAGTTGGCTCAGGTCCTCGTCTTCCAATCTGTAAAATGGCACACTTATGCGATGTCCTCCTGAAGGTGGGGGTGGACTAAAGCTCCCCGACTGCCTGAAAACCCGTGAGTCTGAGTAATGTGCCTGGAAGTGGAGAGATACTGCCGGCTGAAACTCATCTGCCTCAGTAGTATTCAGCAGAAAACAGAGGGTCTGCTCAGTTTCCCTCTGACTTCCGTAAGTTTCTCAAACATAAAAAAAAAAAAAATCGACAAATGGCTGAGGAATCATAGAATCCCAAAATCAAGGAATGTATCCCTTGATACATTCCATAACGCATGAAGTCAATTTTCAGCATTTTCCCAGTGCTTTCTAAATCAAGAAAGGCTAAGCTACAAAACAGAGTGCAGCATTATTTTGGAGACATCACTAAACTGCAAAGGCATGAGAAAATAAATAAGGACGACCTGCGGAGATTCTACTTCCTGATTCTGAGATAATTATTATTAATAAGTAAGGAATAATAACTTCCTGATCCTAAAATAATTTTGAAAGATACATTTCTGCTTGAAACTAAAACTTTGACTTTTTCACCGAAGTGAGATATTCGGAGTTTCAGGTCTGCCTTGGCTTCAAATGTTTTCTTCCTTCTCTTCTCTGCCAAAGATGATCCCGTCCCACAGATAATCACTTACCTGTCAGGGTCACCTTCGGCATTAAGGCTTCTCACTTACTGCTAAGCCCCATCCTCCCCAGTGGATCATAATCCAGCTCTTTGATCTGTGCATGAATATCATTAAATTGACTGTCAAATTCTTAAAGGTTATGTATATTATGAAACTACTATTGAAGTGTCTCAGTGACAATCAAGTAACTTATATCAAGACCAGAAGCCCTGTTCAAAGCTCTGAAAATGTTTTAGTGTTTTCCAAACATGAAACCTTTGAATGATCCTAAGAGGCTGCACAATATAATTATAGTTCTTATACCATAAATATGTTTTGTTTGCCGGTTTTGAAAATAAATCATCCCAGGGACCCAACCTCCTACCCAACCTCCACGTCTTTCTAGGATGTAAATCACAGAAGATGGAAAAATCCCCCCTGGGCCTGCTTCTTGTTTTTCCAGCTAGAGGTTGGTTACAGGTAAAAGCCACATTGAAGTGCTGGAGCTGTGGCCCAGACACTCCTGGAAGGAGGCTTGGCAGGTGAAATGCACAAAACAAGTTTATCCTGCAAGATTTTCAGGCTCCTTTCCTCCCAGTCCCACTGAGGTGAACATAAACAGTGGAAATATGACTTGTGAATAAATCCTGAGTTACAATATAGATGTGACACTATAGTTAGATCATAAGAGCTAACTTTTTAAAAATTTTTACAAAAATCAACATACCAAAAAGATGTAGAGGTCCAGAAATCATTTTATGTAGCACTGTTGGAAGCCAAAACATTTCTTTCGAAAGAAAGAAGTACATGCAACCAGGAAACGTTTGTAAATATCAATGAGTTTTCCTACAACAAGCATTTTGTTAGGCATTGACTATGGGAATCAAATATGTCCAAAATATTCCCAATTGTTAATTTAAATGGCCCAAGGTAAAGTGTGCGAGCATACAGTTAGACTTTTAAAGGAGGCAGGTGTTCAAAATTCTTGCTAGAATTCTATAAACAAAGCTGTGACTTACCTCACAGCAAGGATGTATTCTAAATGATTACAAACAACTTTCTTGCACTGCAAGTTATTTTTCTGTATGTTGCCCAGGTATTGTAGCATATCTAACTCATACCACATATTAGATGGGAATGACAATCCCTGAATATGTTAAATCTAAAATGGGAGAACACAGTATTTTTAATCAGACTGTACCATAATAAACTCCAGTAAGCACACGCTGTCCCAAAATATTCAGGGAGGAAGTAAGGATACACAGGAAAGCCTATGTAATAACCAATCATCCAAAAAAGGGAAGTGAAGTATTCCACATCTGTAATGCTTTGTTTATATAATTAACTCTTTGCAACCTGCTGAATCTTATTAAAGTGAAATAAGTCATAATTCGAATAATAAAAGGGTGTGCTGACACATAAATTTGTCCATATGGATGCACTGACTTTTGTCCACAAGGAATTTAATGGTATTAAAAATACAAAACCGAGCATTGCTACTGAAATTAAAATTTGGGAGAAGACTGGAGTATTTCTGTCACTAACTGCTGGTGACTACATTTTCCCATGTGTCTCATGCTTACATGAACTTGGATGGCTCTCAGGGCTCAAATAGCAGTTCCTCAAAGAACTCTTCCAGGCCCTCCCTCCTGAGTCCACAGATCGTGGGTCCCAGCTACAAGGACTCCAGGCACACTAGGCTTCCCTTTCATGACATCTCTTAAACTGTAATTAAGTAATTAATTGTATAAGTATATAATTAGTCGTTTGATGTCAGTCTTTCCCTACTAGTATGAAAGCTTTATGAAGAAAGTGCCTGTGTTCTGTGCCTTGAATCAAGCAAACACTGAATAATTATATGTCGAATGAATAAATTACAATTACTGTTTCTTCTGTTTTCATCAAGAGCCGTCACTGAGTAAGCCTGGAAGAATTAAGTACTTCTGAATAAAGCTCTGCTAAAACAACTCCGCTTTTATCATCAGAGCCTATGACACTCTCTAAGGTGGTCTCTGCTATCCCCTTCTTCTTTGCCAAACATTCAAATATGAGTGAGAACGTTGTCTAAACCCCCAAATCCTTCCTTTGTACATATGTACTAGTAAAAGTGAAATTCATTTGATATTAGTTATTGATGCCCTTCCCAGGGCCCGGGGAAACAACTTCTAACTACTAAAGTGATTTTAGATAGGATATATAAATAACATATCATAAAGCAAAACAGTAAAATTTAAAACAACTCTGTGACATTTTAACATAATGTAATCGGCATTTCAATCACATTTTCTATATAGTGGTTTGTTTGGGGGAGGGGGTACATTGTGCAACTCTCCTGCTTATCCATAAAATTTGTTCCTTGTCAAAATGTTATTTTTTTACTTTGTCAGATATGAAAACTATGAAGCCAGGAATGGTGAAGCATGCCTGTAACCTCAACAATTTGAGAGGCTATGGCAGGAGGATCGCTTGAGCCCAGGAGTTCAAGAACAGCTCTGGCAACATAGTGAGACCCCATCTCTACAAAAAATAAAAAAAGATTAGCTAGGCACAGTGGTGTGTGCTTGTAGTCCCAGCCACTCAGGAGCCTGGGAGATCAAGGCTGTAGTGAGCCATAATTGCATCACTGCACTCCAGCTTGGGCAACAGAGCGATACACTGTCCCAAAAATGTATAAGTAAATAATAACCCTATAATTTGTGCCAATGGATGTATATGGCCGCTTTGTTAGTCTAAGTCTCGGATTGCTTATAAGCCATAGAAAGCCTTTCAAAGGCACCTCCAGGAAACCTTATGTACAAGTGTGGAAAGGAACGTAGGATTTGGCCTTGTTGGGGGCCCTAAGGGCACACAGGACAGCAGAGGAGGTGGCCTCCTGGGTGGGCGAGCTTTGCATGCCTGGGATGGAGAGTGGGTACTCCTTGGGAAGCAGGAGCTGATGTTCCCTCGTAAGGGGACCACCATTAACAAGAACCTGTTTCTCCCGTGGCCCTGTGACTCCTCCACTGCCAGCCACCTACTTTACTCTGTCTATGCTAAGTATCTTTTCCCCCATTTCATGAGTTCTTTTACTTATACTTTCTGCTTACTCACAGCTTAGGCTTCCTCCTGACTTCTTTCTCTACGTTTTTTAACCATACAACCTGAGAGCCAACTTGCTTTCCCTCTTGAACTCAGGCCTCTTCAGGGGGATCTGAGCAGGTTCAGCCACCACCATCCCTGTTAGGCAAAGTCCTTGTGTAGCCCTGCAGAGTCACCTCATTCCAATCAGCTGGGACCAGGGAAGTGAGAGCATGTAGGACAGAGCATGGTTATCCACAAAAATTAATGAAAAAGTTAGCTGGGGCCACATAGCCTTGGACAGTAGCCCTCTGGAAAAAAAGGCAAGAAGTGTGACTGTCTTGTGTTAAGAATCAGAAACTAGTTCCCTTCAAGAGTGATCTTATGACTCAATTTGGGATGCAGAAAAGTTTCCTCTTTCCTCAGGTAGAATAACAGGAGTTTAGATGTTGTCCATTTCTCTATTTTAGTTTACTATTCCCTTTCATGTTTGCTGCTCAAAACAGAAAAGGAACTGGGGGGTGGGGGGCAGGGGAAGCTACAAAGATTAAAATGCCACAACGTAAACACAAAATCAGCAACTAGACTCTTGGTTCTAATATTGACTTTTCACCTTTTGAATCCATTTTCTCATTCTGCTTTTTTTTGTCAGAACTCTGCAGCTGCCAAATACAAATATAATAGACAAAGGCCTGAGAATTTTGCTTAGAATGACAGAAAGGAGCTAAAGTTCACAACTGGACCATATCCAGTTTTCTGCCACAACAAAACTCATATTCAATCCCTCTGTGTAGGAGAAGCATATATTAGCCCATTTTCACACTACAATAAAGAGCTGCCTGAGATTGGGTAATTAAGAAGGAAAGAGATTTAATTGACTCACGGTTCAGAATGGCTGGGGAGGCCTCAGGAAACTTACAATCATGGCGGAAGGCGAAGGGAAAGCAAGGCGCTTTCTTCACAACGTGGCAGAAAGGAGAATAAACAGAGGAGGAACTACCAAACACTTAGTAAACCATGAGATCTCGTGAGAACTCACTATCACGAGCACAGCATAGGGGAAACCGACCCTGTGATTCAATTACCTCCACCTGGTCTCTCCTTTGACACGTGTGGATTATGGAGATTATAGGGATTACAATTCAAGATGAGATTTTGGGTGGGAACACAGCCAAACCATATCAAAGCAGATTATATGAAGAAAAAAAAAAATCCCCTTTTACCTACTTTTTAGTTTATTATATATTTTTGTAGAAACTTATTTTGGTAGAAAAGTTGTTTGGTGCGCATGTCATAGTTACCCGTAAAACCTCACAAATGTTTAAGAAAATAAAATTATAAGCACAGTCTGTTTAAAAGCTAAATTATTTTTTGTCAGAAAAAAAAAAATCTAAGGTATTCATTTCCTCTGTGGCCTGGGTTACAAAGAGTAAATTTATAATCGAATGGAAAAAAAAAAAGTCTCAGAGGGAAAAAAGGTA
The DNA here is from genome assembly GCF_000001405.40 of Homo sapiens. Lineage (NCBI taxonomy): Eukaryota > Metazoa > Chordata > Mammalia > Primates > Hominidae > Homo > Homo sapiens. The sequence continues at coordinate 20,779,852 of NC_000010.11, forward strand.
GTGAATTCTTCAAATAAATAACTGTGCTGTCTTGTGATTTCAAATACAGTGTGCTTGATTCATAATACTATTAAAATATTCATTTCATACTTACGGAATATGAAAAACAGAAAATCCAATATTTGGAAGAAGTGTTTATTCTACGAGCAGATGTCATCCGCAAAGTTTATCAATTTACAATTAGGAAGGATTATGAGCCAAAGAGAAAGTTTTACAAAATAATACAATAAGACTAGCATCCAAATCGCATAGATTTATATGAGTGTGAAAAATAGGGACTCACTTTTTCAATTATGGGAAGCGTAGTGGGGGGAGAAAAGCAATTGTGTTCTGTGATAAATGAGCCTTTCTTAGCTGAGAAATCAGTTGCTTCCCATTTTATGTACTCAATTTGTGCACTTTCTATTCTATGCTCCAAACCATTTCTTTCATCTTATGAATAGAAGAAAATTAGAATTGTACTATTGAGGACATATGAGGAATTTATTCTTGAAATAAATTAACTACAATGATGCATTGTTGCGGTACTTTGATATAAAATCAGAAAGATACTGAGCTTGGAGAAGCATAATATTGTTATCACTTACAACTAAGTTTATTTGGGGGAGGAAAATATCTTGACTGATTCACCAATGTAAATGCACTGAAGGCAGCACACACCTCTGATGCGATTTGATGTGAGTTGTCATGTTAAATCTCAGACCCGGGGTATTATTAGGGTGCATTGCTTGCATCTAACAACCCATGCTCCAAGAAACCACGGTGAGAGCCAAGAAGTGAACCATTTTTTTTATATCCTGCATTTATTTAAGCAAACCAAATGTGTAGAGATAGGAAATTAATGTGTTATAATGTTTTACAAATACAGAGAGAAAACACAGAATATTAAGACCCTGAAGAGAGTGCATTTGAGAACGCAGTTCTATCATAGGAGACCACTTGCAGGGAACACATTAAAGCCATTGCTGACACAGCCATCTGTCATTCCTGGTTTGCCGTCATTTAAGTAGTTTCAATAGATAAATCGGTGATTTGCTTTTAAACAAATATTAATGTTAATGATTAGGGTAGCCTTGAAGGGTTTGTGAGTGACTGTACTATACAATGTGATGCTAGGCTTAATGTGTCATTTCAATGCTGTTGTACATTATGCAGGGGAAATAATGTCTTATTACACATTAACTGCGACATCCACTAAAATGTGAACTAGTTTGCATAGGTTAGTCCTTTGGGCAGCACGATGTTGCTCTAGTCCACCAAGGCTTAAAGATTCACAGTGTAGAGGAAAAAAATATGAATTAAAGCATTTCTACTAAAATATATTTTAATAGCTGGTGTTAACAATTTGCATAACAAAAGCCAAATTATATTAGTAACATTGTAACATTCCGTGAAGCCCCTTCATTTGCAAAACATTCAATGTTTTCTTCAAAACTGTTACACTCTCAAAGTTAGTCTCGCAAATTAATCATCAACCACAATTCTACATATTTTGAAGCAAACAGAAGCCAAACTGTACAATGGTTCAATTTTGATCACAGGTCAAACATCAAGTTTCACACCATGCCTGTAATAGACTTGGTGCTGCTTCCTAAATGCTCAGCAATTCATTGCATGGACACTGGAGAATGGGACTGTGATGCAGTTTTCTCTTTTCCTTTAAAGTACATCATTCTTAACAGCAACTGGATTACAAAGAAGTGATACTATGCAAACTGGATACCATGTATCAAGCACAAAAAATCCTATGGCATTCCCAGGAATATACTGAAGTCATACAGACAACTGAGAAAATTTGCTCAAAGATTCTTCCAAGTTTATGGGTTCAAGTAGTCTAAGCATCACAGAATAATAACCACAGAAGCAACATACAATGCCTTGACTTTTTTGATCAACAGTTGACAGTTAGTTGCGAGGAAAGGGTCCAAAAGGCATGGAATACTTCAGAGACTTTTATTTTAGCATCCTTGTCAGTTTACATAGCTTCTTACTTAACTAAAAGCTCTCCCACCTCCATATCACCTTAACCAAAACAACCACAATCTAGCCACTTTTAGATTATCAGAAGCAAATCGCTAAGGTATAATTAATTTATGAAGTGAAGTTCATCTTGTGTAGTGAATCCAGCCTCACAATTATTCTATCTTACAATAGGCATTTTAAATCCCAAATCTAAAGTTAATGTTTATATAGCTCAACTCTATATAAATCCACAAAGAACCTTTCAGAAATAGATGGAAGAAGTCGGCATTTTCTAAAGTTCTAAATCTTTAGAGATAAAATACAATCAGCTAACACCTTTAATATCTGAGGAGCATCCCACTTCCCTACCACAAAAATATCAATCATGTGTAATAAAATATTACTATAGAATAGGCAGCAACTTGCTTGCTTGGTTTTCTTTCCAAGAGCATACTAGACAAACAAGAGTAATCAAAAAGGCACCTATATTTGTATATATCTGTATTACAGTTTTGGTATATCTTTTATCCACTTTCTATAGGGATGTGTTATTAAAGATCACACACATTTTCTTCATCTTTTATTGAAAACATTCCACTGGAGATGGATGAACCTGAAAACGAGGTACATCCCTTGAACTTCCACTATCTTTTTAGAAAAAGTCTTGTTCCTCATTCCCAGAGTGTTGTCAAGCTCAGCATGGAGAGGATAAGGAAAGACTGTGGCACATTGGAAAAACCAGATCTGCATCTTCTTCAAGAAATAAACCCAGTGGACAGAGAGGGGCTGGTCTAATCTTATCCATATTCCTACAAGGTGCTTGTGGAAACTGTGCTTACAAATGCCTGTGTGGTGTATGGAGGTCGAGGAGACCTGGGATCATCAAGAGCCTCCTCCATGGGCAGTTGATAACCAAATAAATATTTCAAACTGGGCTACACTGCAAGTGTGTAAACAATAACAAGAAGACATGAAGGATTCATTTTGCCATAGGTTAGAAATAGAAAGCTTTCTAGAGAACAAGAATTATTAGTAAAAACATGTACTACAAAAGCTTACAACAAAAGCAATATATTCTGTTGCTATACTTTGCTCAAGAGAGAGAGGATCCCTATACAGCTTTGTTTTCAGAACCTTTTAAAAGTGTATCAAACTGTTCCTTGTGCTTCTGTCAGGCTTGAGAACACATCAAACTTTAGAAAGTCAGGTGCATGCTCTCTGTGCTTGGACATTTACACAGTCATCTTTAACTCAATTTTTAAAATCTTCTTTAGCTGTCAGCTTCATGCACGAGATACCTGTTGCCAAACCAAAGGTGGGAGGGAAGCACGTGGAAAGTGGAAAAGTTGTTCAGGCATGTCATTTTTTTTTAAATGATGCTTTTAAAAATAGCACTTTGGTTTTATACATATAATTTTCCAATATTTCTCCTGAGATGCTTAACATCCTGACAAGCTTTATTAACAACTGCCAACACTACCAAATTATGGCCTCAAGAGCATGCAACATCTTGTTCAGTTTTAGTCTTCATTGTAAAACAACTACCCTTTAGTTAAATTCTGATCAGATCTTAATTCCTAAAGGCTTGAAGCAGAAATATTTTGCTATGCAAACATTATTACGTGAAGCTTAAAATTTTAGGAGACTTATTCCTCAAATATGTATTGACTTTTATGCTCAGTGAATCTGGTTTTGAAATCGGTGGATGAAATTACTTTCCTGATTACAAGCATTATTTCAAGTCAGTTTTCATTGCGGTTCTTATAAATGTGCTATTTATCCAAAATTGTACCTGTCCTATATTTAGTCTGAAAATTTAATCAACAACTACTCTTTCTTATAATCACAAAAGAAAATGGCCTGCCTGGGTGAAATGTAAATATATACTTAGTAAAATAAAATTGAGCAGGTATTTTATCCTCAGTTTTAACGACAGATTTTTTTGCAAAAATATTGCAAGTTCAGTTTATTTTTGTAGGTTTGTGTACAATATACCAAAACAGATATGGGGTTTTATCACTTTAATCACGACTGGCCATTTCAGTGAGAGAAAACCAGCCAAACCCCCTTAAAAGAAGTCTCTAGTTATTTGCCTGCATTTATTTTTTCAACTTTATGTCAGTGACATATAGATGCAGCTTCAGTGTAATAAAGCCTATTTACCCTTTTAGCCTAATAAAATGAAATCACAGATTTTCAAAAGCATGTGCTAACTTTTCTAAAGTGGAAATAAATTAGCTTTGGCCTTTGGACTAGTAAACGTTTCCTTAAACGATGTTTTACAGGATGTTTTGTTAATTTCCTTGAATATAACATATAAGGCAGATATCCCCAAGACCCGTACATCTTAGTACTTTTTTGCAGTTTTGCTTTTTCGGTTTTGTCATAGCTGTGAAGTCAGACCCTAAGTGAATGCCACCCCGTTGCAGGTCACAGTAAACGGCACAATCAGAAAAACACAGGGTTGCCGACGGGTGCCGCTGGCTTGGTGACCTGGACTGCAGACTCTGGATGAAATTTCAAGACCCACCAGCAAGGGCTAGCATAAAGCCTGCAAAGTCACTTATTCGAAAATCAAAACATGGCAACAATTTCTTTCTTAGAGAACAGGCTCTTGGGCCTGTACTAAAAAATCTCTGATGACATTCCTGTTTCATTCCCTTAAAAATGATTTAGAAAATAAAAGCAAAAAAAAATGGAAAAGGACGTCTTTTGATTAACCCGTTTTGGTGGCTAGATTTCCATTCCAGAATTTGAATACCATTTTCCAAAAGAAGATACCAGATCATCTCTGTATGGAATTGGTAACTTTGTTTGCTGAGTATTTTTCCAGTCACACTCCAGCTTCCATTGCTTCACTGGCTTCTGTTACATTTTCTTCACTTTGAAATCAATGGTGGCATTAAGTTAATCAAAGCTGTTCAATGGAACACCTAAATCGCTTATTTACTAGAGTATACATGTTATTTCCTAAGATGTAAATCCTTCAAAACTAGAGTGCGATGCAGCAGGAAAATCTCAAGCATCTTTTCAAAGTATGTTTTTCTGATGAGCTGGCGACTAGAGGAAGAAAGGGCTTTTAGGTATCAGTCACCCTTTTTGCTTCAATAATAGGAACGCGCAGTGCAGCTGCCTATGTTACAGAAGCTTGAATCTACATGACATGCAACAGGGTAAATGCTACTAGGGAAATTATATCAATGACATTATAATTTGCCCTTTGCAGAGTAGCTGTGAAGTTATTTGGTCCTGACATTCTGTGGAACTGAGCATAGACTTGGGTCCATAGAATATAAATGGAGAGTAGGAGATGCCTTGGTACAAATGAGAAATAAATAGATACCAGTCAGCCTAGGGAACAAGGAAATTTCTCTGTTTAGTAGAAGTTTCTAGATCCCTAAGGCCACCAGTCAATATAATTTTAACCAGACTGTCCTTCTGCCACTGTTTACACTTATTATATTGGGCAATTTTCACTAATATTGGAAATTGCCTCATGACTCAAAAGCAAAACGGGTTTGAAATTATTGGCTGCATTACAGAGTTAAGAGAATTGGCTTGGGGTGATTCCAAAGTGACAGCTAAGAAGTTTCAAACACACACTACATTTAAGGGACAATCAACTTCTCTATTAAAGTCTACAAAAATACATTTCCCAGAAGGGTTCAATAGCCAATCAAAGGAAACCATGAACACAATTAGCAGCACCAGGTGTCCAGACACAAAGATTTTTGTTTGTAGGAATTACTGAAAATGCTGCTGTTTTCAGCCCAGAGGTCATTCCTTCTTCCTGGTACCTGTGTGTCTAATTGTCAAAGGAAGGATACATCATTGTAAAATAATGGCCAAGTTGTCTTAAAAGTATCTTCTATCTTTTAAAAAGATTAGGTTTGGGATACATTAGAATAAAGCTCAAAGGGCAGGGAGAAATAATTAATTAACAAACTCAATGTAATTCGCTGGGAGCATTCCTGTTCTCCCTGTTCTCTGCACTGTGCCGTACATCCAGCCATCGTCAATAGGCTGCACGTTGACGATGTAGTCGCCGTCTCTAAAGGAGACCTCGTCTTCATCCTGGGCACTGTAATCGTACATGGCTCGGTAGGTCCTCTGAGAAAGGAAGAAGGGATTATACGATGAATGCCGAAATAGCTACAGCCACAAATTCCAATCACAACACACCGACCCACACATAAAGTAACTATTAGGAATGTTTTCAAACACATGTATCTCTGGAAATCTGTAAACCTAGCATCTCATTGTGCTGATCTCAAGTTTACTAGTCTAGCAAATAGCTTAATATTTTTGGAACAGGGATAGAAAAGTCACTAAATACGACAGGTAGCCCATCAAAAAGTAGGCTTTGAAATAATAAAGCCAAGTTCCCCCCAACTTCAGATAACCCCAGAAACCTTAGATAATATGTGATTTCATATTCTTCAGAGAACAAAACTCGTCATATGTCAGAGAAGTTCAAATCTCTCCTGGCAATGTACTTTTCTTAAGTTGATGCTAAAAATGTTCATTTCCTCTTAAAACTATGTAAAACAAATGAAAGAAAAAACTCATAACATACTCACTATATAGGTTTCTGTATCACTATGAGAGAAATTTAGCATATAAGTGTCCTGAATGTTAAGATACATACTCAATTGTACTTATTATATTATGATTATAATGAGTTTTCCTATATTTGTTTTTGTTTAAGGCTAAGCATTTAGCTAACATTAACATCAGACAATCTCAAAATCAAGTACATTCACAGACTGAGGACATGGCTGGGACCCAAAGAATTTTAGAGCAATTCAAGTTACCGGACAGTGTAGAAGAGTTTTCTAGGTGTTGAGGCAAAGACCAAGAGACTATGTTGAGGGCTTGTAGAAGAAATTTCTGCATGAGAAGCCAAGTATAACTAGCAAATGTTGAACACTTCTTCCAAGTTTTACACTGAATATATGAACCAGTTCTTCAAGATTTCCAATGGGGGATTTGAAGATATATTTTGGCCACATAATTTAGGCTTTTGTGTTCATTTTGATTAAGATGAACTTGTAAATACAACCATCAAATATCCATGCTCCTAAGGCATGAGTAAAGAGCATAATCGGCTAGTACCAATCATGAAGTAACAATTAGGATACTGTACTGGTAGATTCTTTGTATGTTTTATTGTTTTATGTAATGCTTATTAATGCCTTCCTTTCTCAACAGTTTACCTCTGTAAGTTTTTTGCTTCCTTCAAAAGAGTTGTATAAATGGCAACACATCATCATTTATCTTTAAATGAAAATACCCAATATTCAATTCAACTCTATTCCACATGTATTTACATGCTTGAGGGGAAATGGGAAGACCAGCTAAGGAGGAACGTATCAAATGGACACTTACTAGATTTGGTGAATGCTGCATTGATCTCATGGATGACACACTGGTCTGGTGCATGTAGCCATAGCCTTGGGAATGGCTTTGCTGATAGGCTCCGGGAAGAACAGGTGCTGCATGTTAAACATACACACACACAAAGATTCCTTAAAGTTAGCCTCGAAATACCCATCCCAAACCCTCAGAGTGATGTTATGCTCTGCTAGAAGCTTCTGAAACAAAATGCCTTTTCAGTGTTGTGAAATTTAAGTTGCAGTGTTATAAGTGATCTCTAGATTAGTAGAAATCTTAGTAATTAGGGACACATAAAGAAACTCAGCTTAGCATGCAGTTAAATATGCTTTAAATATTCTTGTGGCTCTATTGCAGATGCTCAGTTAAAAACATAAACAAAAATTTTTCATACTCCCTTAATGAAATCATGTTTTTATTCGACCATGTGATCCTTTTTGGCATTTTCCAAAAGAAAAATAAGAATTTTAAAGGAATTTAATGATAGAGTATAAGTGTTTTCACAGGGTATTTCTCATATAACAGATACTGTCAATATTTCAAGACATACAGCTGAATGTTACTTTTACAAAGACGGCAAACATAACGTATGTTTAGCAACACGTTTGTTCGGTAGTTAACAAAAAGTCCATACCCTTTAAAGAAACATTTACTTAGAATATATGAAGTCTTTGTTTTATGAAGGAGTGATATTCAGCTGACTTATCAAGACTAAATAAGTCAGCTAAATACGTTACAAAAGCCTGAGAAACCAAATCCTTAAAGAATTTCATAAACATTATTCTTCTATATTAAAAAAGTATCAAAATAGTATTCATTTAGTATGTGCTCTCCAAACCACTAATTATGACATTCAAAAGGCATAGTTCCTGTTTTGAAGAACTCGGAATTCTAGAGAAGCCAACACAGAAGCTAGATTTTAAAACCCCACAGAATCAGCAGACATATGCTTGTGTGTTTCTCTGTGAATGTGTTTAAGTTATCTGTGACCAGAAACATGAGCTATAAATGAGGGTATTTTCGTAGCGTGCCCTTCATTGTCTTTTGAAAAATTTATGTGCTACATTAGTAAAACTTATAGTCATATGTGCTATAAAATATATAATAGTTTGCCATTTTTGTTTAATCAGGTTGAGTATATAAAGTAATTATAATGGGTTGATTTATTCAGAACAGTTTTTATAATAAAAGAAATAAGATTTAATTCTGAGTGTTATGAATAATTAATATTTTATAAGTAGAAAATTCACTCTAATAAGTGAGAACATCAATACTTTAAAGAAGTTTAATCATCAGAAAATTACAAATCATTTAATATGTTCTCCAGATGATAATTATATTAGATTGAAAGGGGATTTTTTAAATAGTTCTTGAGTGAATTTATCTTATAAAGTTATTACAAATTATGCTTAATGTCCAGATAGGGGACCAAAGAGAAACTGCCAAGATCTCCACTTGAATTATAGTATATTGCAAAGTCATTAAAACATCATTAAATATCAAATACTTCAGAAAAGAACACTTTTTAACATTATCAACAAAATTTAAATATTTGATATCAACAGATGTTAAAGATATTGTCAAAATCCACTCACGAAGAAAAAAGAATGAAATTCCCATAGATCTCCAGGCCCACTTAATTAGCTGAGTAGGGAGGCTTTTCTATATTAGACTCTGGAAGCCTTGTCCATTGATTCATTCACTGTCTCTGCTCTCAGCAAATATTTATCAGTTAATGCGTGCACAGAGCATACTGCATTTCCTGGCACATAGTAAGCCTTCACAAATGGTAACAATAATTATTACTGTCCACTATGTTCAAGGCATGCCAGGAAGAAAAGGGGTGACAAAAACAATTGCTCTCCTGGAGCACCGAGGGTCTTGGGCACCTGGCCTTTTACCCAATTAACAAAATGGCACTGGCTACTCACGGTATTTCCAATTAAATGATTCAGCCTGCATACTCCAGACTGTTAGTCTTGCACTGGTTTTTAACCATTTAAACAACTCATGGCTTCATTAATTACTACTTGAATCTATTTGTAAAGTTTGAAAGATTAAATATAAACATCTCTGTAAATTTATAAAAATTAAATTCTAATTCATTGTTACACCATTTAACTGTGAACTTTAAGTTTTAATGTGTAGAGGTAAGCACAGCCATCTTTAAATGTTTAAGAAAAACTTTCAGGAATGGACATTGAAAAATTTGGGAAAATAGGCTATCTCACACTCTGTAATACATTTAGGTTCACCTAGTTTATACATCACAGTCCCAGCTTAGTGCCTGTTAAGTGCTGACAATTCAAGAATGTTGCTTAACAATGTTTTCTCATTTTGGCTTTCAAAAAATAAGTATGCTGGGTATGGTGGCTCATGCCTGTAATCCCAGCACTTTGGAAGTCCAAAGCAGGAGGACTGCTTGAGCCCAGAAGTTTTGAGACCAGCCTGAGCAACATAGCAGACTCTGTCTCTACTAAAAATAAAATAAAACAAATAGCTGTGTGTGGTGGTGCATGCCTGTGATCCCACCTACTTGGAAGGCTGAGGTGGGAGGATTGCTTGTATCTGGGAGGTCAAGGCTGCCATGTGATCTCACCACTACACTCCAGCCTGGGTGACAGAGAGCAATCTTATCTCAAATTTTATATATATATATACATACACATACACACACACATATATATATGTATAGATATATGTATATATATATGTGTGTGTATATGTGTATATATATATGTGTGTGTATATATATATATATACACACACACACATACAAGTTATATTTATGCCTACTCCTTACTTATATCTGACTTTGAAAGGGAACCTGTGCTACTGTTAAATATAGCAAGAAAAGAAAGTAATGTATTAGTTCTAAATGTGTATATGTTGCAGACAGCAGGGAAGGGAGTTTAGAATGAGAAACTTTGGAATAAACATAAGCCATCTATCTAGCCCTTGCAGTTTATCTTCATGCCTTTATTGATTATTCTCATTTGCCATCTGGCTGAATTAGTTATTAAAAAGTTTCTTTGGGATTATAAAACCTAGTTATCTACCTTATACTTGGTACAATAAAAGAGTTTTTAGGGAACTCCTATAGGGGTTATAAAAAAAATAACTGATGGGTCACACCTGTAATCCCAGCACTTTGGTAGGCTGAGGTGGGCAGATCACTGGAGGTCAGGAGTTCAAGACCAGCCTAGCCAACATGGTGAAACCATCTCTACTAAAAATACAAAAAATTAGCTGGGCGTGGGGTGTGTGCCTGTAATCCCAGCTACTCGGGAGGCTGAGGTAGGAGAATCACTTGAACCCAGGAGGAGGAGGTTGCAATGAACCGAGATCATGCCACTGCACTCCAGCCTGGGCGACAGAGTGAAACTCTGTCTCAAAAAAAAAAAAACAAAACAAACAAACAAAAAAACAAAGACAAACATAATTGAAAGCCTAAAGAAATCAACTTAGTAAAAGCAAACAGCAATTTAAGAAGAGGCATAAACACTGCTTTTCTATTGTTATGCTACAGGAATGCCTTTTTTGGAAACTTAGGTAAATAAAACAAGCAAAAGGAAATCTAAAGCAATGGCTTCACATTTGGTTCACTGAGAATTTGGTTGAAAGATAGCTATTCCATGTATGAGATTTCTTCCATGAACATGTGGAATCAAAGGATTTTTAAAAAGTAAGATGTCAGGTTCATTTGGCAACAAACAAGGGCTTTTCAATCAAAGAGTAAAAGCATAGTGCCCTGTTTATTAAACTAGTCATCAGATACCATTAGCATTGCTACAAATGGGGGACAATGGCTTTTCTAACCAAAGAGTTTGAGTTTGACAGGTTGTTTTATGTCAACAAGATTAAAGCCACAAATAATAGTTTTAGTTATACTAAGTCAATGAAAATACACAGAAGTGTGACTCAACTTTCACTTCACATTGGTAAGATTTATTGACCAAAGATCTAGAAGCTGTCTAAAGCTCTAAGCATTTCAGGCTCTATATGGAATATTCTACAACATTTATAACATCAAAATGTCTCTTCTACTGTACAATAAAGTACTTCCACAGATAGGCTATTTTCTGCTTAATGGTTATTATTAAAATGGAAAGAGATAAAACCAAGATAAAGAAGTGAATACATGTGAAGATCATAAAAGAGAAGATGAAAAGGGAGGAAGAAAAGTTTTGTTTTTTTGTTTGTTTGTGTTTTTTGAGATGGGGTCTCACTCTGTCACCCAGGCTGTAGAGTAGTGATGTGATCACAGCTCACTTCAGCCTCAAACTCCTGGACTCAAGCGATCCTCCTGCCTCAGCCTCCCAAGTAGCTGGACATACGCCACCATGCCCAGCTGATTTTTTTTTTTCCCTACAGACAGGATCTTGCTACATTGCCCAACCTAGTCTCAAATTCCCAGTCTCAAGCAATTATCTTGTCTCAGACTCCCAAAGCACTGGGATTATGGGCGTGAGCACTGCACCATGCTAAGAACATGTTAAGAGGCTCACCAAATCTGAAACTGGAAAAGAGGAAATATACGTAAATACACAAAGATTAGAGTAAATGAAAGGAAGAAATGTACCCACAAGAAACGTTGAAGAGTACTCAAAAAGAAGTTCACTGGGGGGGATGTACGCAGAGTGCGTGAAAGAAGAGAATATGATTAAGTGTCCTTGGTGTTCATGGTGCTTTGTATGCCATCATTTAATTACTGCAACAACTATCTAAAACAGATACCATTCCCACTTTACAGAACAAAATACAACAGAGGCTGAGAGATTGAACAGGAAGGCAGCAAAAAAATTATTTGTGCAGTGAAGCCACAGTTAAGGTTTCAAGTCATCAAAGAAAAGGTGAAGGTTTTGAAGGCCCCTCAATGACTATAGAGATACAGTCGATGGCCAAATTCCAAATAGAAAAAAAAAAAAAAGAAAGAAAGAAAAAGAAAAAGAAAAAAATGGTACTTTAACTATAGATGTAATGTGAAAAGAGAAAATAATTTGGGTTTTTTCCTATGGGCTTACTTTTTGAAAAAATCCAGAAAAAGGGAGAAAATCACCATTCAGAAATTTCCCAATAAAGAGTCTAGGACACAATGCAATTATTGTCATATTTTCTAACACTTGACTACTGTTTTATCAGCTAATGTATGTCAAATAACTTAATGAGGTTTTGTTTTTCTTTTTAGGACAAAGAACCCCTATTTAGACAATCAGAGAGGAATTGCTAAAAGAGAAAGTAGGACTATGCTGCTAGTTTTGAAGTAAGTATTAAATAATGAACTAGATCCTAGTTAAATCCTGTCTAGTCCTGGCCGGGCATGGTGGCTCACGCCTGTAATCCCAGCACTTTGGGAGGCCGAGGCAGGCAGATTGCTTGAGCTCAGGAGTTCGAGACCAGCCTGGCCAATATGGTGAAACCCCAACTCTACTAAAATTACAAATTAGCTGGGCTTGGTGGCAGGTACCTGTAATCCCAGCTACTTGGGAGGCTGAGGCAGGAGAATTGTTTGAACCTGTGAAGAGGAGGTTGCAGTGAGCTGAGATCGTGCCTTTTCACTCCAGCCTAGGTGACAAGAGCAAAATAATTCTGTCTCAAAAAAAAAAAAAACAAAACTCCTGTCTAGTCCATGAGCAAGGTGGCTGTGCTGCTTGGTTATAACACACGGCCATGGTATGGACCTTTCTGCTCAAATTGCTTTTACACGTGTCACTGAGAGTTTCATGTCAAAGCCTCAAGTCCTATTCACATCTGATCACAAGACATAAGTGGGAGTTAAGTCCACAAAGTTTATATGCAATCTAGAAACAAGATGCTATTTTTTAATCTGAAAGGATTCTTAGCACTACAGAAACCCCTTTTCCTTCCCTGCAGGATACAGAAGCAAGCCAGATTGCCTCTAGATTTTAGTTTGCAGATTCTTAATTATAAGCTCTGAATAGGGAAGTGCCGAAGAAACAGGCTTACTGCATAATAAACTAAGAATACCCAGACTTCAATATAAAAATGAAGTGCTCTATAATTGAGTTAAAACCACCAAGTTTTAAAGACATGCCTAATCATCGTGATACAAAATAATTAAGCTCAAGCTTTGGGAATCATTTAAAAATAAAAGCAGTCATTACTGTTTTATATGTTAAATCTTCAGTTTCAGCAGGAGCAACAAACCCTGGAAAGGAAGGACAGGAGATTAAGGACTGAGGACAGAGGAAGAATCAGTTACTTGCAGTGTTTTCAACCCTGACTGCATATGACGTTCAGGTCCCCCACACCAATTATAATAAATCAGAATCTAGGGTGGCGGTAAAGGAAATTGCATAATGGTGTCTTATTTTTCTTTCTTTCTTTTCTTTTTTTTTTTTTTAACACAGGATCTGGCTCTGTCACCCAGGCTGGAGTGCAGTGATGCCATCTCAGCTCACCGCAGCCTCCATCTCCCAGGCTCAAGCGATCCTCCCACCACAGCCTCCCAAGTAGCTGGGACTACAGGTGCATGCTACCACACCCAGCTCATTTTTCTGTGTTTTTCATAGAGATGGGGTTTTTCCATGTTTCCCAGACTGGTCTCAAACTCCTGGGCTCAAGCCATCCATCCACCTTGGCCTCCCAAAATGCTGGGATTACAGGAGTGAGCCACTGTGTCTGGCTGGTGTCTTGTTTTTTCAAATGAGCAGCCACAATGCGGACCTACCGAACTGGCGGGCTTCATTCACCCCCATTTGACAGGAATTTAGGGGTATATGTGGCTCTATTTTAAACATGCTATTTCCCCAATTCCCTCTTTTCCCCCAGTGCTTTGTTTCCAATATCTGTGGAGGCGAATGTTTGAACCTGGGCCTCGGGAAGCAGCCTGGGACTGCAGGAAGAAATCCAAGTCAAGAGAAAGCTCATTGTAGAATAATTTGGAGGTTAGCGTGCAACATTCCTGGGAAAGCCAGTGCCACGAGGCGAGGGGAAGCGGACCCCATTTCCTTGGGGTGGAGCAGAGCAGGACCTGGCGGTCATCAGCTGAGAGGAAGGAGGAAGTGTACAGCCTAAAATATCTTTGCAAAATCAAAAATCCTCTCTCAAGCCAATGCTAGGATCCTAATAATCAATTCTCCTCTTCTAGACTCTCATATTATCTTTGTTTTAATTTTCTAGTTTTAGCTAAATGTTATTTCTATTCCTATAATGTATCCTGTTTATAGTATATACTATATCCTGCTTACTGCTGACCATACTACAGTAATACATACTACTTATAGTGATAAAACAATTATCGCCATTATTACTTTAAGATTGCAAATCTATTTATTTTGGTGAAATATACATACCATAAATGTATCCTTTTAATCGTTAAGTGTACAGTTGTTTGACATTAAGCATATTCATATTGTGCAACCTGCATCTTTATAAGAAAATGCAACCTACATAAAAGTATTTAAGCACTCAGGTGTATACCCCTGTGAAAGTTAGTGGGGGAAAGAGGTAACATAAGACTCTACTTCCCCAGGAATACTGAATCTGCACACAATAAAAGTTTAATAATATAAGTAAAATGCTTACAACCCCGTTAGCTCAAGATTTTACTAATTTAGCTCTTAAAGTTCTGCTTTTCAGGAACATCCTTAGTCTCGGGCAATTTGGGATGTTCGGTTTTTTTCCTTACAATGTTCCAGCCCTGCGCTTAGGATGTCACATGCTTTAGTTGGTGTAACTGTCACCACAATCTTCTTTTCACCAACAAAGGAGCTGAAGGTTAGCAGATTAAGTAATTTGGTCAAATATCAGAAATGAGGGGGAGCCAGAATTTAATGCCAAAAATCTGACTTCAGAACCCAAACTCTTGACTATACTAAACCTAAATTATTACAGAAGAAATGACAAAACAGTGTGAGATTAATTTCAAAATAACCACTGTGAATTCAGAAAAGTGTAAGAGTACTATGGCATGTTGAGCAGAGAAGATTCTAGGAGTAAGAAGACTGGATCTGAAGTTTGAAAAGGAGGCGGTCAACCCTTCCTGCTTGGGGCAGTAGAAGTGAGAAAGAGGGAAAGGTAAAGAAAAATGAGTTTAAATGCACAGGATATGTGCCAGCCAGGCTTGTTAGGCTCATAGAGGTTACTCTATTTGTCATTAATTTGTGTGTATATGTGTGGTAAACATCCAACCAGAAGTTTATGTGTATGTGGTTGATGAGGTATGCTAAAACATCTCTGGAAGAAATTGTAGAGGCAGAAATTCACCCACTTTTGGAAAAGCAAACTCAAATAAAGTAGCATCATTTCTGAAGCAATGACTTTTAGATTTATTGTAAGAGTCATTTTAGCATCTGACAAGTCTCTGGGGAGAGAGAGTGTGCGTGTGCAATGTGTGTGTGTGTGTGTATGTCAGATTAATTTTTCTTTTTCCCATTGCCAATACCAACCTATTTTATCCAGGGCAAATATTTAGTCGCCTTATCTTGTATGATAAATTTCAAGCCTATGTTCAATATCACGTCTCCTAATGTGACTTCAACCACATTCCCACTGAGTGACAACAGCTGCATAGTGATGGCACCTAACAATCTTCAAAGTCACTGTGTACAACGCTGCCTGAAAAAGATCTCCCACCATCAGTATTAGAATAAGCAATGCTGTCACCAATATATGAAAGATTTAGTTGAAAATACAATTAATTCCATGAGATTTTTAACCATTTTCTTCCCCAAATATAAATAACCAGGTTTATAATATTCCTTAAATATTAATGGATTAAAGATTCTTTATTGCCTGTGAACTGCAAAAGGAAACATACATACTTTGTACTTTTTAAACTACATATGCAGACATTACATTTCAGCACTTCATTGATATATTTGACTTAGTTGTCTCAAATGAGAACTTCTAGGCTGGGCACGGTGGCTCATGCCTCCAATCCCAGCATTTTGGGAGGCTGAGGCGGGCGGATCATTTGAGGTCAGGAGTTCGAGACCAGCCTGGCCAACACAGTGAAATCACACCTCTACTAAAATACAAAAATTAGCAGGGCGTAGTGGTGGGCGCCCGTTATCCCAGCTTCTCAGGAGGCTGAGGAGAATCGCTTGAACCCAGGAGGCAGAGGTTGCAGTGAGCCGAGATTGCACCATTGCACTCCAGCCTGGGGTGACAAGAGTGAAACTCAGTCTAAAACAAGAAAAAAAAAAAAAAAAAAAAAAAAAAACTTCTCTAAAATATTATCTTGGGGACTCTGCAGTTCCTAAATATTGAAAAAACACACAACATTAGTTGTATTTTTAATTTTCCACCAGTTAAACTTAATTAGCCTCACAAACCAAGAAAATCAGTACATTTTGATTTTGAAGCCAACTGCTTTTTCTCTAGAAAAAATTAGTCTGCAAATGTTCTGACAGAACTGAGCTAAACCATAATATGGTTTAAATACAACTAGATAGCTTTAGATTTTAGAATTTCTGCTATTTTACTTCAGAATAATCTAGCCCATTTACTTCTACATTTAGATTCGAATTGCCACTTCCATTTTTTTCCCTCAGATTTGTTTCTCATTTTATCTCTCTTAGGATAAACTCTGCAAGTTGTAACTATAATTCAAACCACAAATATAAGCAGGATTGTCGGTGAGGGAAAAGAAAATAATTTCTTCCCCAAATTATAGAGTCTTTAATAATTATTCTCATGGCACAAAATCCATATGGTATATGTCTGTGTGCACATGAACACGTGTGAGCTATCCCCCAAAACAAGACAGAAAGAAAAGAAAGGAATGTACAGTGCAGACACATATGTAGCTTCCTGATAAGAACTACGTAATTCTGGGCAGTTCTTCGATAAGGGGAAAGCAATTCAGAACATACAACTGGCAGGTAGACAGAGATGCTATTTCCACTCATGTATCCCTATCACCAAGACTAGCTTGTAGATGCAAATTATGCCATGACTGAAGAGTCAGCTAACAGCAAATCCCAATTTTCCTCAGTGAATACTACTGTCCATGTTGTATAAATCAATATTTAATATGAAGATTCATTACTCGAGTACAATGAAAGAAATTGTCATTATTCCACTGCAGAGGATATTCTAGAAATATGTATTGGATCAATGCATGTAACATTTTTTAAAGACTTAAAATGGCATTGCCTTTGGTTTTTCTTGAACTAATGTATTCTAATACTGACCCTTAGACAATACCATCAATCCATAAGGAGTTCTGATACGTAGTTTTACACTAGACATCCTAAGTGACAAGCCACACTAAATATCATAAATAGACATATCTTGGTGCTGATTAAATTGCTGAATGGGCACATATATATTTTCCAACAAATAGACATATATAAAACTGACTCGATGTGTCCCCAACATGATCTCAAGATACAGAAATACGAGAAAGTAAATGTGAATGATTGTCTGCGTCTCAGAGGGCCCAAATTCTCTATGTGGGTCTGAACAAACAGGCAGGTATGAAGATTCCCTGCCAGGTAGGGAGGTCAACAGGTTGACTGCACACAATCGTAAGGATAGTTAGACAGGAGCAAGGTAAGAACTTGACAGACAGAACAGTAGACAAGTTTAACACACATGGGTCAGGTATGGCACAAGAATAAGATCAAGGACCAGAATGAAAAATATAGACATGGTGGTTCCATGCCTGTAATCCCAGCAACTCAGGAGGCTGAGATGGGAGAATTACTTGAGGCCAGGAGTTCAAAACCAGCCTGGGCAACAGAGCAAGAACCATCTCCGCAAAAAAACAAAAAAATACTCACCAGGCATGGTGGAGGATGCCTGTCCTCCCAGTGATTCCAGAGGCTGAGGCAGGAGGATCCTTTGACCTCAGGAGTTAGAGGTGCAGTGAGCTAGGATTGTGCCCCTGCACTCCAGCCCCTAGATGACAGAGCAAGACCCTGTTTCTAATTACAAAAAAAAAAAAAAAATGTAGCATGGGCATATCAGAAATACTAGGGGGAAAGATCAGGCAGTAATAAGTAGCAAATCTCGCCACAAGGGATAAAGTACATGACAAAGAGCCAGGGCCACAGATAACGGGCAAGCAAAATGCAGAAAATTCATACACTATTTCCCCACTGTATTATTTCCAGCACGTGGAAATATTAAAGAGTTCCTCTAAAGTCAGGAACCAATCCCCACAACCTACACGCCTAGGGCTTAATGTGGGGCACCTGGCTGAAATGGAAAGTGGGAGAAAAGCAGGGAAATTTGTGACTGTGGAGATCACATTATGACTCTACTGTTTTGCACATGAGACAGACAGGTAAGTATGCATATCTGTTCAGTCTATGATCCAACTTGGATATTGATTTTAATCTATATAAATCAAAAACAACTATTTTCATTTCATTTGCTAATGTTCAACCATCCGATAAGCAGGAATATTTATTTTCTCCTTTACATGCATGTCACTTTACAGTTTATGAAGCTCTTCCCGAAAAGCTTTCTCATTTGACACACATGCTAGAGCCACATTTATGTTCTTCCTGAAGATCAAAACTTCTCTTTCTCCAAATCAACTCAGCCTCACAGGAAATGTATTTTTAATGTTGTATTGTTTCTAGTTTAAGTGTCAGATGTTTCTCCTTCACACACATACGGAACCCTTTGACTGAATCTTGGCACATCGATGAAAGACACATGTGCATTCTAGAACAAGTGCTATTCATTAGTATTTGATCCTTTCCCCAACTTCACACTCAGAAAAGAAAACGTATGACATTTCTTTCATTCCATTTCTATTGAGACTAGGAATACAAGTTTCGCTGCCCGAAACTTTTTCTTAGGGACGTAACAGAATGAACGAATACTTGCGAACAATGTACAATGTGTTTTTTTCACAGGCTAGATGTACAGACTAGATGGTAAAATATAATCATATGATAGCCTACACATTGGAATTTACATTATAAAGAAATAATTCATTTTTCTAATGATTAGATTCATCGCAGAAATTTATTTATTTTATTTTTGAGGCAGAGTCTTGCTCCGTCACCCAGGCTGGAGTGCAGTGGCGCAATCTTGGCTTACTGCAACCTCCACCTCCCGGGTTCAAGTGATTCTCCTGCCTCAGCATCCTAAGTAGTGGGGACCACAGGTACGTGCCACCACACTCAGCTCATTTTTGTATTTTTAGGAGATACCAGGTCTCACCATGTTGGCCAAGCTGGTCTTGAACTCCTGGACTCTAGTGATCCACCCACCTCCGCTTCCCAAAGTGCTGGGATTGCAGGCGTGCCCGGTTCATCACAGACATTTAGTATTTCAATCATCAATTCTTCATATCTTCCTAAACTTAAATGAAGATAGCACTTTTTTGGACAAATGTAAACACAACAGCATTTTTGGGACAAATTTAAACCAACTTTTCAAATTCAGTTTGCAAATAACACTCAAATATAGTTGGGAAGTACAACTGAAATTCTGAAATTCTCTTGCTGAATGCACATTCTTTACAGAAGTCAGGCTAGCAAGGAGTTGGATTGGGGAGTGATCTTGAAGGGTCACCAATCAGTAGTCAGAAAACCGAAGCAGTGGCTAAAATAGAAACACCAGCAAGTTTATTTTAAATGAAGATACATAGTTCTAAATCAGGAGTGTATTTTCTTCTTCTTAAATAAAGCTCATGTATATTTGAAGTTTACAACATGATGGTATGGGATACATATACGTGGTAAAATGGTTACTATAGTGAAGCAAATTATCATACCTACCATCTGGCACGTGTGTGTGTGTGTGTGTGTGTGTGAGACGGAGAAAGAGAGAGCGCACGCGTGTGAGAGAGCGAGCAAAGGGCAGCTACAATCTACTTAACAAAAATCTCTAACATAATTTTATTAACTACAGTCCACATGCTATATGTTACATCTCTAGATGTGTTTATCTTACATATCTGCTACTTTGTATCATTTGAGTTACAACTCCCCATCCCCCCACCCCATCGTAACCATTGTTTTATTTTCTATCTCTGTAAATTTGACCTTTCTTTTTCAGATTCCACATATAAGTGGGATCATGCAATATTTTTCTTTCTATGTCTGGCTTATTTCACTTAGTATAATGTCCTCTAGTTCCACCCATATTATGGCAAATGGCAGGGTCTCCTTTTTAAAGGCTAAACAATATTCCATTGTATGTGTATATATACACATTTTCTTTACCCATTCATCCTTTGATGGGCATTTAAGTTGTTTCCATATCTTGGCTATTACGATAAAAATGCAATGAACATGGGAGTACAGATATATTTACAGGGTGGTGGTTTCATCTACTTTGGGTTGGGTATATACCAGAAGAGGAACTGCTGAGTTGTATGGTAGTTCTATTTTAATTTCTTTAGGAACTTCCATACTGTTTTCCACAACGGCTCTACCAATCTACATTCCCACTGTGTGCTAAAGTTTCCTTTTCTAGGAGTGTATTTTCTAATAGGTTTTTCTGGTTATCTAATTTCAGTGTTTCTGCTCTTCTGCATAAACGACAAATGCTCACAATAAGAGAGGTTGCGATATTTGAAAAAAAAAATCTACCAATACTATTTCTACATCATTAATCCCTCTAGCGGACCACTGAGAAGGTCTCTTGATGCCTGAGGAGTCAATTTCTTGGTAAAAATCTAAACAACGCAATGCAGACCAGATTCTTAGAAAAGCTCCAGGAATGGATTAAACCTCCAAGGAAGAGACTCCACTCACCTACAAGTGTAGGTCACTGGTCCTCTAAATAGCGTTTAAGTCTCCTACAGGATAAAATCCAAGGAAAGTGTGCTGGGACCATGTTCCCTTGAGCCCTATCTCTGCAGAGATTGGGGTTCAGCACTGCCCGTGCTCTAGTTCCAGACTTCTTCTTCAGCTCATCTAGACACACAGCCTCAAGATGTGCTGAACTATACCAAGTTGCCAACGTGCTATGCTCTCTCTCGTCTACCCTTTTTCTGCCTAGTACATTCCTTTCCCATTTCTCTACTTGGCTATCTCTCTCTCTCTCTTTAAATTTTATTTATTTTTATTTTTATTTTTTATTTTCTTTTGAGGCAGGGTCTTACTCTGTCACCCAGGTTGGAGTGCAGTGGTGTGATCTCAGCTCAGTGCAACCTCCACCTCCTGGGTTCAAGCGATTCTCATGCCTCAGCCTCCTGAGTAGCTGGGATTACAACCAGCTAATTTTTGTATTTTTAGTAGAGAAGGTTTTTTGCCATGTTGGCCAGGCTAGTCTCGAACTCCTGACCTCAAGTAACCTGCTTGCCTGGGCCTCCCAAAGTGCTGGAATTACAGGCATAAGTTACCATACCTGGCCTCTACTTGGCTATTTCTAACCCTATGCAATACTTCATCACAATGCTTTCCTGAGCACAATGGTTTTATGCAACTGGTTCACCTAACAGAATGTGAGCTCTCTAAAAACAGTACCCGTTTCTTTTATTTTTGTGTTCCCAGTATCTCACACATACAAGAGATACTAGATAAATGTTTGATGACTGAGCAGATGGAGTTATGGGTACCAGTAAAACACCAGGGCAATTGGCCGCACAGTTGATGCACTGCCCTCTTGATATATGCTATGAACAATAAACTGAGAGTTCCAGAATGTACTGAAGCATCTCTTGCAACTCTTGAATACGTATTACATGGGATGAAACGCCGGAAGCATAGCCTGGCTAGGGTGGGTTAAACTGCTACAAAATTCAGAAACTTACTTTCAGTCAGTTAAGGTAGGGCTAGGCCATCCCCATAAGACTCTCTCACAGCAAAATGGGAAAGGCCACGAGGTTGGAAAGCTGAAAATATTTATTTTGAAAAGTGCATCTGTTTTTCATTCCCCATCACACTCCCATATCCTTTTACGTTTTCCGGAGGAAAACAGAAACACATAGCATACCTGAAGCAAAACTGAATACAAGTTCAAATCAAGGCAGGTAAACACCAGGTGAGATTGCAAGCACATACGAATACTTTCAATACCAGAAAACTGCAAGTTAAGGAAAACCAAAGAAACACAAAGTAATACCGGGAAGCAGATACACATTGCAGGCAATGAACTAGAGGCAAACACAAAGATCAAAGGAAACCTCACAGTGAAATAAGCTGAAATCATCAGGATCCTTTTCACCAAAGGAGCTGTGTGTCAAATAAAATATAAGTTAAGCGAATCTAATACCAAAAGGCAGTAAAGATAATTTCAAGTAATACTATTCATGAATCAAAACAAAATTGGGTAGAGGTTAAATAAAAGCCTCTGTTCTTAAATCAAAGTAACACAGTAGAGATGTAAAATGCAAACCCTTTGGTAACTTAATACATTGAAAAGTAGATTGACAAGTAAAGAAAGTCCAAAATAATCACATAGGAAAATGAAAATACTGAACAATCAAAGTAAGATGGGAAAATATCATGGAAAACACATAACCAAAATGATGATGAAAACTTAAAGGAGAAGGCTTATCTGTTAATGCTCATGAAAACCAAATGTGAACG
Organism: Homo sapiens; assembly: GCF_000001405.40. Lineage (NCBI taxonomy): Eukaryota > Metazoa > Chordata > Mammalia > Primates > Hominidae > Homo > Homo sapiens. Next base: position 20,802,675 of record NC_000010.11, read on the forward strand.
ATGAAAACCTTGTACTTTTGCCTTAACGAAATGAGTTGATTGTTCAACCCTTTGTCCTAACAATCAGAACTTACTCGAAAGAAGGAACGAAAACTGTGACTCTCATAACTGCCCAAGTACTTCATTCATAAAGTAAAACAGACCACTTTCAGAACATAAACACATTCTTACACATAGAAAGAAAAGAAAGAAAAAAAGTTTATTTAGGGCACTTAGCTGAGGAAATGTAAAATATCTGCTTCTTGTTCTGCGCCATTCTTATGACAGATGCAAAATTTAAGCCTAATAAGGTTAAATGACCCCTTTGATAACCCGGACCAAGTCGTGAGAGCACTGGGACTTAAGTCCAATGTCTCGTCCTCCAGTTCAGGGTTCCGGCCACCGCAGGACACCACTGCCACACACCCCACCTCGACCACAAGCAGGCAACCAAATATTAAAGGACGTCTTTCTGGGACATAATACATTTTATCATGTAAATTACAGCTAGACAGGAGAAATAAATTCTAGTGTTCTATACCACTGTAGGATGACTATAGTTAGCAAGAATATATTATACAGTTTCAAATAGCTAGAAGGATGTTTAATGTTCCCAATACAAAGAAATGATAAATGTTCAAGATGATGAATATGCTAATTACCATGTTCTGATCACTATATGGTGTATATATCGAAACATCCCTTGGTACCTCATGCATATGTATAATTATTATTTATCCACTGAAACATTAAAAAAGAAAAATCAATCCTTAAAATAGTCCATTATAGCAGTGGTACTCAGAAGATGATCTTGAACCAAAAAATTTTAACTACATTTTGTTTTTAAAAGTAAATAAATTTAAAAGAATCAACAACATCCAGAAGAAAAATAGCGTTTCTAAATATTTATAAACATTTCTTCATCTTACCCCTAACTAGTATTGTTATAAAATTCTTTTCAATTTCTAGGATAGAATTTAAACAAATGCATATGATTGACTGTTACTGTTAAAAGCACTAACGATTTTCATCACTCCACTTTTTATAGAGTCAATCAGCACCTTCTCACCAGAGCCCAGCAGAGCACACATTTCAAAGGGGACCCTAAATTTCAAAGCCACTGAGAAATCATGGAGACTTCTTTCCTTCTGTACGAAAAATATATATATATATATATATATATATGCACACATACTGGGAATGTTTTCACTTTAGAGTATTTTTTCAGCTATGCTTTAATGTCATTGAAACATATCAAAACATCATAAAAATGTAAGAATCTTCTTGAAAGCCTTCCCCAAGAGAATTTTATTTTATAAAAATAATTATACTTATATATATTTATGCATGTGGTCCTTGTTTTTAAAATATTCATTTGGCCATTTTATTCCCTCTCCAAATAGTTGCTGAATGCCTATTCTAAGAGCTAGAGATACAACAGTCAACAAAACAGCCAGTACCTCTGATCTTGTTGGGCATGCAGAGAGAGACAAATAAATAAATCAATATATAATATCTGAAGTGGTACCAGGTGCTATGAAGGAAAAAATTCAGAGAAAAGGGACAGATAGTCAGGAAAGGGGTGCTATTTTATCTCTAGTAGTTAGAGAGGGTACCATCTGAGCACTGGACATTCAATTCAAAATATGTACTCATTAGCGCACTTCAAGCAGTAGCCCAAACAATTCCATACAAAGTTCCCCTAGCAATCATCCTCCTGTTAGTTTTCTTGATAAGTGGATCATTTGCTTTATCAACCCTCATCACTACACAAAGGTTCACATGACTAACCCTACCATTATGGCCTCTAGCTGTAACATGATTTATTTCAACATTAGCAGAAACTAACCAAGCACCGTTCCACTTAAGAGAGGGTGAATCAGAATTAATCTTGGGCTCCAATGCTGAATATGCTGCAGGCCCACTGAAACATAAAGAAAAATGGCACTTAGCTAAGCAAATATCTGGGGTGGCAGAAGTATTCCAGGCTGGGGGAACAGTGTGTGCAAAAGCCCTAGGGGGAAGCATTCTTGGAAAGTTTGAGTAAAGCAAGGGGACCAGAAATGGTGAGAGTGGACAGATATACTTGGAATGGCAGAAAATTAGTTCAGAGCAGTGACCGGGGCCCAAGATCAGATATGGGTCTTGTACGCAATGATGAAAATTTGGGTTATATTCAGAATAAAATGATAGAAGAGTGACATGATGTCACCAGGGTTTCAAGAAGATCATTCCAGATGTCAGGTGGAGAACAGATCAGAGCAGGAGGTGGGTGGAAGATGGTGTGGCCAGAGCAGAAGCAGGCAAACCAGTCAGGAGGCAACTATCATTGTCCAAATGAGAGATGACAGTGGCTGACATAAGGGTAGCAACAATGGAGGTAGGGCCAAGCACTCAGATTCTGGATATTTTTGTCATGGTCCAGCTGACAAGATTTGCCAATGAACTAGACATGGGGTATGAGTGAAAGACAAGCGTCAGGGATGACTCCAAAGGGTTTAAGTAGCTGGAAAGTTGTAGTTGTCACTTAGCAAACTGGGAAGCTCAGAAAGGAGATTTCTGCAGGGAAGGGGGAAGCAGAGAGGTGGTATTGAACTTATAAGGTTTGATATATGTCACTAATCATTTGAATACTGACATCAGGTGCCAATTGGTAGAATGTGCTTTGCTTCACTTAAATTAAATTAGCATATTCCAATGTATCCTAAAATCTTTTCAAATTCATATGGCTCTTTTGTGGGCACATGTCACTTGTGTTTATGTTATACAACTTATTGGTACATCTTGACTTTTGCTTCATACCCCAATATCTATTTTTTAAAATAGGCAATGTCCCTAAAGACAGAGCATCTTGGCCTCAAAACAGAGGACTGAGAACAACAGAAATTTATAAATGACCCCAAAGAGTCAACTTTTTGGCCAGGCACAGTGGCTCATGTCTGTAATCCTGGCATTTTGGGAGGCGGAGGCAAGTGGAGCACTTGAGATCTGGAGTTCAAGACCAGCCTGGCCAACACGGTGAAACCCCATCTCTACTAAAAATACAAAAATTAGCCAAGTGTGGTGGCGTGCACCTGTAATCCCAGCTACTCAGGAGGCTGACGCAGGAGAACCGTTTGAACCTGGGAGGCAGAGGTTGCAGTGAGCCAAGATCACGTTACTGCACTCCAGGCTGAGTGACACAGCGAGACTCCGTCTCAAAAAAAAAAAAAAGTCAACTTTTTCTTACAAGGCATTATTTGAGTCACTGAGTCATCGCTGCTGTCCAAAATCTCCCTCCATCTTTGAAGAAGTATGAAATTCCTCCTTTAAAAAAAAATATGATTATTCCCTCTTACCCATCCATGTGTTACTCAAATTCTAGTATAAATGCAAGAATATTTGCCTATACCTTCTTCCAATGAGACATTTTCTCATTCAATTTGGCTTAGGATAGGGTCCTCTTGCTAGAAATAATTAGAAAAGAGAAGGAATGTGGGCTTAAGAAAAAGAGGTGATTAACTAACAGCAGCAGGTTTTTACAGCCTTGGAGGAGAGAATGCAAAGAGACAAGTGACGTGGGCATGGTCTGCTGCTGCAGAGGGAGTAGAGGCATCCAAGCAGAGGCCCTCCGAATTCCTGATCTCTACACAGATTCATTTAGGACCTAAATCATAGACTTGGATGGATGATTTCCAAACTGACCTCGGGTGCGGCCTCCTCTTCTAAACTCTAATTGTGTGTGTGATGCTTCCATTTGAACATCTCAATGTTCTGCCCTATCCAATGCATGCGTCTGTCCTATCAGAAACATTTTTCTCCCAAAGCCCCACAGCCTCGTTAACGTCCATCAGCATTCACATCTCTACTCAAATATCCCCTCCCCAAGGAAGGTTTCCCTGACATCAAGGCCAGATGCAGCTGCGCTGTTATTGTAGCCCTCATTCCACCCCGTCACAGGCCTGATTCTGCTCTTCATTATGTATTACTTGTTTAAGTGTCTGCTAAATGTCAAGGTCCCCCCACCAGCCTCTAAGCCCCTTACAGCGGATGCATGTTTCTTTTGCTCACTGCTGTGTGCATTGCCAGATCTAAGCTCTTGGCCAGTGCACAAACAGCACTCAGTAAACATTTGGTGACTAAATGAATGAATGATGGACTGAGGAGGATAGACATGAAGTAAAGGGTCATTCTTGAAACAAAGACTCTCTGGTACATTGCCTTTGGGAGAGACATCAATTCCAGTATGCTGAACTGAGTAACATTAAATAAGGTTGATCAACATTAGTTCTTGTATTTGCTTTGGGTTTTATTTATCTCTTTAAATATCAATATTATTCTGCATCTACAGAACCAGGAAGGACACTGAGGGCATAAATCAGTGACCCCACGTCCAAAAAAAGTAATCAGAGGTCAGGTACAGTGGCTCACGCCTCTGATCCCCGCACTTGGGAGGCTGAGGTGGGTGGATCACTTGAGGTCAGGAGTTCCAGACCAGCATGGACAACATTGCGAGACCCCCGTCTCTATAAAAAATACAAAAATTAGCTAGGTGTGGTGGCACACACCTGTAGACCCACCTACTCAGGCGGCTGAGGCACAAGAATCACTTGAACCCAGGAGGTGAAGGCTGCAGTGAGCTGAGATTGTGCCACTGCACTCCAGCCTGGGCAACAGAGCAAGACTCTATCAAAAAAGTAATCAGAAGTTACTGAACCCTTCATTAGCAATTCAGACAGACACAAAAAGGGGAGATTTTCTCATGTATTTTTACCCACAATAAAACAACCAGTTTATAATGATTTCATTAGTTACACAAAAAGGAGACCTTTAATAAATTTCTACCAAAATAAGGTCAGTCCAGTTTTACAATTCAAGATGTATAGAATATAATAAATTTTATTCCCATTAGTGTTTCACTGTAATGAGTGCAGAAAAACTAATTACACAATTATACAATCTTTCGCAGCTTGGTCATTTCCTCAGTCACATTACTTTTTACCCACCAAGGTGTTAAGTTGCTCAACCTCAAAATTTCCTACCTTTGGGATTTCAACAATATGGCCTTTGAGTTGAAAGGGAAATTCAGTATTGCTTTTGTTCTCATATGCTTCAGTCCTTTCCCCCTCCTTGCTGTACTAAAATATAACTGCAATGAGGTGAGGAAACATTTTAGTCTTAACCTTTAAAAACAGATTTATAAGTAAAATTAGTTTAATACCCTAAAGAAATTCATTGAAGTTCTAGGCTTAATCCATCAGCCTGGATACAGAAAACAGAAGATACAGGAAAAGAGTGGGTATATAAAATAGTGACAAGATTATTAACAATCAATAGTATTTCTCATTTAAAAAAAAAAAAAAACCCTCTCATATCCCAAGTATTATGCCCAATTTCTTTTGGCAAGGTCTAACTCTGTCTGCAAGTTTATATTAATATTTAAAATATACACATTCATTATAACCTCTGAGGTACCCCAATATTACTGTAAGATTGATTTTTTTCCTTAATGGAAATCATATAAAAACTATGCAGAACTCAAGTTTCTCCTATGACTGTGTAGTGTGTATATTTATCACATATAACTCCTGTGAAACAGACTCAAGCAGCAAGTCTCAAGACCCTTTTGTCATTACAAATCCATTGCTGCGATAATAGTGAAGTAAGACGGGGGGAAAATAACATGCAAAAATGCAAATTAGTAGGGTTTTTTCTTTAAAAAAAAAAAAAGACTATTAACTTTCTGAACTTAATTTTAAATTCTCAAATACAGCCAGGATAGATGTTCATGCAAAAGTGAAAAGAATTTTAAAGACACTCTTGTGACACACTTAAAAAATGAATCGATTTTCTTTGTAAGCAGTGAATGTTTGATACCTCCTTCATCAGACGGTCTTGTTACCTCACTGCAGCATGAAAAGCTAGGGTAAATCTCGGAGATTTCTGACCTGTCGTCTCCGAGACCTGTACCGAAAGTACTGCTGGAATGGGATCGAGACCAGTGTCGCCTATAGTGACTCGCCTTTTCTATATTGGAGGGAAAATATTTACACGTGTGATTAAGTGACTCGAAAAACAAAATCAACAAAAAATTACTTAAAAGCTTAACAGAGAAGAAAAACCATCTCTTAGTAAAGAATAACTCAAAATCTCAGCGCTAGGCACCTATTCCCAAACTTCAGCATGCATTGCATCAACTACATGAATAACTTAACCATCGTTTTATGCTCTTTTAAGTCTCAATTTTAAAGGACGGGTAAGGGATAGGAAATTGACAAGGACAAAGAAAACATTGGTAAATTAATAAATTTTTGTTAATTGTAATGCCTGGTTTTCAATAATTCCTTTAAACTATCACCAGATATATAGTATGTGTTGCCTTTTCTTTATTTTTAGAAAATCAAGTGACACTGTTTGGCTAACTATATGAATGAAAGTGACTATAAAAGTACTAGAATTCCTGCTTTGCCTTGGGTATTCAATTCTATTCACATCAAAAATTAAATATAGAGTAGAAATCAGGGGTTAGAGCAAGATCTAAATGACATAGCTATCTATTGTTTAACATAACTGCATAACTGTCAGAGAAAATTTGAAATGTCAAATCAAGCCATCATTCGTACCCCAACTATTCATTTTTTTGCCTTTAATTATGAACTTGCAATCTAAGTTAAAAGCCAACTATGCTTGCCATGTAAACTATTCATTTTACATTATATAAAATGTCAAAGAAAATTTTAAAGATACTTGAAAATTTATTTTAAGACATCTATGATGCCCTGTAAAAAACCTTTCTACTGTTCTATATATAATTCTTTAAATCTACCTTTAAAAAATTATAACAATGTATTTCATGAAACAAACCTCCTTTTGTCTCAGCACTTTAGTGCAATCCAAATAACTGTATTTGTAAACCCAGAAATAATATAAAAGCATTCTTACTAATAAAAAGCTTATTTAAATGAATCTAGGACAGACTAATTAAGATATATTAAAAAGTTTTCTTTTCATAAATGACTAATTGTATTTAAAAGTAGCATAGCATTTTTTTGGTTTGCCAAATTCTCAGCTTTAAAATTTACATTACACAGTACAATGAACCTCTACAGTTCACAGTGGTTCACTTTTGGGACAAAACCACATAAATGGGATGAACTAAAAAGTGAGTAATACCAGAGAGCATATGGAGACTTCTAGACTGAATATTGTCTTCCAGGGGATCAAGGTCGAAGATGGAGCCAGGATCTGTGCGCCAAACTTTGAGGTCTTTTGCCAAAAGGAAGAAATCAACACTCATCAAGAAGGAATTTAAAAAAGGAAAAAAAAAAAAAAAAGCCAGTACCCAAAAGAGTCAAGACAAAGTCTGCAAAGGAATAGATATAAGAAGCAAACATGTAACAGACAAACTCACAGTGCTGCTGACTTCAGAAGAGAATGAAAAAATACTTGCTTTCACAAGTATCTGTTAAGAAATCTTTGTAATCAGATTGAAGTTGCCTGCTCTATTCATTGAGCTGCCCTATCAGACCTTGCTGAAGTACCTGTGACCCATCACACAACACAGGAGCACATGGGGCAGCTATATGCATCCCCTCACAGCACCCCTGAATCCCCAGTCACTCTTGCTCTCCACAGGCTGAAACAAGCAAAATGTTTGATTATAGTTTCTGATTCAGGACATGTGAGTAATTCATAGGAAACAATTGAGAAGTTTATGTTTAAAAAACAAAACAAACAAAAAAAAAGTCCCTTTCTATAACAGAAATGAATATTTAAAATGTGGAATGGTGGCAAGCCTAGTTTTCATTCTGAGTCTGTGAGTGCAAGCTAAGTGTATCTTAGGGAATGCATATCTTATTAGATACACTTATTTAAAAAGTGTTATAAGCAAGGCACACAGCAAGGAAATATGATGAATGAAAAGAGAAATAATATCAGCTTCCTGCTGTCAATGGATCCCTGCCATAGTCAGTGATCAGACTGTGCAAACCACTTTATTCTCCTCTTATTTTAATAACTTCTGAATTCACCAGTCTCTCCAACAAAAGGGCATCAGATCCTAAAATAAGCTGTTTACAGCTGTACCAACAACTGGAAAAGAAAAACCTAGTTATAGACATACGGCAGAAATGGGGCTACAGCAAAAACAATTAATTTGTAAAATGGAACTGGAAATTTGCTTGTCTGTTTTTAATTAATATTATGTAGTGCTGACCATATGCCAGGCACTCTTCTCATTTAACACCTAATTAATTTAAGTTTCATACATATTATCCTCATTTTGTAGATGAGGAAACTGAGGCACAGAGAAATTGAGTAGCTTGGCCAAGGTTACACAGCTCGTAAGAAGTAGCAGAGCCTCCAACAAAAATAGAAGCAGCACAAATTGGCTTAATCTGAATTACTCAGAAAATCTCTAAACGTGTATTTTCATGCCTGATACAGAAGCTGGCTCATTGGAAAGTTTAATGTTGGCCAATTATGGAAATTTCAATGGAAAACAGTTCTTCCCAATAAGAACAAATAAACTGACTTCTGGATTGCCAAGTAAGTAAATAACTTAGAGTCATACATCTTATATTTTATAAAACAATCATAATTTCAACCTCAATGGTTTTGAGTACTGAATTCTGAGAGCCCACGGTCTAGACAGTTTCATGGTTTTTAGCAACGACCTCACCATCATTCCTGACCTCTGATGTGTGCAGGGCCTGGAAGTAAGCTGTACAGACTTTAGCAGTTCCACCCTAAGTGAGATAAATCAGAACCCCTGCACTATCCCTTAAGATAGTTCCATCCCTTTAGCACAAAGCAATGAAACTCTAATTTGGTGTCACATTGAATGAAAACATCACAACTCATCCATCCAACTTAATGTGATCCTTTTAAGTAATCAACTCAGGCAGATCAGCAAAGCTATCAATTGCCTACAAACATGTTTGGAATCCTTCTTCAGAAAATACTTCCAGAGTCACTTTAGTATAATCATCCAAGTTACTTAGTGCTGCTCTGACTTTAGCACCCTGGTTTTGTAAAGACATTACCCTGTCAAATTTAGCTTATCTCTAAATGGCCTTTCACTAGTACCAAAAAATAAGCTCCTACTTTTGAAGATGAAGAAAACCTAACACTGATATTACTGAGTGGCATATACCAAAAATATTCTTTAAGCTACGTAACTACATAATTCAGAGGTTAACTGCTCTGAAGGAGACAATAGTCTTCAGTTGTTGATACAGACTGAAAAATCAATAATCATCCTTCCTAGCCCTGCCTTATACTTCAGTATGATCTTTTCTGATATCTCAGCCACCATTCAACAAATATCCTTCTAGGATTTCTCCTGACTATAAGGAACAGATAGCAGGAATAAAAGTTTGCTCTCTTAATTGCAAGACTTTCAGATGGCTCTCAACTATTCCAGTCCAGAAATAATATTTTTAAAATGAGCTATTACTATTATGGAGTACCATCAGAACGCCCATGGCGTGTCTGTTTTTGATAAAAGGACCTAAACGCAATATGGTTATTTCTGCCACTTATGCACATGAGGTCAACAGAACAACACGTCAACCAAGCAGAAAAACAATTATTTTGTTTTTCTTTTTAAAGAAAAACAAAGTAATTGTTCAACCATTGTGATCACTCATATCTCTGCTGCTTCTTTGCTTAACAAGGAGGAACATTCTTTTTTTTATTATTATTATACTTGAAGTTCTAGGGTACATGTGCACAACATGCAGGTTTGTTACATACGTATACATGTGCCACGTTGGTGTGCTGCACCCTTAACTCGTCATTTACATTAGGTGTATCTCCTAATGCTATCCCTCCCCCCTCCCCCCACCTCACAACAGGCCCTGGTGTGTGATACAAGGAGGAACATTCTTAAAATTAGCAAGGTATTAAAGACAGAGCTTCCAATAATAGAAAAGACTTGAGATGATACCAGGTGAATGCCAGAAATCCCATTCCACATCGTACAAAAATAATACTTTACCTGCGGTCCATTTTAAATTGGGTACCACAACCAACATGTGATGAGGAGTCAGATGACTCAAGAGGGTAATTCTGAAGCTAGAGCAAGCATGATCTTTTCGACCACACACACCGGCCGACAAACGCCGTCAGCTTACCAACAATGATTCCAGGTCTCCTGTCCATCTCCACGATGTGAGGGTGGACCCCTTTATAGGCAGCATCGCTGACCACCTGGGTGTTCTTCCTCACTCTCTCTGTCACAGGATCGTCCACGACGGGAGTAAAGCCTCTCCCCTTTGTTTTTTCAAAATCTTCATGGTATTTTACCTGAAAAAGGAAAAATCATCATACTGAATTTTGCGGATAGTTACCTCTTTCACAACATTTTTATTAAATGACAGGTGTACACTGCACTGGCTGCGTGCAGATTGTCTACATGTATGTATCTTTTCCAAATACTCCAAAACTAAAGTCTGGAACTTCAGTTTCTTAGCATCAGAAATCAAGTGCTGATATTTTCACAAAGTTTTTAATCATTATAGCTCATATCTATTTTAAATTATATATAAAACTATATATATATTATTAATGAGAGCTTGTAAAAATACATATTCTCAAATCCTGGTTACTTCCTAAAATATACTAATTTAAATATAAATTAAATTTCCTATCTCTTCAACTTCAGTATGCAATAAAGTGATATCTATTTCCAGGCAATCATTCATGAAAATGGCATTATTTAAAATCAGTTTGAAATTTTATAGGTAACAATATATACCACTTTTAATATAATTACAAAAACTTATACTTCAAAATATACTTTTTTTATGTCCTGAAATTAGGTCCAGGAGATAGTTGTGTAACTGTAAATTATACTAGAAACCATTGAATTGAACACTTTAAATGGGCAAACTTTATGGTAGGTAAATTACATCTGATAATATAATTTTTAAAACACACATTTTTAAAAACACAGCTTTAAAAACACACTTCTTTTCATATCCTTTATGACAGGCAAACAGACCAAATTTTGTCTTAGAATTAATTGGAAAGAAGTCTACACAAATATCTTTCACACTATGAGTTTACAGTAGTCACGTTAGAAATAAAGACACACCAGAAAAAGTCACTGAGAAAAATCATTTTATTAGACTAAATGTTTCCACTGCATTTCAGTGTGATTAGAAATGCCCCTCCCTCAAAAGACAAGCCAACCACATTTCCATGCTTTGTTAGTTATCGGATTAATAGTGAAGTAATGCCATCCGTGCACTGGATCCGCCCATTCCTTAGCATGTTTTAAGAATGATCTGGTTGGACCCTACCATTGAAATATGATTTTGTGCTTCTTTAACATGTCTCATAGCAGGTGTATCTAAAATCAGACTTGGTCTACCTTTCATCTGTTTATGGTCCTGGGTATATTTTACCTGCAAAGTAAATAGTAGGCATAAGACAATGATAAGAAAACACATGATGTAACATTTTTAAGCTTTACAAATGAGTGAAACATATGCAACATACTTGAAATTATTTTCCAGGTAACTATTTCAGTGAATTAAATTTTGTTCTAGAATAGCAACCTAAAATTTTACAATCAAAGATCTCCTCCACCGCCTACTGCTAAATGACCTAAATCTATCAACTCTAAACAAATGTGTGAATGACCAATAGTAACTATCTATCTAGTCTGTAAACCTGCGCAAGCCCGAGGACTCGTATCTGTAATCACAGCACTTTGGAAAGCTAAGGTGGGAGGATGACTTGAGGCCTGGGATTTGAGACTAGGCTGGGCAGCACAGTGAAACCCCCCATCTCTACAGGTAAAAATTAAAAAAAAAAAAAAATTAGTTGGGCGTGTGCCTGTAGTCCCAGCTACTTGAGAGGTTAAGACAAGACAGCTGCTTGAGCCCAGGAGTTCAAAGCTGCAATGAGCTATGATTGTGCTATTGCATTCCAGCCCGGGCAACAGAGACTGTGTCTCAAACACACACATACACACATACACACACACACACACACACACAACTGGTTATCATATTTAAGTTAAACAGAGAAAATCCAAAACTATTAAATAGAACCCAAAGTTATTTTGTTTCTAAATTTCCCAATTTTCTACCATAAGAGTGTTAAAAAATGCATACAAGCTACTCTATTTCTTTTTATTTTTTTCTCTGCTTAGGGAATAAGAAACAATGAGGAACAAATTTAGTTGTTCTTCTAAGCAGCCACAACTTAAAGGTAATTTATGTTAAATACACACAGCATCTCTGGACAGAAATGTCACTAGGAAGCTGTAAATTGCAAAGCCTAAATGCTGATTCTCAGGCAAACAGCTATTCAGGGTATGCTAAGAAAAGGGCCTGTGTTCTTCACAACTGCCCATCAGAACACCGCCATTTATGAAACTGATTAGGTGTAAGATATGGATACCACTTACTGTGGACCTGAGGGCATTATGTACAATTCAGAATTGAAGCCCTGATATTCACTAAGAGGAAGCACAATATTCAGATAAGATACTCATGTACACCACTGGACTTTGGTGAGCAACTGAATTCTACGTTAACTGTATTTAAGGATTCTTTTCTGTAAGTCTTTAGTGGGGGTAATGATCCATCTCCTATTTTGTTTTGCAGACAGCATTTAACAATCCATGTTCAATGAAATATTTCAGGAAAATGACAATTATTTAACGCACACATCAAAGGCTTTACCACCTTCAAAGACACGGCTAACATATCATGAATCGTTGTTTAAATGAATATAATTTTAACCTAAGCTTTGAATGTAACTGTTGGTCACATCTGGAAATAACAAAGAGTTGCAAAATAATGTAAATGTTTGCAGTGGCAGCTTTTGGAAGTCATCTGAAATAACACATGTACTTATTGGACACATCACAAATGTTTCTTGAAAATAAGTTTTATTTTCACAAGCAAAGGAGGACCGCAAGTAAATAATAAAAGACACATCCTTTGTGATAGTCTAAAATGAAGAAAACCACTTGCCGAGCTAATATTTTCTTGATTCTTCTTCACTCTTTCCATTTCAGGAGTTACACTTAAAGTGGTAGCTCTTCCCAGCTGACCTCTGTAATAAACCTATCATTTCAGAGAACAAAAAATAGAATACTATGAATCAATTCAACAAAGAGACTTATTTATTTATTTAAGACAGGGTCTTGCTCTGTCACCCAGGCTGAAGTGCAGTGGTACAATCTTTGCTCACCACAGCCTCGATCTCCCAGGCTCAGGCAATCCTCCCACCTCAGCCTCCCAGGTAGCTGGGATTACAGGCACCTGCCACCATGCCTGGCTAATTTTTGTATTTTTGTAGAGATTGAGTTTTGCCATGTTGTCCAAGCTGACCTGAAACTCCTGGGCTCAAGTGATCCACCCACCTCAGCCTCCCAAAGTGCTGGGATGACAATCCTGAGCCACAGTGCCTGGCTCACAGTATTTATTTTAATGAGTTAGTCAGGGAAGTTTTGTAGGAAACTACAAAAAATATTTTCAGAGGTTGAGTTGTATTTAAAATGCTGGCATCTTAAATCAATCTATTTCATTTCATCCCATAAGAGAGTACATGTGTCCAAATCACTGTGGATGTACTCGAATACATAGGCATACCATCCGTAAAGCTGTAATAAATATTTAACCACAAAAGGAAATGAGAATAAATGTCTTCATGGAGATTACTTAAAGGTATTCACCGTAGACTGGTACTACATGGTCGTGGTTTCTTAGGAATTAACTGCGGCAGAATTTTTGTAAAGATGTGTTTAAATAGGTGACTGTGGGCATCCTTTAAAAAGCCAGCATGCTTCTCACTGGTCCACTCCTTGTCTAAATAACCATGTTCCTTTTTGAGAATAATGGAGTCACATCAAGTATGACTCTAAATATATGGGGGAAAGATGAGCGTCTACTTCTCTAAAATATAGTTGTTAGGAAAAGTATCAATCACCTGCCTTTGCATTATAAACTGGTAAAATGACTTTAAAGGTGTGAAGAATAAAAGATTTCTTTGAACGTAATAGATTTCCAAGTTTCCTCTTCCAAAGAACCCAATCTATATGTTAATGACTGTAAAAGAGGACTTTCTTCTTGAACTGCATCCGTGAATTATTTCAACAACAGGGAATCGGAGCAGGCCACAAGTTGGTGTCTAGGTAAAAACTGCCAGCCCCTTATTAAGTGCCCCCAAAATGGTCCTGTCCAATATAACCTATTCAGCCATGCACACATTATCATTTCTTCCTAGACTTTGCCCAAAAATGGAGTCATGATTGTGGGAAGTGGAAAGTGGGGCTCGGAGGAAGCGCAAGAACAGGAACACATGCTGGTAGAAAAGGGAGGGAAAATGTTTGTTTGTAGGGCCAGGATGCCAGAAGCTACGACTGTGGGACTTGAGGAGACCATAGCACCCATCAGCTAGATGACAAGATAGAAGGGATACACAACAACCTGTCAAAAAAAGTCACCCAGGCCCGGTGGCACACATCTGTAATCCCAGCACTTTGGGAGGCCAAGGTGGCCGGATTGCATGAGCTCAGGAGTTTGAGACCAGCCCAAACCCCGTCTCTACAAAAAATACAAAAATTAGCCAGGTGTGGCAGCATGTGCCTGTAATCCCAGCTGCTTGGGAGGTTGAGCTGGGAGGATCACTTGAACCCAGAAGGCAAAGGTTGCAGTGAGTCAAGATTGTGCCACTGCATTCCAGTCTGGGTGACAGAGCAAGACCCTGTCTCAAAAAAACAAAAAGAAAAAAGTCATCCTGATGAGTCACTGGGAACCCTGAGGTGGGGAACACCTGACTGTACCCACAATACCAAAGTCCCCGAAATCTTTCAAATAAGTTGTTAGTCAAATGAGAACAGGACATCAGCTCAAGGTTATGAAAATTCTATAAATACAATCCCTTCATTCACACGTGGACAATGCATTTGATAGTGTAAGAAAAAAGTTACTAAGATGATCACACATTGCTGATGTTTTTCTGGTTTTCTTTTGCCCTCTTCAGCTCTGGTGGATCAGAAATTGCAGTTCCCCGTTGAAGTTCTCCCTTATATTTTACCTAAGAAGGATAAATAAGAACTTTAACAGATAGCACAATGGGCTCCACTGAAATACCACAAAGGACAAGGCTCAAAATTAGCACCATCTTTTTACACATTTTTTTCCACAGTTGATTACATCAACCTTCACGCTTACATATACGCCCACATTCCGATGGGTCTGATTTAGCAAGCACAAGTTGTTGCTGGTACTGTTTAAATATGTCTTCAATAAATGCTTTCCTCTTCAATATCAAAATTAACCATAAATTCCACAAATAAAAGTAATGGAATCATAAGGCAACATGCTTTAAAAGAAACGCCAGAATGAAGTCATTACAAGAGAACTCTTGTGAAGTCCATTCCCTGTCACCCTAGAAGGCTTTTTACTGTCTTCTGACCGTGGGGCTTCTCCCTTCAATAGAAGCTAAAGCTCTCTGACTCCTACCACCTCCCAGGGATATTATAAGGATAAACAGTGTTGAGCCTCATTATCTCCACCCAGGAGAACCTACTCTTACATTTTGAAGTCTTTCAAAGGTACTTGTTTTGGAAAAAGAAGGCTTTTGTTTGTATTGGTGAAAGTTCAACAATATGTTCCAATCTCAGCTCTGCCTTTACTAGCTGGGTGGGGGGGCTGGGGGTGGGAGGCCAGCATGTCCTCTGACCTCCCCAAGACTCAGTTTCCCACATCTACCAACCAGAGAAACAAACAGTGCTGACCTCATGGGTTTACATAGAACATTAGTACAGGGCCCAGCACAGAGTAGCGCTGCCTTGTTAACTATTTTTGCTTTATTCACAACAGACTATTGAATGACTGAAAAATGTTTTCCATTTATAAGGCTCTTTGACTTGATACTATGTCTTAGAATGCCAGTCAAGCCAGGTCTTCTTTTGCCCTGTTCCAATATATATATATTTTTCTTTTCATATTGACATCAGATCCAGTATTCTCCATTAACTGCATTTTTTTAAAGAGATTTACCAACTGAACTATGAGGTCCTTGAGGATAGAAAGTGGGTCTTACCCATCTTTGTGTCTGGGTGACCAGGACAATGCCCAGTACATTTGGGTACTTAATGAAGATCTCTTGAATAAGCAAACACAGCTAAGGTACAGCAACACAGTCCCAAATTTCCTGGACACGCAGTTCATGCCCTTCAACAAGGAAATGTGAAAAGGAACATCCAAAAATGCAGAGGGTGTAAAACTTTTCCTTTTTAAATTTTTAGATAGTTTTATTAAATCTGGAGATATTCCGTTTATCATCATCGTTATTATTGCAGTTGTTAAATTTTACAAAAGAATTAATGCTGCATGTACATATTCACTTTTTCATGTTATAATGATATGATTCATCCATATAATTGCATGTTGCTCAAATTCATTTTCTTTTAAAACTTTTAAGTTCAGCGGTACATGTGCAGGTTTGTTACACAGGTGAACTTGTGTTATGGGAGTTTGTTGTACAGATGACTTCATCACCCCGGCATTAAGCCCAGTACTCAACAGTTACTTTTCCGGATCCTCTCCCTCCTCCCATCCTCTCCCGTCCAACAGGCTCCGGTGTCTGTTATTCCCCTCTATGTGTCCATGTATTCTCATCATTTAGCTCTCATTATTATGCAGTATTTGGTTTTACGTTCCTGTGTTAGTTTGCTAAGGATAATGGCCTTCCAAAGGGCATATTTTTAAATAAAAATATGTTATGTTTGAGAAAATATAAAAGGAAACAGAAACGACTTGCCGCACTCAGCTGCTCCTGGTTTCGCCTCACTCTCTCTATCTCCGGGGTCATGCTTACCGGAGTGGCCTTGTAGTTTTGCTCTTTATACTGGAGCTGAGAGACAAGGTGCAAGACAGTTTGAGATTATGGGAAATAAATACGTCCCAAAACATTGCAACAGATTTTTTTTAAATGTCACATGGCTACAGAACATTCATTAATAAGATCATCATCAGGATTTCATAGTGAAATATGTATTGCTTATAGATTTTATCTTCTTGGCGATGCCAGTCTTTTCCTTGTCAAGTGGTTTTGTTGTTGTTGTTGTTGTTTTATTTTTGAGACAAGGTCTTGCTCCGTTGTCCAGGCTGGAGTGCAGTGGCGTCATCACAGCTCACTGCAGCCTCAACCTCCCAAGCTCCAGCGATCCTCCCGACTCGGCCTCCCAAAGTGCTGGGATTACAGGTGTGAGCCACCACACCCAACCCTTATCAAATGTTTTAAGTCACACTTTTTGTTGTTTTCCTTCAGATTATATTATTTATTGGTGGCCTCTCTGAGTTTGATCTTATCAGTAATAATGAATAATCCCCTCATCAGTAAGAATGAATTCTATGAATTCATTTCTTCATAGCACTAAAGCAACATTTATCAAATTGCCATTTTATATTTAAAAATAATAATTCTACATTCTTATCATTGGGAAGGAGAGTAACAAAATCCTGTACCTGAACTTTAGTGATAGACTATTACTGTATAAAGAAACCTTGAACTTCAAAGGTTCTTCTCTATGCCGTTCTAACATTGGAAGCCCCATCTCTGACCTAGCATTATAGAAATTTTCCTGACTTAATGCACAGAGGTGTTTTTCTTAGCTGGGGATCTAACTCCATTGTTTGTGGTCATCTTTCCCAACAATTCCACAACACCTCCCAAAATAAATGAGCATCAATAGAGAAAATCAGAATGGCAAATGAACTTTTGGCAGACAAAAGTAGAGCTGGAGGTTAAGATCTCATTAGAAGAAACTTCACAGGGACAGTTTTAGTGTCTTTTTAGACTTTAAAGCTCAGGTTAGGGAATTTTCTTTTACAAGAAATCCCCACAAGACCTGCAGGGCCTGCTGATGAAACAGACTTGAGGTCGGGTTTGGTGGCTCACGCCTGTAATCCTAACAGTTTGGAAGGCCGAGGCAGGTGGATCAACTGAGGTCATGAGTTCGAGACCAGCCTGACCAACATGGTGAAACCTCATCTCTACTAAATATACAAAATGAGCCAGGCATGGTGGTTTGCATCTGTAATCCCAGCTACTCAGGAGGCTGAGGCAGGAGAATTGCTTGAACCCAGGAGGTAGAGGTTGCAGTGAACTGAGATCACGCCACTGCACTCCAGCCTGGGTGACAGAGTAAGACTCTATCTCAAAAAACAAAACAAAAATAAAAAAGAAAGAAAGAAAAGAAAAAGAAATAGACTTAAGATGCATACTCTTAGTAGTGAACATGAGAGTGAAGGGAAGTTGAATAAGTTTAAAAAATAAATGAAAAGGGGTAAGGTTCCTCTGGCCTCTTTCCTCGATATGTAACTTTCTGTGTGCCATGGTATGTAGTTTGAGATGTTACGCAGATTCTTGTGACCGGGTGATTGAGCTAAAGGGAGGAATGTTTCAGTTTAATCTGTATCAAGCTTGAAAGAAATCACTCTGGCTAAAGCTCAAAGGGGTTACATCTGAATAGTAAATTCACATTATTGACAAAGAGAAACTCTTACTGCCAATTTCTAGTGGATGTAAGTTTGGGTGCATAAGTTTGATAGAATCTTCACATCTTGTATTCATCCCTTCACAAACATGCTGTGTGCTTCACAAGCAATATCTCTTCAATACTCTTATCCTTGCTTTATATAGAGGAAATTTAGGTTTCAAGAGGTGAATGGCTTACAACAATTATACAACAAGTAAGATCTGGAGTTAGGATCAAATCATCCAACAGTCCAGGATCCAGGGTTCATGTTCTTTTCCACCACTTGAGTGTTATCCAAATTTCCCAAATTTCTGCCATTTGCATGCCCCTTTCTCTATGTCATACCAGATAAATACTACAAATAACACCTACAATGTTATACTTTTTCATTAAATTAATTCACTGTTTATTTTCAAATAAAGTTATTTCTAAGAGATTGTTATATTTCTACCATCAATTGAAAACTAGTCACCCTTCTTTTGGAAGAAGGTAAACATTAGAACAATTTAATCACGAAGTCAACTGCTCTTAAACATTAAGATTGTCAGTAAGCCACATAATATCTACCGGAATGCCATAATGGTATATGAACCACACTTTAGAGACACTGTGGGAATCCATACTACCTTTTTGTGATCTGTATCTCAACTTCCCTCTCCAGCATACGCTCCTGCCATCTTTCACCCCAAGTACTCATCACACTAAACCCTCTTCTTGAATCCTGGAACAAGCCTTGGATCTTGAACATATTTGGTTTGCTCTGCCAGGAATGCCTTTCCTCACAAAACTCAGCTCTAAACCTTTATTACCTTTTCAAGATCTAACTCCAACGTTACCCCTTCCCCAAGGCTCTTTGTCTCTGCCACTGCATAGCCGTCCTTCTGCGTTTGCACAGCACTTTGCAAGAGGCATTATTACTTATGATTAAATGAGATATTGCAATGTAAAGTACCCAAAATGCATAGTAAGCACCCAACAAATAACAGTTATTGTAATGGAACTTAAACAGTGAACATAGCTATATACTCCTATCTCTGTTTCTCCTACAAACCTTGAGGATGCCCACGACCCCTAATCTCAGGGCATACCTCTCATCTTTAAAATCCCCCAAGAACAAGAACAGAGAAGACATTCAATAACACATTTCATGTTTAGTTTTGTCACTTGTTTTGTTTTGTAGACTAATATATATATATGTTATCTATCTATCTATCTATAGGTCTATCTATAGATAGATATCTATACCTATTTTCATAAATATATATATTCATAGATATCTATACCTATTTTCAGAAATAGGTATAGATAAAAGAAATAGAAAATGTTCTTTTTTGTGATTTGTTTTGCTTTGTAGACTAATATATAGATAGTCCATATGTCTATATAGATAGGTAGTAGTCTAACTAGATATAGAAAGACTATATAGAGATATATACAGACTATCTAATATAGACTATATATAAACTAATATAGACTATATAGAGATATACAGACTATCTAATATAGGCTATATATAGATATATAGAGACTATAGATATATAGATATATAGAGACTATAGATACGTATATATGTCTACAAAACAAAATAAATGACAAAACAAAAAAGAAAATATCAATATATGTTTCTGAAAATAGGTTTCATTCCTTTTTAATTATTATAGATTCAAAGGTACAAGAACAGTTGTGTTACATAGACATATTGCATAGTGGCGATGTCTGGGCTTTTAGTGTAACCATTACCCTAGATAGTGTACATTGTACCCAACAATATTTCACCTCTCATCCTGCTCTCACCCTCCTACCTTTTGGAGTCTCCAATGTCTATGATTCCACTCTGTATGTCTGAATAATATGTGTCTTTAATAAATAAATGCTGACACAAGGCATTAGGCTAGGTGTCATGGAGGGCATACAGATGTGTAAAATGCTAGCTCCACTTTTAAGGAACCGATCCTCTCGCAATGAGGTTCATTGTGATGGCATTTGACCTGTACAGGTTTTATGCTGTCATTACGTGTTGATATACAATAAAATTTTTAAAAAATACTTAAGAAATATGATCACATTGCTGATGTTCTTCTGGTTTTCTTTAACTCTCTTTAGTTCTGGAGGATCAGAAATGGCTGTTGCATGTTTAATCTCTTCTTTGTATTTCACCTGCATAATTTATAAGAATATAACGTTAACTTTATTCTATGCAAGGCTTTAAAATATTGAGAATTCTTCAATTGTAACTATTGCATAATTGAATTTTATTAATTCCAACATTACTTTTCCTTCACTGGGGACATAATTCTTAATTTTATATGATGCTTTCAGGATTCCTTATTCCTAAGGTACAAATAAATCCGTATCTATTCACTTATTCATCACTATAGGAGTTTTTTAAGTAAAATAAGCAAATGTTGCTTATAAAAATAAATTTTATCATTAGGCAGATGCAGGAAAAAAACCTTGTACATTATCGTAAATAAAATGATTATTTTCTATCCAAAAATCAGTTTCTATTAATATGGTAATTAAAATTTAACAAGTATTTAAAGGCAAAAGTCAAATTGATTTAGCCACAGAGTCTGGGGAGCACTGCTTGTCTGACTGAGAGCACATAAATAATAAGGAAATAAATAAGGAAATAAGGAATTCCTTATAGAATAAGGAAAAAAATAAAGTGAGCACAATAAAAGAAGAGAAAAAGGGAGATGGAAGGAAATGTACTAAAAGCATAGACCACTGGGTCCTGCATCAGTATAAGGAAGGTCAGCGCCAGGAAGTCAGAGATGTCTGCTATCCACACAATCACATTAGGAAAAGCTCACCTTTATCCTGGCTTCTACTTCACTCAAAATCTCCCCCATCACATATATTTAGAGGAAGATCAATCAGGCAAATGGTAATACAAGCATACAGTTATGCACGGGACAAGAAAGAGTTCTTTGAACTCATAAAATGATTAGTGATACTATCAATTCAGGTGGTATTTTAATATGTCTAAAATTCATGGAAGATAATTCAAATTCAATCTTCCTTGAATGAAAAGGATACATATATATGTAAGTATATGAAAGCATAGGCTCAACTTAAGAGGCCGTGTTGAAATTTAGTAAATATCTAAATCTACATGAAACATGTTTCAGAAATCACCTGGTAATGTTTAAAATGATTAAGGGTGAAAACCATGCAGACTGTCATAAAGAAACAGTACCTAAATATCTCAGATATCATCTATGTCTTAGTATCTGTGGATTTCATGTAAGTAACAATGCCAATATTAGTCCAGACCCAAAACAGTTAAATTGGAAGTTCACTGAGACAGGCTACCTCTAAATAAAATTCAAAAATAGTTCTTAAGACAGAGAGCTAACAGCTAAAAGGCTTGTACTCTGGAGGTGGAAAATGTCGAGATCTTTAAATGTTAGAGAATCATATCTTGGTTTGACAGATCTAGCTAATCTTAAAAGGGCAACTTTCCATTTGAATACTAAGCAGGAGTTTATGGCCCAACCTCATGCAGATACAGAACTATGCATTTATTGTTTGCTAGAAGAGGCTGTGGGATGCTAAGAGAAGAAATGATATACTGTAATACTCTGGGATTTTCCTCAGGTAAGAAGCTTAACATGATTAAAGATGAACACTTTTGTTTTTCAAAGGGACTCTAATCAAAATGGCACAGTTATTTCACTGTAGTCTATAGAATTGCACACTACAGAATATTTATAATATTAAACCACAGTACATCGATGGGTGCATTTTAAATATTATCATTGGAAAGAGAAGCAATGAATATTTTATACTTCTCTCCCAACCTAATTCATCTACCAGGCTAACACAGGCTCTCACCATGAAAGATCAGAAGAACACATTCATCCACTCTCATCCACACCTTAAGCCTAGGTCCTCCTTACACTTTATTCAAGAGACAGCTCCATGGTGCTACAGAGGTTTTATTGCACTCATATTCTGTAGACTTTTTATGCTTTTATTTTGAAGTATACTTTACTATTGCATTCTCTTACCTCTCCTACACTTTCTTCACAAACGCTGACCCACACTGATATTCTCTGGATGCTGCATAATGACCAAGTGACCCACAGATGAGTCTAATCAAGGCAATTCTGCTTGGATTACTTAAAGGGAAGGTGCTCTTTCCAAGGATAAGGTGAAAAGATAAGTCAGAGTAAGGGATTTAAAGAACGAATCCTTTTTACTTCCTCAAGAAACTAAATGTAACGGAAAGGCACAGTAGCTTATGCCTGTAATCCCAGCACTTTGGGAGGCTGAAGCGGGAGGATCACTTGAGGTCAGGTGTTTGAGACCAGCCTGGCCGACATGGTGAAACCCCATCTCTACTAAAAATAAAAACAATAAAAATAAATGGCCAGGTGTGGTGGTGTGTGCCTGTAATCCCAGCTACTCGGGAGGCTGAGACAGAAGAATCACTTGAATCTGGGAGGCAGTTGCGGTGAGCTGAGATTACGCCACTGCACTCCAGCCTAGGCAACAAAGCAAGACTCTGTCTCAAAAAAAAAAAAGAAACTCAATGTACTAAATATACATGGGAGAATATCAAATTGGTAAGGAGAGCAATTATCCACAGCAAATGTCAAACACTCAATGGAAAAAACAATTTATCCGTAATATTAAGCACCTTAATGTTAGAAGGACCCTTCCAACAGAAGAGGACCCCTCCCCCCAGTCTAAAGGTTACTGGAAGCTAAGTTATTTCACAATTTATAGTGAAGATGTGTGATTTGTTTTCGTTTCTGCTGGAAGAAGCAGAAGGTAAAACAGGCTGGAAAGAAGAAATGGGCAGAAGCGTGTCTGATAAAAAGCTTAGAGATGTGACTGACATCGGTTAAAAATGAACTGGTACTATTTGCCTTTTCAAATCTAATCCTTCACTTAAGCTGCCAAATAAATGTTCTGGGGCCTTTAATCATTGTATCAGGGAAAAATTTCTTTCTTCCAACTTGTGGAGAGGTACTGAAATGTATCCTTTCTCTGCAAAATTTAATAGAGTTAAAATTCTCTTCAAAGAGATGAAATCTAACCCTAGGTTTCATTAAAATGACCTAGCTCTTCTTCATTGTGATATATCAAAATGAAACACTGCTTCAGAGTCAAGGGGAACAAGGATACAGTTTTTGTTCTGAAAGTTAGATCTTTGATATATGATGAAATAGCATTTCAATAAAGTGAAGAATAAAAGGAAAAAAGCCATCAGTTGAGTAAAGAACTAAAAACATTTGTCTATAGTTTTGGTTTGCTTTTAGAAAAGATAATTAATGCTGTAGAGAACTTACTGAACTAATATTCTGCTGATTTTTCTTCACTCGTTCGATCTCTGGGCTATCTTTCACTGCAGTGCCAGCTCCCACTTCTTTCTTATAAAATACCTTTATTATAAGAAAAGGAAAAGAATAACTAAGCTTGTCAGAATTCAAGTCCTAGATCCGCTTCTTAGAAAGACAATTTCTCAGGTTTTATAATAATATGAATACTGCATCTATTTATGAGTGCCGGAATTATAGGAACAAATTAAATAATCCATTCAGATAATCCATGAAAACTTTGGTTTTATATCCCATAATCTCACAAATAACCCTCTCCTGCTCTAGGTCTAGACCACTACCATGGCTGACTGCAGATTATTTGCTTTAAGAATACACATTGGCAAACCAGAGTTCCTTTCTTCAAATATAAATATATGTCCCATGTGTATTTGAGAAAAAGCAGATATTACAAAAGCCCATTAAGCCGTTATCACTGAATTCAAAAAGAAAATGACATTTTAGGCAACTTCTATGCTCCAAACACAAGGATGCCCACATTCTCTTCCAAGAAAATGTTAGCTCATCATCAATATCAATGTTAATTTCAAGTCTATCTTCTTCATCTTCCACTTATTTGTTAACCCTCTCCCATGTGTCTCCACCCCTACTAACGTCTACCCTTCCAAACCCAAAGCAGAACAAAAACACAAGAGTATTTATGAGTGCCCTCGTTATGAGTACTCTGCAGAAAAACAGAGTAATTATAAGAAAGGTAAATGAGGATAGAATTACTCCCTTTCTTGACATTTGGTAATCCAGTGGCCCCCGCGTGGGTGGGAGAGCACGGTAGGAGAGATGTTTTCCTCCAAAGGCTAGAACTACAGAACACTATAGAATCACACAGCCTCTTTTCCTCATCCTTCCATCAAGACTTTCCCATTTCTCAGTACAGCCTGGCCATCCCTGTGGAGACCCAGCAGACATCTGACCAGCTTACTCTGAGAGCTGGCGCTTGCCAACTAATTAGGAGGTAGGAAATATTCCAGAAGTCCTCACACTTACTAGAATTTATATTTTGATGAGATGCTTCCTTAACTATTAATGACTGAGCTAATTCTATGTTAAAATATTAGTTGTATGGTCAATTTTTACAATTTTAGAACAGAAGTCAAGTTTATACATTTATTAATGGACTCAGCCTCTTAATTAATAGTGCTGATGCACTATTTACAATAGGAAAGACATGGAATCAACCTGAATGCCCATCAATGATAGACTGGATAAAGAAAATGTGGTACATATACACCACAGAATACCATGCAGTCATAAAAAAGAATGAGATCATGGCCTTTGCAGGGACATGGATGGAGCTAGATGCCATTATACTTAGCAAACTAATGCAGGAACAGAAAACCAAATACCGCATTTTCTCACTTATAAGTGGGAGCTAAATGATGAGAACACATGGACACACAGAGGCGAACAACACACACAGGGGCCTATCAGAGGGTGAAGAAGGAGGGGAGGGAGAGGATCAGAAAAAATAACTAATGGGTACTAGGCTTAACACCTGCGTGACAAAATAATCGTACAACAAACCCCTATGACACAAGTTTACCTATGTAAAAACCTGCACAGGTACCCCCAAACTTAAAATAAAAGTTAAAAAAAAAAGTGCTGATGCAATTCCTCTTCCTCAAAATAAAAATATAGAAGTTTAGAAATTTATTAAGAATGAGTAAATGGTTAGACATATTATCAGTAAAAACAATCAATAACCAGGAATAAAATCACTTCATATGACTATTTTCACCTTCAAAGTAAAATCTGTGTAGAAGACAGACTTCTTTCCTGAGTTAAATTTTAAAATTTAGTTAATAACTGTCATTTATACCGAAGAGGAAATTTTGAATTTGTAATTCCAAAAAAATAATGAAAAATGATAATTTGTAAAAATTATCAGTATTCTTATTATTTTAAAGAAATAAAGATAATACACTTGACAGAAAATTCAACTAAGACAGCAGAAAACATCAGACAATGAGGAAAAAAGACCATTTCTTACAAAACAAAATTTCAAGGTGGCAACTTAAAAGAAGTAATGGCTACTCACCGCACTAATGTTTTGTTGAGTTGTCTTAATTCTCTGAATTTCAGGAGTATCTGCTATGGTAGAATAGTTAGAAAGCATCTTCTCTGCTTCATCTTTATACTTTCTCTAAAAACATAAACAGTTAATATAAATCTGAAACTATGTGTGTGCGCACATGTGAGAGGGAGGGAGGGAGGCAGGAAAGGAGGAAGGGAGAGAGAGAGAGTAAAAAACTGTTTTTACTGACTTACACTCCCAGAGAGAGAGAGAGAGAGGTGGAGAGACAGAGATAGAATGATACCATTCTTCGATCTCTACCATACGACATGGCTTCTAGATTTACGCTTTGCTTCCTACTTCATGTGAAGATAGATTTGATTAAGGGAAAGTTAACAGTATTTTGAAGTTGAGATTAAAATCTTAATTTTCTCTCCACTAAATGAGCTACTATGAGCTCTAATACAACCCAGGCAATATCTTATCCTAGTACCAGCACTTACATTGTACTTACTATGTAATGGGTATTGTTCTAAATACTTAACACACACTAACTCATTTAATCAACCTGACAAGCAGATACTATTATTATTTCCATCTTACAGATGGAGAAACTGAAGTACTAGATAGTAAGTATCAGAGCCTCAACTTAAAACCAGGCTCTCTGATTCCAAAATCAGTGAAGTTAATTATTCTGGCAAACTACTTAAGAAAATGTGGCACATATACACCATGGAATACTATGCAGCCATAAAAAATGATGAGTTCATGTCCTTTGTAGGGACATGGATGAAATTGGAAATCATCATTCTCAGTAAACTATTGCAAGAACAAAAAACCAAACACTGCATATTCTCACTCATAGGTGGGAATTGAACAATGAGAACACATGGACACAGGAAGGGGAACATCACACTCTGGGGACTGTTGTGGGGTAGGGGGAGGGGGGAGGGATAGCATTAGGAGATATACCTAATGCTAGATGACGAGTTAGTGGGTGCAGCGCACCAGCATAGCACATGTATACATATGTAACTAACCTGCACATTGTACACATGTACCCTGAAACTTAAAGTATAATAATAATAAAATTAAAAAAAAAGAAAGGTAACTACTATTCATGTTGAAATGCACCAGGCTTCATTACACCCTCGTAAGTATCCCAATTGTATTTCAGTGATTAAAATCCCTTAAAATTAGATATATTCTCACACCACACTAAAAAAAAATCTATGCTGTTGAGTTAATGCAGGAAATCTGACAGCTCAGGCACCTTCACTCTCAATACTTTTACTTTCAGGTGTATATATCATGGTTGTAATACTATATTTACATGATTATTAGATTTATCTGTAGCTTTCCAAGAGCAAAGCCATGTCTAGTTTTGCCTGCAAATGGGTGCTCAGGAGGTATTTACCTACTGAAGGAATGAATTTGGCATTCTTGAGAGAGTAAGTAACTCTTCTCCACTGACTCAAATGTCTATTTGTTGTTTAATGCATTGACTTAGGATTTTAGTTAAGCTGATATGGCCAAGCCAATGTCTCCAAGTTCACGAACACTGAGAACAGAACACACACTTCAGGATCATCCCAGCGGCTGTGTCGGCTGCGGAGGCTGAGAGGCACACAAGTCCTCTGACATTTGACTCTGCCATCTTGATACTACCCTTTTGAACTAGTGGATGGTTAATGTCCTTGCTTATGTCTTAATCAGAATTTTAACAAATTTCACCAAATGTTGTTACACAATCCTTTCTGCATAAACTCCATTAATCAAATTAAATGCTATGGTCAATTTTAAATAACCATTTTCATTTTTTTCATTCCTTCTATTTTTTTCCATTGGGAGTCATTCTTTTTTAGTAAATGTTACAGCAAAGATATTATTTGCTAATGAATGTTTTTGCCCAAGTCAGATTTTATAAATAAATTCTTCTTCCATAAATTTTTGTGGTCACTACTTCTCCCACATCCAGCTTTGTTTACAGAATATGGGACAAGTATATTTGACAAATCTAAATTTTACCAAGAAAACCTCACTGTTCCCTTAATTTTTACCTAACACTAAACTTCACTTTATACCTTGTGCAGCTTTAGCCACTGTTAGCTTTATTTGGAACTATTTTAATATTAATATTCATTATGAAATGGTTAAAAGACAAAACGTTTGTAATTTATTTTTCTGTAGTATTAGCAAAAGCATTTGAGCCAAGTGTCCAATAGGGTCAAAAAAAAAAAAAGAAAGAAAGAAAAGGTTAAAATATCCTTGGGCTGGGCACAATGGCTCATGCCCACTGAGGCAGGAAGATAAGCTTGAGCCCAGGAGTTTGAGGCTGCAGCAAGCTATGATGGTGCCACTGCATTCCAGCCTGGGTGAAAGAGTGAGACCTCCATCTCTAAAATTTAAAAAAAAAAAAAAAAAAAAAAAGGTTTAATGTCCTTGGACTCAAAACAAGGAGCCCCGACAGAGAGGCTGTAGCTCTCCATAATGTCTGTTGCATTGAATCTATGACTGTTGTCCTATTAATTAGTACGGTTAATCAAGTTTGGCCAATGGTTTCTTAGTGAAAGAGTACACTAGCTCTGAATGCAATGCCCTCAGAAAGATATCATTCATAGAGACATACAAAGCACATGGCAACATGACATTGGAATACACGATTCTGAGCATCTTCATTCATGACCAACCTGGCTATAGATTTCAGATGTCCTCTTGGCTCGAAGGATATCTGGGATATCCATGCTCACTTGCATTCCTTTCCCTTTAATTTCATTTTCTAAGTCCTTCTTGTATTGTTTCTAAAAGAACAGAAAATAATCTTAGAGCTTTGCTTAAGCTTTAATAGCGATGTTGAAATTTACATGTTTGAATCTCAAAGCCACCCATGTGGAAAGAAAACTTATGCTCTTTCCAGCTATGATTCACGGCATTTATTTTAAACTTTGTATCTTGCTGCTGTCTTACCTGGCTGGCCATCTCGGATGCTTTCTTAGCTCTCTGGACATCAAGAGTGTCTGTGCTCACCTGCATCCCTTTCCCTTTAATTTCAGTCTCCAGATCTCTTTTATAGTCTTTCTGCAGAAAATGAAACATACAGTTAGTGCTCTCCAATCATTTGAGAAACTGCTCAAAAATCGAGATGTCATTTTGACATTAAGACCATGTCTTTTGGAATGAAGTTGAATCCTTATTTCTTTTATTTCTATAGAATAATAGAGTTTTTACTTGTGGTAGGAATACGACTTAGTATAACTTATTCACCAGTAATCAGAACAATTTTTTTCAGCTAATCTGAATTAAGAAGAAGAAAAAACACAGCTAGCCAAGGGGAAAATTTAACATTTCAATATGATAAACTTGATATATTATTGGGTCATATATGGCTTAGTTAAGTGTCAGTCAAGAGTGATTGTAAAATTGCTGTTTTTCACTCTGTAGTGAATAAGTGTTGGTTGCTTCTCTGGAATCCACCCCTTTTTTCCCCTTCATTGGCTCCCTAATTTGCCACTAGACAACTCAATGTTCCCACTCCTAAACCATCCAGCTTCGGTGAGACTGGCTCAAATCTCTGGACTTAGCTGGGCTTAAATAAATCATTATTCCCTTCACTGGCTCTCTGATTTGCCACTGGACAAGTCAATGTTCCCCACTCCTAAACCATCCAGAAACTGGCCCAAGTCTCTGGGATCTGCTGGACTCAATAAATCATTATACCCCATCACCCACACTGCAGAATTGGTTCTGGGATGCATGCATCTTTTTTTCCATATAAGAGCTGCTGGAAGCCTCTTTGCAAACAAGAATGTCTACCTAAGAACTGCAAGCTGAAACTATATCTCATTATTTGAGTCCTAGATCAAGCCGTGCCTAGGAATTTCTCTACTATTCAATCATAAGAACAACAAATAAGTTATCTCTGTTTTTTTTTTAAGCCAGTGGGAAATGGATTACCAATTGCTTACAAGATAGTCATAATTACATAGACACACATGTCTTTAGGGACTTCTGTCACATTTGAAAACTGATTATAAAATTCAGAAAGCTGTACATATATAAATTTGCTTTTTCTATATGTATATTATTCTTCAAAGAAAAATGTTATTAAAAAAAACTATTAACTATAGCCAATTAAATTTGCTTTAAAACAATTATTTCTTATTATGCTGACACACTCCAGATTTGTAGATTCTCTGCTGCAAAGTAAATGTTGATTTGCTTATTAGGAGATCCTCAAATTTAGGTAAGTGGTAAACAAAAATCTCAGTCTTGGAGTATTTTGCCTCCTATCTTCCACTCATAATCCTTCCTGTTTTTACTGACTTACACTCCCAGTATCACTTTTCTAAATAAAAGTTTACATAATTATGTTTAACTTTCAAAATATTAATATTCAATTATTACTATGTCTACAAAAAGCACTCTGTTTTAGTCAGCCTGTTCAAAGCCCCAAAATGAAATGTTTCATTTGAAGGCCAACAAATATGATGAAACTGAGGCACTGATAACAGACAGCCACCAAGGTCTGATGGTAAAAGGATGTAACAATTTTTTAATATGAACTTTCAAATGTAAATGTGTTCTAAAGCACATAGACTACATTAGACACCCTTTGCATCAGTTATTTGTTGTCTGCATAACAAAACACACCAAAACTTAGCAGGTTTAAAACAACATGGCGGCATCTACATTCCAAGAGGGCAAACCCTAATGCAGAAGTGTGTTTATAGTCTGAGTCACATTTGCTGATGTCTCATTGGCTAAAGAAAGTCACATGGTCAAGCCCAGAGATATGGGAAGGCTTGACTCTTGAGGGTCATTTGTGTCACAATAAGATCCATTGACTTTATTTGAAAAATAAACTTTTGATATTAAAAATAAACTATGGCAAAGTCCCGAACATTGGTTGAAAATGATCTGAGCCTGTCATTTAGGCAAAATGGGACATGACTATGATTATATGCAAATGAGATTTTTATTATTATTATTTGGGGGGTTTTTATTGACTAAGATTCTCAGCCTGAGAGTGGAGACTTCACCAGAGCCACGTGAATCAATTTACACTGGATGTGACTGGAAACCATTAAAGAATTGCATGTGAGGAGAGTAACAAAATTTCATTTAATTGCCTCAAGGATTCTTCTCCTGCTGGGTTAAGAATGTCTACTAGGACCCTGGAGGCAGAGCTTGCAGTGAGCCGAGATTGCACCACTGCACTCCAGCCTGGGCGACAGAGCGAGACTCCGTCTCAAAAAAAAAAAAAAAGAAAAAAAGAATGTCTACTAGGAAGGCAATAATAGCAGAATTCTGGTTAGGAAGCTATGGCAATGATCTAGAGGATAGAGATAGTGGCTTAGGACTAGGGTGGCAAGAAAGATGGATTTAGACCACCACTATGGGGGTGGCATCAATAAAGTATGCTGATGACAGGAATCAAAGTGACTTCTATGCTTTGGTTGGCGCCATTTGAAGATTGGGGAAAGCTAACCTAGGGGAAAATTAGGGATTCTAGTTTTGGCCTGTAACGTTGAGATCCCATTATACATTTCCCTTGCAGACAACAAAAGATAAATGGTCACATATTCACATCCATGTTACAGAACACTTAATTTTTCTATAAGAATGAGGTAGACCTATATGAAGGAACATGGAAAAAAATCCTTAATATAAAGTGAGAAAACAATCAACCACTTAAATGGGGTCTGACCCCATTTAAGATTTTTTTAAGTCGCTGTGTGTACATGTGTATGTTTATCTATATAAACACAAAATAGATTTGGAAGGTTCCATAACAAACTTATAACAATGACTATCTCTCAGGACGAGAACAGAAGTAGGAAAGGGATAAAGCAGGTTTTCAAGTTCCTCATGCTCCTGGCCGTCCACCCCTGGCCACCACTTCAAAATGGAACACTTATTGATCAGGAAACCTATACCATCTCCACTTCCTTTGTCTTATTCAATCATGGCAATCCCATTTCCCTGGCCAGTGCCTAACTCTGGGGATGTCAGTCATTTTCAAAACAACAGTAACTTCCCTAGCAGCTAAGCAGCTACCTCTGGCCTTCCAGATTTCCTGTAAGGTGTCAGTCCTGAGTCAGCTCTTCCTAAGTGCAAAGATCACACAACAGGTCTCAGGATACTCCACTGAAGCCCCCACCTAACCAACCTTGAGATAAGTGAACAGGACCCCTTCACCTGCACCCCGATTTTTTCTTCACATACACTTTTTATAAAATCATCACATCCCAAAGCTTCTTTACTCCAGTGATCCTTTTATATTCTCAGATTTTCTGGGGAAGTTCAAGAGGTGTAGAGAAAGTTCTAGGGTATTTCCTTTGAAAAATATGCATATGGTCTGACTCCTACAACCTTGTGATGTGATACCCAGCCTGTCACAGAATTTAAGACAAAACTTCTAAATCAATATCCTGTATCCCATGAAGAAAAAACTGGTGTTATCAGATGAATGAACATGGTCGTTCAGGTTATATCAGACCTCCATCCAAAATGCTGACTGTGTAGAAATTTCATGCGTGCTGATCATGTCAACAAAGGCTATTTTAAGAACATGCAATCAGACAGGAATGACTATTGTTCTCATGTAAAGTGTCCATATATGAAGTTCTGCTCAGAAATTTGGAAATACAGATATGCCAAGCAGCACATGATCCATTAAAAAATACCATGAAAACATTTATCATAGCCTAGATTACCATTAAATCTGTTGTATTCTGAAATAAGGTGTGCAGGGGAGTGCATGTGTGCATGTGTGTCTGTTCAATTAAAATGCCTTCCACCAAGCTTTCTTGATATATTGGAAGGATATGAGCAAAGCAAAAACTGTAATTTTTCAAACTGGCATAATGCTTCGGAATAGTCTCCATTCCAAACTGTTAAACCAGCTGCAATGCTTTGAGAAATTCCATATAGTAATCAAGTTGCTAATACGATTTGTTAGGTTCCAAAATATGAGTCTTAAGGCCTGCATCACGCACCCTACTAACCTCACTCGCTATCTCTGCAGCCTTCTTGGCATGCTGCATTTCAAGGGTGTCAGTGCCAGCTTGCATTCCTTTCCCTTTAATTATTGACTCCAGGTCTTTCTTGTATTCTTTCTGCAAAAGACAACATTTTACAACATTCAAACACTCAGTGGGCAAACATGCATCTGCAGTCAATGATACTAAAAAAAAAATAGTTAGACATATTTTACAAAAGAGGTAACAAAGCTCCTTGAGTACTATGAATGATCACTCACAACTAACTTCTGAACTGCTTAGAATGATAATCTCATTCTCACTGAAGAAGGGCATGCAAAGCTCCAAAAATGTTTAGTATACAAAGGCAATTGCCATGTGAAAATCTTCACTGACAATTTTCTTTGGGGCTGGAGGATAGGGAGGTGGGTGTAAATGAGCTGCTGTTGTACAAAACAGATGAACTTAGAAGCCAGAGCATTCACCAGCTGTATGACACTGAGAATTCTTAACCTTTCCAGTTTACTCATCTGCAAAATGAAGGTAGTAATGCAAGCATACCTCATTTTTATTGTGCTTTGTAGATATTGCATTTTTTTTTACAAACTGAAGGTTTGTGGCAACTCTGCTTGTCAAGCAAGCCTATCGGTGCTATTTTTCCAACAGTATGTGCTTACATGGTGTCTCGGTGTCACATTTTGGTAATACAATATTTCAAACTGTTATGGTGCTTTGTGATCAGTGATTTTTTTGTTTTGACAGAGTCTTGCTCTCTCGCGCAGGCTGGAGTGCAGTGGCGTGATCTCGGCTCACTGCAACTTGTGCCTCCTGGGTTCAAGCGATTCTCCAGCCTCAGCCTCCCGAATAGCTGGGACTACAGGCATGCGCCACCACATCCAGCTAATTTTTGTATTTTTAGTAGAGACCAGGTTTCACCACGTTGGCCAGGCCGGTCACGAACTCCTGACCTCAGGTGATCCACCCACCTCGGCCTCCCAAAATGCTGGGATTACAGGTGTGAGCCACCGCATCTGGCCAATCAGTGATCTTTGATGTTACTATTGAGACAGACAGATAGGAGGGGGTCACTGGCAAAACTCCAACTGGCCTGTGCACTGGGAAGAGCATGCGCTGGGGTGGAGCCACAGAAGTTCCGGCAGTTTGCAAGAGGGAGGAGCCTGGCCTCTCCTATTCCTGTGTGGAACCTGGGATTCAAACTGTGAGGTGGGAAGCACTCTAGCAGGGACTCTGGCCTTGCAGAGAGTCCCTGTTTCCCCCTTTTCTTCCTTTACACCCAATAAAACTCTGCTTTACTCACCCTTCAAACTCTCTGCAAGCCTAAATTTTCATGGCCATGGGACAAGGACCCTGTCTTTAGCTGAACCAAGAAGAAGTCCTGCAACACTATTGTAATTGTTGGGAGATGCCACCAAATGCACCCCTATAAGTCAGTGAACTTAATCGAGAAATGTTGTGTGTGTTCTGGCTGCTCCACTGATCAGCCGTTCCTCTATCTCTTTCCCTCTCTTTGGGCTTCCCTATTCCCTAAGTCAAAACAATATTGAAATTGGGCCGATTAGTAACCCTACAATGGCCCCTAGATGGTCAAGTAAACAGAAGAGACGTGCTTTAAGTCAAAAGCTAGAAATGACTGAGCTTAGTGAGGAAAGGATGTCAAAAGCCAACACAGGCCCAAAGCTAGGACTCTTGTGCCAAACAGTTATTCGAGTTGTGAATGCCAAGGAAAAGTTCTTGAAGGAAATTAACAGTGCTACCCCAGTGAACACATGAATTATAAGAATGTGAAACAACCCTATTGCTGATATAGAGAAAGTTTTAGTGGTCTGAATAGGTCAAACCAGACAAAACATTCCAGACACAACATCCCCTTAAACCAAACCTAATCCAGAACAAGGCCCTAACCCTCCTCATTTCTGTGAAGGCTGAGAGAGGTGAAGAAGCTGCACAAGAAAAGTTGGAAACTAGCAGAGGTTGGTTCATGAGGTTTAAGGAAAGAAGCCATCTCCATCATATGAAAGTGCAAGGTGAAGCAGCAAGTGCTGATGGAGAAGCCACAGCAAGTCACCCAGAAGATCTAGCTAAGATAATTAATGAAGGTAGCTACACTAAACAACAGATTTTTGATGCAGACAAACCAGCCTTCTATTGGAAAAAGATGCCATCTAGGACTTCCATAGCTAGTGAGGAGAAGTCAATGTCTGCTTCAATTCTTCAAAGGACAAGCTGACTCTTATTAGGGTCTAACACAGCTGCTGACTTTAAGTTGCAGCCAATGCTCATTTACCATTCTGGAAATCCTAGGGTCTTTAAGAATTATGCTAAATCTACTCTGCCTATGCTTTATAAATGGAATAACAAAGCCTGGATGACAGCACATTTGTTTAAAGTATGGTTTACTGAATATTTGAAGC
The DNA here is from genome assembly GCF_000001405.40 of Homo sapiens. Lineage (NCBI taxonomy): Eukaryota > Metazoa > Chordata > Mammalia > Primates > Hominidae > Homo > Homo sapiens. Next base: position 20,837,918 of record NC_000010.11, read on the forward strand.
CCACTGCCAAAACCTAATGTTCATAAAAGAAAGACTCCTTGAAAATATTAATGTTCAGTTACAATGCACCTGGTCACCAAACAGTTCTGATAGAAATGTATAAGGATATTCATGTTTTCGAGCCTGCTACTCAACATCCATTCTGCAGCCCATGGATCAAGGAAAATTTTTACTTTCAAGGCTTATTATTTAAGAAATACATTTCATAGGGCTATACCTGTCATAGATGGTGATTCCTCTGATGAATCTGGGCAAAGTAAATTGAAAACCTTCTGAAAAAGATTCACCACTCTACATGCCATTAAGAAGATTAGTGATTCATGAGAGAAGTACAAAATATCAACATTAATAGAAGTTTGGAAGAAGTTGATTTCAACTCTCATGGATGACTTTGAGGGGTTCAAGACTTCAGTGGAGGAAGCAACTGCAGATGCAGTGGAAATAGCAAGAGAACTAGAATTAGAAGTGGAACTTGAAAATGTGACTGAACTGCTGCCATCTCATAATCAAACTTGAATGGATAAGGAGTTGCTTCCAATGGACAAGCAAAGAATGTGGTTTCTGAAGATCAAATCCTTGTGAAGATGCTGTGATCATTATTGAAATAACAACAAAAGATTTAGGATACTACAAAAACTTTGTCATTAAAGCAGCAATGGGTTTGAGAGGTTGGTCTCTAATCTTGAAAGTTCTACTGTGGGTAAAATATATCAACAACATCACATGCTACAGAGAAATCTTTCATGAGAGGAAGAGGCAATTAATGTGGCAAACTTCATTGTCATCTTATTTTAAGGAATGGCCACAGTCAACCCAACCTTCAGCAGCCACCATCCTGATCAGTCGGCAGCCATCAATATAGAGACAAGACCCTCCGCCAGTGAAAAGATTACCACTTGCTGAAGGATCAGATGATCATTAGCACTATTATAAATAAAGTACTTTAAATTAAGATATGGATGTATTTTGAACATAAGCCTATTGCATACTTCTTAGACTACAGTATGGTATAAACATAACATGTATATGTATGGAGAAACCAAAAAGTTCATGCGAATCACTTTATTGTGATATTTGCTTTATTAGAGTGGTCTGGAACCGAACCCATAGTATCTCCACAGTGTGTCTGTACCTCCATGTAGGATCCATTGTGAGGATCAATGACAGTGCATAGCACAGAGGAGATGATCAACACCTGACACCTTCTTCCAGTTTTTCAATCTTATTCTCCTAGGCCGGTTCTTCCTTCTCCTAATAAGGCCTAATTAATGCTGCTCCTGCCGCCATCCTGCCATTCAACTGCATCTGTCTGTACTTTGCCATTGAGAGAATAAAACAACTTTTACACATGCTACTGACAAGTAATTACAAGACAATCTCTGCATGTGGATTGGACATGTCACGGCAACAGAAGAATTTGCAGAAAATGACTAATGTAGGGTTAATGTGATGACAATGTTAGCCACAGACCTCACCAGGGGCACGTGTTGTTTATGGCTGACCAGCATCCATTCCTCCTCCTTCTGGCAAAAAGCTCCATGATTTCCTTTTGGGAAATGACCTCTAAGTTCTCTCAATCCATACCCTTGGGAAGGATTGATTTCCATCACCTCCCTAGTCCCCACATATATTTTTAATTCTACTAAAGTGCCTTTTAAATGTTTCCTTTATTTAAAGAATGTGAATATAGCTGAGATTAAGGTCATGTTTTAAACACATAAAAATTTAGAATGTTTTCTATAAGACACTGTTAAACTACCTCAACAAATGGGTGACCATGAGAGGATAATCAGCACATTCTACTCCCCCAATCCCAGACACAATGATTATGCCAGGTGTAAGCACAGGATAGAGATTAATCCAAGGAGATTCAAACCTAAGACTTTGATTGGAACTATAAAAAGGGATGTTCACTTCCCATTGGGATTACTGGCCATAGATATGAGTTATCCTTTTATTAAGTGGGTTCATTGCATGGAGACAGCCTTCCAGAAGCAAAGCCAATAGTGAAGATAACAGAACCAAGAGATGGAGGAAGAGAGACATCATCTGAATTCTACCTTGACAGTAACTCAATCTTCGGATTTTCTATTCCATGAGTGAAGACATCTCCTTTGATGCCTACCCTAGTTTGAGTTGGGTTTCTGTCATTTGTAACCTAAGAGTCACCATCACCATCGTCATCGCTATCATCATCATCATTATCATCAGAGTTTCAAAATATGGGGACAAGGCTTTAAGCTCTTTCACTGCTAAATTCAGCCAAAGTCTCTTAAAAGCACAGTGACACCATATGACCCAAAGTAATGACATAATACAAGGATTACAGGACTGAAAACACTTCAGAGACATTTCAGTTCTCCTTATAAAGTGCATGAAAAGTGAGCAGAAACCACTTTCATTTGATAAAGAGGCTGAATAAGGTTCAAACAGCAGCCCAGGGCAAGACTGGGAGAGTCAGTTGGGTTATGAGTGGCAAAGCATGTGAACTTTCTACCTGCAGTTACTGATGGACCATAATAACATACCTTCCCAATCATCTGCCTTTTACCTGCTTAAAAGATGAAGTTAAATCTCATTAAACTATTTTCGTTTATTATATGGATTTTCTCCAAAGTGGGGAAACGGCCATTTTTTTCACATCACATAGAAAGGGGATTTTAAAAAAAATTAATAGTCCAAGAAAAGACTACAAGGATATAGCTGTTTACAATCACTTACATATAAAAGTTATAGATGTATAGAACCTTTGAGAAAGATTGACAAATAAGAAAGTCAGCTAAAAACATATTCATCTAAGGTGTTAAATAAACATACTCACCTCACTTGCCATTTCAGAGGCTCGCTTTGCTCTTTGGATATCAAGAACTTCTGAATTAAGTTCCATTCCTTTCCCTTTTATCTCATTTTCCAAATCTTTTTTATATTCTTTCTATGAGACAAGAATATCACAGTTCAAAACTTAGCAGGAATCACTTTATTCAGTGTGCTATTCTACATGTTTTCTAGAGATCACAGAAATGAGAAAATATTACTAGGAAGGAATGAATCACACAGCTAAGTATTCATGCTTTTTTCCTACAGACACTTCATTTTCCCCTCTACCAAGTTCAGAGTGGCTTCCAATATTTTCAGCCTTTTCCTTTTCATACTTTCTGTCAATATGTTTTGGTACCATAGTGGATTTTTTTTAAAGACATCTTCTCTTTCAATGGTGAGGAAGATCTTAAGAACACGTGTTCCTTATTAATTGTTAAAACTATTTTTGAAAGTTCTATAAAACATGCATTACCAAAAAAGAACATGGTTGCAAAAGAATGGAAAATTACAAAATCAAAAGGAGTGATGTAGCCAAAGGTTTTTTTTAAAGTTTAAAAAGTGAGCAGAAACCACTTTCATTTGACTCAGGTCATTCCAAAATTATAAGCAGCCCATTCCAATGTCTAGTAAGCTATTAGGAGTTTCAATTACTTGGGCTCACCACAGCCTGATAGATGGTACTTGAAAGCAGATACTTCAAGCACTATCCATCACAATTACTTTAGGTATTTACTTTACCCTTTTACAAGCCTCAGAATATTTCAAGGCCCCCTTTACTATCTCTGATGGAATCTATGGCTCAACATTCATGATGATGAATGGAATCATCCATAGATAATGAAATGTGCATAGATGATGGAATCTATGGCTCACGATGATGATGATGATGATAGCGATGATGATGGTGATGGTGACTCCTAGGTTGCAAATGACAGAAACCCAACTCAAACTAGGGTAGACCAAAAAGGAGATGCAATCACTCATGGAATAGAAAATCCAAAGATTGAGTTATTGTCCAGTTGGAATTCACATGATGTCTCTCTTTCTTCATCTCTTGGTTCTGTTTTCTCTATTGGCTTTGCTTTTGGAAGGCTGTCTCCATGCAATTTAAAGAATTGGAAAACCAAAACATTTTCTACACATTAATAATAGTTTGAATTTCACCCATTTGAATGTCATATTTTAAGTAGATCCAAATGCCTTCTATGAATACTTACATACAACTTATTTTTCTCTGCTAATGAGTTGCTTGTTTTCTTACTTAATTGCGTATGAAAATCATAAATATCTTATTCCTATTCAACTAAGTTGCATTTATGATTAACTTGCCAGATGAAAGATGAAATTTCCTTTATTGATAAGAAATCAGGTTCCAGTTAATTCTAGGGTTCATTTCATGTTACTTTCCCTTCATCCATTATAATTAAATTAGCCTGTCCTCTGCTCAACTAATAGCTTACTAGACATTGGAATGGACTGTTTTATAATTTTGGAATGATCTGAGTCAAATGACCCGAGTGAAAGTCAGACCTCTTTCATTTATTTCGTGGTGTGACCTTCGGGAGTACTTTTAAGTAACTCAACCTTGATTTCCACCTTGGTGAAATGAAAATAAAAATACTTGTTCTAGTAATGTCAAAGGGCAATGGGGGGATCATAGGAAATGAAGTATAAAATGATACTTTGAACACTCTAATGCAATGTCAATGTAAAAACCACAAAGTAAAAAATGCAAAGTTCATTTGAAGCTAAATGCTTACACTTACAAAGGGAAGTAATAATTTAATTAAGTCACCAAAAGTCCTCTTTTTCAAATTAGACAAGCTATAACTATTTTTTAAGTTAATTTTTAAAAAATTCTTATTGGAAGTTGACAATTTATGGTTGCATATATTTATGGGGTACAGAATTGCCATAATTTATGAATACAATGTGGAATAATTAAATCAATCTAAATAATATATCCATTACCTCAAATATTTACTTTTTCGTGGCGAGAACATTTGAAATTTACTCTTAGCAATTTTGAAGTGCACTATATACTATCTTCACCACACTGTGCACTAGATCTCAAAAAAAGTATTCCTCCCGTTTAGAGATTTTGAACTCTTTGACTATCACCTTGCCATTCCTCCCACCCTCCAGCCTCTGTAACCACCATTCTACTTTCTGCTTCTAGGAGTTCAAGTATTTTAGATTCCACATAAAAGTGAGAATATGCAGGATTTGTCTTTCAGTGCCTGGCTTATTTCACCTGGCATCATAGTCGTTATGAACTAAATGTTTCTGTCCCACCAAAACCCGTATGTTGAAGCCCTAGCCCCCATTGTGACCGTACTTGAAGGTGGGACCTTTGGGAGGTGATTAGGGTTAGATGGGATTGTGAGAGTGGGACTCCCTTGATAAGATTAATATCTCTAAAGGAAGGAGGAAAAGCACCACAGTTCTATCCCTCTACTGAAGTCACAGTACAAAGGTGTCTGCAAGCCGGTAAGAGGGCCCTCGCTAAGAATCAAATCTGCCAGCACCTTGATCTTGGACTTCCCAGTCTCCAGAACTTTGAGAAAAGTCTGTTGGTTAAGCCACTTAGTCTGTGGTATTTTGTTATAGCAGCCAGAACAGACCAATACAATACAGTGTTCTGAGCCCTTTCCTACCCTGATGCATGTATTCTGAATTAATAAATTAAGACTCACTCCAAAACAGGAATAAAAGAAAAAGGCAATGGCACATAGTAAAGTCATTTATGAATCTCAAAATAGACTTCACATTGCCATTTGTATATAAGTGATTAAAAAAAGATTCTCCTTTAAAAAATTAACATAAATAGTGTATTTTTAAATGGAAGACAACAGTAGTAGGAAGTTGCCATTATTTGAAATTGTTTTAAAAATAATTATTAAACATTTTTCTTCCAAAAAGCCTTATGGCCAACTATTTCTCTTTTTTCCTTTTATTTTTAGTTGACACATAATTGTACATATTTATGGGATACAGAGTGATATTTTAATATGTGTACACAACATATTATGATCCCATCAGGGTAATTAGCATATCCATCACCTCAAACATGTATCATTTCTTTGTGTTGTGAACACTCAAAATCCTCTCTTCTAGCTTATTAAAAACATCCAATCAATTATAGTTAACCATATTCACCTTACGGTGCTGCAGAACACCAGAGCTCATTCCTTTGTATCGATTAACCAACCTCTCCCCATCCTCTCCTCCTGCCACTGTGTCCTAGCCTCTAATACCCACAGCTCTACTCTCTAGGAAGTTGCCATTTGCTTAGCCTTCAACTTCAAAAATTTTTACTAGGAACTAGAAGTGAGAAAAGATAGTGCAGCAAGAGAACTCTTATAGAAATTACATGTCTATTTCAGCACATTACATATTACAACACTGAATCACATTAAATTTCTAAAACCAGTTAAACGGTATGACCAGTTAGCATTTGCTTATTAAAGAAGTTCATGATGATGTGCTCCTATAGGCAATTAATCTCAAATTTATTTCACTGGTCTAAGAGATTTCCTTCAGGAATAGTTTCCTCAGTTCAAAAATTCAAAATGAAATGAAATTTCATATGTATGTATGTAATATACATTCCGTTTATATATCATAAAATATATATTATATTGTGTATAAGATATATATACAAATATTACATGATATACTACATTTATACTTAGGGAACACTTTCCCTTAATATAAAGAGTATATAAGCAGATTTGGAAAAGCTATGAGCTACTTTTTGACCATTTAAAAAACATAAAAAAAAAAAAGCTTTTAAAGGTGGACTATAGACATGATATTTTTAGTTTTAAGGTCTTAATATTAAGAAAATTTAATATATTACTTGTGAGCAAAAAGTGCACCATTATGTTTTTGGGGAAATTTTTGCAGAGAATAAAATGAAAAGTGGACATGAGTTCCTCTATTCTATATGTTAAATATATTATTTTTCCCTACTTAGAACACAAACTACTTATAAGTAATGTAGCATTTATCCAGACCTTCACATGTGAGCATCTTATTTCTGATATCAAATGTCAAGAAAGGGAGAGAACTCTGGTCTTTTTCCTCCTTCCTTTAGAGACATTTGCTGCAGGAAAGCGACAGGAAAAGTTGGTTCTAAAATGTTTTTATAATAACTAAATTTGAAAGAATCAAGCTCTCTCCACCCATATTCAAAACATTTTTTTAAAAACTGCTATAAAGCTATAAAACTATTTATAGAGCTTCTGAGCTACAACTAAAACAAAAAACTAGGCTGTTTTTCAAGTTTTCCCAGGAAATCTGGGTAATTTCTTCTCGCAACTTTAATGGGAAATGTTAACACACACTTTCTTGTTTCTAATGAAAATGCAACACTTTATTAGTGAAGATCAAAGTGAAAAAAAAGAGTAATGCCTTAATATCTGAAACACTGAATTAGTAGAGAATTAGGTAAACATTTCCTGGGTTTTTTCTTTACTTTTCTTCATAATATTTAATAATAAACACCAAGATCGTACCTCCCTCAGAAGGTTGGTGATGTACTTTACATGTAAAAATTCTGGAGTCTTGTCTAAATCCAGTGATGACCTTCCTTTAATCTCCTTCTCAAAATCCTCTTTGTAAACTTTCTGTTAAATAAGACCACATAATTTTAAAGTTAGCAAATATCAGTGACCATTGAAAAGAGATTTGAACAAGAGTTCCCAGAACAAAAATGATGTTTTCTTAGGTAGTTCTACCACCTGAGGGTCATCCTATCAACAGGGAAATAAGTTCAACTTTGTCATAAATTTTAGAATTCTACCAAACAAAGGAGAATTATTAAGTGGACTCTTCCTCTGGTAAATCATTCTAAGTGAGGCTTCCTAACATCTTACTAGCCTAGGATTAATATCAGCCCATTTTTTGGAGGAGAACCAACAAGACTGGCTATTTGACTGGATCCCCCAATTGGTTTACTCCAAGGTGAGTGGATCCACTGACTGGGGGAAAATCTGGTGGCACGGAAGCCATTCAAACCACCTTCAAACCCAAGCAGCATTAATGTTCATGTCCCCATCATCCTTCTTCATCAGACTTTTGCAAATTTAGGAAATATCACTTCTAAAATGTAATGATGCCTGAGGGTTAGGGAGGGGGTTTCCCTTTAATGATTTTGGAGTTGAGAATATTTCTCTACCATCTATGGTGTTTGATATGAATGAAGTTGTGCTGTGAGGAGAATTTTATCTTGAACCTTATAACTGAACTCCTCCTTTAAGTGAGAGTTCACAACAAGAAATGAAAGGTGGATGCGACGGTGATAGCTGGGGGCTTAGATTCAGACCACCATTAGCCTTTTTAAAACACTGAGCCACTCTTTGGCTATGACTCTCTAAATTCTAACATTTGAACTACACATTTGAAAAATCAGTGATAATGCATGCTTTATGACTATAAAGACAGCCTCTCTAAATAACAAAAATATCCATCCATGTGAAATATCTACTAAACAAGGGCCCAGATTTTACCAGCCAAATATTTTGTTCAAATTGCATCCCTGAAATGATAAAAGTAAATAAATTCTGCATGAAATTGTTATTCAGGCAAAAAGAGAAGCTGTTTCCAGGTTGATTATTTATTCATTATAGAGATAGGTAATTTTATAAATAAAGAATGTCTCTAAACCATGAAGGAGAATAAGAGAAGCATGCTGTCTCCTCACTTAGCACATGTGTTCCATACAGCAATCTAACAAACAACGTGGATATAGCCACAAGGAGAGAAACAAAGGATGTTCTGAAAGTCTAACAAAGTTAAATAACCAGTTGCATTGAGAACATCCTGAACTAAAGAACTGAGATACAATGACCAAAAACAACGACTAGAAACTTTCCTCTTCCTTATGTGGAATTAGTAGAGATAACAGTTACAAGGCTGAATCTAGGGCATCTCTAGGCTAAAAAGGACTCTTTAAATGGTGAAATAGAAATATGTCTATGCATTCACGCATGCATTTACATCAGCTAATTCACTTCAAAAAGCCCTTCTGGAAAAAAAAGTTATTTTACTGAAGTAAGTCATTAAGGGAGGTTAATTACGACTAGAAGTAGCCAAAATATATAGCTAGAAAAAAAAAAACCTTTTGGGTATGCTTTTTGAAGAAAGCAGTATTTGTGAAATAAGACAAAGAACTTTTCAAGCCAAATTTAAAGATTTCCTCCAGAAAACACACACATTAAGCCTATATCTGCCATTGGAAGAAAGTATGATAAACTTAATTATAGGCCATAGCAAAGACACCAGTGGCTTTTCTTGGGATCATAAATACTTAAGTTTACCTGTAAGAGGTTCCTTGAGGAACTCATAGTCAAACCTACCTCTTGGGAATAAAAAAACATCTCTAAGACAAATGATTCTCTTTATACCTACTTCATCAGTCCTATATTTAAAAATATTTTTTACACCAAACTTTGTCTAAGACTTTTAGCTACTTTATTTTTCTGGCCTTTAGCATATGAATTGGGTCCAAAGATACTTTCTACTGAAAGATTTCACTCTCCTCAAGAAATGATGGTTGAGCCTAAAACATCTAATAGTCAATGACTATAATTAAAGGGAATATATGTCAGGGAAAACATGTCTCACTTGGCAAGAGTGAGAGAAGAAGTTGGGTGAAGAAAAGAGAGACTATCTAAAATCCCAAATCATAAATTACTGTTATTTCTACTACAGAAACATAGTATTTGAATATATTAATCATGAATTATAAGTTTCTGGATTTATCAGTGAAAGGAAAGTTATCCACAGAAGGAAATAAGAAAGTTAAGAAACTGTGCAACCAGAATGATAAAAGGTTGCTCAGCATGAATGTTTCTAGGGCTGAGGATCAAAGAAGAGGGGAGGGGGTAAAGGGAAAGGGGCAGGGGAGGAAACTAGAAGGAGGTCCAGCCTGAAATACTGATGCTGCCAGAAATGTTCTCAGAAAAGGAAAGTGATTTTTGATCCCTGTCTCTTTCAGTGAAAATGTATGTTAACAGCTTCATACTGTCTTAACCCATTTCCGTTTTGCCTCAAGAATATTCTTGTCTCTAATCCTAACGTAACATTATAAACCTGTCTGTTCCATTAGAATTAGAGACAAGGTCTGTTTAGAAATAACTCCAAGAACAGTTTTTATATTTTATTTTCACGTTGAAAATCAGGTCCGATTTGCTTCAGCCCCAAAGAGCATGTTTATGTAAAATTAAATGAGTGCTGGCAGCAAACTGCACATTTTTTTTCTAAATGGGAAATGGGTTAACCTTTCAGAAGACCCACTAAGCAAAAGCACTATGATAGCTCCTGAAAACAGAAACCTTTCTCTGGGCTGTGGGTCAGTGACAATGGCCACATTATCTCTACAAAACAGGGACATTCATTGGGTGGCTCTACTCCATCCAAAAAGTGCTGCTGCAGAAAAAAGTGCTGCTGCAGTGGAAGATAGTAAAGCAATGAAAAGAATGTATAAAATACTTTATATACTTTATACAGTGTTTACAAACTGTTATCTAAAGGAAGAAAAGGTAATCTAGGGAAATTTATTCCATTAAATGTAAATTTTTGTAGGGTTTCTGAACTTTGACCAAATTCACTAGTATCAATTCACTTGAAACAAATAACTAATTTAATCAAAATGGTTACTTCATATTTCTTTATCAGATTCCTCTTCATTGGCTTAAGAAGATACAAGACAGGAGTCTCCAATCCTTAGACCATGGACCAATATCAACCATGGCCAGTTAGCAACCCGGTAACAAAGCAGGAGGTGAGCAAGGGTGAGGGAGCATTCCTGCCTGAGCTCTGCCTCCTGTCAGATCAGCGGTGGCATTAGATTCTCATAGAAGCACAAACCCTATTATGAACTGTGCATGCAAGGGATCTAGGCTGTGCACTCCTTATGAGAATCTAACTAAAGCCTGATGATCTGAGATGGAAGAGTTTCATCCTAAAACCATCCCCTCCAACACCACCACCACTCGCCAGTCCATGGAAAAATTGTCTTCCATGAAACCCATCCCTGGTGCCAAAAAGATTGGAGACCACTGAATAAGACACAAAAAATACAAGTAATTCTTTTTCCTTTTTGCTTGAAGAAGAAATTAAACAATTTTGTCTATTCAGTAAACCATAGTAATATCTGAGTGCCTTTTTCCCAAGAATATGAATTATAACATTTCAACAAATAGCATAGTTAATGCTTACAAAATTCCTGAGAGTTTTTTTGTCTACAAGTTATCATTTCTGCCTGTTTTGATGTTGTTATTGGGCAACAGAAAGGATCTTATTCATTGAGCATGCCTAGCATGAAGCATCAAGGTTGTATTGGACTGAGACCAGCATCCACTATTTCTATCCCTTTGCATTAAGAACCCAGCTGCACCCACAAAACTTTGATATAGGCTGCAGACAAAACCTTGTGTGTCTGATCCTGAAAAGGTAAGAAGGAAAACACACACACATACACACACAAATAAGTCTCGCTGGAACAGAGAAAAAAAAAGTGTGGGGAATATCGAGATGTTACTTAGCATAATCTTAGGTTGAGAATAAAGTAGGTAAGTAGAAAACACTCTTAATTGTTTATTGAAAAAAAATCAATCAAATACGCCGCCTATGCTTTGAATGTGTCCCTTCAAAGTTCGTGTGTTGAAAACTTCATCCCCAACGCAACACTGTTGGGGGGTGGGAACTCTAAGAGGTGATCAGGCCATAGCGCTCTGCCTCATGAATGGATTGATGCCAATATCATGGGAATGGTTTTGTTACCATGGGGTTGGGTTCCTGATAAAAGGATGAGTTTCCCATCTCCTCCTCTAAGGCATGTGCAAGCACTCTCTGTCTTTCCACCTTCTGCCATGGGATGATTCAGCAAGAAGACCCTTGGCAGATGTGAATCCTTGGATTTTGAACTTCCAGCCTCCAGAACTGAAAGAAATTAATCTCTGTTCTTTATAAATTGCCCCGTCTGTGGTATTCTGTTATAGCAACACAAAATGGACTAAAATATAAACTAAAGAGAAAAGGAAATCATTCATGATTTTGACCAGGTGCTAAAACATTAACATTTACTGGATACAGAATTTCATCTAAGACAATTTCAGTAGACACATTCTTAATCTACAGAGAACACCTTCCTAGCATCATTACTTTGAGGACTAAATGAGCTGACATATATAAGACTCTTAGCATATTACCTAGCATGTAGTAAGTATTTTAAAAATGTTAGTTCTATTTTCATTGAAAAAAAAAGGGGGCCAGGTAAATAAAGCAACCAGCTATTCGTTTTTAGTTTTTATGAACTCATCATAGTTTTACATTAATATCTGAAAGGCAAAAGGTAAAATTAACATTTGAAAGTGTCAGTTATATTATCATAGAAAATTAGAACTGAGGGGGATTTTAAAAGCTCATCTAGCTTGAGATCCAATTCACCAATGAGAGAAGCTAAGGACCAGATAAACTCAATGACCTAGACAAGATCCCAGGCAGTGGGTGGCTGGGTCTAGAAAGCAGGTCCTTGAATCTGCCCACAGCAGCACTCTTCCTTCCAGACCCACTGAACATTCTGCGTCCTTTCAAATGACAAAACATCAAATTTACATTAAACAATTAGTAACAAACTAATTGACCTACTTCACTTTGCATCTTTTGAGCCTCCTTTGAAGCTTGATATGATGGTGTCTCAACAAATTCAAGCATTGGCTTTCCCTTATTTTTCTCATATTCTTCTTTATATTTCACCTTCATTGGAAAAAGAAAAGCATATACAAATCGAAAGTCCTTATACAAACAGAGCAAACTAAGAAAAAATATATGTTCTAAACTAGTCATCTTGTTGTCTAAAATCATATTATTCTGGCCATTTAGGTTGAGCACTGGGTTCCCTTTGGTTAATGACATACAAGGAAAGTAAACAGGTAATATAAAATATCTTAAGGGATAAAAATAATTTAGAACAACTAACTAATGTAGTTCTAGGAGTTGTATAAAGCATCTTGTCAAATGGCTGGAATATATAGATATGTATCGTATATATGGGGTTATACATGTATATGCAAATGGCATACACACATAGGTAGCAGGTGTGAGAAAGAGAGAGATCCTTGAGGTTGCATTGATGTCTATTGGTAAATCAAGAACAAGAAAGAAAACATGGGTATGATTCTCTATTTTTTCTGTCAAACGGAGGAGGATGTCCTCCAGGGATGCTGAATTTTTTCATAGACACTGAGTAAAACACTCACACAGACCTTATATGATTTATATCAATTTCACTATGCAATATTTAATATCATATTATGAAATGTTTAATTCAATTACAGTCTAATCCTCATCTTACTTCGGTTTATAAAATGAGTGATATTTTTTATCTTCCAATAACAAAAAATAATATGTAAGCCATCACAATGGTTGGCTTTTTAAGCAATATACTGTTTAAAATTAAACTCATAGAAGTTTTTATACTTCATTTCATTCAGAAATGTGCTCTTGATAAAATTTATGTTTAATAATATCTATACAATTATTTCTTAAGTTATTAAAATAATAATGTTAATGATAATTCAACCCAAGAGAAATTTTTCAAACTTAGAACTTTATGAAACAGGAAATATGACACATTTTAAAATACCTATTTGTAGACATAATTTTGTTGCAAAGAGTATGATAGAGTAATCAATAAAGTATCGGGAAGTATAATAACACACAACACTAGGATAGAACTTTGTGAAATGGCCGGGTGCAGTGGCTCACACCTGTAATCCCAGCACTTTGGGAGGCCAAGGCGGGCAGATCACAAGATCAGGAGTTTGAGACCAGCCTGGCCAATATAGTGAAACCCCGTCTTTACTAAAAATACAAAAAAAAAAAAAAAATTAGCCAGGCGTGGTGGCATGCACCTGTAATCTCTGCTACTCGGGAGGCTGAGGCAGGAGAATCGCTTGAACCCAGGAGGCAGAGGTTGCAGTGAACCGAGATCACGCCATTGCACTCCAGCCAGGGTGACAGTGCGAGACTCCATCTCAAACAAAAATTTTGTGAAATAAATGAAATGAAAATAAGTAATTTTTAGAAATGATGTATATTTCCAAACTTAAAGGGGAACTGTTTCGTATATTTTTAAAACCAATGAAGGTGAGTACGAAATTATTATGGACTTTAAGTTCCACAGAATACATTTAAAAGAGTGATATAATATTTTATCTTAACAGATGCTGGAACTGACATCTTTGCAACTATTTAAGCTCAGAATTAAAAAAAAATAACGACTTTAAAGTATGCTAGAGAGAAGATATTTTTTAAGTTTATTCAGGGGGTACCTAGAATTTCATATTGGAAAAAAATATTAATCAAGAATACATTAGTCATATTGTATTCCCTTTTAATAACACTTATAATTGAAATAAGAAATTATAATAAACCTTGCACCTGGAAAATTAACGTTACTGCTCAAAATGACAAATCAAGACACTAGAAAAATTTAAATCATCATGTGGTTTGACCATAGTTTAATTAATTCCTATCTTGTAACTTTTTAATTATGTGAATTAACGGTTATTTTACAAAATGCCTTTAGATTGAAATATGGTTCAAGCTCCCCTGACCCCAATACCTACACAGCAAATAGTGTTTGAGATTTTCAAAAGTAATGTTAATATTCTCAGGATTTATTCTTTTCTGCAACTGTACTTTCTCAGTTAAGACGCACGGCAGTGAGCGGCGGGCCTCAGGATGGTTACGGGTTGCTGGCAGGGAGGGTAGGTACCGTACGGGCAAGTGTGTACCTGACTTTGGAGGACGGCATTGCCTTTATGGTGCAGATGTTCCACAGCATCTGCATCAAAATGATACATTCCTTTGTTTTCCTCAAAGAGCTTTTTATATTCTCGCTAAAATACAGAATGGGGAAATCAACTTAGAATCAAAGAGACTGATTAGAGCAATAAATACTTAGAAATACAAACTGCACATTACAAGCCACCAAGAGCTGCAAAGCTGTTGCCAAGTCCCCATCTGCAGTTGGCTGGCAGGTAGGAGGTTTCTGACACTGAGATACACAGACAATGCAAGACAGACCAGCTCTAGGTCAGCATATGAAACACGCAAGAGAGGCAGAGGACAATTAACCGCAAACATAATGTAAAGGATATTCACAACACCAGCGTGTGGCAACGGAAAGCTAGCGCTAGGACATGCGGAAAAAGGTAAAGTGGGGAAAAATAAAAGCAATTTGTCTTGCTCTTATCTTATGACAGGAATATGTTTAATACTGTTCAAAAGAAGAGAAGGAAAGAAAAGCAAAAAGAACAGAGGAAAAGAAACCCAGAGGCAAGGAATAAAAAAGTCCTATACAAAAAGACTCCACCACAAAGAAGATTGAGAGGCACAAGGAAAATGTAAGAGAAATAAGCAACTATTGTTCCTAAAAGGAAAGGGTAAAAGGTGCCTGAAAGAGAAATTGAGAAATCTGGGAACAGTCAGTTGAGTTTTTAAGGTGAAAAAATTGGATGAAGGCTACTATTTGGACATATAGACAAAAAGTTGAATTTGGAAGACACCAAATTGAACAGGGATGCCAAGTTTGGCCACTGAAAGAAGCTAAATGTAACAGGCAGCAATATGACAAAAATTGTTTCATTAGCAACCTAAGTGTCCATCAACAGATGAATGAATAAAGAAAATGTGGCACATATACACAACGGAATACTATACAGCCACAAAAATGAACGAGATCCTGCCATTTGCAACAACATGGATGGAACTGGAGGTCATTATGTTAAGTGAAATAAGCCAGGCACAGAACAACAGATTTCACATGTTCTCACTCATATGTGGGAGCTAAAATAGTGAGACCCCAGTTCTACAAAAAATAAAGAAATCAGCTGGGCATGGTGACATGCACCTATAGCCCCAGCTACTCGGGAGGCTGAACTTATGAAGACAGAGTAGAATGATGGCTACCAGCAGCTGGGAAGAGTGGTGGGGAGAGGAGATAAAGTGGAGATGGTTAAGGAGTGCAAAAATACCGTTAGAGAGAATGAGTTTAAGATCTAGTATTCAATGCCACAATAGGGTGACCATAGTTAACAATAATTTATTGTACATTTTAAAATAACTAAGAGTGGAATTGAAATGTTCCTAACAGAAAGAAACGACAAATGCTTGAACTGATGGATACCTCAATTATCCTAATTTGATCAATACACACTGTATGCCTGTATCAAAACATTACATTTACCCCATAAATATATACAACCATTATGTATCAATAACAATTATAAATTAGAAAATTTTAAAAATAATTATTTCATGATTTCTATCATTGGAGATTGGACACTTTGTTATTTTGCCTTATTTGGAAAAGACCTTTAGTAGTAAATGGTAGCTCTTAAAGACTCAAGGCTACAGAGACTTAAGAAGCTAAAGATAGCTGCTTATTAGACAATGGGGTACCAGTAAAAATGGCAATAGAGTGGAGGGATCCAAAAACAGTATTTGAAAGGGAGCGGGAAAGAGCTGGCCATAAGGAAATTTGCATTTTGATCTTAGGGGATACTCCAGGGATTTCAGAGTGAAAGAGGAAGAAAGCTCAGTGCTAGGAATGGAACAGATGACCAAGTGGCCTGCCACAAGAGAGCTACCCTTTCTAGTGGGACAAAGCAATAGTCCCCAGAGGGAGCCTGGCCTCAGGTGCTTCCACTCAATTAGGGAGCTGCAATATATGTTCCCCCAAACCTAACCAGAATAAAATCAGGGAGGAAAGCACCCCCCAGGAAGGACATGAAAATGTTCATATAGTACTTTTTTTTTTTTTTTTTTTTTTGGACAGGGTCTTGCTCTGTCACCCAGGCTGGAGTGCAGTGGAGGGATCATGGCTCACTGCAGCCTTGACCTCCTGGGCTCAAGCAATCTTCCCATCTTAGCCTCCCAAGTAGCTGGGGCTATAGGTGCATGTCACCATGCCTAGCTAATTTCTTTATTTTTTGTGGAGCTAGGGTCCCACTACGCTGCCCACGCTGGTCTCAAACTCCTGGCCTCAAGCCATCCTCCTGCCTTGGCCTCCCAAAATGCTGGAATTACAGACAGGAGCTACTGCACCTAGCCCACAGAGTACATCGTGATGGAAGGAAACAAGTTATAAATTTTGGCTCCTCTAATGTTTTTTTAAAAAAGCCTTTTTTTGGCTAGGCGCGGTGGCTCACACCTGTAATCCCAGCACTCTGGGAGGCAGAGACAGGCGGATCATGAGGTCAAGAGATCTAGACCATCCCTGGCCAACATGGTCAAACTCTATCTCTACTACAAATACGAAATTAGCTGGGAGTGGTGGGGTGCACCTAGTAGTAGTAGTCCCAGCTACTCAGGAGGCTGAGGCAGGAGAATCGCTTGAACCTGGGAGCGGAGGTTGCAGTGAGCTGAGATCGTGCCACTGCACTCCATCCTGGAGACAGAGCGAGAGTCCGTCTTAAAAAAAAAAAAAAAGTGTTTTTTTTTTAACCAGTTAAAATCTGGAAAGAAAGATAATAATACAGACTTTATAATTTGATTAGAAGTTATCTTGTAATATGTATTTATAAAATAATCATGAATGTAACAAGCTACAACATAGTCCATTACTGAGTTAAAATCCACAACAAATACATATAAATATATGTAAAATAATGAATATATACTGAAAAATTCAGTAAATATTGTTCCCAACACAATTATCGATTTTAGTTACAAAGAATTTCAGAAACTCCTATTTAAGAAAACAAAACAAAACAAAAAAAAAACGAAGGAAAACTTAATTGAATTAAGATCTGCAAAAGAACTTCGAATGCGTGTCTTTCCTTATATAACAGTCTCTGCTACCTCCTAGTGGGAGATACACGGAGTAACACAAAATATATATTTCTTAATTTATGTAAAGTTGTGAAAGAAACTCAACACTACCAGAGGTCCATTTTCCAGGGGAAAATGTTTTCCAAAACTTTAATTAGAATGATTTTACACAGTAATTAAGGCACTCATATCACTCTTTAGAGTTTGGGTTAAAATAAAAGTAACTCTGATGTTGCTAAAGACATCTAGGGGTCTTTAAAACAATAGCTACTGTGACAAATGGATAATTTTGGCAGAATATCTCTTATTGAGCAATCTTATTCAATCTTTTAATTTATAAATCAACACAACTCCAATTTTTTACATTAAAATGTTAAAGTAGGCTATTCTTTGTTTCTTCACAAATGCTAGATAAAGGAGGCCATTCTAATATACAATAAAGTTGAGCAAATGTATACAGCTTTATACAATGTACACAACTTTGTAAGGAGACACTTCAAAAGGAACACATTTTTAAGTCTTTCTCTCCCAGGAAGTAGTCAATCACAATTTGTCTATGGGGAAAAAGAAATCTGTCCTCTAGGCAAAAGCACCACCTAAATGAAGATCTAAACTTTATATATGATACATGAAATAAGTAACGTATGACTTTGCTGTGTTTTCTCTGTTGAAGAGATGATAGAAACAATTTATATTAGACTGCGATTTTTTTCTCTGTTATTATAAAATAAAGGTCAACGTTCTTGAAAAGCAATATTGCATAGGAGTGGCACGCTTTCTTCCAGCCACCAAATGTTGAAATTACCACCATGATATTTTTATTGGCTTATTTACACATGAATCCCCATGTCCCTAGGAAATTGAATTTAAGTATGGCTAGAGAAAGGTCAAGGGCAAATGCCACTGCCATGATGAAAACTGGATGCCAAAGAATGAATGTGAAGAAAGCAGGGGGCTCAGGGAATAGAAATATATCAATTTTAGAAGCATATCTATGAGTCGTGGAGAAAAAAGACAGAAATAGAGACACTCAAGGAATAGAGGAATGTAAAAAGAGGTGTGGGAATGAAGACTGAAGTGCAAGCCAGCATGATGTAAGTGTCCTGGAACTGACTGCCAATTCTGGGCCCTCCAGATATTCCTCTAACCTCCATTCCCTGTTCAATAGCCTGGGAACATTAATGTACTGCTTTTCATCCAAGGACCAATGATTAAAAAAATAAATAAATTTATTTTTATTTTATTTTATTCTATGTATTTATTTATTTTTTAGACAGAGTCTCACTCTTGCCTAGGCTGGAGCACATTGGTGCCATCTCAGCTCACAGCAACCTCCCAAGTTTAAATGATTCTCCTGCCTCAGTCTCCTGAGTAGCTGGGATTATAGATGCCCACCACCACGCCTAGCTAATTTTTGTATTTTTAGTAGAGACGAGGTTTCACCATGTTGGCCAGGCTAGCCTTGAACTTCTGACCTCAGGTGATCCACCCGCCTCCCACAGTGCTGGGATTACAGGCATGAAACACCATGCCCAGCCAGAAAAAAATAAACTTTTAAAAACTCTGTATGAATTATTTGCATGCATAATACCATTAAGGAAGGAAGACAGTGGCAGTGATATTCCAGAAAGGAGGCTTACAAAATAATAAACATACATTTCAAAACACTGAAGCCAAGTATAGATTATTTCTAAAATTGACCTGAAGCTGTATCTCCTTATTTAACTGTCTGGAAACTAAGTTTTGCCTATAGATTTCTAAGTCTAGGCCCATCAACTGAAGACAACTATCTTCATTTTTTCTCATGTCTTCCCCAACATATATTTCTGCATCTAATCTATGCCTGGCCCAAAGCAGATATTCAATAAATTATGATTAATTTTGAGCAAGTGAGTGAGAAAGTGATTATTAAAATAGGTATGGAAATAACTTATGGTCAAATAAGAGCTCATTGCCACCATGAGATGTACAAAATGGAGCCAAATGTGTCTTAGGGCTGTCAGTTACGAGAGCTAGCGAAGTCAGGGTCCTGATGTGCTATGGGTTGAAACAGCATTCAGCGTAGTGAGAGTCCTGCAGGACTGACCACGTGGGCAGTGCACCCAGATATTTTCATCAAGACATGAAGAACTCACCTTTCTCTTCTGGTTGCCTTGACCGAGAACATGGAAACCATGACAAGACTAAAAGCGATGTGTCAATGCAGTATAAATGCTGTTAGGAATTATTTGCAGAGAAAATACAGTTTAGACTAAGACAATTTTTCATGCTACTGAAGGCGTACTAAATACAAGACACTCTGGTCTGGCCTGCATAAAGTAAAATATCCCTGACTTGAGAGCCTGAACTTCAAGTGGCTTTAATCTAACACAGATGAAGTAAGGGAAAGAAGAATGATGGAAAGGCCACTGTGCAGACACTTTGAAGTATAGTTGTATGCAGGAGATACTGGAGAGCAAGCAAGAACCTCCTTTGCAAAGTGACAGCTCTGGTGGGATTTCTGCAAGCAGAGGACTGTTTTTCAATGAGTTAGTTAACGAGGGAGGAGTGAGGCACAGGCCTTCTAAGGAAGCAGGTGAGCACATGAACGCTGCAGACATATTGGCTTCTTGGAGCCACAAGGCAACTACGGTTGCCGCTAGATGAACCACTTACGCCGCTGAGCATTTTGCTGGCTTTCAAAACATGGTCTAAAAACAACAAATTTGGGAGATCTGAAACTGGATCATGCATATTTTGAATGTCTTTCTTGTACTTCACCTATGAAAATAACATGGAACAAAATACCATCGAGGAGAAGAAAATATTATGCTTTTGCATTATTGCATTTTTCATACATCATAAAGTAGGACTATTTAGTGGTAAATGGACAGACGAATTTACAAGGAGCCACTAGATGGTGCTGATTTACTACTGAATGAATTTTAAAAAGTTATTTCTATATGGGCTTGAGAATACTTGGATAATTCCTTTTGTTGTTCACATATTCAGGAAGGGTAATGTCAATAGAATAAAGTAATTTTCACAGTAACTCTGCTTTCAAAAAATAAAGAGAATAGCCACTTTATTCTTTAGAAATTACTACAGTATTTCAACTATGCTTTGTGGAGATCTGAGGATTTTGATGTTTCCCATCCTATCACCACAGGCTTTTTTAAAGCAACTTTTTGAAAATATAATACCAGTAATAATAAACCATTGATAGCAAGCATATCACACACTTACTATGTGCCACTTTTCTAAATTCCTTTATATGTATTAAGTATTGAATCTCCACAATAACCTCTTTATTAAGTAGGTACTTTAAGTAGCCCCATTTTATAGATAAGAAAACTGAGGCATAGAAAGACAAAGACATAGTAATACTTGATAAAACAGGATTTAGATCCAAGCAATCTGACTCCAAACCTTTAGCTTTCAGCACTATGTTCCATGTTCCTTTAAGTATATTTCATCTCTATTTCTAAGAAAGCAACAGATCAATAATACATAATTTTTATACTTGAGAAGGAAATCTAAATATTTTCAACTATAGCAAAGTAATCAATTTTTTGATGTTGCTGTTTTTATACTCTAATTCTAACAAGAATTTAAAACATCATTTCTTGTAAAATGAATTTTGATGATTTTTAAAAACACAGAATGAAAACAAATCACATAAGGAAGTACTTCACAGCATTTTCACAAGGGATAAAAAATAAATTGTGAGGCATTACAGTAAAATTTCTAAAAATTTCTTTATATGATAAATTACCATGTACCAGGCAGTACTTTACAATAAACTCAATTTCATAGCCATAATTACATGAGGTAACTACTGTCCTAACCACTAATTTGTGTTAATACAGACCACTTCTCTGCAAAATTCTATAATCTATTTCCACTCTTGAACAGATATAATAACTTCATTTGCAACACTATTCCTACTTATTAACTAATTAGTAATCAGTAACCATTAAAAATTAATTA
Source organism: Homo sapiens (assembly GCF_000001405.40). Classification (NCBI taxonomy): domain Eukaryota; kingdom Metazoa; phylum Chordata; class Mammalia; order Primates; family Hominidae; genus Homo; species Homo sapiens. Next base: position 20,859,554 of record NC_000010.11, read on the forward strand.
CAATAATATATTTTTCTCAGAAAAAGCTTTAGAAAAATATGCTTCAGTTCAACTACAAATTACTTGGAAGCTAAGTATCAGTAATTACAACACAGTCGATTCTAAAAAAAACAAGAATCAAAAGATTTTGAAAATAATTTTCTATGAATTACAACTTACATTGCTCGCCAGTGTAGCAGCAAGCTGATTCTGCCTAAAAGAAGCACTTTCAAGAGGATTGTAATGATGTTTCTTATCCTTCATTTCATTATCAAATTTTTCTTTGTATTTAATCTGTCATAAAAGAGAAATAGTACATGTAACTTTACATTTAAAAGTAACACATATGATTTTCACGTAGATAAAATAAAAGCTACCTTAAAAATGAATGTTGCCAAGTGTAAATTCCTGGTATCCATCGCCTTCTATAAAGCTTAATTAGGCACAAAAGTTTTTATCTTTAATAAAAAAAACTCTGCTTCTACATTGATCACAAATGCAATTAGGCATGAACTCAAATCCTATTAATGAGAATTATGCACTAAAATACCAACATTTTTAAATGTCAGTTTTCATTTCTGCATTTCTATAATCTATGATCAGTTAGAAACCTAGACCACAAATGTCTTAAGGTCTAACACATTTAGAAAATAGATTCTAGGCCCCAGAATTTAAATATTTTTCCTAAGGGAATTATTCCAAATAAAGAGCATGACGTGTACCACAGTTTTTCTCATCATTTCCTATACTTCATTTGCTCAAAAATTTAGTTTTAGGAATTACATTTTCTGAAATGTCCTGGGTCAACTTAATGTCAATGTAAAACTTTCTCTGCTTTAATTCCACTAAATTCAGCAGGAAAACCATCTCCAATACTCTCTCTAAATTGTTTGTCTCCTTTTAAAGCACTCTTAAAACAACCAAAAAGGGATTATCAACTTATTTGGTAGGACTATATTTTTCTCCATGTATAGAGAAATATGAGAATGCATGTCATAACTAATTAGAATATAAACACAAGTTCACTACAAAAAGAAAAAAAAAAAAAAAAAAAACCTAGCTATTCACATGTCATACCCCCTTTAACTTACTGTAGCCAGGAAAGGGTGTATTGATTTCACAGGTCAAAGTAAGCTGTTTTGTTCTCTCATAATATTTTTCTGATGTTATAATTATTACCATGTTTGGTTTTCTAACAACATTCTGATAATGCACCTTTATTCATACATCTAAAGGCTCTGCTTTGCAGAAGACTTTATTAAAAAGCAATTTGGGATGACTCTCATCAAATATTTTAGGCATGCATAGGGTGATGGTCTCCTTCAGGGACACATGTTTGGAACCTATTAGAGAGAGCTAGAGAAAATCTTGGTGGGAATACAGCATTTGGTAAATATTTTGAGATGGTTTACAGGGAATATTTTCTGTTCTGGTTCCATTTGATAATAAAAAATTTCTGATATTCTCAATACCTTACAAACTGATTTTAAGTAATCAGCAAGAACTCTTTAAAAAAAGAAAAACTGACTTTTTTTATTATTTTGTGTCTTGAAATCAATAACAAAATTACAAATGAAATAAATTTAGATTTCCTTCAGTACTTTATACAGTAGGTGGCACAAAAGCAATGATTCACTCTGCCTGGTCGTCCCTTAAATATATAGTCTTAGAGTCTCACTCTATCACCCAGGCTGGAGTGCAGTGGCACGATCTCAGCTCACTGCAAGCTCCACCTCCCAGGTTCACGCCATTCTCCTGCCTCAGCCTCCCAAGCAGCTGGGACTACAGGTGCTCGCCACCACGCTCAGCTAATTTTTTGTATTTTTAGCAGAGACAGGGTTTCACCATGTTAGCCAGGATGGTCTCGATCTCCTGACCTTCATCTCCTGACCCACCTTGGCCTCCCAAAGTGCTGGGATTACAGGCGTGAGCCACCGCGCCCAGCCACAGTCTTATTGCCCTCTTCACCCTTCTGCTATACTTTTACCATATTTTCGTCACTGGTTCTGTCTCTCCTAAGTTTGTAGTGCCTAAAGGATATTCACTGAACAAAGATGGTGGACTCTTCAACAGCCTTCCGCTGGAATGACACTTCTGACTCAGCCAGATTCATTAACACTGTATTAGCTAAATGGTAAAAGTAGGTTATATGATCTTTGCACACACAGAGCCCATCATACTGTTTTTGCAAACTCTGAGGTTTCCAGCATAATTACACTAGAGTATTTGAAAATGATACTGATAAATTCCTTTGTTATTAAACCTTGCATATGCTCTCCCAAGTAAATGTTACAGACACCCCTTCCTCAACTTATGATGGGGTTGCATCTCAGTAAACCCACCGTAAGTTAAAAATGTAAGTTAAAAATGCACCATATACCCCTAACCTACCAAACATCACAGCTTCGCCTGGCCTACCTTAAACATGCTCAGAACAACTCCCTTAGCCTATAGCTAGGCAAAATCATCTAATAACAAGCCTGTTTTACACACGTTGAACATCTCATATAATTTGTTGAATACTGTAATGAAAGTGAAAGGCAGAATCATTATATGGGTACTTGAAGTATGGTTTCTACTAAATGTGTATCACTTCCACGCCATGGTAAGGTTAAACAGTCTTAAACTGAACCACTAGAAGTCAGGGACCATCTATGCATTTCTAAGAAACAATAATCAATCTGTTATTCATATATTTATATTAAATGTAATAATAAGCATTGTATTGTGAAATTTATCTTGTTTGAACGTTCAGTACAGTGAGTGATTTGATTCAAGATGCCTAAGGAACAAAAACACAAGTTTCCCTCATTAATGAACCACAATAGTAACATAACTACATTATATAAAAAAATGCACGGACCAGACACTGACACCCAATTGTTTCTAACCTCGCTCTTTCTGTAAGGAATGCAGGTAAAATGAACTAAGATCACCAAATGGTTGCAGTGAGTCACATCACTCACCTTCGGACTTGTTCACTCGCCAACTACACAGACACACTCAACATTCTATTGTATTTTCAATCTAGAGTTCATACATCTGTGTGTCTACCTCCTCATGCAGGTTTGCATCTTCTGAGAGATCCAGGAAATGCTTTTCCTTGACTATAACTTGTTATCCAACCATGGAACAAGGCATAACCCTTTCAGTTTTAAGATCATTTGAGAAAGGGAGGAACAGGTATTGGAGTGACTTTGCCATGGTTTTAAGACACAATGTTACTCCTTATACCTACATAATTATTCTGGAAACAAATGAAGTTACTCCATATGACTGGCTTTATTTACATTATGACTAGTGTGCCTAGTGGTCCCAATATTTATCACCTTTTTTTATTAATTTTTTTTATTTTTAATCTCTGTGGGTACACAGTAGGTGTATGTATTATATTTATGGGGTACATTATATGTTTTGATACAGGCATGCAGTGCATAATAATCACATCAGGGAAATAACACCTTTTGAAAAAATACTGTATAGGTATATAGGATCAAACTCCTAGATGTTTTTTAAAGAATTATAAGAGACAGCAGGATTTTCAGAGGCTCACACTTGGAGAAAACACGGATACTGTTAAGCTACAGTGACGGCATTGTAGCTCCCCATAACTGCACAACTTCTCATATAAAGAAATGAGAAGTTACATCTGCATATCCTCATATGAGGATCCAGATCCTCATAACTGCACCTGGGTATGTGTGAAGTCTAACACGCAAACCCAAAACTTTACACTGACATCATCTGTGACTCAGAATCGCAAAAAGCCAGCAAAGGCACAAAAAAGCAGACCCTGAATGAAGGTGTTTCACCATAGCCACATAAACACATTTTAGCAAAGAAATAGCTTGATAAGTGTACCTTAATTATCATTGAAAATGAAAAGTAAGCAAATAACACAATACTACGTATCTATAGATATCAATCCCCAGCAATCTTGGATGAAATCAAACTAAAAGCTGTCAAGGAAGACAGGACAGATTTTTACATAGAACTCATCATAAAATCAATAATATCTTTAAGTCTTAATTTTACACAACACAATATCTCTGCTCTTATTTTCCTTGCAAAATAACGTCTTACTGACTTTGCACCAAATGTTAATGATCCAGAGAATATTGGTTTAACCAGGCTCCATACACCTATTGGCAGCCTAATCTGTTTTCCCATAATAGTGGATCAAAGGCATATGAGCCCTGTCTCCATGGAGCCTGCCTTGTGGGAAGTGAAATGGATTTCGAAAACACACACATACACGTATATATTATGCAACTACTACAAATCGTATTAAGAACTGTAAAGAAGAGGAGAGAATAAAGGGGAGGAGAGCAATATTTAAATTGGCGAGTCAGGAACATGATATTTGAGCTGATACTTGGGTGTGATGAGGTTGGAGGAGGGAGTGCTTGCCAGGATGGGAGAATGGTAAATTCCCCAAACCAATTAATACCCCTTGCAATTTAAGGCCACTGCTTACTACTAAATTTTCATGGCAATTTATAATGTGATTTTTAGGTTTAAAACCCATTCTTATCAATGTATTAATGCAATTTTAAAACAATGCTAATTATTATAAATACATAGCTTTTCCTTGAGGTTATAAAACTGAACAAGGAATCTATTCATCATATAGACAAATTCCAAGTAACAAGATGATCTATGGATATATTAATTAATAAACTACTCTTAGAATTTTTAAAGTCAATGACTTCAACAGTTACTGTACTTAAATCTGAGATACATATGCACCAATCCCTTCATCTTCGCATAGGAGATTTTTGTTTTAGTTTTTTAATGACTTTTTAAAATAACCTGGCCATAATTGTATGTATATTGCAAATTTTAAAAAGGGAAAGTTTACAACTACGGGAGCAAAGCTATTGTAGAAGTTAATATAAGAAGGGTTTGGTATGTGTTCCCACTACCTTTCCTGGGTAAAATCCCACAGAGTTCAATTTACAGATAAAAGGTGAGAATCCTGCCCATTCACTCTCTGTTCCCATCCTTTCATCAGACAGGTCTTATCTCCACATACTTTGACCATTGCCTTGTCATTGCCTTCTCTGTTACAATGCTTCTGGTGCTGTGGTGCTCTTTTTCTCCCTGCATTCTATCCATTCTCATCTCCCTGTTATTAAATCCCTAAATCATTTGCCTTCTATGTATTTATGTGCCTTTATCATTAGTTTAGGAGCAAACTAAAAACTTTAATGCTGTCAGTGAAAATAAGAAACTAAACTTGCTGCCCAAATTTCTGTTATAATTGATATACCTGAAAATACAAATGGAATACACTGAGTTCATCCCAGAATTCCTATTATTTATTTTCCCAGCTTTCCCCTTTTCTTGTGAGTTTTATACAGCTTATAAAATCTTATATGACATGAAAAAATGAATACGATAGCTATAATGTAAGTTAAAAATTAAAATCTGCTTAAGAATCTGATCACTCAGTTGCTAAATAATTTGAGATTGAAGGAAAAAAATCTGCTTTCAAGTCCAAGTAAGGATCACATGGGGGAATTTTTGTGGATTGAATTTGAAATGTGAAAATAAAGCTCAAATGTCAAAACTTTCTTCTAAGGGCTCTCAAATAGGATTGTGATGGAATGAATTTAAGGCCAGAATCTCACAGACAGTGTTCATATTCCTTCTCCACTCTGTGCATGAATTCATCTAAAAATGTAGAACAGAAAACTATTTTGAATACCTAAAGTAAAATTATTCCTATGAAATTATGTCATGTTTCTATGGGCCAGGCACCATTTTAAGTGTTTTACTCACAGTAACTCATTTAACCTTCACAGCAGCCCTGAGAAGTAAATACTGTTGCTGTCATCCCTATTTTACAAATGAGGAAACAAAAATAGAGAAATGAAGCAATTTGTCCAAGATCACTCTGCTGGCAAGCAACAGAACCAGGAGTTTAACCCAGGTACAGCCCAGCTCCAGGGTACATTTTCTTAACCACTAGACCAAACCATACTGCTTCTCCGGGATTTGCTTTGTCTCCTGTGTAACTGATGGGGAATCTTTGTCCCCAGAAAAGGGCGAAGTTGTAAGAGGCCAGTAGCTATGCTGGAAATCTGAAGTGATGCCCATATCCCCTGTCTCTTCAACTAGCATTACTGGGAATATGTAGAGCTTAGAGTCACCGCCCTTTAATGCAAGTGTCACCCAGACATGTCCCCAACCTCTTGCACATCAGTAGCCTCCTGAGTTATAAAGTCGCTTTATAAGTGAAAGTCCCTTGTTAACTGTAAAACAATTACTATGAGGCACAATTGCATTTGGGCATCTCTCATGTCTGCCTCTCCCAGGGAGCAGTTGTGTCCACTTCATTTTCATTCCTACTGTCACAGAGTCTATTCAGGTACTGATCACTTTATGTGTAGATTACCACTGTCACAGCCCAGCTGGCTTCTGGGAGGTTCACCATTTGTGAGCCAGACTTTCCTGCCCAGTGTCACCATGTTAACCTTCCCTAAGTGTTTTCTTCACAATCAATCTTTGCTCAAAATCTTCAGTGATGTCTTCTTTCTTCCCTGAGAGACTACAGTTAACATGGCAAAAAGTAGTTCTGATGTTTACTTTTTGGAATTGAACCCTAAAATGCTTCCTATAATTGCGCTCTGAAATCACTTTTTTATCATTATTTTTTCATAGAACACACCATTCTGGGAAGGGGGCGTTGGGGAGTTATTATTTAACGGGTATAGAGTTTCACTTTTACAGGATGAAAAGAGTCCTGGAGATGGATGGTGGTGAGGGTAGCACAACATTACAAACGCATTTAATGCCACTGAACCGCACACTTAAAAACGGTTCAGATGGTAAATTTTATGTTATATAAATCTTATCACGATAAAAAAATGGGGAAAAATTACATATATGAACACATTATTCCTATTATGTTCTCTAAGCAATGGCTTATACTCAAAATCAATACACATTGACCCATTCATCATCACACAATATCTAAACTCTTCTCAAAATCCTTTTTATACGTGCACAACTATATCCTCTTGCCCAGAGGCTCTGCCATCAGATTTCTGTCCCCTGGCAGGCATACTCCCAGCCTGTATTTGGGGCCTTCCCCTTGAGTAGAGTTTACTTCTCCCATTAAATCCAAATTAGCTAAAATCTACCTCCTACACATGAACCTTCTAAGGACGCGTCTTTCTTCTCCACACTAACAAGACACATTGTGATGGGTGTAAATGGGTGTAAAAGACATTTTGCTTTCACTTTGTTGGTATTTCCCTTTCTACTAATAAATTTGGGCATCTTTTCACCTGTTGATTGGCCATTTATGTTTGCTCTTCTGTGAATTATCTATTTCACTGACCCCTTTTTCTACTGAGCCGTTAATCTTTTTCATTCATGGTAAGAACAACATTGGACCCAAATCTTAAACTATATACAAAAATAAATTCCTTTTCAAGAATGTTTATATATTATAGATATTGTACACTATAGATCTTATATTTAAAATATTAAAATGTTCTCATCAAATGCATTAGAAGTACTTTTCCAAGTATTTGAAGACTTCTCTTTTTTTATATTTTAAAAAACTATTCTCAGACACATCCTTCTCTGTATAAACTCTGAATTATTTAATTTATTCAAGTTTTTCATTTCATTTAAATTTTTTAAACCCTCTTTTTGGATTGCAATTGGAATTGCATAGAGCTTTTAACATTAACTTTGAAAGAGTTAACATTTTTTAGGATGTTTAGTATCAAGGCTCTTTCACCAACAGAATAGTACGTCTTTTCATTTGTTCGGGACTTATTTTATGCTCTTCAATCAGACTTCATACCTTTCATCATTTACATCTCTCCACTTTGAAATGTAATTCAAGTAAGACTTCTGCAACTTGAGAAATGAGTATTTTCAAAGTCAAAAAAACTATAAATGTGTAAAACTTACTGTTTGTTAACATTATTGTTGACTCTGCAAACATTACCTTTTTCATTCAGAGAGTTTTTCATTTTTACATAGTTAATGTGCCTACCTATTATAGCTTCTGGATTTCTGGTCTTGCTTAAGAACAACTCTGTTATCCTTATGTAGTATATAGAGTCTCCTGGATTTTCTTTGAAGATTTTAAAATTATTTTATTGTTTGCATTCACATTTTTAATCCACCTGGAATTCATTTTTGTATATGGTTTAAGATTTGGGTCCAATTTTGCTCTTCCCATGACAGACGGTGTGTTATGTCAGCACCATTTATTAGCTAATCCAACTTCTTCCCACTGACTTGAATCGACACTTTTATCATATATTAAATTCTTATACATACTGGAATCTATTTCAGGACTCCCTATTCTATCCTACTGATTATTTAATCTCTCACTACACCAATCCCATATTGATTTAATTTCAGTGGTTTTCTATTAACTTATAGTAACTCATAACTTAAGTTCCCCTTCACTGGTCTTCATTTTCATACTTTTAAAGGCTATTCCCTGGTATTTTCTTTCCACACAAACTTTAAGATCATTTTATCTATATTAAAAAAAAAAAAAAACGCTGTTGGAGTCTAACAGAAGTTGCATGACGTTTATATAATTCTGAAAGAACTGACATCTTTATCTATTGAAACTTTCAGCCAAAAACATAAAATGCCTTTATACTTTTTCAGATCTTATTTTATGCTCTTTGATAAGACTTCAAAGTTTTCTTCATTTTCATCTCCCTTTTTAAATTTTGTGATTAAACAAAAGCACTTGAAAATTGGGAAAATTAATATTTTTATTACTAAGTTAAAAACTGTGTGTGTGTGTGTGTGTGTGTGTGTGTGTAGGTTAAAACACAATTATTTAGTATGACTATTAATGACTTCTGGAAATCCAGGGAAATGTGACAACATGGCTAGAGACATTGAAAAATGTTCAGATTTATGCCTGGAGAAAAGAAAACTTTGTTTTATGCTTAAAATTAGACTTAATTTTTTTCCTTTACTGAAATTCATAATGATTGCAAGCCCATCTGAACTGGGTTCAGAAACATTATCTCTGTTTATTCTTGCAATTAAAGATATTATCTAAAATGCAATATTCTCCTGTGCTGTTAGAAACAAAATATCTGAATAAAGTCATTGTGGAATCATCACTAAAGCCTTACTTGACTAGAAAGTTTAGAAGCTTCCACGGCATGTTCAAAATCTGGTCTTCCAATTACAGCGGGCTCTTTATTCATTATTCCTTGTCCTTTCTTGTATTCTGCCTAAAATGAATAAATAAGACAATGTTAAATATTTCTACCCTCCAATGATGAACTACATTGACATTAGCCAAAAAAAAAAAAAATAACAGACCTTCATCTCATTAATATTCCTTACAACACATCAAACACTAAAATGTTGACTGCTAAAGCAGAAATTGATTTTATCCTGTGCTTACATGAACAAACTCAACTTTTTGCAGTAAAATAATTACTAACTTTGAGGCTAAGTGTTCAGTCATCATCATGTTTGTAATTATATATAAATACTAAAACAAAATATTAGGGAAATTTTCTGGGGAATTGAGACCCTGTACTCTCCATATAGGTAGCTTTTATAGTTTCGTTTATTCTCAGGAACTGTTCTGGCCATACTTGATTGACATGCAGTTGAATACAGTAATGATTGATTTTAGGGTGAATTTAGCCTATGTTATGAAAATTTTTGGTTCAAGTTAAATCATCATTTCCAACCAGGGTTTTCAGCATGTTGAAGTAAAATGGTATTAACTAAAGCGGGCACCTTAGAGAAGGTAAGAAACAGTTACGCCATGTAGGAAGTGGACAAAGGTAAGTGTTGGTGGAAGAGAATGTACACAATGAACAGCAGCAATATGGAAACAAGGCCAAGCAAGAGCCTTTGGAGCAAGGTGAGGGGAGAGATTATATGGGACCATATGACTGATAACCCTGACTTTCAGGCTGAGACATCTGAATGTCAATTTATACCTAAATAGTATTTATTTCTCTAAAAGTATGATGACACTAACCACAGCCAATTTGAGTTTGGGCTGTTTCTGCATATACCCAAATAATTAACATAATAAAATAGATAATTTAGGGGGGGAAATTGAGATGTATTCATTTATATTGATTAGTTACACTAATTAAATGAACCATCCAACCACTGAAGCTATGCTTTGCCTCCTACAAAAGTAAGAAATCATTTCCGTTCAAGGTTTAGAAAGAGAAGTTACATTGCTTATGATCTTAGAGATCTGGGTTGCCATCTTGATGTCTGGTCGGTCAAGTTCTGCACTGTACGTGTGGGTGTCCTGCACGTCTTTCCTATAAGAAATCTGATCAGAGACAGTTTTGGTTAAAAAATAAATAAATTAGTAATTTCACATAGCTACTAGTCTTAGTGTTCATAACATTATTTATTCTCATAATAATAGCTTAGAGAGCCTACTGACCTTAAGTTGGCTTTTTGTGCATCTATTTGTATAGCTATATTAACTCTTTATACTATACCTATGTCTCACTGATATTAACATATTTGGGCCAGGCACAGTGGCTCACGTCTGTAATCCCAGAACTTTGGGAGGCCTAGGTGGGCGGATCACTTGAGGTCAGGAGTTCGAGACCAGCCTGGCCAACATGGTGAAACCCCATCTCTACTAAAAATACAAAAATTATCTGGGCATGGTGTGTGCGCCTGTAATCCCAGCTACTCGGGAGGCTGAGGAAGGAAAATCGCTCAAACCCGAGAGGCAGAGGTTGCAGTGCACCAAGATAGCACCACTGCATTCCAAACTGGGCAAAAGAGTGGGACTTTATCTCAAAAAAAAAAAAAAAAAAAACTTGAACTGAATTTATGCTACCTAAGAAATAAGACTAAGATCAAAGCACAAAACCAATCTTAAAGGGTCTTTGTATCTACCACTTTATGAGTATGTCTTTGTATCTAAGTGCATATATTTATATTCATAAGCAGAATATCCTCATCAAGAACTTCAACTTGCCCATCACAAAGTCTCAAGCCCCAGTGGGTGCAAGATAAGCCCAAGCACAAGAATATTGCAAATTATTTCCTTGGGGATGGTGGGTGGTGAAGCTCTGTAGTTCTCCAGCATTTGCCCTTTCAACTACACACTTCTCTCCCTTCAAATGTTCAAAGGCCCATGCCTAGGAGATCTAAGGTACTGAGAGCTTTATCACCCAATAAATATCATTGGAATGACTTGAGCCTCCCAAAATAAAAACAATTACATTGAGTAACATTCTCCTTCTGAATGCATGTTAGACACAAACCAAAGTATGGTAAGTAGAGATTTAAAGAGAAAAATACATAAACTTTGCCAAATGTACTTTAGATCACATTCGTCATTTAGATTAACTTGACTGACAATTGGAAAGAGAGACAAAAATTGAACTGGCATAATGTCCGATGGCCCATGTTTCACTGGTCAGCTCACTTCTTTATTTCTTGCGATTTGTCTTGAGCTGAAGCAATATTTGCCAGATGTGGTTCTATTTGGCAATATCCCCAGGGACCAGCTGGCAATTAAAATATATTCTATTAAAGTCATAATGCAAAGTGTACAGTCATGGACATTCTTAAAACCCATCTTCCTTTTTTCAGAGCACAGAAAGATCACAGAAATGTGTCACTGGACATCTGTACAAAATGCACACTTAATTACATTGTGTACAAATATTTCTAATGTCACCTGCAACCTTTCTGAAATAGCATCATTTAGGGGTACTTATTAAAGATTTAGATTCCTGAGGTCCAGCCACAATCCTCTGTAACAGAATTTTGACAGATGGTGCCCAAAAATCTAATTTTAATGAATTCCCTAGCTGACTGCTATAAACCAGTGTTCTGGGTAATATTCATATATCTTGTTAGTTTCCTTTCAATCTAGCAGAATTAAAAATTTCACCCTTTCTTACTCCTTTTAAAAATAAGATCAAGTGTAAGAAGTGACAATGCATTAATACATCAACAGGCTCCCTGTGCGTTATGTTATTTTATTTCAATGAAACATTTATATACACTTCTACTTACTCTTTTATGAGCTTACATTTGCTTCACCACCAAGACTATTTTTTAAACTACACTTATAATCATGAATCTGTCTGACAAGTGAACACAGCTGAAACACAATTAGTATAATTTCAGAAAGAACATCTGTTTTCTTCCACATTTATATTTTCAGAGGTTTTATGTTAACAAGTCATTTCAGGTAGGTTTTATGCACACAGGTAGTAAAAGGAACATAAAAATAAGGCCGAAACTGAGTTATTTTGTTGGGTGGATTTTAAATCTTTAGGGATTTTTTTTTAAGCAGGCCAATTCCATTGGCTTCAAAAAGCAACATGCTTATCCACAAATGATGGTAAATCAATCTCATCCTACCCTGAGTTAAATACAAGCTGTGTAAACAAAAACTGGCTCTCAGGTGAAAACAAACCCAAATTATCACCCACCTACAAGACTAACTGTTTCTAAGTTACTACATTCATATGAAAACCGCAGGGGGGAAATGTCTTTTTGTTTAGAAAAGAATGAGGGTAAAAATGGAAACCCTTACTTTTTGAAAAGAACCACAACCTTTCAGAAATCTAAGCTTTACATGGGTTACCTAATTATATGGTGTTCAGCCTAATGACTGCGTGAAGAGAGGTGAACGGCACAAAGGCAGCAGGAGCAGGACTTTGAATAGGGCCCCATCATCCATGTAAATTGCAAAGTAGAAGCCGGCATATGTGACTCAAAACAAATATTAAGATTGACATGAACTGCAAATTCAAACAAGAGGACACCACGGAGCCACACAGAAAAAAGCTTCCGCGCCTGATCACTTGTCAGATCTTCCAGAATATCACTCCTTGGGAATATTCCATAGGAAAGGGGGCTTATGTTGGGGGACATTCAAGAGGGTGACACTCTTGATGTCACTATCTCCAAGGGTGTCTGAATATATATGGAATGGCAACATGGCTTCTCACACAGATTCCTACACGTAACCCATTGCTAGTGTCAGAGGCATCTGAACCACAGCAACTCCATCTTGAGAAGGGAATGGGTAAAATGAGGCTGAAACCTACTGGGCTGCATTCCCAGATGGTTAAGCCATTTTAAGTCACAGAATGAGATAGGAGGTTGGCAAAAGATACATGTCATAAAGACCTTGCTGACAAAACAGCTTGCAGTAAAGAAGCCAGCTAAAACCCACCAAAACCAAGATGGCGACGAGAGTGACCTCTGGTCATCCTCAGTGCTACACTCCCACCAGCATCAAGACAGTTTACAAGTGCCCATGGCAACATCAGGCCGGTACCCTACATGGTCTAAAAAGGGGAGGCATGAATAATCCACCCCTTGTTTAGCATATCATCAAGAAATAACCATAAAAGTGGGCAACCAGCAGCCTTCGGGGCTGCTCTGTCTACGGAGTAGCCATTCTTTTATTCTTTTACTTCTCTAGTGAACTTGCTTTCACTTTATGGACTCACCCTGAATTCTTTCTTGTGTGAGATCCAAGAACGTCTTTTGGGGTCTGAATCAGGACCCGTTTCCTGTAACACTAGGTTTAAGGGAAGCTCATCTGACATTTCTCAATAAGTATTTGCTCCAATCTACCATCCATCAGAGCTCAGGAAGAATAAAAAATGTAACACAGCAGAAGAGAGGCTTGGAGTTCAAAGTGTGTGTATACATATTTTTTTCTATTCCTTAATAAATTCAAACCCTAAATGCTAACCATATTGGAACAGTGGACTGGCCTTCACTCTTCAGTCTTCTCATGACAATGTGGTGCTCTATAAATCTTGTTTTGCATAAGGACAGGGAAAAGAAGAAATCATCAACTCAGCAGAGATGTGAACTTGAGGGCCAATAATTGCTTTTACATTATTTTCCTTAATGTCTTGTTCCCTACTCTGTCCTCAGATCATAGCAGAGAACAAACAAGGAGGAGGAAGAACAGGAGGAGGAGGGGGAAAAGAGGAGGAAGAAGAAAGAAAGATTAAAGAAGAAGAAAGAAGGAAGGAGGAGGGGAGAAAAAGAAAATAATAATAATGATAGTCTCAATTTTAGACTATTATGTACCATATTAAGGACTTAACATTCACTCCCTCACTCATACATTTTTTCAAGGTATGACGGTATGAAATTTTTCAAACAATCATAACATCTGCTAAATTTTCATTTCCTTACTACTCATCTATTTCATTTATTTTCTTATTTTTATTAGAATAATTTTAGTCAATTCCACAAAACAAATAACTGTAATTTTAATGAGCATTGCACTGAATCTATAAAATGCCTTAAAGAAAAATGATATCATAACAAAATGTCAGTCTTTTCCTATGAGAAGGTGGTATATTCCTCCATTTCTTCGAATATTTTATTATAACTTTAAATGAAGTTTCATCATTTTGTTCTATATGTCTGTCACTGGGCAAAGAAATTATCATACTATCATTTTTATACATTTATCTTGTACTCAAGATGATCCACTTTTTCCTTTTAATAGTGAATAACAGTATAGAGTCTTATCTGAAAATAGTGATTCTGGTTTCTTCCATAGGAACACCTAGAATTATTACCTTATGTGCTTGATCTCTTCCTCTTAGCTTCTTTTCACTGAATTTATCTCTTTATTCTTTCTCATTTATCTAAGTCATTCTCCTATCTAATCCCTTTGTAGTGGGCATGTGTTAAATTTTTTTGTCAGCCTAGGTTTTTTAATTTGGAAACAGCTCCCCCATCACTCCATGTGATTGGTGGGCCTCTGAAGTTCAGCCTGCCTTCATGTTGACTTAGGCTGTCCTGCCAGATACCCCATCCATTTGGAAACCATGATTAATGAAATCGGACAGACACGTAACCCAACCAAGGCCAGAGTCATTTGAATGATCTGAGGCTGGAGGAGAAAGAGCTTCTCTTCTTTTCTCTGAGATCAGCTGCTGTAAGGATGATTAAAGTTTGGAAACACCAGCTGTCACCTTGAAGCCACAGAGAAAGCACCTGTCTGAAAGTGTCATACACAGCCCAGAGCCCAAAGATGGGAAGAGAGGAAGAGTACTGGTAACACTGTAAAGCCTCCAGCCCACTTATGCCTGAAGATAGCTTGGATTTGTCAATTACATACACAACAGAATCTCATTTTTCACTTGCACTAACTTGAGATAGATTTCCGTCACGAAATCTAGAGAGTTCTAACACAGCCTCCATTTCACTTTTCATTTTTTTTCTTTTTTGAAGATGAAGTCTTGCTATGTCACCCAGGCTGAAGTGCAGTGGCATGATCTCAGCTCACTGTAACCTCCACCTCCTGGGTTCAAGTAATACTCCTGTCTTAGCCTCCTGAGTAGCTGGGATTACAGGTGAACACCACCACACCCAGATAGTTTTTGTATTTTTAGTAGAGATGAGGTTTATCATGTTGGCCAGGTTGGTCTCAAACTCCTGACCTCAAGTGATCCTCTCACCTTGGCCTCCCAACGTGCTAGGATTACAGGCATGAGTCACTGCACCCAGCCTCACATTTTTCTACAGTGCCAAATCTGTTCTTTGTTGCTTCCAACGAATATTTGAATTCCATCAAAATCTGTCTCTGAATTTCTTTATCTCGCCATATTCACTTTCACCCTGAGCTCATATTTTTATCTTATTTTATTGTCTTTTAATCTCAGCTTGTTCTCTCCTTATAATCCTCCCACTTCTGTTTCATAAGAGCCATGTCTTTTGCATGTTCCCTATGCTCGTGCAGAGCATCCAAGGTGCCCGGCTATCCTTTTCTGCATCAATTCATTAAATCCTCACTTCATCCCTGATGTGTCTTGACTCAACTGGGCTACATCAACACTCCCTTTTAAGACTGGAACTACATCCTCCAGAGTACCTTTCCTTAAATAGTTCTGGGTTAGACATGGCCAATAAGAGAAATGCATATGAGATTTTGAAAGTGGATGTGAAATAGACATCTTTATTCTGCAGGTATAGGCAGACACATGTGCAGCTGGAGGATTCACAGTGGCCTTCCAGCAAGCTTTTTATACTCAGGCAACAGTGATTTGAGACTCTCTGGTAGGTGAGTTAATAAACCAGAGAAAAGCAAAACCTCCACAGACTCTCCTTGAAGTGGAAGTCAAGGAGATGACTTTCACTTGGAGATGAGAAGATTGAGACAGCTCAGGAATGGCAGCCTTGCAGGAGTGATAGCCAGCCAGCCAGCCAGCCAGCCAGCCAGCCATGGGGTCTAAAGTCTGCATGGGCAGACAGACCTTAAAGAAAACAAATCCAGCTGACCCAGAACCCTGTGAAGGTTAAACTGATTCTTGGTGAGAAGAAACTAGACAGGATATATAACCTTTTAAGTTTGTGGAACAGAGGCAAATCATGTAACTGGTATATAGTGGTAATCTTTAAGCAATGGTTCAACCCATCTCAGGAAAACCTTTGTCTTTAGCAAAACTCTCACATTAGAGAAGCCCTCCAGGTATCATCAAATAGGCATGTGGACTGCTAATTCCATCTCAAATGATGCTTATCTTTGTCTAGGCATGCTGTGCATAAAAACCTACTAAATTATTAAATTGTAAATATTATTTTTCTGTAAGAGAATATAAGCCTTTTAAATATAAGTAAAAGTAGGTTCTGATACTATTCAGAAGAGAGAAAAAGTTTTCAGTCTTCCAAAAGAAGGAGTAAAATACAGAGTTATGGCCAGAATGGCTTATCATTTAGGATTGCTGTCACTGTTTATAAATCTATAGTTGATAAAAGTTGTCTTATTTTCTTATTCATGATTTAATTTTATCACCACCATATTGTGTAGAAGGCAGAATAAGTATTACTAACTATTCTGTCTTAGAGATGAATAAAACACTAATATATCTAATTTTAATGCTAAATCCTAAAGCACTATTATTGTAAGTCTCATCGGGGAACCACAGAGAGCCATAATTGTTTTTCTAGTATCATTTTACTGATTTATCTTTAAGCTTTCTCACTTTCTGATGGAATAGAAATTGTTTACTGATAAGTTTTTATTAATTTTAAGAAAGTACATATATCATTCTTGAAAAGAACAGTAAGTCTTTCATTTCCCACGCTGAATACTTCTTTCTAATACACATTGAATCGACTACCAATATGGTGTTTTGGAAAAGCTTACCACTCCAATTTCATCACAAGTCTGTATAGACCACATTACTTACAAAACTTAAAATAGAGTTTAAAATTTGTTTGACTTATTTCAGAACTATTGGACTTCATGTCTCTCATAAGACTGATGAGAACTAATAATGGAACTAGGGCTTTCATTATAAGCCCATCTTTAGGGGAAAGTCACTGGATAGAATATCTCCAATTTCTCTAATTACATTAGAAAAAACTGGCAGGGGTATGTCCCTTAAGGTACAAAAAGATTTCGATTGGCTGTTTTTAATCATTTTCTGATTATAGTATTAATAAGATAGGTTCAGGAAACTTTTGGATATGCCCTTCCGACCTAAACATTTCTTAACATAAATTTCACATTGATTTGGCCTTTTATAAATTGAACTTCCTTTACTTGTTTCAAATTAACTATGACATCACCCTAAACTCCCAAATCACCCTTTAAAAGTAGAAGGAGGACGAAATAGAACCAGTAATGTATGCCAGCAACTTTTAAGATGGAGGCTCTGCTGTGAAGCTCTTTACACATAATGTTTCATTTAATACTTGTGAGAATCTTCAGAGGTAGATATCGTTGTCCCCATTTTACAGATGAGAAAATGGAGATTTAGAGACATTAAGTAACTCATCCAGGGTCATCCACGCAACGTGTGCCCAAGAAACATTTTAACCAATGTCTGACTCCAAATTCCTTTCCTAGTATATGCTACTGATATAGGAGTTAAGAATAAAGTATTTAGGCAGATAGTGAGGGTAAGGAAGTCCTTCGTAAGACTTTCCTTTTAATAAAAAGCAGCCCCGAAGTCTTTTTCTTTTCTAACAAAGAGCAGCCTGTAAAATCGAGCTGCAGACATACACAAGTGAGCTGTAAGCTTGCACGTGTGAATGTTGACAGTTGTGACAATAGGAAAAGGCTGCCTGGGAGTAGACATGTTCAAAATGGCAGCTCCATCTTCCCTTTTCCTTTCCAACCATGTGTGCAGTAGGGAGCAGACAACATGGAAACCGCCAGGCAAAGACCCCATTTGCATAATATAATTAGGGCGGAGCAAACAGCTTCCTTGCAGTCTATGTAGAAAGTCACGCCTGGTCCAACCAATCTGTGGGCCCTATGTAAATCAGAAACCGACTCCTCAAGCCTGTCTATAAAATCCGATGCACTCTGCCACGAGGCACAAGTCCCATTTGGGTGCACCTCTTTCTCACAACAAAGAGAGCTGTTCTCCTTTCTCTTTCTTTTGCCTAGTAAACCTCCACTCCTAAATTCATTCCTTGTGTGTGTCCGTGTCCTTAATTTTCTTGACATGAGACGATGAACCTCAGGTACTACCCCAGACAATGATGCCACTTCACTACAGTAGAGGATATTCTAAGAAATACTTATTTTTACTGTTTGGAGATCATTTAATTTTGGGGTGGCGCAAAAGACTACTGCCTCCAGAAAACTCTTGCCCGGGAACTCCATTACTCAGAGGTGGAAATTCATCCATACAGTCACATGAGCCCTCTCCCTCATTCTTTTCTGCTTACTCACATTACTAAAGGCACAAGAGAGAGACATCTTGGTTCACTAAAAGATATTAGAAATCTGACTTGATTTTGGTGGAAACATAAAAAAGTTAGGCAAAGATGTTGACTTCCATTGTTTTCAGGTGAATCAGATACACATATAATGACACACTTTTATTTTAAATTAAATGAAGTCATTTATAGCCATAGTGCAAAGTGACAGTCTGCATTATGAAAGGGTAATTCCACTAGTAAATTCTCTGCAATGAGTTTCATTTGGCTGAACTTTTACAGGAGACAGGTTTATGGGAGATTGTCTTTTATAGAGATTCCATAGATCCACCCACTGAACCAAGAGATGTACTTTCAAGACCTATGTTTAAATTTCATATTGTAGGGACAACAAATGTATTATTCTAAGTGGCTTGACTCCAGAGGAATATCAACTACTTCACAGGTAGAATACAAATATCATTCTCACTTTAAATCTGAGTAAATAGTCTTAAACACTTTCTAAATCCTATTATATGTACAAACTTTGCATGCAAAGGTTGAGTCAAGTCGGCAGAGGAGTATAAGTAAACACAGCCTTCTCCCATAAGTACACAGTATTGAATGAAGGAGAAAAGGGCTTTATACTCTATTCCCTCAATCCCTCAATCAAAGACCTTTTAGAAGAAAAGGCAGAGTTAAAATAATAAGCCCAGTTCTATGATAAGGAACTTCCGTATTTGAATTTCATTGAATTATAGAGTTGGAAAGAGCCTCCCGGGGATCCGTGTAACACCAGACCTCACCCCAGATCACCAGACCACCTTCTAACCCGTGGCCTTTTGTGTGAATTTCGTCTCTTCAGTGTCAAAATACTGGAAACTCGGGATTTCTCTGTCATTCTTTCCTGCAGTGCGTTTGAAATCTGAAGATAACCTATTTTGCTCCCCATTTTTAAAAACTGCATTTAAAACCTTGACTAATTGACAGTAACCTTTAAGGTGGAGACAGCAAAGTGGAACAGAAAGAGCAGACTCAGGAGTTTGATTTCTTAGTCTCATTTTCCTCATCTACAAAATAAGAATCAGTACAGGGTTTTCATGAGAATCGGAAATGATCAAAGTCCTG
This sequence comes from Homo sapiens, assembly GCF_000001405.40. Classification (NCBI taxonomy): domain Eukaryota; kingdom Metazoa; phylum Chordata; class Mammalia; order Primates; family Hominidae; genus Homo; species Homo sapiens. Next base: position 20,879,309 of record NC_000010.11, read on the forward strand.
GCATAGTTCCTGGTGCATGGCTGTGCTCAGTAAGTGGTAGTTATTATGATTATTACAGTCATCCTTAAGCAAACAGTTCTTATAAAGCACCCCCCTAAAATAATTACAGACATGTAGCCTCTTCATCTCCTAGCAATCTTAAACTATGTTAGAAAAGTGCTCTGCTTTTGGCATATGTTTGTATATTTGGGTTAAAACGTAAAACCTCATTCCACTTTTTTACTTAAACATTTGCTTACTGCAATTTAATATCAAATAACAGTTGCCGTTCTGCGGAAAACACTCTGCACAGTGGGACTATGGGGGCACATGGTCAGCCAAGCACCATTCCATAAAGGGACTAAGTGACAGAACAGACTGGATGTGAGATGGCAACTGTACTTCAGGTACTTTTCCAAGAAAGGGAGTTTCTTGACCCAAAAAAGATAGGCATTTTATCTTAACTGATTTTAATGCATAAAGAACCTGACCAACAGTTCACACATTCCTCCTGGAGAGAAGTCAGGATGAGGAGATTTTAAAAAAAAGCTTTCCCTACAATTCCAGGAAGAAATTACTCTTCTAGGCCACCAGGATGGTGGTGGTAATCGAGCAAATGCATGCAAACCTTGATGCAACTGCTAACTTTTACCAAAAAAGAAACTGATTTTCTACTGACTGACTTCCTCCGTTTTGGCTTTAAAGTCAGCCATTAGGCATCTATTGCTGTCATATTCCCCATGGGTCTTAGGTTGGACCATCTGTTCTTACAAACATCCTAAAAGAAACAATAGGCCAGGCACGGTGGCTCGTGCCTGTAATCCCAGCACTTTGGGAGGTTGAGGCAGGTGGATCACAAAGTCAGGAGCTCAAGACCAGCCTGGCCTAGATGGTGAAAACCCGTCTCTACTAAAAATACAAAAATTAGGCCGGTGTGGTGGTGGGCACCTGTAATCCCAGCTACTCGGGAGGCTGAGGCAGAGAACTACTTGAACCCGGCAGGCAGAGGTTGCAGTGAGCCAAGATTGAGCCACTGCACTCCAGCCTGGGTGACAGAGCGAGGCTCTGTGTCAAAAAGAAAAGAAAAGAAAACAGTAGTGGGTACAATATAGCTGGTGTTCATGAATGATCCTTCTGTGGGCCATTGATTCCTGATGGCCTTTCTTCCAGTTCTTCTGTGATTCTAGACTTAGAAGCCATGAGCTTCAGCATCAAGTCAAGGAAGCTCTGGAAATGCTTGATAACCCAATAGGTCTGAAGGATCTACATTTGTCTTGTACAAAGCAAAATTCCAATGCCTGAAAGTGCCTGACAACATAAAGGCATTCGGCAAGGTGTTAATGACTGTGGATAGAATAATTCAGATGTACCTCTGACTGATAAGAAATATTAAAGTCTTTTTTGAACAGGGCTGTTGTAATGTTTAAATTTCAGCAAAATAAACATAAGCCCTAATATGACTTAACTACAGTTCGCTAGAAAATCATGAGAAATGCGCTTCCTTACATTACTCTGGTGTTTATTGACCTCCATGGCATGTTTAACCTCAGGGGGCTCCTTCATGTGGGCATAATCTGAGAATCCTTTGGCAGCATCATGTTTCTGCTTGTAGGCCACCTGAAAAACACAAATAATTTTTAGTCCCATTTAGAGGCATATAAATTCTTGCCTGCTAATTTCAGTGTTTTGCCAGGACTTTATATATTTGAATACCACCACTGATAGTTAATTTGCCTAAATCTCTGTAACAAGACAATATCCACAATGCATTCATCTTTATGCTTCTGTTTAGATTCCTAATTCTACCTCTTTGTTGTTTACTTCAAAATGTCCTTGACCAAAGATGAAATTTCCATTTTTATTCATCTAGCTTAAACCTCGGGTGTAGTTTTGGGAAATCATCCATATCCAAGAGCTTTCTGGGATATAGATGTCAGAGATTTAAATCTTGGAAAAACAACTAAGTAGAGGGGAATTATAGGATATTTGAAAGTAAATTGTTTTCAAATGATTGGGTCTGATTTTATGTAGGCACAGCTATAAGATAATATAAGCCTCATTAAGTGCACAAACCTTTGGGAGAAAATATAGCATGCAGGCAAAATTCTCAGATATGTCAAGTCTTGGCCTCCATTAGGGAAATGGACCAGTGCCATCCATTACCACCATGTTGAATTTCCTCCATACTAGGATGGAGAGGGGATATGAGAAAGATATCTCAGAAGTAGATGTAACCAAACTCAACCACAAAGTTGGAAATTAAAGAAGAACCTAAAGACAGCAACCAAGTTATCCCCTTGGTCTCCACTGATACTATTAACCTATTTATTTCCTTCATAATGTTTAATTACTTTGTTTAGTTTATGTATAATTACTTATCTATCTTCCCTTACTAAACACAACTGTCGTGTTCACTGAATCCTCAGAACCCAGAATAGTGCCTGGCACAAAACATTTGTTCAGTGAATGAATAAATAAATAAGTGAATGAATAACTAAAAGAATGAGAATAAAACAATAACAAATGAAGGACAGAAAGGCAATATTAATTTTAAAATATACTAAAAGCTTAATACTAAAAGGATGTTAAATGGAGTTGGAATTACTTGACATGAGAAAAATGGCAACTTAAGAAAGACAAAGTAGGCTGGACTCAGTGGCTCATGCCTGTAATTAGGGAAGTCAAGGAGAGAGACTTGCTCACGACAAAGTGAGGCTCCCATCTCTACTAAATATCGAAAATTAACCAGGTGTGGCAGCACATGGCTGTTGTCCCAGCTACATGGGAGGCTGAGGCAGGAGGATTGCCTGATCCCAGGAGGTCGAGGCTGCAGTGAGCCACGGCATTCTATCCTGGGTGATAGAGCAAGATCCTGCAAAAGAAAGAAAGAAGGAAAGACAGAAAGAAGGAAAGAAAGAAGGAAGTAAAGAAGGAAAGAAAAAAGGAAGGAAGGAAGGAAAAGGAAAAGAGAGGAGGAAAGGAAGGAAAGGAAAGAAGCAAAGAAAGGAGACAAGGAAAGGAGAAAAGAAAGAAGAGGGGAGAGGAGAGAGGAAAAGGAAAAGGGGAAGGGAAAGGGAAAGTAAAAGAAAAAGAAAAAGAAAAACTAGAACAGGCTTTACCAAGAACAAAACAAGATCTAGTTTTCAATGAAAATAATATATAAAATTAAATTTAAGGAGAAAGTTTTTACCAATATGAGCTCCTTGGGCGCATGTCTGTCTCACACCTTTTTATCCTGTGCCTAACATAGTGAATGACAGAGTAGAAATGCAATAAATGTTTAGTGAACAGATGAATAAATGAGTTTACTAAACATTCTTGTGAGCTTAAACTCTTCATTGGCTTTTATAAACAGTATTAACCACCCATTCCACTTGGATAATATACCTATCTAAAGGATTAATGTGATAAGTCGGATTTTTACAACTAAAGTCATTGAATCTTGTCATCCAAAAAAAAAAAAATGTCATCTGGTATAACTAACAATGTTTAATGCCCTCTCTGGACTGCCATCTAGTTTTTCAAAAACTTCCACTGAAAGAGAACTCAACCTTGGCCACCACAGCCTCTAAATTTTGAAAGTTCAGATTAAAATTTCTTTCTTTACTGAAACCCCAATCTATCTCCCCCTAGCTGCGTCTATGTGGCCTTATGAAAAGAGCCTATTTCATGAGACAGAACTTCCAATGTGGGAAGACACCCGTCACTGACTTCTGTTCCTCCAGACTCGCAGTATGGATTAAAGTGCTGCACTCCTGAACACCTTACATGCTCTCTTCAGCCCAAATCCGAATTTATCAATCTCTTTCTTAAGGTGCTCACAATGGTTGGACCATTCTTAATTAGAACTGTTAGATTTAATCCAGGTTATCACCTCCCACATGTTAAACATTATTAACACATCCACGGACCACAACATTTTTCTTTTGATGGCTATGCTGAGACTTCTGTCAACTGATACCTTTAAGTCTTATTCAGTCCTGCCCAGCCATGTTCCTACCTCCAATCCTGTGGATTTGGTTGGTTACCAAATCAGAAGCAGCACCTCACATTGTTCCAAGGATAATTCATCTTGTTAGAGTCTGTCCACCAACATACTCCATCAAGATATCTCCCTCTGGTGACTGTATCTTTACAATTTTCACCAATTAATTATGTTAAGCAGGAAACCCTTTAAGAACCTCCATTCAGGTGGAGAAAGTCCATTATCTCAGTTCTATTACATTCCGTGTTTTAACTCAGAGGTAGGGAGAGGAGGAGTTTCATGGGTACCCAAGTCTACAAAGCTAAGGAAAAACTTCTATGAGATTTGCTCCTTCTTCTTAAATGAAAAGAACTAGTATATGCCTATTTCCTTTTTCATGGTTGCCTGGTTTATTTTGTACTTTAGACCTACTAACATATACTTGTGACTTTATAAATGTAACCAATGCAGCTGATCATTTTGTGGGTTATCACAGAAATGATGAGTCAGCAAGCACAATTTTAAAAGGCACTCTTTCTTAAAAAGGCTATGTAATTTTCTACTTGCAGCATTAACATCGTCATTTCATTTACAGCCGCTACTAAGTACCACTTTAGAATTAAGATTACATCAAATTAGAGGGAGCTGAACTTTAATTTATCATATTCATTTTCTTCCTTAAAATAGCTAATGGAAAATTATGTCAAGCTAATAAATTTGCCGATAAATTTGATTTCTTAGGATTTGTCATTATTGTATGGTATTTCCCTAGATTAATGCTGTTTTCTTCATACTTTGAGAACTGAGATTGCCATGTTACTAGGAACCTGGAGACAGGAGTCCACTTGCAATAGTCATATACACTTTGTTTATATAAGTGATAAATACATTTATTCTATATTTTTGATCTTACAGCATATTTTATATTTCATATGTATACAGATAAAATGTACATTTATGTTTCACTTATAGATTTTTTTGGCATTTACTTATTTATTCATTTATTTTAGAGATGGAGTCTCACTATGTTGCCCAGGCTGGTCTTCAACTCCCGGGCTCAAGAGATCTGCCCACCTCGGCCTTCCAAAGTTCTGGGATTACAGGCACGAGCCACAGCATCTGGCCAAATGTGGCATTGAAATTGGGGGTTTCACAGATGCCCTGAAGCTTCTCCCTGCCCTCGCTTTCAGAAAATTCATAGATCTCTAAATTAAAGTTTACTGGCCAAGGAGGTCAAGTATGCAAATTAAAATAATGGCTTTGCCTCTGAAAAGTATGATTTATCTGGCACCTTAATTCTACTTGATGGTTATTTATAGTGTCTAACAACATAGCATAAGATGCTACAAAGACGATCAGAATAATAACATAACTTACATTATATTTTATATGACACAGGTAAATGTGCTGTTAACCCCATAGCATAGACACCTCTGGACTTCTGAAACAGAATCCTGTGACCACCGTGGATGAAACATAGACTCTCATTAAGCTGCAGTTCCAATGCCTGAGTAGCGTGAATTGCTTCTATGATAAGGCATTATTTAGCCTTTGCCTGAAACAGCCCTAATGAGAAGGATCTCGCCACCTCATGGCATGGTCCAGTTCATTTTCAGAAGCTTTCTTTGTAATCTGTGCTTATAAAATTGTTAACAGGGGATAGCTAATAAAATGGCCTCCTAAAAACTCTACATCTCTCTCTCTTTTTCTGGCATTTCTTCCTTTCAGGCATTTTCTGTAAGTGTTCATCTAGCTAACTTTATCATTCTAGTTTGAATTTAAGCATCTGAGAGTGTTTGCAAATTGACTTTAAGATAAGTTTGTTTTAATAATTTGTCAAAAGTTAAAGAGACTTTTCATTAGAACCCAGAATGTCATTAAATTTCTGAATTCATCCAATACTCCGAGTTAGGACATCACAAATCTGATACTATTTGGACACTGTAAATGTTAGTCCTTTAATTATCATAGATACTGTCAAATAGTTCTTCTACTTTCTTGCCCCGCTTATTAGGTAAACTCTAAGAATCACAATTTTAACAATAATAAAATCGATGTACGTAAATCTAAAGAAATGTTATGACAGTTACATAAATCTTTGAAGTAGCCGCCTTATTCAAAGTCTAGGTTTTTCTTTATTAATAAGTTCAGTGACTAATTACAACAATGGAAATCAATGCTAATTGTGAGTACATATGCACCTTTCCCAGTGGTGTCTATTTCAGTATAGGATAACATGCTAACAATGTCAGTGGGAACCTATTCTGACAAAACAAATGATAGATTCCAAAATATACAACCTGGATTATTTTTCATGTTAAGTTCTATGTTGCAGGGATTTGTGTATTACAGCCCTATTTATGCTATAAGAAGTTGAGAGCTGTTGTGTGCTTTCAAAGAAATGAGGATGGAAACATCGGAAAAGTTACCTTCCCAAGGAAGTATAAAAGCAATAATAGATTGTTTTCCTTTTCTTTCGTTATTGCTTAATTGTTGCTTGTCACATATCAAGTGTTGGGTTGTAATTATCTGCTTTTTAAAGTGACCCACATTATCAGCAAGTGCTTAGGTGGCCAGATATTGGCAGGAAAAATAAAGGGCATATTAGTCACAGTCACCCATGCAGAACGTTGACATCATATATTTTAAGCTGCATGTTGCATAACCGAGATTAGTTTACTGCCAAGTCAGGTACACAGTGGACATTTAAATGTGTAATAGTGAAACACTTAAAGGTGTTCTGCAAAGAATAACTATGCTCAGCATTTTTCAAGAGTAATGTATTTTCAGACTACTTAAAAATAGCTAATGCATGCTGGGCTTAATACCTAGGGGACGGGTTCATATTAAATAGGTGCAGCAAATCACCATGGCACACGTTTACCTATGTAACAAATCTGCGCATCCTGCACATGTACCCCAGAACTTAAAAAAAATTTTTTTTAATAAGATTATCTAGGTATCTCTACTTAAAAAGATTCTGGGGAAAGGTAGGGCGCAATGGCTCACACCTGTAATCCCTGCACTTTGGGAGTCTGAGGTGGGCAGATCGCCTGAGGTCAGGAGTTCAAGACCAGCCTGGCCAACATGGCGAGACCCCGTCTCTACTAAAAAAAAAAATACAAAAATTAGCTGGGTGTGGTGGTGTGCGCCTGTAATGCCAGCTACTCAGGAGGCTGAGGCATGAGAATAACTTGAACCCGGGAGGCAGAGGTTGCAGTGAGCTGAGATCAAGCCACTGCATTCCAGCCTGGGTGACCAAGCAAGACTCCATCTTAAAAAAAGAAATTCTGGGGAAAGAAGTAAACTGCTTGCTTAACAAGAAAAAGAGGGTTAGAAATGGTAGGAAAAATATAGCATAGTGTGTGGTTAAAAACCTAGACTCTGGGGCCAGACTGCCCATATTCATGTGCCGGCGCTGCCATTTACTGGCTGTGCCACCTTGGCCAACTGACTTAACCTCTCAGTGCTTCGGTCTCCACAACTCTAATCTGGGGACAGCTCATTGGGTTGTTTTGAGGACTGACTGGGATAAATACACGTGAAATGCATAGAACAACTTCTGTGTGTTTACTATTATTAACCTAAAATGTGAAATGAAGAATACAAACTATGTAAAAGGAAGCATATCCTTAGAAAGAAAATTTTAAAATTCCACAAAATCCATTTTACAAGTTTTTACTGAGCACTCTCTATGTGCCAGGAACTCTTCCGAGCACAAGACCAGAGCAAGGAACGAGACAGATGAGGTCCCTGCTCTCACGTAGCTGAGAGAGCTAAAGAATAGATTAACAAAATAACCTCCCCAAATTTGATTGTTCTGTGAAGAAAACACAACATTAAGATGAACCAGAAAGAGGTGAAACATTCCATTTAGAAAGTCTGTTTTAGGAAATGCAATAGATTAAGAATGCCTTATGTGTTGATATGCTACAAAGAGAAAATTACTCCTAAACCCTTCTGGATTCAAAATGAGTTTACCTGATGACAATTCTTAAGTTCCTCTGCAACTGGCAATCACCAAATAGTAACTTCCACCTGATGGGGGCTATTTTTGGTAGCCTGAGATATCCTAAAGGAAAAACACAATCTACAGAAAAGGAAATTCAGGAAACACTTGTCTAATTGATGAAGCAGATCTGTGGATCCTGAATTCAACCTTTTTTTTTTTTTTTTTTTTTTTTTGAGACAGAGGCTCACTCTGTTGCTCTAGTTGGAGTGCAGTGGCATGATCTTGGTTCGCTGCAGCCTCAACTTCCCAGGCTCAAGCAATCCTCCCACCTCAGCCTCCTGAGTAGCTGGCACCACAGGTGCATGCCAACAAACGGCTAATTTTTGTATTTTTGGTAGAGACCAGCTTTTGCCATGTTGCCCAGGCTTGTCTTCAACTCCTGAGCTCAAGCATTCTGCCCACCTTGGCCTCCTGAAGTACTGGGATTACAGGCCTGAGCCAGAGTGTCCAGCCCCATTATCTCTTTATGTGGCTTTTAACAAGCTATTCAAATATTCTCTACTTAGGGATCATATATCAAATTAGAGAACAGTTTAATATTTACTATAAGAATTTCATCCATGTAAGCTGTCTAAATGAGATTAAGATTTGCTCTATAAATTGCATTGAATGGGACTCAGAAAACAGTACCATGTGACTGACATAAACCTGCGTGTCCTTTTCATTTTCTGCAATTTCAACAGCAACTACTGACAGCACATTAATCAGTTGCTTTCAACTTTCATTTGGTATTTAACACCCATGATGAAAACGTTTTATTAAAACGCTAAGTAGCTTTTTTCCAGTTATATGTTTTATCTACAAAATCATGAAACACTTTAGAAAAACCCTACCTCACTCTGGAGCTGTGTAACTTCTCCTGCAAAAACACTGTCAATTGTGGCTGGCATCCGCTTATAAAGAGAATTAGAAAGGTCAGCTTTAATGGTGCCTTTGTATTTTGCCTGGGGGAAAAAAAAACAGGAAAAAAATAAATAAATAAACTTCCATTTTTTTAAACTGTGATTATAAGTAGAAAAGAAGAAACTTTCTCCCAAAACAGAATTGATTTTAAAATCTGCAGACCATTTTAATTTTAGATACCAGAGCTGACAAACTCCAGGATTCTGAAGAGATAGAAATAAATCCAATTTATCATAGAGAACGCTTTCAATGAGACATGCAAGGACATAATGGCTTTCTATTTAAATGCAAGCACATTTCTAAAAGTAAATCTATTTGTGTATATTGACAGTTTCATGCTGGATGAGTGAGCAAACAATTCGAGTTGTTCCAGAAAATGCAAGTCGTTAGAATCTACTATCTAGAACTTGACAAAGGACAGTGTTCTTTTATTCAGGTCTTCTCAGCCTCCTCCTGCTCCAGGGGGAGAGGGGAGTGAGTGCTTTTTTGTTGTTTATGTGCCTACCCACCTCTAGCCTGCACTGTCTTTAAGCCATCTCAGTCACTACTCTAAAGACAAACACTCTTTCCTCTTGGGAAAACTAAGGTTCAAGGGAACACAATAGATTGCTCACTTCCAATATTTTGCTCTGCAATTAACTCCTTCAGGAAACATAATCAATAATTGAGAACATCAAGTATTTATCTGCACGGGAGAATGGAACATAGCTAAGACAAACAAACTATGTTCTTCCATTATCTGCAGATGAGTTCCTGATGTTCTTCCTGCTCAGAGCTAGATTTCAGTATTGATTTATTGAGCACAGATCCTGTGCTAGCCTTCTGCTACCACACTCTTTGGATTTTGGTACTTAATGAAAGAAAACGTACTGATTTCATTCAAAATTGTTTCGCATTAGCAGAAATAATCCCAAGGACATCCAGTTGATCTTTTTCCAACATAATTTATGAAACACTAGAGGTCAGTCATTTACAACACTATTTCATTTCCGTTTCTTTTCAAACGTATCTCTTCTAAGTGATCTATTCACAGACTACAGTAATGCCTCACCACAGAAATCATCATCGTTAACATTGTGCTTTACAATGCAACATAAACTGTAGTTCTAAATGCTCTCAGAAAGAAACTACATAATTTTTCAGCTGGAAAATGAATATAGCGTATTCCTCAGTCTGTGATTTTATAATAGGTATCACTGTTGAACTGAACTTTATCCTACTCCAAAATAGTTTAAATACATTTAAAATTATTTATCAAAGATATCACATTTTAGAAAACTGGTAAATCTTATTTATTTCCAAAATGATATTCAATCATTTATCTCTGATATATCTATTAGGAAACAAAATAATGGAACTTCTAAAGTGAACTATTGTGCCAGTGCTTTTACTTATTTAATAAAAAGATGCCTTTTCAAGAGGAATCGTATATAAATAAGAAAGATTTAGAGTCAAAATATAGACATATATAATAAAATGTATGAAGCATACATAGTAAAATCTGTCAATCTATATGAGTTAAATGACAGCGCATCACATTAGATAATTATGTAGCTATTACTAACATTCAGTAGTGCTTTTGAAAATATTATTCTTCATCTCTTTAATGCACAGACTTTCATCTATATAATAAGAAAAAGATAAATGCAAGCCAGTTTGCAAGCTTTTGATACCTTACCTCAGAAATAAAAGCACCGATATTTTTTACATGGTTTAGCATAGGACTGTCAGTCACAAATGTACACTTATCCTTGGACTTTTTAAACTCTTCTTTATAACGGATCTAAAAAAGAGAATGATTTACATAAGAAGAGAAAAAGAAAAACAATTCTAATGGCCTTTTTTGAATGATAATTAGGTTGATAAAGTCCATTTACTGAAGTAAATACTCAAGTGTGAAAGGGACCTCAAAACAAGCCAAGTTAAATAAACGGCTATCCAGCACAGGATTGCAAAGATGATGAGGCATAGTGAGGAAAGACCATTCTTTAGATAAGCGAGGGTCCAGTTAAGCATCAACACCAGGCGTGCTGGCTACGGGTGATGGGTCCTGTTTACCCAGCCAGCCCAGTGCAATTAGCAAGCATGTGCCATCTCGCTCCTACAAGTGTCCTGGTGTTTTGTTGCTTTTAAGCCTTGACACATAAGCCTTTGGCCAAACAGAAACACAGCTGCCTACCTCAAGGTAGAAAATAAGTAGTCAGCATGACAGATGTGACCAATTAAGAAGTAGAGGCGAAATTAAATGGGGATCACTATTACCGTTATTACCTAGACATGCTTGATTAGAGGAAGAGGCTTAAATTGTGGCCAACGTGGGCTTCCTGTTACTAATTCCTCCCAATTTATGAGCACCCATAGGCTTCCCAATCCTCCTCCTGAGCGCAGAGAAGAACTGAACCTGCCCAGAAAGCTTGCTATGTGGTGGAGATCATTCCAGAAGGCCTTCTTGCTGGAGATCAGCAAGACAAAGCCCAGTGAGGCTTAGCTAAACCTGCTCATCTCTTCTCTGCAACTCACAAGTCAAATGACTCACTCTCTTCCCCTTTGGGGATAGGCCAGAATTGTTATGCCGGGGGAAGACCCGGGTGGATATTTGAGCCCAAAAGAAGTCAGGAAATGTGGAGAAGGACCTAAAGTATAATCACACTGTCACACTAATTGCTGCACAATCTGGAAACTGGGAAGGCAAAACTATGACTCATTGAGAAGATGCAGGTAATTTGCTAAAAGTTGTATCACTCTGTAATATGCTCGTGTTTATCCTCCCAAGACCATAAATACTTAAACTGAAAAAGTGTTCCTGTTTCAGATGATAAATTATATGTTCTCCCTAATTATAACCCAAAAGTGGAGCTGAATTGTATATACTACCTGGTTCTTAGAGGATGTGAATAATATTGATGTTATACACTAATGGTACATGGAGATTTTCCCATATGCAAGCCTGATTTGACGGGCATTACTTAACCTGTGGTAGAACTAGATACAGATTAAGTGAAGTTATTTCAAAATCCCATATTTCACTGCTGTGACTCTTGGATATCAGATGCCTACCACATTAAACATTTGCTTTATTCATGAAATCAACACGAGAACATATTTATCTTATCTGAGCACTAAATTACTTTTTTTTCTTCTCAGAGATTAGCCATAATTTTAGGTTCCTGCAAATCACCCTCCTCAGCCACTAGTAATTAAACTGTTAATGGCAGTATGATAAATAGTAGGCTATTTTGATCATATGGAGAAAAAAGTATCTCCGTTATATAATTAAGTGTGAGAGAAAATAGCCTATCATTAGGCTTAAGTTTGACTCATTATTTTTATCTTTTGCCACCATCTATTCCCCATCACATTCACATTCTTCACTGCAGTGGTATGTGCTTGTGGCTACAGCCTCCTGATAAAGTCTGACACATGCAGAACGTTCAGGACAGGAGGACTGGATAAGGGTGAGGTATTTACTTCTTCTGTTAGGCAGACAAATAGCTCAGTCTTAATTGTAGACTCTATTTTTTTTTCTTGGGTCTTTATTAAAAAGATACACATATTTGTATATTTTAAATGAAGGTGTATTTAAAATTTAAGATCCTTTACAATTGTACAATTCAAGAGAAATTGTACAATTTGTTAGAAGTCACACACAATCATGTGTGATTTCAAGTGAATTGTGCAATATGAATGACAATAAGCAAAGAATGTTAGATTTTTAAATACATAAGGAATATTTATATAAATATTAGATACATATTAGTAGCCTTCCTACACCAAGATAACAGGAAATGATCATTGAAAGGGAACTATATTGGTCAATGAAACAAATCTTAGGTAAAATAAAAATCACTGAATAGATTGCTATATTTTATTACAGCCATGTCTACATCTTACAATTTCGGGTTGACACCATCTATTGGATAGACTGGCCACTCCCATTATCTCCTATTAAAAGAGCCCAGATGGATTAATGAGAGCAGCCAGGCTCCTGCCCAGCCCCAGAGGACAAGCTGATCTAAACCAGGCATGGTCATGCCATCCAGTGTTTGGCCTGGGGAGCCACACTCTCTGTGACTTTAGTGGAAATCTTCCCAGAAGTGCTTCTAGTGTTTCTGGTACAAAGGGAGAGATGCTGCACAACCCTGTGACATTCTGTCTTCCACATTTTTCTTTCTCAATCAAAGGGAAGGCAGCAGCAATGATGTCATTACCAAGGAATAAGCCACCATACTAATGACGACAGAATAGAAGGAAAGGAGCCTGGGAGACTGATAACACCCATAGTACCCAGCCTGAACTACCTACCTCCGGGCTTTATATGTGGAGGCTGGGGAAACAAAAACCTACTTGTTAAGCCATTGTGTTAGAGTTTTCCTGTTTTTACAGTCATCTGCACTCCTACCGAATACACAACCCAACACCAAAAGACAAAAAGGGCAAAATTGATGACTTTATGATCATTAAGATGTCCCAAACATTGACCTTCTCTTTTGCCCTCACCCACAAATCCCACGTCTCCATTACAATTAGGATGAATTTAGTGCAGGGTCGCTTCCTCCTCCTGGCCAAGTTTGTTTGAATGAGTATGAGATTAGCTAAAGGCTGAAATCGGATGACAGACATGGAGATGTTTGCGGATCTTTCCTTTCACAAGAATTCTTAACTGAAAGTATCTGGAAAGGCTCTTCACAAGTGAAATCATACAAGTTAAATTCAATACACCCTGGAAGGAAAAACAATGGCTCCATCATTATTTAACTGGGCTGGACATAGCTAAGATCACTCTCCCAGGTTTTCTGATACCATCTAAGCTTTCTCTGGAGGAGTAACCACAGAATTTAATGTTTTTGGCATTGAAAGGATTTACCCACAACAACGTTCATTTGCCTGGAAAATATTCTTCCTGCTGCCATGCAGATGAACACCCTAAACAGCCTTGAACTAAACACTGAGAGGCTGCATGCAGATGTGGTCCACCTGCTCTGCAGAAGGCTCTTTCTGCCTAATCTACAAGAAACATACAAAAGATTCCCTTTTGCCCAATCTTTTTTATGACTCCCCATCAGAAGACTACTAGATCCAGGATTCTGAATGCTCAATAGAGAGGATAGGTTTAACTTATTCAAGGGATTGATTAGATAATGTTAGGTTAGACTAACAGGAATAAATATGACAGAGAGAATATCTGTGAAAATATATCTGAGAAAATAATAGTATTATGTGATTAACAGAAAAATAAAAGAGGCTGCCTCAGAAGACCAGCTGTTCTTCAAGACTGGGAAGTGAGTTGTGCAAAGAGGAACCCCATAATGTGGGTAGAGCAAGTGCAAAGCAGAAACTAGGTGGGGGGAGAAAGAGAAAGAAAGAAAAATGCCTTATACTGATGCCCAAAGTGAAGCCACTTGACCTGAAAAACGGACATTTCTCTCTATGGAGAATTCTAAGCAGTGCAGGCTTCCTAGGGCTGATCTCTAGGCCAATCTTGCTTAACATTTCTATAAAATTGTCTGACAAGGGGATGATATAGCAGTGTCTACAGGTCTGCTGACTCCAAGCTGTCTCAGTAAGGGAAACGGCAAACTGAGATGAACTTCAGAAGTTCTCAAAGGGCCAGGCAAGAGGGCAGAAAACTACAGATTAGATCTAGCCCTAGTGTGGTTAAAATAATTCAAACTATTATTTAAAGATGATGGGTCCTAAGCTATCAGCTACAGGTCAGAAATTAGGAATGAAATGGCTCTGATGGTCTACAGATTATCAAGCTGATCTAACAGCTTTCTGCAGCTCCCAAGTCTAAGAAACTCTTCATAGCATCATAAAGGGTGCTAGAAGCTAAGCAAAACATCATCCTGCTCTACACGTGATCTAGACCGTCCACATCTGTACCACTCTGCACAGTTCTGATTATTACATATTGGTTATTAAGGATATATGAAAGCTGGAAGAAGTCCAAAGAGTAACAATTAGGCTGCACCATGAAGAGAAGTCCATGAAACCATCCCTCTCATCTACAGAAACGAAGCAGGGCCAGCCCGGTGGCTCACACCTGTAATCCCAGCACTCTGGGAGAACGATGCAGGAGAATCACTTAAAGCCAAGAGCTTGAGACCAGCCTGGGCAACATAGTGAGACTCCATCTCTACGAAAAAGAAAATGAAAATTAGCCAGGCATGGTAGCACACACCTGTAGTCCTAGCCACTTGGAAGGCTAAGGCTGGAGAATCACTTGAGCCCAGGAAATTGAGACTGCAGTGAGCTGCAGTCACATGACAGAACTCCAGCCTGGGCAACAGAGTGAGACTCTGTCCAGAAAAATAAAAAAGAAGAAGGAAGGAAGGAAAAAAAGGAAGAAAGAAAAGAAGAGAAAAAGGAAAAAAATCTAAAAATTAAATAAGTATCTTAGCAAGTATAGAATTCTATTCGGAAGCAAAATGTGAATGTGTATACAGATATAAATTAAGCCAGAATAGGCCGGGCATGGTGGCTCACGCCTGTAATCCCAGCACTTTGGGAGGCCGAGGCGGGCAGATCACGAGGTCTGGAGATCGAGTCCATCCTAACTAACACGGTGAAACCCCGTCTCTACTAAAAAAAAAAAAAAAAAAATACAAAAAAATTAGCCGGGCTTAGTGGCAGGCGCCTGTGGTCCCGGCTACTCGGGTGGCTGAGGCAGGAGAATGGCGTGAACCCAGGAGGCGGAGCTTGCAGTGAGCCGAGATCGTGCCACTGCCCTCCAGCCTGGGTGATAGAGCGAGACTCTGTCTAAAAAAAAAAAAAAAAAAAAAAATTAAGGCAGAATAATCATGTCCTAAATTTAAGTAGTACATTCTACCATGCCACAAAAATCTGTAATAAACAGAAAGTATGCCTATCTGTTTCATTTTACCTACGTGGGTGTGAAATGTATGGATTTAGCTTTTGCATAATGATAAAGGCCACCACCCCTCACAACATGTTGGTTTTAAAGTCACTGATAGACAATCTTATCCAAAACAACTCCAACCAAATCACCTACTAACTACAGTTACCACTTTAGTCCTGATGGTTTATGTAACACAAGTTAGCTCAGCTATAATTGCACTTCAATAAAAATATATCAAAGCTGGAAGAGGTTAGGAACTCAGGGTTTTAGTTGGTAGCATTACTACTAATAATAGTAACATAATAATAATAAGGCGAAGAACAACATTTCATGGAAATCTACAGGGAGAGATAACTTGGCAGTGTAAAGAGGGAGGCCTCTGTGTTCAACTATTACTGCCTCTGCTTAACTGTGTGACCCAGGCAAGGTACTGAACCTCTCTGTGCCTCTATCTCCTCGCTTCAGAAATGAGAAAAAGCCTAGCGCCTACCTCGCAAGCTGCAATCCCTGGCACACAATAGTCACTAAATCTTAACTGTTGCCAATAGTGTTATTGTTGTTGTTGTTGTCATTGTCACTTATTATTACTGCAATTTACAGAGAACTTTCACATACAATAGCTAATGACTATTAAGTAATAGCACAAAGAAATACTTAATTTAAAGGGTAATTACATCACATGTCAAGTATATGGGAAAGGGTATGATTTCCACCAGCATCCTTTGTGCTTGCCTTCTGGTTTGTCAGAAAGAGCCAGTCATATCTAAATTGTGATTGGATGGATGTAAAAGGAAGTAACAGACAGAGTAGTTAATAACAGCTAACATTTATGGAGTACTCACAATGTTCCAGATAGTTTATTCAGCATTTATATGCATTACCATTATTTAATCTTATTATAAATGTTACAGCTGAGGGATGGAGCCAAGCCAGGTTCCATAACCTTCCCAAGGTTACTGGGGAGTCAACCCAGGCAGGTTGACTTTGGAGGATGTGCCAGACCACTACCCTCCTGCCCAGGACTGACTTCCGTTAGAAAACAAACGTGCAAAACATTCTGATCATTTTGCTTATTATCAACAACAGAAACAACCAGTATTGTGCTCATCTCTCTAAATGAAGACACAGGCACATATTCACTTTACAGGAGTTACCCTTTCTCTGGACCAGCAATCCTCTTAGAACCGCTAATGAGGATCATCTAAATTCTCATCCCTGGTGAGCAACATTTTTCCTTGTACTTCTTGAATTCTAGCTTACATATTTAACATAAAATTATATGTTCAATCATTCAATAATTCTGGGATTCCCTTAAAGTGTAATATCAACCAATCCCAGTTACTAAAAAATGTCACAACAAAAATACCCCTTGCACTAATATCCTTGCACTAATATCAGGGTTCTTAGCAAGCAGGTCAGTAATCAACAAATCCTGAATTGTAAATAAATATTATATGCATATATATATATATATATATATATATATATATATGCATTTTCCTGTTCTGGAAGACAAGTCCATTCATTAGATTGTTCAGAAGGCCCCAAAATGTTAAAAAAATGACTATTCATTTAGATAGAGGGCCTCCCAAGACAAATTACATCATTATATTCATTTTAAAATCTTTGGGGGTTCTCAAATGGAATAAATACTGCAATTCAATGCCTTATGATTTCATGCCAGCGTGACAGCAAAACTCATAAGGGACAGGATTCTGGATTAAGAATGAGGAGACTTGCTCTAGCAGAAATTCTCTGTATAGGTGACCTTGGGGAAATCACTGAAAATTTCAGGACTTTGTTCCATGATCTGGAAAGTGACTGTGTTTTAAAAGGTGATTTCAGGGTTTCCCCCACAGCTCTATGACTCTATAACATAATAATACCACAGGTGCAATGCAAAATAAGACAAAAATTACTCCAGCCACTTACATCGCTAATGAGTTCCGTGCATTTTCTGGCCAATTCCATGCTTAAGTCTTCAATAACAGGCTTATAGAAGACCTATTTGAAAAAAAAGAAAAGAACAGAAAGAACATTTTTCTCATTGTCAATTTAGAGGAACAAACGCTGGTCTGAGTATGTGTTTTCTCACTCACCTGGTCTTCTTCATTTTCTTCTTCCCCTATCTTTTCTTCTTCAGTTTCATCTTTTATATCCTCAAATACAGGGACCCTCATTTTTACCCTTTAAAATATTTATATTTTTAAAATTTACTCATGTGGCGTCCTTTTCCATACCACAGTGCCCTTGAGATGCTGACGTCTCTGGTGCTCTGGCAGAAATGCCCTTGCCCAAGCCTCAGCCCTATTTAGCCCACACTTCACTCCTTATCTCAGTGGTGTGTGAGTGAACAGAAAAGGATCCCAGAGGTCTACCAGGCTGGCCTCACAAGTGGAAATAACATATTCTTAAGCAAAATTTGATTTTATGAACTTTTAAAGTCAACATTTTTTCCACTGGTTAAGAAATCCAAAAGAAAAAATTTATTTATCTTTTACTAATTCTATTCATTCATAAAAGAGCATAAAAAGGACTTAGAGATTCTGGGAAAACTACTCAGCTCTAACACTCAAGATAGCACAGTCCAAAGCCTGTTATCTCAAAGATTCCTTGTCTCTGTCTAAATAAAGCTTTCACTGGAATGTCAGACTTCCTTCTGACTTGGGGTAGTGAATCTGGATCATTCAAACTCATTTTGTCAACCTAAATTATATGTTTTATCAGACATACCAGTACTTCTCACATCCTAAAAAATACCCACTTTATATTAGCTGATTAGAGGCTACTTATTTATTATGAAAAGCCCTTTGAACCACTTCAAAGAATCTATTCTGAGTTAATTATGACTGTTAGTATTATACTGGCGAGTATGGTATTGTATTAATTGTAAACATCATTAAACATGAGAAGTTGCAGTTAACATATGTTGATACATAATTTAACAATTCTGGAAACATCGTTTCAAAAATCATCATCATCATCTTTGAATTCTGCAGTTCTACTCATCATGTCAATTTTTACAAAGTCATTGGTGATTTGCATTATTACTCAATGGGCACCCCACATTCAGAAAAGTTTGGAAAAATAAACCATCACAATATTTATAATGTAGTGTATGTCCTTGGTTACGTAAAACCAAGGTTAAAAAAAAATTTCTCAAAACAAATATTTTAATGTCAATTCAGGCAATTCCAAGACTCCCTACAACTCACAATTTATTAATCTGGTTATGTAAATCCTAGGGTAAATTAATTTTACCAAGTCATAGCACATTAGCATTGGGCATAAAAAATACCCTACACTGAATAGTAATACTGATGATACAAAATACAAATTTATTAAAAATAGTATGTCATTCTAAGTAGCCAAGCATAATTTTTTCTCTTGATATCATATCTAGTTTTCAATGTACTGTAAAAAAAAAATGCCTTGGCCTTACCTAAACTGAAAATCCTGACAAGAAAAACATTCTACACAGTCATCACGTATAAATTATTTCTGAAATTGTGTTCCATGAGGCAAAAGTTCCACAAAAGATTCTGGGGGAAAAAAGCAGGTTTCTTAAACAAATATGTTTGGGAAATCTGTACCCCAGTCTCTGTCCCTGCCACTTAGAGATCTACAAGGCATATTGACATACTAGAAGTTCTGAGAAGACCTTCAACCAAAAAACCTGCTTAGGCTTGCTTAACCTCGTGTTCCCCTGAACACAAACCTGTTTATCTCATCAAATCTAATCCAATTTAATCTAATCTACCTACCTACCTATCTACCTATCTTTTTTTTAATCATACCCACTACCCCAGAAAACTAACACTCCTCTGTGAAATATGACCGACTGCTTAGGGAAACATTGCTCTATTCTCCTAAAATGTTGTGTTCTAGAAGGAGCTGTTGGTCTTGAACTAGTTTTTGATACAGGCTAAATTAATGGTATCACATATCCTGTTCACCAACAAAATACCAAAAAGAAATTGCCTCAAGCATGCTGAACTTGGAAACCACAACTCTAAGATTACAGCCATATCATGCTGGCCCAGTGTAGTGGATTCCACAAGGACATTCCTTGTATATTTTATTTGTTCCGTAAAAGGAAAGAATGTGTGCATTCCAATTATTTCCCTCAAGTCCTCTGCTGGCCAGAAGACTATTCTAATATTCTATAGATCTATTACATTATCTTTATTTGGAAATAGGGAGGAGTAATTTCTGTAAACTTGTCTTGCAAATTTCTAGGAGTGTAGGGAGAAAATCTTGCCAAAACTGCCTGAGACACACCTTTTGGCTCATATTTGAGGAGACAGTACTGGTGTTACTCAGGGTGACACCTATTCCCCAAGGTGAATTACCTTCATCAGGCTTGCAGTGCAGTTATTTCTCATTTCCCATCACGTAATATGTTCTTAGGGACTCTTCACTGTGCTGCAAGAAAATAAGCTGTTGAGATTTAATGCACAAACTTTTGAAAACAAAAACCAAACACCACGTGCAATGTGAACACAAATTTTCCATTTGAGATTCTAGAATCAGAATTTCAAGCCAAAGGGATCCTTAAGAAATCAATACACCTAAAGCCCTCTCTTTCACAGATGACAAAATGAAGGCTATGAAAAATTATGTGTCTCATTTACAAAGCCATTCAATGAAGCACTAGGATCAGAACCTAACTAGAGACCTGTGTTCATTTGTTCAACAAATAAATGTTGTTATGCCAGGCACTGTGCTTGGTGTTAGAGATAGAATGGTGAATAAAATATTCTTCATACTAAGATAGAATTGGAAATAAAATACTCATCACTCAACACTTGCTGGATGAAGTCTTTAATGGATCGTTTGGCAAGCTAGAGACACCATTACTTTTGATTGAATACATCTTTTTTCCTCTCACCTATAATATAAAATTCATGCAAAGTTTTCTCTAAAAAAGTGTTAAGCCCTGCACTTCATCACAGCAAAGTTTTCTTGTCAGTAGCTCTAAAATATGACATGGAGAATATGAAGAAAGTGTTCCTCATGGACAGCTATCATGTTTCAAAATCCCCTATCGACTTTTCCAAAAACCAAGCTTAATGTATTTTAATAGATATTTTCACCTTGGGTTGCTCCAAAAGGCAAAATCTCTGTAGCTGCTCATAGCTTTTACTTATTGGGCACTTCTTTTATGTTGTTTACTTTTCTACTTTAGTACTCTACGCATGCCTTGATACAGAATGAGACCAAGAGACATCACTTATGGCTAAACTCTCAAAGTCCAGGTCTGGCTCTGCCATGTCCTCTAGGGCAAATTATTCAACCCCTCACTACCTCTAATTCTTCATAGTTAAACAGAAAAACTGAGTTGACAGAAGTTAATAAAAAGAAAGCACTGGCTGGGTGCGCAGTGGCACACGCCTGTAATCCCAGCACTTTGGGAGGCTGAGGCAGGCAGATCACAAGGTCAGGAGTTCGAGACCAGCCTGACCAACATGGTCAAACCCCGTCTCTAGTAAAAATAGAAAAATTAGCCGGGCATGGGCTGGGTGCGGTGGTTCACGCCTGTAATCCTAGCACTTCGGGAGGCCAAGGCAGGTGGATTGCTTGAGCTCAGGAGTTCGAGACCAGCCTAGGCAACATGGTGAAACCCCATCTCTACTAAAATACAAAAAAAAAAAAAAAATTAGCCGAGTGTGATGGCAGTAGATGGGATTACGCCTGTAATCCCAGCTACTAGGGAGGCTGAGACAGAAGAATCGCTTGAACTTGGGAGGCGTAGGTTGCAGTGAGCCAAGATCCTGCCACTGCACTCCAGCCTAGGTGACAGAGTGAGACTCCATCCCGAAAAAAAAAGAAAAAAGAAAAAAATTAGCCGGGCATGGTGGCACACACCTGTAATCTCAGCTACTCAGGAGGCCGAGGCAGGAGAATCACTTGACCCGGGAGGCGGAGGTTGCAGTGAGCCAAGATCGCGCCACTGCACTCCAGCCTGGGTGACAGAGCGAGACTCCCTCTTAAAAAAAATAAAAAGAAAAAGCACCTTAAAAATAGTGGAGCCCCTCACAAACACAAGCTTTTTTTCAACCACCAATAAAGGTACACAGTGATGTGAAAAACATTTGGCATGAAAAGGTCTTCTCATTCTCTGTGCCATTAATATCCTTTTAAAGTCAAGAAGGGCCTTCTGCAACTAGACAGCTTAAAGATAAGAGCTCACTTGCTTATTTATAATTCAGAAGTCTTCTGATCTTTTGATAGCTTGATGTTTACACGTAAGCAAATGTATTTCCTTAGCAACTGTCAGGTGGGTAATTCAAGTCTCAGAGACACAGCCGTGGCCAAGGGAACGTATCTGTGCCACCATCTGGAGTCGTGCAGTGCACAACTGTCTTCACCTTCCTTGAGGTCGCCTATGACAAGACTTTCTTGGTTTTTGACTGTTTCACACTTATTTCACTTTTTTCTCCTTTTTTTCATAATGATAGAACATGTACTTTTCCTCAACATGGTGATACATGATTTAAAAATAAAAATTTATAATAAACAATTAAAACAGATCCAAATTCAGTTCTGAGTGGGGGGAAAAAAGTACAGAGATAAACTGCTTTTCTTTTAACTTTAAAAATGAATTCAACATTTCTTATTATAAAATATTCATTCCAAATGGTTAGGTGAAAGAAGAATTTGTTTGCCTGATTTGTTTCCCTGCCATGATGGTTTTTTCACACTCATTTTTTGTTGCCTGGTTTTTGTTTTGATGACCGTCTTCCGGAAGGTTCCTGCTTCTCAGTTGAATCCCTAGTCATTCCATCTTTGCCTCACCTATTTACTCAGTAACTGGTATCTTCCCAGAACAGAACTTTACTGATGGACGAGGCAAGATAAATCATTTCTTGAAAGAAGAAATGTAAGCACTCTAGGACAATTTGTCTCCTTTATAAAAGAGAAGAGTTTTGCTTAATATTGGTCCAATCAACTTTTACAATTTAGAATTCATGAACATATTTTCTCCTTTTTAATAGCTATTTCATTACTCTTTAATAATCAGAAATCGAAAGAACACAAAGCAACCTAAACATGTGTCACCATGACCAAGTATGCTATTAAGATTTAATAAGGTGGCCGGGCGCGGTGGCTCACGCTTGTAATCCCAGCACTTTGGGAGACCGAGACAGGCGGATCATGAGGTCAGGAGATCGAGATCATCCTGGCTAACACTGTGAAACCCCGTCTCTACTAAACAAAATACAAAAAATTAGCTGGGCATGGTGGCGGGTGCCTGTAGTCCCAGCTACTCGGGAGGCTGAGGCAGGAGAATGGCGTGAACCTGGGAGGCAGAGCTTGCAGTGAGCCAAGATCGCACCACTGCACTCCAGCCTGGGCAACAGAGCAAAGACACTGTCTCAAAAAAAAAAAAATTTAATAAGGTATATTCCATATGTATATTCCCCTTTTCACAGATGTAGATCCCACTCACAAATGAGAGCTACATAGTTAGATGGATGTTGGAGGAAGTGAAAAACAAGAAACTGGAAATAGTATGGGGCACAACAATTTCCAGGTTGGGTGTGGTGGGGAAGCCCAAATTAAAACGATGTACTCTGCTTATAGAGGGGGCAGGAAAGTATTCTCAATGTCTACATTAACATAGCGCCCATTGAGCTGAAAGTCTTCGGTTTCATTTACAGCTTGAGACATTAGTTCAGTTTTCATAGCAATTAAGCTAATACCATGATCACTCCCGCAATCTTCACCACCAAGAGGAAGAAACCTAAGCTCTTCTTGGTCTGTATGTGGCTTATACCCAGAACCAAAGGGTCAGGCAGGATCAAACAGCTTGACTCCCACAGAGTGTCCCTTTCCTAGAGTTTTATGTGAGATGTGTCAGGAATAATTGTGAAAGACTTTGAAATGGGCACATAGAAAACAAATTACTGAGTGTTCCCTTCAGGACTATACTGTTCTTTCATTATCTTTGAACTACTTCACGATTCCATAAACTGTTGAAAACTGATAAGAATGAGAATGATTCTTATCCATAGAAATGCAAATTATAGTAGCCCCCAGACCTTATCCATAGAGGATGTGTTCCAAGCCCCCCAATAGAAGCCTGAAAGTGCAGATAGTATCAAACTCTATACATATTATGTTTTTCCTATACATACATACCTATGATAAAGTTTAATTTATAAACTAGGATAGTAATGGCATGAAAAGACATTTCTCAAAAGAAGATATACAAATGGCTCACATATGAAAAAAATGCTCAATATCACTAATCATCAGATAAATGCAAATTAAAACCACAATAAGATACGGCCTTACCCTGGTCAGAATGGCTATTACTAAAAAGTCAAAAAACAATAGATATTGGTGTGAATGTGGTGAAAAGGGAACACTTATACACTGCTGGTGGGAATGTAAATGAGTAAAACCTCTACGGGAGACAATATGAAGCTTTTTTAAAGAACTAAAAGTAGAGCTACCATAGGATTCAGCAATCCCACTACTGGGTATCTACCCAAAAGAAAAGAAGTCCTTATATCAAAAAGACATCTGCATGTGTTATGTTTCTCACAGCACAATTCGCAATGGCAAGGATACGGAACCAGACTCACTGGACATCAACCAATAACTGGATAAAGAAAATGTGGTATGCATACACCACGGAATACAACTCAGGCAGAAAAAGAACAAAATAACGTATTTTGTAGCAACTGGGATGGAGATGGAGGCCATTATTCTAAGTGAAGTAACTCAGGAATGAAAAACCAAATACTGCATGTTGTCTGTCACTCATAAGTGGCAGCTAAGCTACTGGTATGCAAAGGCACATAGAGTACTGTAACGGCCAATGGAGACTCAGAAGGGAGAAGGGTAAGGGATTAAAATCTACGGATTGGGAACAATTACACTACTCAAGTGACAAGTGCACTAAAATCTCAGACATCAACATGATAAAATTCATCCATATAACCAAAAACCACTTGTACCCCCAAAAACCATCGAAATAAAAATAAATTTTAAGATGTCATAGCAAGAGAACAACTAGTAATAAAATAGAATAATTATAACAAAATGCTATAATAAAAGTTATGTGCATGTGTTCTCTTTCTCTCTCAAAGTATCTTCTGCTGTACTGACCTATTTCCAGACCTTAGTAACTGAAACCTCAGAAAGGAAAACCATAGATAAGGGAGCATTACTGTAGCTGTGTTCTTGGGAAGGCAATTGAGTACTGTCCATGAGACAGACCCTTTTTGCACCTATTTGTAAATGCATTTCAGCATTCCTTACTATGCATTTATATGTGGTTCTTCAGATTCACCTTTGAACCAACTGTAAGGTCTTATGGGTACCCTCATTTATTAATGAGTTAAAAATCTTTGAAACGTGTTTATGTTTTATGAGAGTCATGACTTTACCACTTAAAAAATTCTTTAATGATGCAAGTGATTTGATTACCCTCATTTCTTTAACATTCAGGAAAAATAGAAAGAAAAAAGGCATTACTGGAGAAAGCCCACCTCTCAATTGTGAAATTTAGCTGTAAAAATTTCTAGCATTTATTGATATCAGCTTTTGGTTTTGTTTTATTTTCAGGTGGGGTCTCATTTGACTACTGGCAAATGTCACATGTGTGCTTGTACATATGTACATTCACACATGCAACACACACACATGTAACAAGCAGAGTTAACTCACCACAGCCGCAAGTTCTTGCTTGAAAAGCATAAAAGGCTTCAGTAAATGCAATGACTTAATTACTTCTCACATCTGGAAAAACTTGAATATGAGAGTGGATTTATTGAAGAAGCTCTTTGCTTGGCTGTCAACACCGTATCAAGAGCCAGAAAGAGAGCAGGCTTGATCACTCTTGGCAATTCTTTAACCCATTCAGAGATAGATGATCTACCAATTAATTCGTAACATGTCCTGTTTATGTGATTTATGAATTTTATGAAAACACAGCAATGTAAATAGTTTCCTAGTAATTTATGGAGAAAAGCTGTTTTTGTCATGTTTCTAGGAGGAAAAATATCACACATTAAAATGGGGAAATAATGAAGAAGTTTTTACATTCAAGGAAACAAAGGAAAGGGTTTTGGGGGTTGTAGAGCATATTGCAAACAACCATTAGAACTATAACTTACACAAACACATGAAAAACTAGATGATTTGGCACTTTTTGGAGAAAGTGTAATATAGTGCTCCTAAAAGGGAATAGGAGATTTATATAAGCCCATAGCAAGAAGATTTAGCAGAAACCAAGTGTATTAGCCCATTTTCACATTGCTATAAAAACATACCCGAGACTGGGTAATTTATAAATAAAAGAGGTTTAATTGACTCACAGTTTTGCATGGCTGGGGAGGCCTCAGGAAACATACAATCATGGCAGAAGGGAAAGCAGGCACTTCTTACATGGTGGCAGGCAAGAGAGAGCCAGCAAGAGCAGGGAAAACTGCCTTATAAAACCATCAGATCTCATGAGAACTCACTCACTGTCACAACAGCAGCATGTGGGAAACTGCCCCCATGATCCAATCACCTCCTTCCCTCAACACATACGGATTACAATTGGAGCTGAGATTTGGGTGGGGACACAAAGCCAAACCATGTCACCAATAAATGACCAGATCTCCCCTAGAAAAGGATACTGAAAATGGAATTAGTCAAAATGATGATAAGGCATCCAAAGAGCATTTGCAAAGACCCAGAGACAAGAGTTGAAAGAACCAAAAGTTCTATGTCACTGGAGCAATACAATAGGACAGAGATGAGGGAAGGAGAGGAGCTGAGGACCCTTCAGCCTCCAGGATGTCAGGGGAGAGCTACATGACGGAAATGTATAGAAATCACTTATCCTAACACAAAAAGCTGAAGTCAGTTTGAACCATGAAGCCTTTGCAGTTATAACAATTCCTAGTCAATTAACTGTGGAAGCAGCACTACCACAGCTTCTCTATTCCCTTTATGTGCCTTGAACATAATTTTTCCTTCTTCAGGTTATTGTTTGCCCTTCAGAATACTCTTTGTGTATGTGGACTTTATGAAAATTCTTAGTGAAGAAAGTGTTTCCAGATTTATGAATCTTTGGAAGAAAAATATTTAAGGGAAATTCATTCGTATTATGTAGACCCTGAAATAAAATTTATGTTAAATGTGTTTATACATTTCACACTTTTACATTTCTATAATTACAGCTTTATTATTAAAATGCACCTCTTTTTTCTATTATTTACTAAACAAGTGATGTCAATGTTCCTTCTCAAACCTTAAGCATCAAGTTACTAACACCTATGTTCACTGAGGAATCCTTCTTCCTGAAATCATGATTTCATCCCACTTTAAGCCAGGGAAAACAATACTACTGATGCTCAGAAGTTTGGCACTTTTAAAACACTAATTTATGAGCCTTATTCCAATTATTTCCATGGAGCTTTTCCATGTTTAACTTAAACTATAAGATAATATCAAAATAAAATTATAATTAAAGTAAATATATCATTAAAACAGCTATGAAGTTAATGATGCTTTAAAATAACTGGTACTCTCTGAAGAGTGAGAACTAGTTTAACGTATATTGGGGTGATTTCTCTCTGAGGACTTTATCTTCTTTATTATTTGTGTGAGGGTGTGTGTTGGGGGTGTGGGTGTGTCTATGTTCATTCAATCATTCACTCATTTGTTATACCAATGAATGAAGATGGACATGAATGAATTATAACAAATATAATTCAACAAATTTTACTTGTTAATAAGTTCACAAATGTTTCTCGTGTGCATTCTATGGGCCAGGCCTCATGTTAATCTCTCCAGTCAACGAACAAAACCAACAAAAATCTCTAACTTTCTCTCCTATTTCAATCATACATTCATTTATGAAATATCTATGATTATCTACTTCATACTACGCACTACAATGAGACATGTTATATTTTTTCCTACTAAGTCTTTAAAATCCTGTGTATTTGAACTTCACAGTTACAGCACAACTCAATTCCAACTAGCCACATTTTAAGTGTTCAATGGTCAGATGTAGATAGTGGTGACCATGTTGGACAGTATAGCTCTATAGTAATGCTATAAGACTGGAAATAATTGGCTATTTTTCAATTTGATCATATATACCTTAAGCATGGAAAAAACCTTTAAAATTACATTTAAGATAATGATCTCAGGGTCTTAATAAGCAAGCAATAAAGTCTACAACCTGATTTTAATTTCCAGACCTGTCTAAATAAGTCTTCAGTGTGGAAATGTATTTTATTAAGGGTTTAAATTTTTATTATAAATAATGAATTAATTTTTAAAATTATGTTTTAATTAAGTTTACCAAAGGTGTATTTTCAAAATGCTATCTTGTTTCATTAATGAAATGACGTAAAGTCCCACTAGTTTTCAGGATATTCACCCTCTAATTTTCTGTCTGATACATACTTATATGACTGAATAATAAACATTCGATAATTCTCTATCTAAATAGCAAAAAGTCCAAATAGTGAAATATCTTCCATCGATACTCCCATTTTTACCTCAGATAACCGAATTTAAGCAAACCATTCGTTCATCACATTGGCTAGGTAAGTCCTTTTAAACAATATTGTGAAGTAATGTCACCAGGAAGTATATGAGATTTTTAATAAAGAGGTTGGCATCTCATGAAAAGAACCTAAGTTTCACTGAAACGAGATTTTCCTATTTTAAAAGAAATTTAAAAATTTTCAAGTGTTCAACAGAAAAGACCTTCATCAGTGAGGAAAAACACAGTATTTCTGATTTCTGCTCCCAGCAAATTCATCTCTTGCCCTGACAGAGCCAGCACAATTGGTACTTTAAAACTGCTGGAATCTTGAATAATATCCAAATGCAATGAAGTGCTTCGAATCTAAAAATACTGTTGTGCAGAATGATATTCAAGGTCTTAAATTTTATTTGTGTTATACCTCATCCAAGCTATGCTGACATTTTTTGGGAAAGAGGAACTCCATATAAAAATGATGGGAGGCAGCCATGAAGTCTTCGAAGTTCTTGAACTCTCCACTGACCTATACCAGGTACCGAGAAAAGGTACCAAAGGATGATCACTGCATGCCAAGCACTGTGCTGTGAGCTTTATATACAGTAACCCATGTGATCTTCAGACACCCATTTCACAGATGAGGTCACTAGGATTTAGACTGATAACTTGCCCAAGTTCTCACAGTAAGAGATTCATACCTAGATCTTACTACTTACTACTTCCAAATCTGCTAGGCCATAGGGCAGTAGAACATTGAATGGATGGATGCTTTTTATTCCTTTCTGGTAGTGATATTACTTTCTCTCATCTCCTTCAATTTCCAACTTCAAAGGAATTGTCATTACGGATGCTTATATAAAGGAAGAGTAGTCCTTGTGGTATGGAGACAATCTGGTCCCTGTGATCAGTGAAAACAAGCCCCCATGGGCGTTAGAAGCAACAGGAAAGGCAGGCCATAATGAAAGCATTATGAGGATCCTTGATCTAGCAGGAACCTAATTTGAGGAGCTTTTCCTGCTTTTCATTCATTAAATGGCACATTTATGAGCAGTAGTGAGCTGGCAAATGTTTAACAATCAACTCTCTCAGGGTTTATATTTTTTAATTAAGAAATAAATTTTTAATTAAAAAACAATCTCTGCTCTGCAGCATAATCATGGAGTCGGGAAGAGATGAACACACTCTGCTCTGGTAAGCTGATAGCAGCCAGCGCCACACAGCACTGTGAGTAACAACAAAAGCCTATATCTAATGTTAAATGGACCAAGAAATGCCAATCAACCTGAGGCTAATCTTCCACATTTTTAAATGGGCATTTCAAGGTATACAGTTATGCCCTGCTGCTATTCTGTTCCTTACCTGTATGTTGATGTACTCATTCTAAATGGTAAGATTTCAAACTTATTTGTGCTACACTTTTTGTACTGATCACCAGACACTGAGATCATAAAATTTGTGTTTGTGGCACTCTTTTTTTTAATTTTTAATTTTTTGGGTACACAGTAGGTATATATATTTATGGGGTACATGAAATGTTTTGATCCAGGCATACAATGCATAATAATCACATCATGGAGAATGGGGCATCCATCCCCTCAAGCATTTATCGTTTGAGTTACAAACATCCAACTACACTCTTTGCATTATTTTAAAATATACAATTAAGTTATTATTGACAGTCACCCTGTTGCTATCAAATAGTAGGTTTCGTTCATTCTATTTTTTTTTTTTTTACCCTTTAACAGTTCCTACCTCCCCACCACCACCCCCACTACCCTTTCCAGTCTCTGGTAACCATCCTTCTACTCTCTATGTCCATGAGCTCAATTCTTTTGATTTTTAGATTCTATAAATAAGTGAGAACATGCAATGTTTGTCTTTCTGGGTGGCACTCTTAATAATTTAGATGCCTCTAAGATATTGGACACACAAATGAAGCAAATGAAATGGAAAATACTTTTAAGAGGCAGATTTTCTTGTACCCAAATAGAGCCTGCCTTTTCTACATAGCTGTCTTCACACCGAAAAGGATTAAAACTTAAAATTTTCTTTAAGTAGGATCTAATACATAAAAATTTAGAATATAGTAAATGCTAATTGAAAATAGTATTATAGTAGTGACTTTTATACTATACAGTCTCTGATTTGCAAAAAGCTAATGAAGATAATTTACAGAATAACTCAACAATTCTCTCAATTGGGATAGAGTATTAGGAGAAATTCACCATAAAATATTGAAACAATAATATATACAAAAGAAATACAGAATTGTCAGAGGAAACAATTTATACAATGGCTTTAAGTCTTAAATTAAGGAACCTAGTACAGCCCTGATCCAAAGCACATATAGTGATATATCTGCAGGAAAAAAAAAGTGTTTTATAGAATTATAATACTTGCCTAGTATCAAAGCTTAATTAAAATAGTGAATAAATATGTCCTTTGTATTTCACTGTGTGTCAGCAAAAATATCCCCTTTTCAGCAAACTTTACACTTAGGTAAAAATTTTGACATAAAAAAGATTCTCAGGGTAGGACTCTACTTTAAAAAGTTGAATTTTTTGGGCAGTTTGTCATGGAAAGTCTTAAAGCAGCTTCTCTGTGCTTTTCAGATGGATAGATTTAGAAGAAATGAGTTGAGGACATACTTTTTTAAAAATTATCTATATAGTTAAGCAAAATTGTCATTTTCAGCTCAAGGTTCATACAAAAGCAGTATTTCTTTTATATATGTTATCATGGCTCTGACAATTCTTTATAGTATTTATCTGCCATGATTTGACAAAGATTATAACTAACTCATGAGCTATTTAATCATGTAGCTTCCACTTAAGTTCCTTATGTTATACCGAAAAGTTAAAACACATGCATCAGATGTCATGAGGTTGTAGTCCACAATGACTGATGGCAGAACTGTATTCTGTTTTTTGGCCTGGCAGTAACACTACAACTGATCAGACAAGGATGACTAAGGACAGAAGAGATGTGAAGGCAGCTAAACCCTCACTGCATGAACCATGGTCAGAGAGACACTGTTTGAAAAGGAGCAAGCATTGGAAGGGCCACATTTGGGGTGGGCAGTGGAAAGCATGCAACACAGAAGGAGTCCTAAGACCTACCTTCAAAATCCCTACACTGTAAAAAATTAGACCAATCTTCCTAGTTCTAAGATTGTATGATTACCAAATTTATCTACCTATCTACTAATCACCAGGGTACAAGGAATTCAAAGACGAAAACCTCATCTATTAACAAATTCTTTTGTCAAACCACTTTTTTTGTTTGGTGTTTTTCGTTTTTGTTTTTTTTTTTTTGGCCAAAGGGGGATAGGAGTAACCTATGCTAAAGAGTAGGCACTGGCCAGGCATGGTGGTTCATGCCTGTAATCCCAGCACTTTGGGAGGTCAGGGTGGGAGGATGGCTTGAGTCTAGGAGTTCAAGAACAGCCTGGGCAACACAGCAAGACCCTGTCTCTAAAATAGAAAAACTAACTGGCTGTAGTGTTGTGAGCTTGTAGTTCCAGCTGCTCGGGAGGATGAAGTGGGAGAATTGCTTGAGCCTGGGAGGTGGAGGTTGCAGTGAGCAGTAATTGTGTCACTGCACTCCAGCCTGGGCAACAAAACAAGATCCTGTCTCAAAAAATAAAAACAAAATATAAAGAGTAAGCAAAGAGTAAGCACTGCAGTAAGTCCTTTACACATCTTATCTCATAAAATACTCATAAACTCTCTGGAAAGTAAATTCTATCAGGATCCCCAAACTGAAGTTCAAAGTTAGCATGAACAAACTTAGAATAAGATCTTCTATGTTGATGTATACACCTGTTGTGAGCATTCAACACAGTTAAATGTATATACCCGTTGTGAGCATTCAACACTGTGAAAATGGCTGAAACCCACATTTTAAAACTCTCTTTGTATTATGATTACATTTCAGAAACTAACCAGGTATGCCTGAATGGCCAATAAAGTATAGGACATTTATAAAACCTACTACCATACACATCAAAATATTTTTAACTGTTATAAAACCATAGTCTTCAAACAACTACAAGGACATTCTCATAGTCTAGTTTTAAAACTAGAGCATTTAACTCAAGTACATATAAATAAGAAAGTATAAGTGGATTTTATATGTACATAAAATAGGGACATATTCCCAAGGCATGGGAAATCATCAGTGATGTAGCTATCCTTAGTGTATTCATGACTATGTGTTCCAAAATCGATATAAACATCATCAGTGGGAAATTAAATTCTGATAGAGCCAAGAGTATGACTTTGAAAAGCTTTTAAGCATTTATCTCCACAATGATCTCATGAGGAGTTCAAGCTTGCTTTTCAAGCAACAACACCGTCAAAGGCTCTAAAAAGCAGATATTTATCATAGCATTCAGTCTGTTGCAAAAATTTCTTGGCAGTTTGACTCAATATAAGAAAAATAAGTTTTCGTGTCATCGCAAATGGGGAAATAAATTATTATCTTAAACACCACCTTTATCTCCCAATTTAATTAACATTCTCCCTCTTACGGTTATAATAACTTTTCTTATTCTTCACACTAACACTATTTTAGTTTTTCTGCAAATATGAATGTAAATGTAAAAACATGAAAATGACTTTTAAAAATAAACTAGATAACCAACACAACTATTTTTTATATTGCTTCTGTTTTATAGTTTCCGTTGTATTACCATGTCTCAGAGGAATGCTCACAGACGTGGCTTGCAAGAAAAGCAAGTCAATGGCATTGCTATGTTTGAAATAAAAATGCATTAGCTGGGTGTGGTGGTGTGTGCCTGTAGTCCTAGCTACTCCAGGAGGCCGAAGTGGGAGGATCACTTGAGCCTAGGAGTTCAGGCTGCAATGCGCTACGATCGTGCCACTGCACTCCAGCCTGGGTGACTGAATGAGACCTTGTCTTTAAAAACAAACAAACAAAAACAACTTACAGTATCTCAACACAAGCTTTCTTTTCTCATTCTTCACATGTTATCTGTTGCTTTGTTTACATTTTTAATATCTCTCAAATCTTTATCAACCACTTTCATGAATCCAGTATAAGTCTTTATCTCTTGCCGGCCTCTAGGTCATTTTGCAGACCTGATATCTTGTTCCTCTCATTTCAGCATTTCCTACTTACGTTGCACCTAGATTACTCTTTCTGTATTGGATTTGTATGTCACTCCCCTGGTTAAAACGTTGTGACTTGAGATTTCTGAATGAATTATATACGCAGTTGTTGGCTTGACATTTGAAGCTGTCTGCATTCTGCCTTTCCTTCAATCTTTACTCCTTCACTTTCCCTATGCCATGCTGAACTTGTTCCTCATGGGGGCCATAGTATGCCAATTCTTTTTTTTTTTTTTTTTTTTAGACAGAGTCTCTCTCTGTTACCCAGGCTTTAAGGTTTTTGGTAGACACAGGGTCTCACTATGTTGCCCAGTCTGGTTTCAAGCTCCTGGCCTCAAATGATCCTCCTGTCTCAGCCTCCCAAAGTACTCATATTACAGGCATGAGCCACCATGCCCTGCTGTAAATTGTTTTGAACAGAGGGTGAAATAGGCTTAGGGAGGAACATACTGAGTCTGAAATAGAACATCCAGGTGGAGGATCAGCCATCAGTGAGAGCTGCACAAAGGTCATGATTAGAGCATTGACTCAGCTTAGAGAAGGGAGTCAGAGTTCAGACAGCCACAGGCAATTCCTAGAGTAAGTGAAGAGAACAATTTTGAAAGGCACCTGCTGAAGAAAAGCAATTATTCATTCCTAAAAGGCACTGCCGATCCTTCACATTGAACATCAGAAAAGGTACACTCCTGAAACAAGGTCTCCTGTGGGACAAAGAAAAACTCTATTCTGTTTCTTAATAATTCTCAAAAACCAGACCACTTTAATGGAATGCTTCATTAAAAGTACTTATTAAGAGATCGTTACGTGAATTAGGAACTTGGAATATAAAAATATTTATTATCTGCATTAAGAGGTTTTAAACATCTTTGATATATTGTCTGGTTATAAAAATGAAAAAATGTTCAGTTTACTGGAAATAGCAAAAAAGTACAAAAACCAAGTGTACGAAATATCGTATCAGGAATTGTTAAATTTTATCAGCTGCTTTTCCAGCATCAGATGGTATATTTGACTTTTTGATCAATATCAATAGCATATTAATTTTATTATATTAATAGATTTCCCAGTATTGAATCACCCTGCATTCTTGGGTTAAATACTATTTGCCTGTGGTAGGTTGTTGAATGAATATGATCTTATAGTATTTGTTTATACAATCATATATATGAGACAATGAATATTTATGCTCATGTACTGGAGCCATTTATGTTCAAAAACTGGAGTTTTCTTTTTCAGGCTGTTAGCCTTTTTTGTGCTCAATACCAATATACATATTTTGGAAACGGTCATTCTTGAAAACAGGATAGACTCATCAATAGAGCTATAGCAGACATGTCAATAAATTCACCAGTGCAAACTACACTCAGGTTCAACCTCCTCTGCACAGACTATGAATCAATCACATACCCTGATTATCCACCCACAGCTCATCAGACCAAAAGCAGACACTGCACTTGAGGAGAGGAAACACACTGGTCATTTGGTGACCAATGAGAATGTGTTTTGCGCGTTTGAACTAAGAGACATTTAGCTGTGGATAATTCGATGTCAGTAAGTGCTGGAGCTAAATGCTGGGTAAATTCGGGTGGGTCGCTATTATTCAACTATATACAGGCTAAGAAAACGTGTATTTGGAGAAAAGCAGAGAACAAGAGCCATAGAAACCTTAAAAGATACAGTGAACAAGATTTGCTTTTTAATGACTTCACAGTTTACATGAAGTCCAGCCTTACTTACTGCAAAGGTTTTCTATGAGATTACCCTCTATGTTTCCTATAAATCCCTTTTCCCTTTAGTCATTCCTTGGAAGCAAACATTCCTAATACAATATTTATCAGGGACAGGAACCTTTCATAAAGCGAATTGTTTAATAATATTGTTCAATGCTTTCCTTGGTTATTGCTTTGTTCAGGTTTTCTAATTCCTCAAGTCTATTTTGGTAGTTTATATATTTCTTTTAAAACTCCATTTATATTTTCCAGGTTTGTTAACATAATGTCCTCTTGTGGGTTTTGAATTTAACGATAACCTAGTCAGATTCTGAGCTACAGGTAACTGCATATCCAGACAGAAATTGATGACAGAGTAAAAACAATAGAAATGGAAATTTCAAATAATTGAGACAATTTTAATACCAAATTTACTATACATTGAGGGTAATGGTTCTCAAGATGTATTTTTCATATATTTTCTGGGGTTGTTTTGTTTTGTTTTTTGAGGCGGAGTCTCACTCTGTCACCCAGGCCGGAATGCAGTGGCACAATCTTGACTCATGCAATTCTCCTACCTCTGCCTCCCAAGTGGCTGGGATTTTTTTTTTTTTTGGAGAGATGGGGTTTCACTATATTGGCCAGGCTGGTCTCAAACTCCTGACCTCAGGTGATCCACCCACCTCAGCCTCCCAGAGTGCTGAGATTACAGACATAAGCCACCATGCCTGGCTTTTATATATTTTCTCAGTAAAAGTTATTTATCATAGTACAGACCAAGGATGCAATGAATGAAAATAAATGAACCCATCACTGTAATAACACTTCACCAACAAATACTTGTTAGACATTTATATATGCAAGGAACCAGGCTTTGAAATTTTTTTTATATTATTATTATTATACTTTAAGTTTTAGGGTACATGTGCACATTGTGCAGGTTAGTTACATATGTATACATGTGCCATGCTGGTGCGCTGCACCCACTAACTCAGCATCTAGCATTAGGTATATCTCCCAATGCTATCCCTCCCCCCTCCCCCTACCCCACAACAGTCCCCAGAGTGTGATGTTCCCCTTCCTGTGTCCATGTGTTCTCATTGTTCAATTCCCACCTATGAGTGAGAATACATGGTGTTTGGTTTTTTGTTCTTGCGATAGTTTACTGAGAATGATGATTTCCAATTTCATCCATGTCCCTACAAAGGACATGAACTCATCATTTTTTATGGCTGCATAGTATTCCATGGTGTATATGTGCCACATTTTCTTAATCCAGTCTATCATTGTTGGACATTTGGGTTGGTTCCAAGTCTTTGCTACTGTGAATAGTGCCACAATAAACATACATGTGCATGTGTCTTTATAGCAGCATGATTTATAGTCCTTTGGGTATATACCCAGTAATGGGATGGCTGGGTCAAATGGTATTTCTAGTTCTAGATCCCTGAGGAATCACCACACTGACTTCCCCAAGGGCAGGCTCTGAAATTTTTAAACTTTTGAATTGGATCTGCAAGCTAACCAAACATTTATATCCAGGTATTCAACGAACATTCTATTTAAAACAAAATTGTTAAACTGCATTACCAAATGTTGTCATAACCTTATCACTTAGTTATATAGGACAGTAAGACATAACAGACTGTCTTTCTACGATAAACCGTTATTAACTAAGTCAGCCCTAATTTCAGAAATAATCTTTTATTTACTAGATGAGAAGTAAAACACAATGAATCACGAGGTGATTAATCAGTCATCTAGTTCAACTAGATGTTTGATGAGTGCAGACTGCTAAATGTGAGAATTTTAGAACTACAGGCAAGAACCATGGGTTATGGAGTTCCCAACACCTTAACCTATACAACTCTGAAAAACAACTATACCTGAGAAACTGCAAAGTGGGGAAGGAGGGAAACAGAAGCAAACTATCGCTTAAAAATTAAATAATTAAAAATATAAAAACAGCTAGAGTTCTATTACGAAATATTTCTTAGATAGCTCTGAAGAAGAAGAAAAAGACTTAATTTTTTGTTTTCTTTTGTTTCTTGGGAAAGGGTCTCACTCTGTTGCCCAGACTGGAGTGCAGGTGCAGTGGCACGATCTTGGCTCACCACAACCTTCACCTCCCAGGCTCAAGAGACTCTCCTACCTCAGCCTCCCAAGTAGCTGGGATTACAGGCATGCACCACTACCACTTGGCTAATTTTTTTGTAATTTTAGTAGCGACAAGGTTTCACCATGTTGGCCAGGCTGGTCATGAACTGCTGACCTCAAATGATCCACCCACCTCAGCCTCTCAAAATGCTGGGATTACAAGTGTGAGCCACCACGCCTGGCTTGATTTAACTTTCAAATATTCTCTTGATTAAAAGCTTCTAACCTGGCTTAGGTATAAAATGCGTGCCCATCTGAAGTTCCTCAAGGCAATAGGCTATTTTATACTTTACCACTAGAGTGACACATTATGAATATTTGAAAAAGAATATACAAGTCCTGCAGTGTATTGACATGGGGAAAAAAGTTAGACTTTTTAGAATATTTATTGACTTTTTTTAGTTCCAACATTCAAAAAAGAAAACTTTACAAAGCATGTGCATATAATTTATAGTAAATATAAAATATCCTAGGGAATGAACTCAGACTATTATTTAGTGAAAGGGACTGTATACTGAAAAAAAATACATTCTGTGCATTAAATTATAACCCTCCTGATTATGGGAACTAGACCTGGTTTAGCCTACTTATCCATGTGTGCCTAGCACAAAGCTGGTAAGAACATTAACTTTTTATGAAGTTGAAAATCAGCTTGTAAGTCCAAAGTCTACCATTTTGTCCTCACCCAGCATACACACAAACACAAAATTACACTTAAAATGTTACAGGCAAAACACTGTCCTCTAACAATCACTAATATTGTATTTTCACATTAGCCTGATACATTCCATTCATTTCTTTCTTCAAGGGTCCTCTGAACTATTTCTCGAGGGGCACAAACCCATAATGGCAAAGAATTTTTCATCTTTTTCACTGATATACCCATTGGCGTCACAACAGAAGCAAAGGGTAGAAGGAGCATTGCTGAATTAGGCTGAAAGTTGAGACTGTTCAGGGGATGTCTATTTATTTCTCAATGTATGCAAAAAGTCCGAACTATTCACATGCTGGCCACACATTACTATGCATCACGTACCTCATTTTTAACTTGGATTTTGAGACAATGTGGATC
This sequence comes from Homo sapiens, assembly GCF_000001405.40. Taxonomy (NCBI): domain Eukaryota; kingdom Metazoa; phylum Chordata; class Mammalia; order Primates; family Hominidae; genus Homo; species Homo sapiens. The sequence goes on from NC_000010.11 coordinate 20,917,598, forward strand.
TTAGAAGGGCTAGGAAAAATTAAGAAACTTATGCAAATTTTGACATAAACAAAACTTCCAAGTTCAATTAAAACAGGAAAGTGAATGCTCTCTAAACATCATGTAAAACACTTAGCAGCAACCATGTCTATAAAATTAATGTGTGTTTCTGTCTCATGGTGACCTTGTCCATAATTGTTCTATTTTATATTTCACTTTCAAGATACTTCTTTGAGAAGCCAAGATTCTATACTAACTGAAGAAAAAATATTCTTAACTTGCTCTTATTGAAATCTGGTTTAGGTCATTTAATTGTGTTAAAAGAAAGATGATATTATAAATAAAATTTAATATGATCATTGAGAAAATGAGGATGAACATTTCTGGTAAAATACTAATAAAATAACAGGATCCAAAATGATATATGCATGACACAATGAAAATAGTGGCTGAAATACAGTTTTTGGAGAAAACACACAGGAGTTAGAATCCAAGCTCCAGGCCAGGTGCAGTGACTCATGCCTGTAATCCCAGCACTTTGGGAGGCCAAGGCGGGCAGATCACTTGAGGTCAGGAGTTAAAGACCAGCCTGGCCAACATGCTGAAACCCTGTCGCTACTAAAATACAAAAATTAGCTGGACATGGTGACAAGCGCTTGTAATCCCAGCTACTCAGGAGGCTGAGGCAGGAGAATCGCTTGAACCCAGAAGGCAGAGATTGCAGTGAGCTGAGATTGAGCCACTGCACTCCAGCCTGGGTAACAGAGCAAGACTCTGTCTCAAAAAAAAGAATCCAAGCTCCACTGTTCACCGAGTTTGTGAGTTTGGGAAAGTTATTTAATTTCTCAGAGCCAATCATTACTCATCAGTAGTAGTGAAATAATAAAGATTGCATCTTCAGATGAGTTTTGTGATAATTAAATAGGATAATATACTTAGAGCACTTGAATCAGTGCACTTAAGTAAGTACATAATAAATGCATAATATTGGGGCCGGGCACGGCTGGCTCATGCCTGTAATCCCAGCACTTTGGGAGGCCGACGGGGGCAGATCAAGGTCAGGAGATCGAGACCATCCTGGCGAAGGCGGTGAAACCCAGTCTCTACTAAAAATAAAAAAAAAAACTATACAGGCGTGGTGGCGGGCGCCTATAGTCCCAGCTACTCGGGAGGCTGAGGCAGAAGAATGGTGTAAACCCGGGAGGTAGAGCTTGCAGTGAGCCGAGATTGCACCACTGCACTCCAGCCTGGGTGACAGAGCGAGACTCCGCCTCAAAAAAATAAATTAAATAAATAAATAAATAAATAATATTACTGTCATTCTCTTAAAATCGTTCCCACTTAACATGATCATAATAAAGCGAAACATTATGCATAGGAAAATTCTGGAAGGAATTGACCCAAGTAACACAATTCTGGAGGTCAGTAGTAGAATTCTGGAATATTTTTTCCTTTGGTATTACTATTACTCATTTCAGAAAGATTCCAAATGCCTTAAGATGCAATATGATAATTAAAAATAAGCTAAATTATGTGCTATCCTAAAAATTCAAAACTAAAAAAAATATTTTGTGGCAAGAGAAGGCATCTGAGCTATAGTTAAGTCTTTGCTGGGAGATTAGTCTCTCATGATTTCCGAGAAAATTATATACTTTTTAGAAAATTATGCAACGTACTGGTTGAGAACATAGGTTCCAGTCCCACTGCTGACTAACTGGGAGATACTGGATAGGTTTGTGCAACCTCTGTAAGCCTCACTTCCCTTCTATGCACATTGGAAGAATAAGGGTAGCCCATTCATAGGGTATCTCTAAAAATTCTACCATTTCAAACTTTATGTTTCTATAATCATGGGAATCATGTCATGGTGACTTTTAAAGTACTTTTAATCCATTTTATAAAGAAAATTTCCATTATTAGAGCTGTGTGCTCCTGAAACATTAACCGATAGAATGAGATAAACAGTCCAGAGATAGACCCATGTCCACAGGACAAACGTCATCCAAGAAAAGGGAGAAAAGGACAACCCCTTAATAAATAATGTTACAACAACACAGGAAAAGCATATAATTGGATCCATTTCTCATGCCTCACACCAAGATAAATTCCAAATGAGATCCAAATGCAGAATATGAAACCGTGGAACAAAACATAGGGGAATTGCTTTACAACCTGGGAGTGGGAAACCATTCCTAACTCAAAATCCGGAACCTACAGGAAAAATAACAACTACATAAAAATAAGTTTGACTACATGAAAATAAAAATGAATAATAATCTAAAATGTACACAGAAAAAGAAAACCACCACTGCAAGCAAAAGCAAGGTAGCAGGGGGAAATTGCATCATGAAGGGCTAAGAGTCCTAATATAAAAGAAGTATCTAAAAATTGAGAAAAAAAATCAACAACCCAATATGGACAAAAGATGAATAGTTCACAGAAAACAGATACAAATGGTCCTTAGTGTAAGAGAGGACGCCCAAGCTTCTTACTGGTGATAAGAGAAATATAAATTAAAAGAACATGACATTTTATACCTTTCAAATTAGCAAAAACTCCAAAGTTTAACAACGTATTCTGTTGGACTGTGGAAAAACAGGCCCTGTCATATATTACTGTTGGAAACATAACTGGTTCAACCCCAGTGGAGGAGAATTTGGCAATATCTAGCAAAATGACATATGCATTCACTTTTTAACCCATCAGTCACTCTTATAACAACCAACCCTCAGGGGTACTGGTAAAAAATATGAGATGATAAATATACAAGACTATTCATTACAATACTAGCAATAGCAAAAGACTGGAAATAACCCAAATGCCCATCAACAAGGGACTAGTTAAAGAAATTGTAGTCCAGCGACACACTGGAGCTGTCAAAATGTATAAGGCAGATTTCTGCATACCGCTAAGGAGTCCAGGATACAGCAATAGAGGAAAAAGCAAAGTACAAAAGAGTGTGTACTGTAAATTACCATTTGGTTAAGAGATGAAAGAATATATGCTATATGAACACATTTACTTCTGTATTCAAAAGAAATAAAGACAAACAAAAACTAATAAAAAGAAGAAAAAATATTTACCAAGTAAAGGTCAGAATAGGAAGGAAGAAATGGGGAAAAAAGTGAGATCTCTCTTAATAAACATCAGTTTGGAAAATCATGGAAACTTTTATACAATTAAAAATATATAAATAACTCAGAATACAAAACAAAGCAAACTCTACCATTTGAAATCAAATGGTACATAGCTGAAATAAATGGAACTAATTATACTAAGCTGAAATAAATGGAACTAATTATACACACACATTTTATAAATCTAAATTTGATGTATGATTAGGTCCATTTATTTCTAGCCAGCTTGCTATTCATATTTTGAAAATATTATATTTTTTCTCTTTCAAAGAAATATGTGTTTACCAGCTCTGTCCACTGAAAATGTCTGGAGTAATGACAGTAGGAACAGGGAATCAAAAAAGTAGAAAGAATATTTCCAATCTACATTCGTGAATAGTCTGAGATAATCACCCAGAAAGTGAAGTTATGCCTTTTCCTAACTCAGGAAACAAATGCTGATATTTTATTTAAACTGTGAAGCCAACACAGAGTAGTGCTGATCCATGCCAAATTTTTCAGCTCTAAGGTGAAATTGGAAAAATAAGGACAAATTCACACACACACGCACCTACCTGAGTATTCTCCATTTGCCTCCGGCCCAGCTCCATTATTCCTCCCCTGCCCTGTTCCATGTCCCAGGAGGAGACCCTGAACCTGAGCACTGCATCTCCTGGGCTTCCTTGCAGGTTCCCATCCAACTGAGTTTGGCCAATGGAGGCAGGAACGGGAGATCAGATGACAGGATAAGAGGGAGGTAGGGTATTTCTTCCTCACACCCTCCCTTCTCTGGAGTTCTTTCTCTGCCAATAGCCTCATCCTCACAACTAAGTCTCCCTCTGGCAGCATCCCCTCCCACAATTCCAGTTCTCCATGGGCTTCAGCCCAGAGGGTGGTCATGACTTCCTGAATCTCGGGGCACCTCACTATCCCTTGCTTGTTCCCCTAATCATGCCCACAGCTCTGCAAACTCTCTTTATTTGCCAATAAGTGGGTTTACTTTGTTTCCTGCTGCACCTTAATATGTGACAACACACACACAACACATGCACACACATACACATATCCATGCACACACATACATGTACATGCACACACACACATATGTATACACACATGCACACCCCCACACACATAGCTATACCTATATTTCCACATCCATACATCCACACACTCACATTCATATATACACAAACATATACATATCTAAATAAGTACATATAAAAATATGTGTGAACATATATGTGTCTGTGTAAGGTTAGTAATAAACCTCACTACAATTTTATGTGAAAATGCACTTTTTTGGAAAGGAAAATAGAGCAAGCAATGGTCTCCTAAGTAGGCTCCTAAAATTGTTTTGGCTCTGAAATTTTATGCCTCCAAAACAATTGTATGGACACTGTATGACAGAGCAAAAACCACAAACACAAAGAAGCAACAGGGTCAAGAGAAAAGCACATGCGCTGGAGAGCAGGCAACCTGGAATGGCAACTCTGCTCTGCATCAGCCAGGCTGTGACTCTGGCTGAGAATTAAATGATTCTGTGCCTCACTGACTCCTCTCTGTGTCATAGCGACCCAAATATAGGCCCTCCCTCCATCCCCCTACCCATGGCTGTTGTGAGGCTCTGAATGCACTAAGTGCTTCAGAAACATTAAAAGCATGAGAACGATATGTTTTATTCTCCATTTATCCGGGATGTGTACAGTGATACTCCAATAAATTCATAGAGTGTCACTTTACATCCCTCCCTCCTATACCAAAAAGCAAACTCATCCATTTAAGAGCACTCAAGACTGAAACCAACCTTGACAGAAAAATCTAGTCTATTCCTTCTCATCAGCAGGACTGCATCAAAGCCATTATGGACAGATGGGCATTTTGTTCTATTTCTGAAGACCTCCAGGGAAGGAGATTCTACAAACTGCCTTGGCAGCTGACGTGCTAACGCAATGTAGGATAACTTATAAATATAGGCAGAGTCAAGGAGGCCGTCCAGAATGCAGCCCAGCATGGGTGTGCACTCACCCAGCCTGACACACAGCTAAGGAACATTCTGAGCACTCGAGCCATCCCATCCCTTCCGTTGCTCCCCTTCCTTTTAATTATAATTGGTCCTTCAGAAACCAAGTCAATTAAAGGGAAAGGGAAGAGAAGATTTTGTGCTAGACAGATTCTGAAAAATGTAAAATGAAATGATAATACCAAACACACAGAAACCGATGACTTCAGGCAGAGATAAGGCAGAGGGGAGTATAGGGAAGCACTTTTCCTTCCAGTACCTGGTAGAATGTTTGTTAAATGAATATAAATATTTGTTAAATGAATGCATTCACAGAAATACAATCTCTCTCTTGTTCTTCTTTTTCTTCTTTTTCTTTTCTTTTCTTTTATGAGACAGGGTCTCGCTCTGTCACCCAGGCTGGAGTGCAGTGGTGCCATCACGGCTCACTGCAGCCTTAATCTCCCATCTCAATCGATCCTCCAGCCTCAGCCTCCCAAGTAGCTGGGACCACAGCCATGCACCACCACACCAAGATAATTTTTGTATTTCTTGTAGAGATGAGGTTTTGCCATGTTGCCCACGCTGGTCTCAAACCCCTGGGCTCAAGCAATCTGCCTGCCTCAGCCTCCCAAGTACTGGGATCATAGGCATGAAACACCACACCTGGCCACGTATTCATATTAATAAGAAATGTCTTCTGGCCAGGCACGGTGGCTCATGCCTGTAATCCCAGCACTTTGGGAGGCTGAGGTGGGTGGATCACGAGGTCAGGAGATCAAGACCATCCTGACTAACACAGTGAAATCCCATCTCTATTAAAAATACACAAAAATTAGCCGGGCATAGTGGCACAAGCCTGTAGTCCCAGCTACTCAGGAGGCTGAGTCAGGAGAATCGCTTGAACCCGGGAGGTGGAAATTGCAGTGAGCCGAAATCATACCACTGCACTCCAGAGCAAGACTCCGTCTCAAAAAAAAAAAAAAAAAAAAAAAAAAAAAAGAAATGGTTTCTTGACATGCTATTTGGAAGTGACCACAGCACAGCTGATTTAATGTTGAAGCTGTCAAGCCTGCACTTCATCCCTTTGCATGAGTACTGGCTCCAAGAACCTGTTCTCTATCAACACAAGGCAGACCCTTGACTTAGAGCTCCTCATATCTAGGAACCCAGCAGGAATAAAAGGAGGGGAGAGCTGGAGGATGAAACCCAGCCCACATTCCCAGCCTACATTTCCTATCTAGCCCTTTTCTAATTCATCTGGGTGTCTTCTAGTTCTGCACAAAGACACTATGTAAGCTTTCAGGAGCTTTACTGGGCCCCACATCTAGGTCCCCAGGATTTGAAGAGTTTCCTCTCGATATACAGCAATTCTTGGACAATGAATAGCAAATCCAAAATCACTCTAAATTGGTGATTGTCAGCTAGGGAGATTTTGCTCCCAGGAGACATTCAGCAATATCTAAAGACTTTTTAATTGTCATGATTAGAGGCTCTTATTGGCATTTCATGGGTAGGGGCCAGGGATGCTTCCAAACCTGTATAATACACAGCCCAAGATGTCAATAATGCCAGGATTGAGAAGCCCTGTGTCTTCTGAGACCCTGAAAGTTTCACCTGTGACAACTTACAGTACCTATCTGCTTTGTATCCACACCTTAAGTTACCGATTTGACAGATGTGTATCAAATGCCTATAGCTCTCGATCAGGCATGAAGTAAAAAAAAAAAAAAAAAAAAAAAAAGGCTACACCTTTCCTTTGCTTTGCACTTCGTTCACCAAAATAAGCTCCTCGGAAGAGAAAGTGCAATACAGAGAGTATCTTGTATAAAAAAAAAAAAAAATCCCAGCAGGTAGCTAAGCACCAAGCACATAACTACATATAGGGCTCTGGTCATTTCTGATGAAATGAGTGAGAATGTGAAAGAATAGGGCCTCCTGGAATAAATCCAAAGTTCTTTTTTTAAAAAAAAATAAGGTGAGGGAAGGTGAGGAAAGTGATAGACATGAAAGGGAGAGAAAATGGCTGGAGGCAGTTTGGTTAAGTGTGCTCTCTGGAACACTGTAGAGCTTCCCCCATAGAAAGAGATTACAAACGGTCGTTCAGTTCCAGGTCAGCCCAGAAAAGCTTAGTTAACCATAATCCGGCTGGCGCTATAAAACTGCAGGAGTCGAGGGGTACATGGTCCCTGAGGTTTGTAACTTGGAAGAACAAAGGACAAAGAGATGATCTGTCCCTTCCCTGTCTCCTCTCCCCCATCTGCAGACCCCCAACCCCCTGCTCTATACCACCTCTCTTAGAGGTAAGAGTAATCCTAGAAAACTAACTAGCATATTAAAAAAAAATTAAAAGTAATGTACACAAAAATGCAAAGTGTAGCCCCGGAAATAAAATAATACCTCAGACCCAGATCCCCCAGGCTCCTTTTGTAGAGACAAAGTCACTGTTTATTACATTTCTTCCAGAAATACTCTCTGCACATACTCAAACATATACATGCATATATGCATGTATCATCTTTCAAATTATATCCAGAAATGGAAATATACAATGCAATCTGTTCTTCACTTTCTTTTTACTCATAAATCTACTTTATTTCTTTAATGACTGTGGAACATTCCATGGTATGGATGGAATATTTGTATCAACATTAGGATGGCTCCTAGGAATACTCTGAAACAGCAAAAGTTCATCTTTCCCCTCTTATGACCTAGTATCCCTCCCTCCATCCCCCTTGTAGAGCTTCCCTGAACCCTTCACCTTCTCTCTCTTGACTGGTTCTACTCTGTCCTTTTTCCCAAAGCGTCCACCCTCCAAAAGCATGGACTTCCTCACACCAATAAATACACTCACCTTTTTCAGAGTGGCTGGCCTGACTTACCTTATTCTGAAAGAAAGCAATCTGATTTCACACTAATTATTATATGAATTGCTGCCAACTCCTTAACCCACACATTTAGAAAGATGTTTGTTAACTAAGTTGAACTCATTATTGGAATTCCAGAGAGAACAACAATTAAAAAAAAAAAGGCAGAACAGAAGCTATCAAGAGTACACAATTTGGAGTAGAGGTCAGCCATATTGGCTATTGTCTCATGCCGGAAAATCTGGACATAGAGCTTTCTCTAATTAACGACATTTTGGGCAGTTTTTTTGTTTCCTCTAGCTGAAAGTCAAACTATTCTTCAAAAGCTCTGAGATTTTTCACAATACTCTTATTCAGTAGGTGTCCTGGAAAGAGTAGGCCAGCTGTCTATAGGTGTGGGCCATTCGTAAACAGGTGTCCATAACATATGGACCCACCATTCCCAGCCTGCCACCAGTAAATTGAGAAAGAGCAGAAAAGAACATTTTGTTTAACTAAACTCTCCATTATGCCTCTTATGAAATCTTATAGGCCATATAAAAATACCAACATCTCTTCATCAGATGCACAAAAAAATGGCTTGAGTCGCTACTGGCATCTTTTGCTATGTTACAGGCAAAAAGAACTGGTTCCCTTTCACCAGGGACAGGATTGCTGCAGATTCATTTCTGAAATAATATCCTGTTTGGAGACAGACCCAAAGTAAATGCTGAAGTAACCTGGTACCACAGAGCTCTGAGCATGATTTATATTCATGGGATTCTTTTGCAATCCTTTATAAAACTTGACTAATTTTTCTAAGAGGGCTTAAACAAACTTGTGATTTGATTATGTGAAATTTTGCTTCTTTTATGATCTCATTTTTCCTTTTTTCAGTTTCCTATCAAACATTTTGGCTTATAAACCATGTGCCTGATGCTCTGCCTATACCTATATGAAAATTATCCACAGTTTGTCCCAAGGTTATCAAGTATGAGATATCGTATTCCAAGGATTTCTATCACATTCTATTCCTTAGGGGCATATTACTATAGGACTTATGCTCCAGGAAAGAAATCTGTCCCTCATTCATTGGAATAGCCAGGGAGGGATTTTAGCTGGATTCATGTGAGCTGAGCGGGTGCAGGGGGAGAGTGTGTCGTCTCGCATTCAGCAATGGCCAGCAGCATTACTGCCGATGGCACATCCAGCTGAAGAGTGATGCTGAATAAGCTTTGCTAACAGTATTCAGGAGAAAAGAACGCAAACAGAGAGTAAACACAGATCGGTTTCAATTTCTGAAAAGAAGAGAAACACAACCTATGAATATTCCCATCAACTAAGCACAAGCTCTCAGCTAAGACCTAAAAATGCATAGATGAAAGAGACAAAGGCCCCTCTCCTAAGAGATCACAGATGAGTGGGGAGGAAAAATCATTGAACAATCACAACTGAATGGAGAAGGTCTGCACTAGGCAGTGGTGGTGGTGGAAAGAAAGGATGGGAGGAACTGGAGAGATTTGGAGAGGAGTTTCAACGCGACTGCATGTGGAGAGACAGAAGCTCAGGAGCGGAGGATAACTAAGTTTCTACTCTGGCCACTGTGTGTCCAGTGATAACATTAAATAAGATGGGGAATGAAGAAGAATAAAAGGAATGGACCATGAGTTCAAGTTTGGGATGTGCTGACCCGCAGATGCCCACAGAACATCATAGCCGACTATGAACTTCAACCCTTTAAAATTTATATTAACTTTAAATTATTCCTATTAAATAGATCTTTTCTTCACAAAGATTCTTTATGAAATCTTAATCTGAAGACAGAAAAAGAATGTCATCAAATATGGAAGAAGTTTGGTTCTTGTAGATCTACTCCACAGAGCAAATGGTGATCATCACTGATAGTAAATAAGACACATAAAAGAGTTGACTGTTAGCCTATGAGCTTAAGGACAAGGAGATCCCTAACTATAAACTGTGTATCCTCAATTTGATCAAAGCAAAGTCAGTAACAGTACATTAAAACCATACTCTGAGAGTCATAATTTCAACTATGAGTTAAAAACCAAAACCTATCTTTTAAGTGTTCGTGTAAATATCCTTTGCCAGTGTAAACACAGAATAACTCAAGTGCAAGACTTCACAGAATGACTTATGTGTGGTATACAGTCCAGAGCACAGCCTGTGGCAGCCAGACAGCCAGGGTTCAAATCCCAGTTTTGCAGCCCTGAGACCTTAGGCAAGAAGAATAAACTCTCTGAGGCTATGTTTCCTAAACTGTTTCTGCTTCTCGTGGTAAGATATGACTTACTCCTAGATAGGCACGACCAAGTATACACATAAAATACGAAGCTTTCATCCTGTAAGATAGTGTCACCCAACAGAGATACAATGTGAGCCACATATTATATTTAACTTTGCTAGGAGGTACTTTTAAAAAGTTTCTTTTTAATCTAACGAAATGAACTTAATAATATATTTTTAACTCAGCAGATCCAAATTGTCATTTCAACACGTTATTGATATAAAATTATTAATGGAATAGTTTACATATTTTTTAGCTAAGTCTTCAAAATCACTGTACAATTTATACTTACAGCACATCTCAATCCAGATGCTAAACATCATCTGAAATACTTGGTACAGTTGAAAAAGTAGATTCACATGTCCCAAACATAGTAAAATTTTTCCAGTAACTGAATTGAGTATCAGTGTTTACATTTAAACTAAGTAAAATTAAGTGTTCAATTTCTCAGTTACACCAGCCACCTTTCAAGTAGGCAGTAGTCACATGTGGCCAGTGGCTACCATGCTACACAGCTGAGTGCTAAGGTAAAAAAATTACTCTGGGTCAGGCTATGCCATCACTTGCAGGCACCACAAGAGAACTCAGACATATATACAGCATAAACAACTGAACTGAGACTGGAGATGTGCAGAAACAAATCTTAAGCGCTAAGAAAAAGGACTGGAGAGAAAAGGAGAAGAAATAGCAGGCAGAGCCCATGAGAATACAGAAAGCAGAAGCAATCCGTTGTGGGTGTCTCACTTTCCCCTGCCCAAAACTGTAGACATATTTTCTGCTTTCCCTTCTGATCCAATGGAAGGAAATATTCCTGGATTCTACTGAAGGCCAACACTATACTTGTGCTTTGAATTATATCCCCTTCTTTCCACCCTTCTCTAGAACTTTGCTCCTGCTGTAATCCCTCTCTCTTGTATCACCGGTTTCTCCTACTCTACCAGACCAATTCCATCAACGTTAATTAAAGCACGCTTTTGTAGCTCCTGTATTTAAAAACAAAGATGAAAAATACAACAAAAATATTTTGATCTTAGACTACTTCCATCTTCAGTGCCATTTCTCTTTGCCCTTCACAGCAAAACTTCTTAAATGATTACCTCTATTCACTATTTCCAATTCATCGCCTCCTCTCTTACCTTCTTAATTCTCTCTCATCTCAGTAGACCCACCTTTGCTTGTTCCTCCTCTTCCACCAGGCCTCTAAAGGTTGGAGATCTTTGAGAAACCTCCATACCTACCATTTTGATCCAGCAATCCCGCTACTGGGTATCTACCCAGAGGAAAAGAAATCAACATATCAAAAATATATCTGCACTAGTATGCTTATCACAGTACTATTCGCAATAGCAAAAATACGGAATCAACCTAAGTGTCCATCAACAGATGACTGGATAAAGAAAATGTGAGAGATATAAATATATATATATATATATTCCTATCACTGATTAAAGGAACTTCAATAGACTTATTCACAGCTATTAAGTATATTTACATAAAACCATTTTATTTGTCAATATTAAGGGTTGTGCTATTTCTCCACCTGCCTTTCCTAGTCAATAAAATTTTGTTAAAAGGACAAAAGTTGAAAATTGTAACCTCAGCAATCCCTAACTTTGAGGACTTACCCCCTGATACAAACGTTCATGCCTATGCATATTTCATCACAGATGCAGACAGATGCCCTTGCATCTATGTATACATATACACATACACCATGGAATACTACTCAGAGAAAGAATAAAATCATATCTCTTCAGCAATGTGGATGGAACTGGAGGCCATTATCGTTAAGTGAAATAACTCAGGAAGTCAGATACCACATGTTCTCATTTACAAGTGGGAGCTAAATAATGTGTACACGTGGACATACAGAGTGGAATAATAGACACTAGAGACTTGGAAAGTGGGGAGGGTGGGAGGGGATGACAGATGAAAAGTTACGAAATGAGTACAGGGTATACTAATGAGTACAGTGTATACTATTGGGGTGACAGTTACACTAAAAGCCCGGACTTCACCACTGTGCAATATATGTATTTAACAAAACTGCACCTGTACCTTCTAAGTCTATAAAAAATAAAAATAAAAAAATTGAGGTTAGAGAGCTTCAGGCTTGGTACTGGGCCACTTCTCATTTCTATCTAAACTTTCTCGCTGGGTGATCTCGCCTCATTCCAGGGTTGTAAATGCCATCTAGGTGCTGACGACTCTCACATTTATGCCTCTTCTCTGCCTTCTCCCCTGAGTTTCACACTAGTAGAGAGAACAGCTTAACGGCCACCTCCATTTAGATGTCCACATCCAACCAAAATGTGTCTACCTTTAATTTATCCCTTCCCTAGTCTTCCTCATCTAAGCTGACTAGCCATTCCACTCACTCATTTACTAGAAACAAAATTCTAGGAGACGTTCTTGTTTTCCCTACTCCCTCATTACAAACATTTCATCCTTCGACACGTTTTATTGGATCTATCTCCAAAGCAAAACTGAAATTCATCTTCTTTTCTCCATTTCTATGGCCACCAGCTTAGTCCAAACCACCCTATCTCACGTGTCTCCTGTACTCATTCTCTGTGTACATTCTTGCACCATAAAACCCATTTTTCCTAGACATCAGCCAAGGTAGTCTTTTTGAAAATGCAAATTAAATTGTATCATACCTTTACTTCAAAACTTTCATGACAGTGACAGTAAAATCCTAGCTCTACCATGGCCCTGCCTAGTCTCTCCTACTAAATCCTACACCAGTTCCCCTTTTGCTCAGTCCAGCTTTCTCTCCACTGATGACACACCATCCTCCTTTTCACTGCAGAACTTTCCCACTTGCTACCCCTTCTGCCTTGAGCCTAAATAGACGGCTTCTACTTAGACATGAGCCACATAAATGCCAACTGGAGAGACAAAATCTTCCTTACAAATGATTCTAATCCTCTTTTACCACACAGGAGCATGGAGATCCAGGACCCAAATCCCATACCATAAGGTTTGCCTAGAATGATGCTAACTGGAAAACATTCAAAGTAGGCAATATTGTATGTCCATTTGCAATCTGGAACATCTAACCAATCGACATCTGCTGTGTGGACAGTCACAGCCTTACCCTAAACATACAAAACATAGAAACAAACGCCTGTACCTTTACTCCAGTCAATCGTGGAAAATCAGTACTGTTTAGGCTTTCAGGAAAGACATCACAACTCTGAGCAAGCCAGTCCTTTCAGATTCACACCTCAGTCATTCATAATTTTCTCAACCTTTCCTTTCCCATAAGAAAAAAAAAATAAACTCTCTAGCATTTCAGCTCAAAATAAACTAACCAAAATTTCATTGGGAAGATGTTATCAAAGTATGACAAAGACGCACCATAATTCTCAATCCTTCTAAACAGCTGGTAGATATTAAATTCTTCTGCAATGAGATTTTTAAAAAAAAATCTTTGGCACATCTTTAAACTGCAAAACTGATGTTTCAGAATCAACTCTGTTTATTCTTGGCCTGCCATAAACTGCTAACATAGAAGACTGGAGTTTTACCAGTATATAAATACGTTTATAAATTAAGAGAAACACTTTGCCATTTGAAACTAATAAATGGACAAATCAGAATTGAAAACATAAGAGATCAAAAAGAAATGTTCCTCTAAACTAACAAAGATATGGGATGAGAGTCAGTAGATCATCAAGGAATGAGGACTGTCAGTCCTTTTGCGCCATGGCTGTGGCCTGGAAAAAGTCCAGGCCTCCTGGGGGAGGCTCCTTGGCCTGCCTAGGGCGGTCAATCCCAGACGCTGGAGTTTCCAACCTGGGAAAGAGTCTCCGGCCCATGCAGGGCGCAGAAGTTAGAGCCACCTGACATGACATGGACGAGGGTCTCAACAGTGACCACCAAGAACTTGAAATCAAAACTCTTCTTCCCCACCCCAGCCCCATATTCTATCATCCTTTACATTCTTATGTGCATCTGGAAGGAGGTAAAGAAAGTCCCACACTAACCAAGCCTATTTATTTCTATAGGTCAAATTCAAGCCAAAGTAAGGAAAGAAATAATAAAGAAATCAAACATTTCTTACACAAATTATTTTATTACTAACAGCATATTCTTTCATGTATTCCTTCCCTGGTCTTCCTCATCTAAGCTAACTGGCCACACCACTCACCCATTTACTAGAAACAATATTCTAGGAGACATTCTTGTTTCCTCTACTCCCTCATTACAAACATTTCATTCTTCAGCATGTTTTATCCATCTATCTCCAAGGCAAAACTTAAATTCATCTTCTTTTCTCCATTCCAGTGGCCACCAGCTTAGTCCAAACCACCATATCGTACCTGTCTCCCGTACTCATATATAAGAATAAGTGCCCTTCGTATACACCATGGAATACTATGCAGCCTTAAAAAAGAATGAGTTCATGTCCTTTGCAGGGACATGGATGAAGCTGGAAGCCATCATTCTCAGCAAACTAACACAGGAACAGAAAACCAAACACCAAATGTTCTCACTCACAAGTGGGAGTTAAACAATGAGAACACATGGATACAAAGAGGGGAGCATCACACACCAGGGCCTGGGGCTGGGGGGTGGGGGAGAAAGGGGAGGGAGAGCATTAGGACAAACAACTAATGTATGAAGGGCTTAAAATCTAAATGATGGGTTGATAGGTGCAGCAAACCACCATGGCACATGTATACCTATGTAACAAACCTGCACATTCTGCACATGTATCCCAGAACTTAAAGTAAAATTTTTTTAAAATTTTTAAGAAAAGAATAAGTATTCTTGCTGAAAACTGCTACACATTCTAAAATAGCATTTTCTAAAAATCATATCACTGATTAAAGGAACTTCAATAGACTTGCTATTACGTATATTTACATAAAACCATTTTATTTGTCGATACTAATCGTTGTGCTATTTCTTCACATGCCTTTCCTAATCAAGAAAACTTTGCCAAAAGGACAAAAGTTGAAAACTGTAACCTCAGCAATCCCTAACTTTGGGGACTTATCCCCCAGTACAAATGTTCATGCATATGCATATTTTCATCACAGATTCAGACAGATGCCCTTGCATTGATTTGAATACTTGCATAAATATTAATGTGTACAAATGCTTGCATGCAGAAAACCCATTTATGAAATATCCAATTGCATAAATTAGGTACATTAGATACTAACTGCATTAACACTTCAGAAAATGCATGCACAAGTTTGCATGACAAAAAAAAAAGGTACAATCGATTAGAAGAACCTAGATTCTCTCGATGTGTTTGCCATTCTGTGGGCATGAACTGGGGATCCCCAGCAATGATTTGAAGCCTTTAGATTACTTATGGTTCACCATTTGCATCAGTCCCTCCTGACCCAAAAACTAATTAAGCCCTTTTTTATAGTAAATTTATAAATTGTTACCTGTGACCATGAAAGAAAGTGTCAATTTTTTAAGCCATCAGATGCCCTTAAGAACTAGTTTTTTCACAACAAATATGACTCCAAAGTTATTTTCAGAAAATAGCCTCAAAACTTACCCGTACACTACTAGACTATATGACTGACTCACTCTCAGGAGTGGCAGGTAAATATAAACCTTAAAAAGTTACAGAAGAAGGCCGGGTGCGGTGGCTCATACCTATAATCCCAGCACTTTGGGAGGACAAGGCGGGTGGATAACCTGAGGCCAGGAGTTCAAGACCAGCCTGGCCAACATGGCTAAACCCCATTTCTACTAAAAATACAAAAATTAGCCGGGTGTGGTGGCACGTGCCTGTAATCCCAGCTACCTGGGAGGCTGAGGCAGAAGAATCACTTGAACCTGGGAGGCAGAGGTTGCAGTGAGCCAAGATCACACCATTGCATTGCATCCAGATTGGGTGACAGAGGGAGACTCCATTTCAAAAACAAAAAAAGAAAGTTACATAAGAAAATACAATAAAGCCTCACGGTTTGGTGAATTCAGATACAACACAAATGACATTGGCAGGTGTCCTCCACTCAGTTCTAGTTCTCAAGTGAGGACGGTTCTTATCTTGGGGAGATGAGTGTTTAAGAAGCCATTTCCTTATCACCAACTATTAGGAGTTTCTCAGTTCAGTATATGG
This sequence comes from Homo sapiens, assembly GCF_000001405.40. NCBI lineage: Eukaryota > Metazoa > Chordata > Mammalia > Primates > Hominidae > Homo > Homo sapiens. Next base: position 20,933,943 of record NC_000010.11, read on the forward strand.
CCAGCTGGGTACACTATCAGTTTCACTATCTTTACTTTTGTATTTTTTGTAAAAGTACAGGTTGATTTTAAAATATGTTTTCATTAATGTTGAAATTTAAAAAAAAAGGCCCCATTTTACACTTCAACTTTTTGTGCCTGATTTATGAAATGATTGCAAGTTCTCACTCCCTGCTTCAGACTGGACTTTAGTCTCATCTGGGACTGAGCAAGACTTCACAGACAGGTCTACGGTCAAAACAAAAGGCAAAGAAGATGGGTTCTGAGCCCCAAGTATTCCTTCTATTACAGAGAGTGCCTAGGTCTCCTTGAAACTCAAATTCGGCTGTCATGAGAATATGACAAGCATCTCAGGAGCTGAAGGGATATATAAAGTGTTTGGGACTATTTCTGCCTAGTCTCAAAGGATGTGCTTTTTGATCAGAGAGTGTGCCACAGGGACTTACTAATGTGCACTAACGCAGACTCATTAGTCATTCTCCTTGCCACACCACTCCACATTTTGAGCCTTCCACAGTGAAGTGAGTCCGCAAAACTGAATTCTAGCCTGTGGAATATGGATGGACGTGACGTGCATGACTTCCAGACTGAACCTGAAACCCGTGCTATCCACGATGGGCCCGCTCTTTGCCTGACTGCACACCAGATACAGCTCATCCAGTGGAGAATGCCATGGCCCCACTGGATACGAGAGGTGCTAGACAGAAGGGGCCTGGATCCCTGAATGACTGCATGGAACAGAGCCCTTTTAAGCCCCCTCTCTGCTACCAAGCTGTGTTGGTTTGTAGTGTCAGAGTAAAATAAACCTCTATTGTACTGAGATCTGAAGGTTGTTTATTTCAGCAGCTAACTTCCTGACTCATACAAGGTGCAACCACAGCACATAAAATGCACCTACTATTTCATTAACAGACAAATCTTTAAGACATAGCAACATTTCTAGCAGGAACAAAATGGGAAGAGAGATCTAGGACAGTATCACGATAGGTCAAGAGTTGTGATTGGAAATGAATCTGGAAATAAACTGGCATGCTGTGCAATAGTGAAGCAAAGTGCCACACGATTTTATTTATTCGTTAAAACACTTACTGAAGGCCAATACATGCCAGGTACCATGTCTGGTGCTAGGGTTAAAAATATGACTGGCCACATTCCCTGAGCTCAAAGAACCACAGTCTACCTGGCTAGAAAGAGAGGAAATTCAATCAGTCCTTCAACACAGTGTGGTAAGCATTATAAAAGTCACCCCGAGGAAGCATCCACCATCTCCTCTCAGATGGAGATTTTGTATAATACACAACATGGGTATCAATAACAAAGATCACAACATAGATTCATTTCTGGATAAAAAATAACAGAAATTTTGAATCTTCTCAAGACTGTGCTTAACACGACAACTGGCAACTGTGAGCCTACAAGTGACGCTAATATCAAGTAAGGCAGCAGACGATTATCAGCATCTCTTCATCGAATTCACTAAGCACCACATGGAAGAATGCAGATAACAGAACTGAGAACACCCCCAAGAACATGCTCCCCTCGGTAGTGAGCCTTAAAATATTTGCATCGCCTGGAAATCACACGGACTTTGGCAGATCTCCTCCTTTGCAAGGATACTGTGCAATGAGAGACTGATTCTGGAATCTGTGCCTTTTAATGAAATGGAAGCAGAATTAAAACACTGTTACCTCTTTAAATTAAAATACAGAATTTCAGAAGAAATACACGGTTTTCTCCATCCCATCTTAAATAATCTTGATGCTTATCACAATGCTTGTAAGGATGCAAAGAATCATTAGGAAATTATCTAAAAATCTTAGGGTCCTGAGTTTAAATTGCAAAATAGCTCATTTGTGAAATAATAATCTAAGAAGAATTTTTTTCACCTTCAATACATGAGAATCATTATAGGCCCAACTTCCACTCTTATCACTGGAAGTTCTATAATGGACATTAGCTCCCAGAAAAAAATTGCAGCACTATTTAATAAAGATATTATATCTAAAACTGTAAGGGATGGTAATCAAAATAACGTGCCTTCTAAAAAATCCAAATAAATATAAAATAAACTGTTGCAAATGGCAATAAATTTGAAGACTGGAAATACTGCTGCTACTTCTACAAATTCAAAATGACATGACTAATTAAAGCATTTCCATGCCAAAATCTTTCCTCCATTTTCAGTTTATTGCATAATAATAACAAAACTACCAATTATTAAGCACAATGACAAATCTTTTACTCATATTCTAAGAGCTAATATTTAATTCTCATAAAAACTCTGCAAATATTTTCATTTCCATTTTACAGATGTGGAAACTTAGACATAATAAAGTGAATGAAACAGAATCACTTTATTACTCTATTTCCTACGGTAAAAGGGGCAATAAAAAAAAGATGTGGGCATCAGAACTCAGGTCTAGTCTGTCTCTCAAATCAGCTGTTTATGCCTAACAGGCTATTGCAAATGGAACCTAAAAAATGGTGGACAAAGATTATGAAATCTGTATAAGCAGAATCCAAATTCAGTCTGCTTGTCACTCTGGCCCATGTCTTTTCTGTCCTGAATCACATAATTAACTATGTCTGTTCCCCACTTCCTTTTACAATTAGGTCTGGCCTTAGAGCAAGAATTAAGTGAGAGCTTAAATCCAAGGGACAGCTCCTTCTCTAGTGTACAAACATTCCAAAAAGCAGAAGGCCAGCTGCCTCTTTCTTGGCAACTTCTCACTGAATCTAAATAAATAATGCAGTGTTTTCTGTGTTTCAATTTTCTTTAGGATTACCACTCATTATAGTTTAATTTCTGCCTGTTCTAATTATTGCCTTTTCTGACCTTGCAAATGACCTGGTAATCCAACACTGTTCAACAGGCTTGAACATCTCCCACCTTATGAATAAGCTTGGGTCGATTCCTTTTCAGCAGCAACATAAACACTAGCTCATATCACATACTCTTAAAAAGAACAAAAGCATAAGAAGGAAATGGGACCTTTCATCAAACATCCCGTTTTTTGCCTGGTATTAATCCGCATTTCAAAGCAAAACATTTTGGAATCATTAGGAATAAATACCACCACTTTGCTTTCGATGTGTGATCTGGAAGGATTTAAAATTGCACCTGCCAAGTGCAGCCCAATGACACAGGCTCAGCTTTCTCCTGCCCTACATGAGGGCACACAGACTTCCCCAACTCTCCCAAACCATGCTAAACTGGTTTTCCCATGTCTCTCAATTACATGTTAATAAAATTCTTAAAGACCCAAAAGGAAAGCCAATCACCCCTTGGTGTACCCATCTCCACTGAGAAAGCTCGATTTCATATTTTTATTTAACAGCAACTTTCTTCTGAGTCACGCAAAGGGCTTTTCCATCATGCATTCATTCATCCTCCCAACTTAAAATAAGCATCAGATATTATCATTCCCATGAGAGATGTAGGAGAAAACAGGCATAGTGATTGAGGTACAATGTTCAGCTGAAACAGGTCACTTCAAAAGTTGAAAGAGCCAGGGGGTGGAGACAAGATGGTCGAATAGGAACAGCTCCAGTCTACAGCTCCCAGTGTGAGTGACGCAGAAAACAGATGATTTCTGCATTTCCAACTGGGGGACTGGGTTCATCTCACTGGGGAGTGTCAGAAAGTGGGTGCAGGACAGTGGGTGCAGTGCACCAAGCGTGAGCTGAAGCAGGGTGAGGCATCGCCTCACCCAGGATGCACAAGGGGTCAGGGAATTCCCTTTCCTAGTCAAAGAAAGGGGTGACAGATGGCACCTGGAAAATCGGGTCACTCCCACCCTAATACAGCACTTTTCCGACGGTTTTAGCAAACGGCACACCAGGAGATCATATCCTGTGCCTGGCTCAGAGGGTCCTACACCCATGGAGCCTCGCTCATTGCTAGCACAGCAGTCTGAGATCAAACTGCAAGGCGGCAGCAAGGGTGGAGGAGGGGCGCCCGCCATTGCCCAGGCTTGAGTAGGTAAACAAAGCGGCCAGGAAGCTTGAACTGGGTGGAGCCCACCTCAGCTCAAGGAGGCCTGCCTGCCTCTGTAGACTCCACCTCTCGGGGCAGGGCATAGCCAAACAAAAGGCAGCAGAATCCTCCACAGACTTAAATGTCCCTGTCTGACAGCTTTGAAGACAGTAGTGGTTCTCCCAGCACACAGCTGGAGATCTGAGAATGGACAGACTACCTCCTAAAGTGGGTCCCTGACCCCCGAGTAGCCTAGCTGGGAGGCACCCCCCAGTAGGGGCAGACTGACACCTCACACGGCTGGGTACTCCTCTGAGACAAAACTTGCAGAGGAACGATCAAGCAGCAACATTTGCTGCTCACCAATGTCTGCTGTTCTGCAGCCTCCGCTGCTGATACCCAGGGAAACACGGTCTGGAGTGGACCTCCAGTAAACTCCAACAGACCTGCACCTGAGGGTCCTGACTGTTAGAAGGAAAACTAACAAACAGAAAGGACATCCACACCAAAAACCCATCTGTACATCACCATCATCAAAGACCAAAGGTAGATAAAACCACAAAGATGGGGAGACACCAGAGCAGAAAAGCTGAAAATTCTAAAAATCAGAGCGCCTCTTCTCCTTAAAAGGAATGCAGCTCCTCACCAACAACGGAACAAAGCTGGATGGAGAATGACTTTGACGAGTTGAGAGAAGAAGGCTTCAGACAATCAAACTACTCTGAGCTAAAGGAGGAAGTTCGAACCCATGGCAAAGAAGTTAAAAACTTGAAAAAAAATTAGACGAATGGCTAACTAGAATAACCAATGCAAAGAAGTCCTCAAAGGACCTGATGGAGCTGAAAACCATCGCACAACAACTACGTGACGAATGCACGAGCCTCAGTAGCCGATGCGATCAACTGGAAGAAAGGATATCAGTGATGCAACATCAAATGAATGAAATGAAGCAAGAAGAGAAGTTTAGAGAAAAAAGAATAAAAAGAAATGAACAAAACCTCCAAGAAATATGGGACTATGTGAAAAGACCAAATCTATGTCTGCTTGGTGTACCTGAAAGTGATGGGGAGAATGGAACCAAGTTGGAAAACACTCTGCAGGATATTATCCAGGAGAACTTCCCCAATCTAGCAAGGCAGGCCAACATTCAGATTCAGGAAATACAGAGAACACCACAAAGATACTCCCCAAGAAGAGCAACTCCAAGACACATAACTGTCAGATTCACCAAAGTTGAAATGAAGGAAAAAAGGTTAAGGGCAGCCAGAAAGGTCAGGTTACCCACAAAGGGATGCCCATCAGACTAACAGCTGATCTCTCAGCAGAAACTCTACAAGCCAGAAGAGAGTGGGGGCCAATATTCAACATTCTTAAAGAAAAGAATTTTCAACCCAGAATTTCATATCCAGCCAAACTAAGCTTCTTAAGTGAAGGAGAAATAAAATACTTTACAGACAAGCAAATGCTGAGAGATTTTGTCACCACCAAGCCTGCCCTAAAAGAGCTCCTGAAGGAAGCACGAAACTTGGAAAGGAACAACTGGTACCAGCCACTGCAAAAACATGCCAAATTGTAAAGACCATCGAGGCTAGGAAGAAACTGCATCAACTAATGAGCAAAATAACCAACTAACATCATAATGACAGGATCAAATTCACACATAACAATATTAACCTTAAACGTAAATGGGCTAAATGCTCCAATTAAAAGGCACAGACTGGCAAATTGGATAAAGAGTCAAGACCCATCCGTGTGCTGTATTCAGGAAACCCATCTCACGTGCAGAGACACACATAGGCTCAAAATAAAGGGATGGAGGAAGATCTACCAAGCAAATGGAAAATATAAAAAGGCAGGGGTTGCAATCCTAGTCTCTGATAAAGCAGACTTTAAATGAACAAAGATCAAAAGAGACAAAGAAGGCCATTACATAATGGTAAAGGGATCAATTCAACAAAAAGAGCTAACTATCCTACATATATATGCACCCAATACAGGAGCACCCAGATTCATAAAGCAAGTCCTTAGAGACCCAGAAAGAGAATTAGACTCCCACACAATAATAATGGGAGACTTTAACAACCCACTGTCAATATTAGACAGATCAACGAGACAGAAAGTTAACAAGGATACCCAGGAATTGAACTCAGCTCTGCACCAAGCGGACTTAATAGACATCTACAGAACTCTCCACCCCAAATCAACAGAATATACATTCTTCTCAGCATCACACCACACCTATTCCAAAATTGACCACATAGTTGGAAGTAAAGCACTCCTCAGCAAATGTAAAAGAACAGAAATTATAACAAACTATCTCTCAGACCACAGTGCAATCAAACTAGAACTCAGGATTAAGAAACTCAATCAAAACCGCTCAACTACATGGAAACTGAACAACCTGCTCCTGAATGACTACTGGGTACATAACGAAATGAAGGCAGAAATAAAGATGTTCTTTGAAACCAACGAGAACAAAGATACAACATACCAGAATCTCTGGGACACATCCAAAGCAGTGTGTAGAGGGAAATTTATAGCACTAAATGCCCACAAGAGAAAGCAGGAAAGATCTAAAATTGACACCCTAACATCACAATTAAAAGAACTAGAAAAGCAAGAGCAAACACATTCAAATGCTAGCAGAAGGCAAGAAATAACTAAGATCAGAGTAGAACTGAAGGAAATAGAGACACAAAAAACCCTTCAAAAATCAATGAACACAAGGAGCTGGTTTTTTGAAAAGATCAACAAAATTGATAGACTGCTAGCAAGACTAATAAAGAAGAAAAGAGAGAAGAATCAAATAGACACAATAAAAAATGATAAAGGGGATATCACCACCAATCCCACAGAAATACAAACTACCATCAGAGAATACTATAAACACCTCTACGCAAATAAACTAGAAAATCTAGAAGAAATGGATAAATTCCTCAACACATACAAACTCCCAAGACTAAACCAGGAAGAAGTTGAATCTCTGAATAGACCAATAACAGGCTCTGAAATTGAGGCAATAATTAATAGCTTACCAACCAAAAAAAGTCCAGGACCAGATGGATTCACAGCCGAATTCTACCAGAGGTACAAGAAGGAGCTGGTACCATTCCTTCTGAAACTATTCCAATCAATAGAAAAAGAGGGAATCCTCCCTAACTCATTTTACGAGGCCAGCATCATCCTGATACCAAAGCCTGGCAGAGACACAACAAAAAAAGGGAATTTTAGACCAATATCCCTGATGAACATTGATGCAAAAATCCTCAATAAAATACTGGCAAACCAAATCCAGCAGCACTTCAAAAAGCTTATCCACCATGATCAAGTGGGCTTCATCCCTGGGATGCAAGGCCGGTTCAACATACGCAAATCAATAAACGTAATCCAGCATAAACAGAACCAAAGACAAAAACCACATGATTATCTCAATAGATGCAGAAAAGGCCTTTGACAAAATTCAACAACCTTCATGCTAAAAACTCTCAATCAATTAGGTACTGATGGGACATATCTCAAAATAATAAGAGCTATCTATGACAAACCCACAGCCAATATCATACCAAATGGGCAAAAAGTGGAAGCATTCCCTTTGAAAACTGGCACAAGACAGGGATGCCCTCTCTCATCACTCCTATTCAACATAGTGTTGGAAGTTCTGGCCAGGGCAATCAGGCAGGAGAAGGAAATAAAGGGTATTCAAGTAGGAAAAGAGGAAGTCAAATTGTCCCTGTTTGCAGATGACATGATTGTATATCTAGAAAACCCCATCGTCTCAGCCCAAAACCTCCTTAATTAAGCTAATAGGCAACTTCAGCAAAGTCTCAGGATACAAAATCAATGTGCAAAAATCACAAGCATTCTTATACACCAATAACAGACAAACAGAGAGCCAAATCATGAGTGAAGTCCCATTCACAATTGCTTCAAAGAGAATAAAATACCTAGGAATCCAACTTACAAGGGATGTGAAGGACCTCTTCAAGGAGAACTACAAACCACTGCTCAATGAAATAAAAGAGGATACAAACAAATGGAAGAACATTCCATGCTCATGGGTAGGAAGAATCAATATTGTGAAAATGGCCACACTGCCCAAGGTAATTTGTAGATTCAATGCCATCCCCATCAAGCTACCAATGACTTTCTTCACAGAATTGGAAAAAACTACTTTAAAGTTCATATGGAACCAAAAAAGAGCCCACCTTGCCAAGTCAATCCTAAGCCAAAAGAACAAAGCTGGAGGCATCACGCTACCTGACTTCAAACTATACTAAAAGGCTACAGTAACCAAAACAGCATGGTACTGGTACCAAAACAGTGATATAGACAAATGGAACAGAACAGAGCCCTCAGAAATAATGCCGCATATCTACAACCATCTGTTCTTTGACAAACCTGACAAAAACAAGAAATGGGGAAACGATTCCCTATTTAATAAATGGTGCTGGGAAAACTGGCTAGCCATATGTACAAAGCTGAAACTGGATCCCTTCCTTACACCTTATACAAAAATTAATTCAAGATGGATTAAAGACTTAAATGTCAGAACTAAAACCATAAAAACCCTAGAAGAAAACCTAGGGAATACCATTCAGGACATAGGCATGGGCAAGGACTTCATGTCTAAAACACCAAAAGCAATGGCAATAAAAGCCAAAATTGGCAAATGGGACCTAATTAAACTAAAGAGCTTCTGCACAGCAAAAGAAACTACCATCAGAGTGAACAGGTGACCTACAGAATGGGAGAAAATTTCTGCAATCTACTCATCTGACAAAGGGCTAATATCCAGAATCTACAATGAACTTAAACAATGTACAAGAAAAAAACAAACAACCCCATCAAAAAGTGGGTGAAGGATATGAATAGACACTTCTCAAAAGAAGACATTTATGCAGCCAAAAGACACATGAAAAAATGCTCATCATCACTGGCCATCAGAGAAATGCAAATCAAAACCACAATGAGATACCATTTCACACCAGTTAGAATGGCGATCAGTAAAAAGTCAGGAAACAACAGGTGCTGGAGAGGATGTGGAGAAATAGGAACACTTTTACACTGTTGGTGGGACTGTAAACTAGTTCAACCATTGTGGAAGTCAGTGTGGTGATTCCTCAGGGATGTAGAACTAGAAATACCATTTGACCCAGCCATCCCATTACTGGGTATATACCCAAAGGATTATAAATCATGCTGCTATAAAGACACATGCACACGTATGTTTATTGCGGCACTATTCACAATAGCAAAGACTTGGAACCAAGCCAAATGTCCAACAATGAAAGACTGGATTAAGAAAATGTGGCACATATACACCATGGAATACTATGCAGCCATAAAAATTGATGAGTTCACGTCCTTTGTAGGGACATGGATGAAGCTGGAAACCCATCATTCTCAGCAAACTATCACAAGGACAAAAAACCAAACACCGCATGTTCTCATTCATAGGTGGGAACCGAACAATGAGAACACATGGACACAGGAAGGGGAACATCACACACCGCGGCCTGTGGTGGGTTGGGGAGAGTGGGGAGGGATAGCATTAGGAATATACCTAATGTTAATTGACGAGTTAATGGGTGCAGCACACCAACATGGCACATGTATACATATGCAACTAACCTGCATGTTGTGCACATGTACCCTAAAAGTTAAAGTATAATAATAAAAAAAAAAGTTGAAAGAGCCTTACGAATTTATCACATAATCCATATAGCATAGGAAGTTATTTCTTGTTTCTTACCCACATGTCCTGCTACAATGCAAAGCCAACTTCCTTTGCTTTTAACTAGGATCAAGTCCTCGATTCCTTACACACGTAAAACTAAGTCGTTCAAAACTATTCAGTTACTAGGATCCTACTTCTCTGTATTCTGACTTTAAGAGTCAAAGGTAAATGGCCTCAAGCAAGCATCCTCATAAGCTGGCAAAACATGGTAATTCCAGACAGTGTCCTGAGGACAACAGGGACCCAGGGCCATCTCTTGGGTCGTCTGTATCCACTAAAATGACCTATGCTAGTCAATCAATGTCTACGGTCTAGTCTCTGGTCTGTTTAATGAACAAGAGGCGGTTAAGTTTTGGAGTCAAAGTTAGCTACCTTATGGTTCACCATCTAACTTTCAGACACACAGTCAATAAAAACAATAAAAGTTAAGGCTTAACTTGTATTTAAATATAGTTAAATATAGGCCGGGCGCAGTGGCTCAATGCCTGTAATCCCAGCACTTTGGGAGGCCGAGGCAGGCAGGTCACCTGAGGTCTGGAGTTCAAGACCAGCCTTGCCACCCTGGTGAAACCCCGTCTCTACTATAAGTACAAAAATTAGCCAGGCCTGGTGACGGGTGCCTGTAATCCCAGCTACTTGGAAGGCTGAAGCAGGAGAATCACGTGAACCTGGGAGGCGGAGGGTGCACTGAGCCAAGATCACGTGACTGCACTCCAGCCTGGGCGACAAGACCAAGACCCTGTCTCATAATAAAATAAAATAAATTATATAAATAAATAAAATTAAATATAATAATTGGTTTACCAGAACACCCCACATTGCAGACATTTTAGGTTAACTGAGATTTTCTGTGTTTGCATGAGAACTAATGTAGCATTTCTCTCTATATTTGTATGAGAACTAATGCAGCATGCAAGGCTAAAGGCATACATATTTATATGGGTTTGCACTCTCTCACACCTGCCAACCTGAGAGCATGTCTGAGACTAGCTATCCCAGGCTTGTATCACAGTTGGAGCGTGAGCACACCATTGCCCAATTTACAAACCACACAGACACCTTTGCTCAACATTTGTCATTCAATTCTAAATCAATGCAATAAAAGTGCCTAAGTTAGTTGTTTAATTGGCATTGCTTCGACATACAGAGATACAAGAAATCATAATTGTTTCCCTTTTATTCTCCAAAAGCAGACATGTACAAATCCTAGTGCCATAATCATACCCGGCTCAACAGTCAGACATAAGAGGCCACAAGATCCCATATGACAATTAGAGTGAAATCCAATCCACATAAGGGCCAAGTTGACCACAGGACTAGATTAAGCACTCTCAATATTTAAACAAACAATAACCCTGAAATGTAGGGTTATTTCCTTACTAAAAAATACTTTTTAGTTACTCTTCAAAACTTTCAGGATAAAATTAGTATTTGCAGCTCATTAAACACCACACAGTCTCATTCTTCATTCCTGTACGTGCAGTTTCCCTACATGCGAAGTTTTTTGCCACCCACCATTCACCACTGCCAAGTCAGTCCTCACTTGTGTCTATCCTTATTCATTCTTAAAAACTCATCTCAGGACACTTTCTTCTGTAAGCCATCTGGGACCGTCACCAAACCCCAGCTAGGGTTAGGTGCCTTACTCTGTACTCCAAAAATTCCCACTCTTAACACACTTACCAGGCTACGTTCTGTGTTCTGCATTGACGGCTGTGCTTAGATCTTGTACCCTCAGCTCCTAAGATAGTGTCAAGCTCAGAAAAGGTACCTTCAGAGAATGGAGGAACAAGTAAAGTAAGCATATTCTGAAGGAGAAAAAGCATCAACCCTTAATAACATCATGCATCACGTGAATAAACCACAGGTAAATTGTCTGGAAAAATGCAAAGCCTTCTTATATCCCAGCACATAAAGGAACATCTGAGTGAGATTCTCCTTAGGGATGAGAAGAAAGTCTGGTTCCCAGTGTTAAGAAACTTGGAATTTCAAAATTTGGTCCTAATACTCACCATGCAGATCCCAAAATGCCGTTTAAGAACACACTAGCTTCCGTACCGACAAAAAGAAACCAAAATCTTTGGACATTTGCTCTGTGGCACAAGGGCTCCAGATATAACATATAATCAATGCTCCCAAAATCCTGGTGTAGAGGATTCAAGTACTGGACTTTGAGGTCAGAAAAAAGAAAAACAAACCAACAAACTTGGACTCCAGTCCCAGCTCTGTTCTTTACTGATTGTATGCAATTAAATAATTCATTTATCCTCTCTAAATGCCAGTTTGCTCATCAGTGAAATGAGAATAATGACAAGTATTTCCAGGGATTGTTGCTAAAAATAAGTGAAATAACAAACATGAAAGATGGCCCGACACACAAGAGCCCTTCATGAATGTTCGTTCTCATCTCTTCCCTCTATTCGGGTATGTGGGTGTCATCTATGTACGAACAGGGATGCACAGATGATTGACAGGCCCCTGCTTGAGTCTTGAACAGCTAAATGAGGACAACGAAGGTGAGAGGCAGCCCTCATAGGCTGTATGAGCAAGGAGCCCATCGTGTTTCCTCCAAAGTCTACATGTTGTTTCTGCACATGGAAATTGGATTTTCAAATAATCTTTTCATCTTTTCAGGAGCTCACTATGAAAATCTATGTTTTCAAGAAGCTGTGGCCCTCGTGCTACTGGTAGTTAGCAGGATGAAGCTGAGTCAAGGAACACACAAAGACCTTCAGAGGTTTTTCAAATATTCCATTTCTTGAGCCAGGAGTAGCTACGTGGCTACCCATTTTATTATTTTTGTTTTTTGTTTGTTTGTTGGTTTTGAGACAGGATCTCGCTCTGTCACCCAGGCTGAAGTGCAGTAGTGTGATCTCAGCTCACTGCAACCTCTGCTTCCTGAGTTCAAGCAATTCTCCCACCTCAGCTTCCCAAGCAGCTGGGACTACAGGTGCACGTCACCACACCCAGATAACATTTGTATGTTTGGTAGAGACGAGGTTTCACCACGCTGTTGGCCAGGCTGGTCTCAAACACCGCGCCAGTCCCGTTTTATTATTCTTTAAACTGGACATATTTTCTATCAACTGTTTTGTATGTGTAATATAGTTCACAATCTAAAAGTGGGGTAGAGTCTTAATATCAGGAGGCTGGAATCAGGGATTCTAGATGTGGAAATCCTGGCAGCATTTAACAAAGGATAACATTTATTTTTTTGCCTCCTAAACTGATGGGTTTTTTTGAATCGTTAATAGCTACTTCTGTGGAACCCATACAAGTGCCAGGAGGCTCACCACCCCAAGATCCCCAGAAACTGACTGACTCCAAAGAATTTGGTAGTGAGACATACAAAGGTCCCCTAAAAAATAACCAGGAGTACAGGGTGCATCCTGAGAATAGGATGATGCTGATGATATCTGAAGGATTTACAGTTTAATACTTAATGAGTCCTTTTTTGAATACACCTTGAAAGTCTGTTTCTGAATGACTGGGAATTTCAGCAATGCCTGTGGATGTGAGTTTCAAAGAGTCATATGTCGAAAACAAAAGGCAACCTGGACTAGAGGTCAGAATGCCTCGGTGCTAGCCCTGAGTGTTTCACAGAGAGCATTAGGGGAGTTGTAGGGTAACTTTCAAAGTATTCAGGCAGCACAGATTTAAGATGAGAAGGTACTTTGTCTGACATCCTCATATCCTCATTGGCTAGAACAGCAAAACATAGGCTATTGTATGAGGGCAGGCTAGAAAGTGTCAAACTCACCTGCTCCCCTCTTCTTGTGCCTTCTCTTAGGACAACATTCCCCTCCCCACCCCACTACCTCCCAGTTTTTGGTGTATGTATGACAACTACAAAATAATTTAACTAAATATTTAACTTCTAAAGATATAATTGTAACAGTCACAGTAATAATCGATGGAGTAATCTGCAAAAGTAAAACAGCACTGATGAGCTTCATAGTTGTTTATTATCATTGTGCCAGGCTTTGCTATTTACAAATCACAGCCATTGACATTTTTACTGAGAAATCACACACACACACACACACACACACACACACACACAGTGTCAGGAGACAAAAGGGTAATAGTGTAGGAAGCAGATGGAAGGACGGCTTCATAGCAGACTGAGCACATGCTTCATGCGTAAGTGAGGTAAGGGGCACCCAAAATAGAAAAGAATTCAACAAACTTACACAGAAGTCTGCAATCAGACAATCTAACAAACACCGAATTATTTTCAGGTTATCTGTATGTCTTATGCTTTAGAGCAGGGGTGTCCAATCTTTAGGATTCCCTGGGCCACACAAAAAAATATGTTAACACTAACAAAAGGTACATGTATAAATCTCATAATGTTTTAAGAAAGTTGATGGATTTGTGCTGGGCCACATTCAAAGCTGTCCTGGGTCGCATGTGGCCCAAGGGCCATGGGTTGGACAAGCTTTAGAGTTGAGTGTTGTTCCTATTTTTAAATTTCTTTCATTTAGGGGGAAGTATCATCTTTTTTATGGAATTTAGAGTCTTTAATGGTTTGCATCTAACCCTGGAAGCAGAAATAATAATGGGATAGAGGTTAGAAGCAATGTAAATAATCTTAACCATCTGTCCGGCCTCTTGCTAAATATTTCATGCCTTTCAACCAATAACATAAAGCCTAGGATCAGAATCCAATATGCTAGTCAGTTTACTCCAAATAACCCAGTGGTGTGGTTTATTTCATTATACCCATGACACTAGTCCTTTCCTTTTATAAATACCAAAAAATATTATTTTCTCCCTTAAGTAAATCAAGTAAATAATGGCTTACCCTTCACAGTACTCAGTTATTTAATGTATCAAATGCCTTATCTGGCAAAACTTGAATGTGAAATAGTTATGGAAGTGTTTACAATAAAGGCACAGGGGTGGACAAGAACAAGTTTTGGAGAAAATGAGGGGAATAAATGGTTAACTGCCAACAGACACACACTCACGCTGGAGGACACAAAAAGGTTCACAGCAGTTGTTAAATTCATTTAGAGAAACTCACTTTATTTCTCCAACAGAGCTCTCACCAGCTAATCTGTATTACAACCTGCAGGATTCTTAATATTCTCAGCAGGATCAAGATTCGGGCCACACTGATTCAGCTATTTAATCTTGCAAGAGAACAATATTTGGCAGGAAAAGACCCCACAGCACTGAGGGGATGTCCCAGTGGTTTGTCGTTAACACAGACTGGGCCAAGAACGCCAAAGGTGGAAACCAAACAGCACTAAAACCAATGTTTCTCTTTTCCTTTCACTAGCTCTGTCCTCAAACACATATGTGCACTCTACACATACGTGGCAAACACATATGTCACATGTGCAAAGACAGCTATTTCAGATGCATGTATGTTTTTAAAAGGCAAAATATTTCCTGAATATTTTGGGCCCTGTCATGAAAAATTTAAAATTCAAAAGTATTGACTTCCTCTTTTCCTATTTGAATACCCTTTATTTCTTTGTCTTGCCTGATTGCCCTGGCCAGAACTTCCATTCTCAGCAAACTAACCCAGGAACAGAAAACCAAACACTGCATGTTCTCATTCCTAAGTGGGAGTCATACAACGAGAACACACGGACACAGGGAGGGGAACATCACACACTAGGGCCTGTTGGGGGATGGGGGAAAAGCGGAGGAAGAGCATTAGGACAAATACCTAATGCATGCGGGGTTTAAAACCTAGGTGACGGATTGATAGGTACAGCAAACCACCATGGCACATGTATACCTATGTAACAAACTTGCACATTCTGCACATGTATCCCAGAACGTAAAGTAAAAAATAAAAAGAAATTCAAAAGTATCACACACAGGTTGGAGGCAGGAAAAGAGATGAAGGAACCACGGCCAGAGTTTCACTTTCAAACTCTTTAATCTTCTTAAGCATTGAAAATCGAAATAGTAAAAACATATTTATGAATTTTTAATGTATACAAATTTTTAAGATACTGATTTTTTTTAACCATTTTGAAATTAATAAGCTGAACAACACTCTTCTATACTTGAACATTTGCAATGTTTTATATAGAATACTGTGGTTTGATTTCCTTTTGTGTTTTGTTTTTTTTCTGCTGAGGACGTCTTTATTTCCTTATTTAAATGGCTGTTAAGCGATTTAGATGGTTTGACTTAATTTTTTGTGGTATTTTCTGGAATACTGATAGGCAAATAGTGAATAAAGAAAACAGACATACAGAAGTGGACAAACTTAAAAATAAGATGTATAGCCTCTATTATTAAACAAAGATTATAAATCACTCTTGAAATCAATGATTCAGTGAAGTTTTTAACAACTAATAAAATAGTATGACTCGTGTTCAATTCCTTTCCCTCCTAAACCTGAGTTTGTTACCCTCTGATATTAACACAGCATTTCCCTCTATCTGGCATTTCTCCCATTTAGAACATTAGATGTATTATCTCATATACAGAGCTTGTTGCTCTAACATTGTCTGCTGCCTGTCAGGCTAACTACAAGCCGCAGGGCATCGGGGGTCATCTGTGCTTTATTCCTCATTAATCCCACCTCCTAGCAATGTGCGCGGCACATAGTAAACACTTTAAAACATGTTTGTTAAGTCAATAATTAAGATCTCAAAAGTGGTATCATCTAGAAATGTTTGTTTTGGATTTATAGATGCCCAAATTATGCACATTTGAAACTACGATAACTACTCCTTCAACAATCCTGCCTCAACCTATATTTCAGGAATGGGATCTCTCCCTGCACTCTAACAAGGAGACGCCGGGTGTTCCTAACCTTATATTCATCTCTTCCCTTCCTTCTGCCTCTTCTCCCTCATAAACACTTTTACATCCAACCGAGGCCCTCATGCATCCTAGGATGAACATGAAACACATCCAGAAAAGTGGTTTTTCACTTTTTCTGAAATCCACACGGCCTGATGCAATGTCATGTCCAGACCCAATGTTTCATGAATAAAGGTGTATACGTGTCAGGTAACTGTGAAGGTAATTTCTACTTCTGTCTTATACTTTACAGTCAAAGCCCCAGATTCTGGAGGATTTAAACATGATCAAGAAATGCCACTTATCATCAAAGGCCTCACACAATTACACAACAAAAATAAATATTTCAATCACTTTGTTTATGGGAAATTGATTCTATCAAAAATGACAGTGTTAAGAATAATAGAATGGTTTTTAAGGTTTTTTCCTGTATTCTTTTTTTCTAAATCCATACTCTCTTTCCTGGTTTGCTAAACACAGGCAAATTCTAACACCTTTATAATTCTAAGGATGCAATGATACAAAGCTTAATTCAAATGGTTAAATATTCCTTTGTGGCCTGGTATGGTGGCTCATACCTGTAATCCCAGCACTTTAGGAAGCTGAGATGGGAGGATGGCTTGAGCCGAGGAGTTCAAGACCAACCTGGGCAATATAGGCAAACCTTATCTCTATTCGAAAAAAACAAAAAAAGAAGCTGACTTTGTTACAATTGATATAGCCACAAAAGGAAAAATCAAAAATATAAAGAAGCAAAAAACATGACTTCCTACTTCTTGTCCTTGGAACCAAATAGAGTCTGGAGGCATTTCACAAAAGCAATAGGTCCTTCAGACAGAAATTTAGATATCTTTGTGCAAGCAGCATTGCATGTGATTCTGTACAAAAGAGAAAAAGGCCACAAAGCAGGCCTGACAACCATGAATGGAAAGAAAGCTATAGAAGAAAATATGAGCAAAAAAAAAAAAAGAAAGAAATGCAATTTTTATGACATAATCCTTCCAGGAAAATGCAAAGTAAATTAGAGAGCATAGTTGCATACTTAAAAAAAAAAAGACATTCTTGTTTCTAACTTCCAAATCATAAAATTTTCTCTAATTGTATAAACTTGGCTTAGATTACCAATGGATTTTGAATTAAATCTCTATACAATGTCTCCCTTGACTTATGACCCTCCAATAAGCTAAAATAACACTCAACTATTACTCTTAAGAACTAAGAAAACAACAGGTTTTAAACCTGCCTCTAAAACTTCATTGACATTATAATTATATGGCCTAATTATTAATGATAGTCACATCTGGGACTCCAAAAATATATACATAAGAGTTCTGGTTTTTCTTTAACATTCAGGATATTCTACTCACTGTGGCTATGTCCCAAAAGGTATAATAAAATCTGGAAGAAAATTTAGATACTTTCAAAGTTCTAAATCTGCATCATGCACTGGAAATTGAGACGTGAAGCTAGTCTTTGTTAGACTTTCCCTGTGTCCTGGAAATTTTTTTTCTATTCTCACCTCTCTGCCCTCCTTTTTATTCACATCTGCCCAGGCTAAACTGCTAGCACGGGACATGTGAAGTCCACATTCTGAACTACATAATTCAACCAAGATCTGGAAAACTTAAAAACTTCACTACACTCTAAAGTATCTGTGTTTCTATCAATGACTAATGGCTCAAACCTGGAAATGAAAAGTTTTAAAGGTTCAATTAAGAACCGGGGCCAGGCGGGGTGGCTCACACCTATAATCCCAGGACTTTGGGAAACCGAGGGAGGTGGATCACCTGAAGTCAGGAGTTTGAGACCAGCCTGGCCAACACGGTAAAACCCCGTCTCTACTAAAAATATAAAAATTAGCTGGGCGTGGTGCCAGGCACCTGTAGTCCCAGCTACTAGGGAGGCTGAGGCAGGAGAATCACTTGAACCCAGGAGGCAGAGGTTGCCATGAGCCGAAATTGTACCACTGCACTCCAGCCTGGGCAACAGCGTGAGACTCTGTCTGAAGGAAAAAAAAAAAAAAAAAAAGAACTGGAAATAGGATATAGGAGGAAGTTTTTTTTCTTTTTTTAGTTAAGAATATTCAGCTTGAAAATAGGGAAAAGTTTAAAACTGAATGTAGAAGTTTTCCTGGAAAGGCAACAGGTAGAGGGTAGTATTATCTAGCTTCACTAAAGAAACTAGCTCATCTGTCAGGGTACAGTGGCTCACGCCTGTAATCCCAACACTTTGGGAAGACGAGGTGGGCGGATCACTTGAGGACAGGAATTTGAGGCCAGCCTGGTCAATATGGCGAAACCCCATTTCTACTAAAAATACAAAAATTAGCTGGGCATGGTGGTACATGCCTGTAATCCCAGCTACTCAGGACACTGAGGCACGAGAATTACTTGAACCCCGGAGGTGGAGGTTGCAGTAAGCCGAGATTGCACCGCTGTACTCCAGCCTGGGTGACAGAGTGAGACCCTGTCTCAAAAAAAAAAAAAAAAAAAAAGAAAAAGAAAAAAGAAAAGAAAAGAAAAGAAAAAACAAGAAATTAGCTCATGATAGCAGCTTATATTATAATTATGTGACACTTTGGATATTTCAAAGCACATTCACAAAGTGTATGTCACTTAAATACCTCAAAATTTCCCTGTTATACATGCAGATCATTCCCCATTCAGCCCTGGTATGGACTGAACTGTGTACCACCCCAAAATTCATATGTTGAAGCCCTAACCACCAATGTGACTGTATTTGGAGAGGGTGACTTTAAGGAGGTAATTAAGGTTAAATGAAGTCACAAGGAAGCCCTGATCCAATTGGGTCTGTGTCCTTCTAAGAGGAGGAGACACAGAGATCTCTCTTGCTCTCCCTCTCTCTCTCCACATGCACACACCAACGAAAGGCCACATGAGGACACTGCAAGAAGGCAAGTGTCTGCAAGCCAGGAAGAGAGCCCTCACCAGCCCTACCATACCTTGATCTGGCACTTCCCAGCCTCCAGAACTGTGAGAAAAATTTCTGTCGCTTTACGCTGCCCAACCTGCAATATCTTGTTATGGTGCCTGAGCAGACTAAGACAAGCCCTAATTTTTTTTTTTTTTTTTTTTTTGTAGGCTCTTGGATTAGACACCAAAAAGAATTCCCTATGATATATTAAGATAGGGGAAGTCCTGGCATTTGTAATGTAATTAGAAAATAAATTATCCTGCTTTACTGAGGAAATGTTGCTACAATCCTTTGATAAAACTATAGAAGTCACTGAATATTTAAGGAGCAGAGAGTAAAAGATCGTGTTTATCAAGCAGCACCAAAAAGAAAAGAATCATAAAATTGAAAGCAACTTGAGAAACTAAAAATATCCTTGCAAAGAGGAGTTTCAAGAAAAAGAATGTACAAAATTAGTCAATATTTTACATATTATTACCTCATTCGTTTATTCCACATGCATTTATTGAGTACGTGCTCTGTACTGAGCTCTATTCTAGGCATAACCGATCTTGCATTGAAGGGGTAGACTCATTCCTTGCTCCACTATGGCAGATATTCCAGAAAAGATTTTACTTGCCTAGACTGAAAAGTGGATGGGATGGCAAACTCTTCTTAAGGAAAAAAAAAAAAAAAAAAGAAAGAAAAAACACCCTGGATATAGAGAAAGTAATCCCATAAAATAATCCAGCTATTTACTGAATAGATATTTATTTGATAACTACTTTGTGCTAGACAATGACACAATAGAAAAAAAATCTGGGAGCTTTCAAGAAGAAAATTGATGTGCAATGGATATGTAGACCTTGAAAGAGATTAGAACTCCTAGTAATAATCTTCACTGTAAGATGAAATTCACACAAGGCCAGGAGATTCACTCATCAAAGTAAAAAATAAAAATATTTGTTGACACAAATGGTCGATACATTTGTTTATTAAATATGGCAGTGGGCTAGGCCCTGGGTCTGTATAGAAAAAAAGACACAGCCCATTTCTTCATAGAGTTCAGTCTGAGGGTAGGAAAACTCATAATGCAGCTATAGAAGCTGACTGTCAGAGCAGCTAGGGAAAGATGGTGTTGCAGGACTTTTCCTTAGTTCAGCTAAAGATGGGGTCCTTTGTCCCACGGCAATGAAAATTCAGGCTCGCAGACAATTTGAATGAGTAAGACAGGGTTTTGCTGGGTGAAAGGAAGAAAAGGGGGAAACAGGGACTCCCTGCAAGGCCAGAGTCCCCTGCTAGAGAGCTTCCTGCCTCATAGTTCGAATTCCAGGTTTCACACAGGAAGAGGAGGGGGCCTGGCTCCCCCACCACCACCCCGCCCCCTCTGCAAACAGCACAAACTTCCCAAGGCTCTACCCTAGTGGGCAGGCTGGTTGGAGTTTTTCCGGGGACCCCCTCCCATCTGGCTGTCTCAATGGTAGCCTCTGAGCCAGTGTGGATGGGGAGAGGTATGAAGGGACTTGCAGGCAGAAGTGTGAAATGGATGGGTTCAGATTGCAAGAGGGCCTCCCAGGCTAGAGGTCTCAGCTAGCACTAAGCCAGGGACAGCCTCACATTCCAGGCAAAAGATTTTACATTTTATCCTAAAGGCAGCAGAGAGACTTAACAGATTTTAAAAGAGGATGTGACATGATCAGATGTGCATTTTAGGAAAACCTTGCAAGAAACTGTAAGGAGAATAGCCCAAGTCAAGAGACTATTCCCACACTCCTATCAAGGGGTAGGGAGGGCCCTAAATTAGAGAGGTGACGAGAAATGCAAAGTATAAAGCACCATCTGGTGCATTCTTTCAGATATAAAACATAAATGGAAAGAGACATGGATGATCTTCACCTATGGGAAGTTAAGGAGGTCAGACATATAGACACATAAAATGCTAATTAAAACCAAAGTGGAGAATATGATGTGTGAAATGAGTGGTACAAATGATAGTGTTATAGCACAAAGTCCCACAATAATTCAGAGATGAGACACATCACTGTAGCTGGGTTTGAGTGTGTGTCTGGGATCAGGGGGCTGGGCTGTCATTTACAGATAGTGTGAAATTGTCCTAAACATGCAGAATGACTCATGCAAAAGCCCAGAACAGAGTAAGTAGGCAGGCCTAAAAGAAATCGAAGAACAGAGGTGAAAAGTAGTGAAAGATAAGGTGAAAAATAGTCATTTAGGAGCAGATTGTGGAGGGTCCTTAGAGTCAGAATTAAAGGGTTTAGGAGATTAGACTTTATCCTACTCAAACTGGAGGGCCATGGAAAGTATTTTAGTGGGTCATAATTAGGGTCTTGATGAAAGAGATATTTTAGAACACCTCATCTGGTCATTGTGTTTTAGATGCAATGAAAGGAACAGAAGGAGATAAGGCCAATTAGGAAGTTACTGCAGTAACTCAGGCAAGATAATGGCCTGAACACAGTGAAACTGAAAAGAAAGGAATATGGGAAAAAAGGATTTCATGAAAAAAGGATCTTCACAGATTGTTCACTGAATCCCTCATCTCTTGTTTCAAAAAAAAAAAAAAGTCATATGTGTTAATTCTTTTATTACCGGGGCTCTTCTCAAACCTCCCCTTTAGACAATGCCATTTTACAACCAAAACTCTTGTACTTGACATGCACAAGTAATTACTGGTCTGGGATGTATTTGTTTCTTTAAGTGACTGTGGCTGAAAAATTGAGGCTAAAAAGAAGAGATCAGCCTTTGAAGTTCTGCTCTACATGGAAAAATAAAGCAAAACCAGGTGTAAGGGAAACCACAGATTTGGAAACAAGAAAGGACCAAGAGGTAATTTTCCGTACATTTCTCACATGAAAGTATAAGTAATCCTTATAGAAATACTTTTCCCGAGGAGCGGTTGTTCAGAGGATCTAATTAAACAGGGTATGTCAAAGTGTTTCAAAATAAATGAGGTATTCATACATCTGTTAGGTATTATGAGAAAATATGTGTTATTGCCCTATCACTTTCTCTTTTTTTTAAACTTTGTCTTTAAAGATAATGCTACTGACCCCACTATTTACTGGGAATTCATCAGTTATTGGTTGAGATGAGCTACAGATAAGGTCTAGTCCACTAAAGCAACATATAGATTCACTCTGTAAAAATACTAGCCTTCAAGAGCTTAAATCTAAACCACTGACCTCATAACTAATCGTCTATGTTAATCAACCCACTTATGACTTACAATAAAAATAACATTCATTCTCCCTTCAAACTGCTTAGTGTACTAGATTTTACTACTCAAAATCAGAAGCTTTTACATAAATGTTTCATTAGTTATAAAACTTCTGCTTTTTGTATAAAGAACAAAATTAACAAATAATGTATTTCAATGAATGACTTTATAATTTTTACCTTTCTCATATTTAAAAAAAAAAGTTTGCTAAATATAAAAAGAAAAAAATCTCCTTCAGTGTCTGTTGTTCAGATTCATGTAAGACCTAATTGCCTCATACACGATAATTTTGCCACCAGTTTACAATTAGCATGTATTGCTCATGCATGAGTTGACCCAATTACATAACAAATTTCGCCTTTGGGGATTTCTCTTGACTGCTTGTCTTCTGTCCACCATACAACTCAATTTCACACTGTCAGCAGCCTGAACATGGTTACAGTCAGTCTCTGTCAAAATGATTTATTTAAATTACAAACAGAGACCAAATCCCTAGATAATTGTCCCTACCCTCATGTTCACCCTTGCACTCAACCGAACTTTGAATCAAATCTTTTAATAGCCCATAGACACTACTATTCAATTATTAGGCAATGTTTAGTCCCAATAATCTAATATTGTTGAAGCTAACTCACAAAATCTCAGGGAACTAAATCAGCAGTATCCGTGTGAGCTTATTAATGGGCATATAATTTATTTTACATTCTAAGAAGTCAGTGAAAAATTATGTAGTGTAGCAAAAGAGCTAAAAATAATTATATTACAAGATCAAATTATAGAGAGATTACTTTTTGGTATACTTTTTTAAAAGTGTCACTCTTAGCTTTTCTTGTAAAGTAGGCAAGCAATTCTTATAAATGGGTATGCGAAATTGAAAGTGGTAGCAAAAAAGGATATTTGGGAAAGCGGACAGATAATTAAAATTGTGAACATTGACAAGGTAAGGGAAATAATATAGGGCAGGTGAAACACTAATGTCTATAGACATTAGTCTATACTGATCTAGGAAAATGGGGTTTTAGACACTCTCATTGAAGTCAACACACAGAGGTACATACACAGATATACGCACACACAGACAAGCAAAACTATTTTCTCCATTTGTCAAGAACACGCAGAAATCCTGACAAATCAAATAATGGTACACTCACCATTTCAGTCAGTCTTTAAAACACACAATTTTGTCATCTGGTCGATTTTTGTTTCTTTCCCCTTCATTTGATATTTCTCTTCCCCCTGAAATAAATTAGAAAATAAACATCCAGTTTTCATCTATGGCACAAAGTCTGTAAAAGTCTCTTGGGGTTTGACTTCACCATTTTATTTCACAATTTATCCCCAGACTGTCTCAGCTAATTGAAAGTGCAGCTGATATTAGTGGGTAAACAGCCAGAATGAAACATCAGTAATTTTCCCAAGGCTAGCCTGAGTCCCTTGAATGTCTGGCGATGGTTGTGCTTTGAGATCCTGCTGCAGGTACCCTGAATGCATTGCTTGTAAACTTGAAGGTGGGAACCACCTGAAATTAGAAAGAGCCTTTACAGTTACCCACATGAGCTAGCCCAGTAGCAGCCACAGAAAAGGGTGTTTCATTTTTTTTAATGCCCTTGGGCACAGTATTCCTCAATTCATATTTGGACACTGTCCCTTAAGAATATTTTCCTAAAATATTGGTAAATAAAGAAAATGTGATGTACAAAGATATTTCTGCCATTTCTGAATTTATGCCCTAGAGTTTGGGGGCAAGGAGAGGGTGGATGGCAATTAAGCGACACAGTTGTGAAAATCCGTAAGGCAGGGCTTTCTGGCCCACAGTTCCTAAGTCAGTGCTGAACACATTGGCTGTCAGGTTTCATTCTACTGAAGAGATACAGTTTCAACAAAACCTGGACTTCTGAACATTATCTTCAATTAAACGATTTGGCTCGATTTCCTGACTTCCTATAAAAACTGTTCCCAAGCCTAACATTCA
Organism: Homo sapiens; assembly: GCF_000001405.40. Lineage (NCBI taxonomy): Eukaryota > Metazoa > Chordata > Mammalia > Primates > Hominidae > Homo > Homo sapiens. The sequence continues at coordinate 20,958,552 of NC_000010.11, forward strand.
ATTTCATAAGCAACCAAACCCCATCTGAATATTAATATATTCAATGAGATGAAGACATCTTCTGGAATTTCATGGGGAAAAAAATAATTTTGCTTTATTTTAGAAGCCAAGTTCTTTTTCTTCCCAGCCATTTAGTCAATTCTGAAATACTGCCTCTTTTCTTGTTTTGTTCTGTGGCTACACTAAGTGGGTAACATAGCAGAAGAATTATAAATTGCAGTATTTAACAAATCTCCCATGTTCAATATGTTGTCATTACAGCTACCCAGAAAAGGCAAGTTCACCCACTCTCACCTCGTTCATCACACTCAATTTGAAATTTACGGTTGTATTTTATCCCACACCTCAGTAACATGCAGACTGAGTGGTCATTTCCAAATGATTTCAAATCCTCAATAAACAAACATGAGAAGAGCTGAAAAAATTTCAAAACATTGACATAGACATAAGCAATCAAAAATTCCCATTCATCCGTAACATATTACCCAAAACACTTAGGAGTTGTCATTAAATTCACTGCTTTATGTCTTTATACAAGAGAGATTAAAGGCAGCTAAGAAAGAGCCACACAATATTCAGAGATAAACTAGAAACAAATAGGAGAAAATGAAACACAGGGAAACATAAAGACAGCAAAGACTGCCGATCTTAGTTAACCTACCTATATTAACCTATATTAAACTTGGCACTCAAATGCAAGACTCACAAATTTCATACCCCTAATAATTTTCAGGATCTATAATTTTCAGGATTATAATTTCCCAGCATCTCTAGCCGGAAGATTCTGGGGTCTTTCCAGTCTAGACACTTTCTCACCTGTTTCCTCTCATAACAGACACAATCCAGCCACTGTCAAAAAATATCTGTTTGGGTTTTAGCCAATACTGTTCAGTGGGTTTAGATTAAAGTAATATGGAAAACTGGACTTGCCAAAGTACTACTTTTTGGATCAACCCAAGTTTCTTATAGAAAAAGATCCTTGAGTAATATGGAAAACCTAGTGAGGTAAGGGAAAAAGTTCATGAAGTTGCAGTCTTATAAATGAATAATAAATTCACCAGACCTCAGAGCACTTAACAGCCTCCCTTCTTTAAGAGTTGTTCCCTAATGGTAATATTATGAAGTCTATATTTTTTACAGCTATCCAAACATTTAATATGCCTCATATTGGCTAAGAGAACTACTTATAAGACTGCTACGGCTGCTAACATTAAGACATCGCAAAAAGTTTTTTTTTTAAAAAAAGATGTTGTCTAAGTTACATGCTTTTAAAAATCAGAGTTGTCTAAATAATAGGCTTAATCTAAATGGTGCTTTTTATACTGCTGTCTATATAACATATTATATATGATAAATATAGATTAATACATACCTGTGTGATAAGGGTATTTTGCATAATTAAGAATGGATCTGCAAACCACCTCTGGTATTGAATAAAATGTATATTCCTGCTAATGATAAAGGTTGGTAAAATGATCAGTATTTTTTAATTAAACATGAATATTGACTAAATTTGAATAAAAATTAAAAGGCTTACCTTTGATCAGCTTCAATCCTTATGTTAGCTGTCACATGGATGTCTTAGGTAGAAATGTTTAGTTCTTTTTGAAATAAAATTCAGTGATTGTTGAAGATGTATAATATAACTGTTTTTGGCAGAATTATTTTTTAGATAAACATTTGCCAAAAATAATCCAAAGAAAGAACTGTTATTAAATGTAACTGCCAGTGTAATAGATCATTGATTTGCATTCTTAAAAGCAAAAATAGGTTTTTGGTTTAAGGAAAGAATAAAGAGGAAGAAAAATAAGGCAGTGATCTTCAGTATTCATGACTGATGGATTGCTGGGATGGGGTAGAAAAACTAAGAGACAAATGTCATGAAGTCTTAAAATTCAACTCTTTTTCTTCAAAGGAAATCCCTACTAATATAAAATGTCCATTTAAAGAGCAAAAAACAATGTGTACTTTGCATCCTCCCACTTCCTAATAAATTGTTTAACATGAAATAATTCTGTTTTTGAACTTTAGACATATAAAAAGTATTTTTCTCAAATTATACATAATTCTATCTGCAAATTTTATATGTGTGTATATGTGTGTATATATACACATATTTATATATAAATGCATATATAATATATACACATGTATTTTATACACACACACACATATATACATGTATACATACATCTCATGATGATGACCAAATATCAGTGAGTTTAAAACCACCTGCTAATTAAACATGTCCTGGAAATTAAGGCTACATCAGTTATAACACCTAGATATACAAATTTTAGTGACTTTATAAGTGACGCACAAAATACAGTTCTCGTGAAAAATGGTATGAGTGTTGCCTGTTTGCTCATACTTTTATGTCACTCACACATCTGTTAATTTTCATCCATATTTCTTCTTGGATATCTAACATTGAATTAATTTTTGTGAAGAAAAATACATCCTGACACACTTCATGTAATATTTTGGAAGAAACATAATCACAGGTGTGAATTACCAAAACTTAGAAGAGCTGTTTATCCACCTTTAATAAGTACTGAATTAATACCTCCCTAATACATTTTGAACTTCTCCTAGTCTCCATTTTCTCTTTTGAGGAAACTATATTAATAAACAAGGCACAGCTTCAAGTCCAAAGCAACTACATATATAAATGTTTATTTCAAAAGTAAGATGTAATACCTGATTTCAACAAATATCTAATTCAAAATATGAAATCTTATAGACACCTAGTCGGCAAATAGGAGATCTTAAGACTCCTAACCTTATATGTATATTTTATATGCTTATCCACAGTCAAAACTTAACTTTCAAGTTTCTTATTTTAATTATAAAAGGCCTATTTTGGAAAAATTTGAAAGCTGAGAACCATTCAAAATGGAATAAGGAGATCTTCTATTAGGTAACTAAGCACCGGGTCCTAGATAACTGTGATGGAACCAGAGGGCAGGGTTTACCAGATGAAATTGGCATAGTCTATGCGTGCACTGAGTACTGCTTGCACCCCACAGCAACACAAACACTTCCAAGTCATCCAGCCTCCCTTTCTCATCCAGAAATGCACATCAGAGCCATCATGCTATTGAATAAACAGGCACCTACATTACTGATTTGCTCCTGAGTCCTCTTCAGTCTCTGTAGCTCAGGAGTGTCCGTGACGATGCTGAAGCCCCTCCCTTTGCTTTCTTCAAAATCTCTTTTGTACTTGACCTAACAAGAAGGGGGAAAAGAAAAGTGAACAGAGGGATCACGAATCCCACTCGGGATAGGCTGGGCCAACGAAGCTGCTGGAATTGGAAACAATGGCTAAAAACACAGATCTCAGCCGGAGGTGCAGTTAAGAACCAGAAGGAAACAGCCAGGCTACCTGGTTTGTGTCACAGAAACTCCACTTACCATTTGTGTGACTTTAAGCAAGTTCTTTAACCACTCTGTGCTCAGTGGTGTCATCTGTACAGCGGCAATAACAAACAACAATGGCTATTTAAGAGGTTGTAGGGATGGGATCAGACTACTTGATGCATGAATCTGGCTGACAGAAACAAGTAAGTACTCCATAATAGTTATTATGATTATCACCATTAATACCATTACTACTGTGAAAGGAAAGAAAATGTAGAAAAAGAAAGCTAAATCTTCTTCTCCTCCTGTGCCCGCCTGTCAGTGAAAAAGCCTCATTTTGAGCCTAAACTGCCCTATGGAGGAGGGAGATGAAGAATTGACAGCTAGCCCTGTCCAAGAAGTTTTTATTCAACTTCAGAAGGCCAACATATGGATACAATTACACAATGCTGTATTGCCAAATGGCAAGTACATAAATGCTTATGAAAATATTTATAAAATAGGCCACACCTAGAGATTAAAAAGCTGCTCACACATGCCCTTGGCATACTGTGTGCTGAAGTAGCGAAGATTTTTTTCAGTATTTAAATATACTTCTTTTCTAATTACAACCCAATGGAGCTGAATTTTACTGTTTCCTCGGAGGACTGGAACAGCTAATGCTTCATCTTACAGAACCCCATCTCCTGTTATTAGCATAATGACAATAACTGTCACACCAGTTAAAGATTTGGCTTGTTAATGACTGAGATGGTTACATCACTTTGTTCTTTTTTTAAGCCTAAATATCAAGAAATTTGGAAACATATTTTGATAATCCATAGAATCCCCATTTTACATTCAAAATTACAAGCTTCCAATCAACACTTACATTGATCATTAAAATTAATTAAGTTAATTTAGGGTTGCCTATTCAATATGATTGTTAGTGTAGTGTAGTCTTCTGCAGAAGGTAGAAAAGTTCACTTCGTTGAACATGGAATGGCTGTTTCTGTTGAATCATGTCTGTATTTAAATACCCAATTCTATCAAGCATTATTATCCTCAAGGATACGACAAGATTTTCTTTTACCAGACAAGCTTGAAAGAAAAACACACACACACACACACACACACACACACACACACACACACACGGAAATCTAGATACTCTCATCGCTTTTAGCTTAAGAATACCTAATTCTTCTCTCTGTACTTTCGATTTGTAAAAGCACTAAACCCCTTACTTTATTCCCATAAGTAAAAGGTCAAATAAACTGCAATATTTTTCTTCCACATAAAATGCTGAGAGATTAGCCTTCTCACCCTCCATCTCCCAGCATGGGTAAAGATCCACATGCTGGCACATTCTCAGCGTTTAATGCCTAACTAAGCAGGCAAGCTATTTAGTTTTGCTGGTAGTAAGCACTGGAGCTCAGAGTAGTAAAATAATAAAAGTTAAAAGGATGACAAGGTTGGAATAGCAACAGGCATGAAGACATAGGAAGAAATGCCTGTGAGACAAGTTCTAGCATTCCTAACACCAGTCTCAGAGAAGGCACAATCACATATTATTTTTGTTACTCGTCTGTATTTTTTAATAGCAATTTCCAAAGACAGAGGTGAAAAGAAAAACCAATAAATTCTAGAATCATAGGTATTTTTGGTTTTTTCTTTTTGTTTTGGTAGTGATGGGTTCTCACTATGTTACCTAGGATGGTCTTGAACTCCTGGCCTCAAGTGATCCTCCTACCTTAGCCTCCCAAAGTGCTGGGATTGCAGGTATCAGCCACCACCACACCCAGCCTAGAATCACAGGTTTTGAGCTGACTACTGTTCAACAATCCTTTCCACATTCACAAGACACAAAAGAATCATCTGACTTTGGCTTGCTGGTTGTGTGACTAACTTTGAGAAGTGTACAATCACCTCTAAAAATGGCTTGCAGAGTGTTGCAGGATTCCTATTTCTTTTGAATGGTGTGAAACACAGCCAAGCCTCTTACCCTCTCAGCACCAGTTCAAGCACCAGCCCACCAGTATTTCTTTACTACACATAGGGAAACTCCGAGCCATTCATCAGCTCTCTCTTTTCCACACTCCCACCCACTTTCATCCTATTTACTTAGGTCTAATTTTAAATGTGGTATCAGATGGTTTGTCAGTCATGTGTAGTCTGATTCTAGGAGGCAAGTGGATATAAAAAGAGAACAGAGGACAGAGGGAAATAGCAGGATGTCTCTCTCCAATCTCATGTGGCCCCTTTGCCCTCACATGACCTCATCCAGCCAAAAAGGACACCACATCCACAAGACCCTGTGATAGATCTCGGGAGGGCCACATAATCTAGCAAGCATCCAGAAGCCTCAGCTCTGGGACTCTGGCAGGAATTCTTGGGAAAGGGGTTGTGTCATTTATTTGTGCTGCTATAAAGGAATACCTGACACTGGGTAATTTACAAAGAAAAGAGGTTTATTTGGCTTATGGTTCTGTAAGCTGTACAGGAAGCATGGTGCCAGCATCTGCTTCTGGTCAGAGCCTCAAGAAGCTTCCAATCATGATGGAAGGTGAAGGGGAGCCAGCGTGTCACATGGCAAGACAGGGAGCAAGGGCAGGGGAATGTGCCAGGCTCTTTAAACCAGCTCTCACGTGAACTCATTGTTGTGGGGAGGGCAAAAAGCCATTCATGAGGGATCCGCCCCCATGATCCAAACACCTCCCATTAGTGCATACCTTCAATGCTCAGGATCACATTTCAACATGAGATTTGAGGGGGACAAACATCCAAACCATATCAGGGGTGCTCTTTTGCTATGGTCTGGCTAGTTTAACTGGCTGTAAAAGTGGAGTTGCTGACTACCATGTGGCCACTGTCCAATAATGAAGTCAACACAGAGGCAAGCAAAAGAGTGATTGAGAGAGAGTCCTGACATCACCATCTGAGCACCTGAATTTAACTCTTCCAAAAGCCAGAAATACCAGGTTTGCCCGTTACGTGAGCTAATCTCTTCCTTTTACAATCAAAAGAATTCTGATGAACATAACCAGCCCCCGTGTCCATGTGTTGTACACACGTATGACAAGGCTCCCAGTAAATACAAACATGTAAATTTCTCATTGACTTCTATGCCCTGATTCTTCCTATGTATGTTACAAGATGTAATAGTTTAGATCAACAGCAGATTCTATCAAGGAAAGAGCATTGCTTTCATGGACAATCCTTTGCTCATTCAGCAAATCTTTACTGAGCACCTACTATGGGCCAAGAGCTGTTCCAGGTATAGAAATGATGTGACAAAGAGAAGTCAATGGTCCCTGCCTTCATGGGGCTTATGTTAATTACAATGCAAGAGATGAAAAACACACAAGATCTATGTAGGTCATAAATGGTATGTTAGTGGGAAGCGCTAAGAGAGAAAAATAGCGAGACAAGGGGACGTGAAGTGTCAGGCAGTCTGCCCTTCTAGACAGGGTGGTCAGGGAAGTCCCCAGTAAGAAGGTGACATTTCAGTAAGGCCTCAAAGAGGGAGGAAGAAAGCCACACAGACTTCTTCCAGGAGAGCTATGCAGGCAGAGGGAACAGACAGAGCAAAGCCCTAAAACCCTTTAGAAAGGTCAAGGAAGGCCGCTCTGTCTGGAGCAACCTTAGTGGGAGGGAAGAGGAAGAGGACTGCAGAGAGTGGTCACACGGGGCTTTGCACGCCCTGAGGATGTTGGCTTTTCTTCCCTGTGGGTCATGGGGCCCGTGGAGGTTTGTATGCGGAACAGCGGTATGCCCTGACTTGTGTTTTAAAAGGCTTTCTCTGGCTGCTATCCTGCAAACTCCTTGGAAGTGTGCAGGACAGACGCGAGAAGCCCAGGTAGAGTCAGGCAATATCCAGCCACCTCCCCCAGTCAGCCACTGTCAGAGAACTGTCCCAGGACCACAGAAGAAAGCAAAAGTTCTTGGGCCCAGCCTCAGGGCCCTGGCGTCCCCGAAAGACCCCACCAGGCATGTTACACACTGTTGTCAGAACGGAGCAGGAAGGACAAAGAGGAGAGAGGACAGAATTAAGTTACCAACCTGAGCTCAGAAAGAGAATGTGCCATACCTGGGAAGTAACACAGTCTTATCTCCCTACAGTCTTATCCCTTCAAGACTGAAGAAAGGCACTTTGAAAACGCATTCAAAGTCAAATGTGAGAAATTCATGTAATAGGCAACTTGCTTTGCCATATTTGCCTTCAGAAGTAACTTCAAAATGTCTTATGTCAAATATTGAATACTATATATTATGGAAATTCTATATATGTCATATGTGTTGACATTCTACGTGTCTGTGTGTATATGTTGCATGTATGCACAGAAACATGATATGCATGTGTACATATATAACTTCCTGCAACATAGATTAGAACGCTAAAGCAAGAATCAAGAAACCTGAATTTAAACCGATTCTTTTCTGTGATCTTAATTTGTTCTATTTATCTAACACTCCTGATCCTCAGAAAATAAAACAAGAAAATATGCAATATGCTACACATTAAATGAATGTTTGCAAGGTGAAAATAAATAACATGTGAAAATACCAAGCAAGGATATGACCCTTCAGCAAATATTAGTTTCATTCTTTTCACTAAATTTTAAAAACGGCCTTTGCTGCTGAAGTATGTGCATTTCTGCCAAAGTGTGCACCCTTAGTGACAGTTTGTGTTTGAAGTCATCAGCAATTAGCTCTCCCAAGTTCATGCAGGGTGACAGCCTGGACACCGGAGCAGTTCTGGACCAGCTTAAGGAAAAGGCTCACAGTGACTAAAAAGGAAGACTTCTGAAAAACAAAATAACAGGCAGAGTGGCAAATGGAATTATTTACTAATGCTGAGATAAAAGTTCTCTTCCCCAAATGCTGCAAACAGCGCAATTATTACTATTATAAAACATCAGTAAATGGAGACAATGGAATCCACTAAAGAGAAAGGCCACTGTTAGGCAGAAAGCCATCGCGGATGAAGGAAGAAGGAAGCCAACTGGGACCAGAGACTGGTAAATTGTTGAATGACAATTAAATAACACTAATTGGAGATTATGTAGGTCATAAATGGTATGTTTATGACCATACCATTCACGTTAAAGGAGATTCACGTTAAAGGAGAGTTCACGTTAAAAGGAGATTAAATAACACTTGGCAATGAATTCAAGGATGGGCACATCCTACAGCTCACCAGCTCTACACCAGATCATGCTTCTCTCCAAAGAGAGAGCATCTGGAGACCTGGACCAACATGTTCTTAATAACGTTGTTTCTATTTTCAAAGAAAAAAAAAAATAGGAAACAACCTAAATATCCATCCACATGAGAATGAATAAATCCAATGTAATATTATTTAAGAGTTAAAATAAGTGAATCATGGATCTATGTGGATGAGTCTCAGAAACATTACGCTGAGGGGAGGAAAAAGCAAGAAATGTAGACACAGGGCTGGGCATGGTGGCTCACGCCTGTGATCCCAGCACTTTGGGAGGCCGGGGCAGGTGGATCACTTGAGGTCAGGAGTTTGAGACCAGCCTGGCCAACATGGCCAAACCCTAGCTGTACTCAAAATACAAAAATTAGCCGGGTGTGATGGTACACCCCTGTAGTCCCAGCTACTCGGGAGGCTGAGGCAGGAGAATCACTTGAACCTGGGAGGCGGAGGTTGCAGTGAGCTGATATCACACTGCTGCACTCCAGCCTGGGTGACAGAGCGAGACTCCATCTCAAAAAAAAAAAAACAAGTGCATACTGGTGAATGTATGGTGGGAGGGGGCTTGATAACAACTTTCAGGGGAGTGGTGACAAGACCTGCTGGTGAAAAAATGTACAGGGAGCTTCCCTGTTACTGGTGATGTTCTAGTTCTTACATTTGATGGCGAATTCACACGTTATCTTTTTACTATCACCCTACAAAACTTGCATGTACACATTATATATAATCTTTTGTGTTGATCAACTATCTCACGATAAGAATATTTTCAAAGAAAGCAGGGACGCAGTTTTAAAAGTCCTGATGCAGAAACTGAGGAACCCAGAGATTAGACAAAAAACATGAGTGGGAGAAGAGAAAATGAGTATTATAACCAGTAATTCAGTTGATATTTTCAGTCAGCCAAAGACTTGGGTTTTTTCGTAAATGGCAGGTGAGCTAGTCAATGGGTATCCACCATCTGCAGAAAGTTAAATCGGCCACTCTGAGTTTCTTCATCTTAGTGAGGCTGTTTACACCAGCAAACACAGACTTGAAGCAAGAAGGTAGGAAAAATTGCATTGAGAGAGTGTAAAAGGGTGGTGTTAAAGGGATTCCAAATATGGATTAGGGCCAGGCACCGTGGCTCCTGCCTGCAATTGCAGGACTTTGGGAGGCTGAGGCAGGAAGATTGCTTGAGGCGTGGAGTTTGAGACTAGCCTAGGCAACATAGCAAGGCCCCATCTCTTAAAAAAAAAAAAAAATTAAAATCAGCCAGGCATGGTGGTACATACCCATAGTCCCAGCTACTAGGGAAGCTGAGACAGGAGGAATACCTCAGCCCAGAAGTTCAAGGCTGCAGTGAGCTATGTTCACACCATTGCACTCCAGCCTGGGCAACAGAGCAAGACCCCATCTCTAAAATAATTAAATACATACATAAATATGGAGGAGGGAGGAATCATAGAAGTTCAAGGGGATGCGTCGCATGTATCACGATAGACAAGTGCAGTGAGAACTATGCAAGGACGGAAGGTATATATAGGAGGAGAACAGTATTTGCTTTAATGCAGCTTGTCAGAATATGTTTAACAGAAGCCTAAAATCTCAGGCACATGTATTACTGATTCGCATTATTCTGTTCTTTATTTCATACATTTCTGATACAATGAAATCCATGACTAATTTCATTACCTTTCACGACATGATAGATACTCCACATTTCTTTAAAGGGAGATGGTGAGGGTCGCAATATTTTAAAACTACATGCAAAATTCTTAATTTGATCTGCAAAATTTAGTGCTCAATTATGTATAGTTCTTGTATAGTTCATCATCATCTTATATCTTTCCACAGATTTTAAGGTACTAGAAAATGTAGACCACATGCTTCTTTCTCTCTCACTGCACTTTGTTTGGTGCTAAGCAGGTGCTAAGCATAGATTAAAAGCTTAATAACCATTTCATGATTGATTACTATCTAGTTTTGTACGTTTAAGGTCTAAAATGCAGAAAATTGATTAATCTCACAATGTTAGACGGGAATTAAACAGTCGAAAGGAAAATCTGATTAAGAGTTTTTTTTAAGGTGAAGTTAATTTTAGCAAATGTTAAGTCAAAGGAATGAGCTCAAAAGTAAATTTGCTTTTTTATAAATTAATCTCATAATTTGTAAATCTATGGTTAATTAAATAAAATTAAAATTATAATTACCTTTTTAAACATAATTAAAAAGCATTAAAAATCATGTCCATAGATTTCTAAGCTTTCAATTAAACTTCCACTGCATTCCCAGAGGCTCTTAGTGATATTTACTGTTTTGTCAGTTTTCCATGTATATTCACAATCCAACTTTACCAGATTTGGGGTTCTTTTACTTAAAAAAAAAAAAATGAAATTTTTTTTATTCTAAACAAAAATGCTAAATACATTAAAAATGACTTTTTTTCTTTTCTTTTTTTTTTTTTTTTTTTGAGACAGAGTCTCTCTCTGTCACCCAGGTTGGAGTGCAGTGGCACAATCTTGATTCACTGCAACCACTGCCTCCCAGATTCAAGCAATTCTTGTGCCTCAGCCTCCTCAGTAGCTGGGATTACAGGCGTACACCACCACACTGAGCTAATTTTTGAATTTTTAGTAGAGACAGGGTTTTGCCATGTTGCCAGGCTGGTCTCAAACTCCTGACCTCAAGTGATCTGTCCTCCTTGGCTTCCCAAAGTGCTGAGATTCCAGGTGTGAGCCACCGTGCCTGGCCCCAAAAAGCACCTTTCAATTTCTCAATCAGTTAAGATAATTAAAAATTACCCCTAAGACACTCAAGTGTAGCTTAGTGTTTAAAAATATAGCCTCAGAAATTACACAAACTTGTCTTGGGCCCTGACTCCACCATATTAGCTGTGTGACCTTAGGCAAGTTACTTAGTATCTCTGAGATTCAGTTTCCTCATATACAAAATATGCGTAATTTTAGTACAATATTGAGAGCACTTTTGTGAGAATTAAATGAGATAATACTACTGCCTGACATCTAGTAAGTGGCTCCTGTGTTCCAAGCATAGTAATGAGTGTTTTACATTATTGTGTGAGCAGAGCGAGGATGGGAAGCCCAGCGGATAAGCTGTAAGATGTGCTCAGCACTCCTTACTGTACACACATGTTGACTCACTCACTCATCATAACTCAACATCCTGCCCCATGGCCAGGGACTGTGCAATCTGCATTTAGGAGCTCCTTCAGTCCTTTTTGGATCAAAAAAAGAATACAAATAGGCTGGGCACAGTGGCTCACATCTGTAATCCCAGCACTTTGGGAGGCCAAGGCAAGAGGATCACTTGAGCCCAGGAGTTCAAGACCAGCCTGGGCAACACAGTGAGACCTTGTCTCTGCTCCCCCCACCAAAAAAAAAAATTAGCTGGACATGGTGGCACATGCCTGTGGTCCCAGCTACTCAGGAGGCCTCTGAGGTGTGAGGATTGCTTGAGCCTGTGAGGTGAAGGCTGCAGTGAGCTGTGATCATGCCACTGCACTCCAGCCTGGAAAACAGAGCGAGACCTCATCTTAAAAAAAAAAAATTAATAGAATATAAATAAATAAAGGCAACAATAATTACAAGGTACATATATCATCTTCAGATAAATCTTAGCAGGTATGCACGTTAAGGTCCATTTCACAGATGAAGGAAGTTTGCAGAAGTCATGGAGCTGATGGAAGGCGGAAGTCTCTCTGACATCCACCTGCCCAGCATCTCCCCAGATGTTATCTTTCAATTTATCTGACAAGGAAAAAAATGCCAAAGCGAAAAATATCAAAGTGAACACAAGTAAGACATAAACAACATTCTGTAAATAAGCAGAAGTGAAAGTGGAACCAATTGAATATTTCTTAGTATAGGATGCCAAAAGATTTGCATAACCTAAAATTAGTTAATTTATTATCTGTAACGGATCCTGTAGTGCCACAAAAGAGACAAATAACCTCCCAAGGTAAAGTTTAACACAACCTACATTTCAATAAAAGTGTTTTCAGGTCTTTCTGTTGAAGTCAAAAATGGTTTAAGTTTTCTTTTAGGAAAGATCAGATTAGCAGGGAAATACCATTGCCAAAATGGTAGCACTGGCAAAAATACTAATTCAAGGCAAAATATTATATCTATATTAATAAGGAAAATTGAAGCCTAAAATATGTACACATAATCCATATTTTCACTAAGAATTTCACTAATAGCATTTAATAATTTGGACAATTGATAAATTTTGCTTCTGAACACATGTTCTCTTAATCCTTTAGTCTCATCTTTATATGATTATAATTTTTAAATATAAATAGCTTAATTCACACACAGAATAGAATTTTTTTTTCTTTTTTTTTTTATTATACTTTAAGTTTTAGGGTACATGTGCACATTGTGCAGGTTAGTTACATATGTATACATGTGCCATGCTGGTGCGCTGCACCCACTAACTCGTCATCTAGCATTAGGTATATCTCCCAATGCTATCCCTCCCCCCTCCCCCAACCCTAGAATTTTTTTTTTTTTTTTTTTGAGATGGAGTCTCACTCTGTCACCCAGGCTGGTGTGCAGTGGCGCAATCTCGGCTCAATGCAAGCTCTGCCTCCCGGCTTCACGCCATTCTCCTGCCTCAGCCTCCCTAGTAGCTGGGACTATAGGCGCCCACCACCACACCCAGCTAATTTTTTGTATTTTCAGTAGAGACAAGGTTTCACTGCATTAGCCAGGATGGTCTCGATCTCCTGACCTCGTGATCCGCCTGCCTCGGCCTCCCAAAGTGCTGGGATTACAGGCGTGAGCCACCACGCCCAGCCATAGAATAGAATATTATTGAAATTACTTTGAACCAGAAGGTACCACACAAGGTTAAAATAAGGAGAGAATAAGAAATCACAACAGGGAATAGTCCTGTGTACATATTCTGAATTATAAAGTATTACGAAATAAGTAATTTCCAGTTAGAAAATAACTAATTAGGAAATGAGTCATTCAGAAAAGAAAAGCTACATCCTAACTAGCTTAAAGAAACAGGATAAACCCAGAATCAAGCAAATATAAACAAAGTGAACTAACACAAAACAGTCATGAAAGTGAAAATAACCTGTCCTAAATCTCAAAGTCTCGTCACAGCTGATAAAAGTGACAGATTATTCCTCAATGTTTCTAGATATGTAGATTGATAATGTCATTAAAATTGTTCCTAACCTCCCTCTCATACCTGCAATGGCATTATTGATCAGGCAAACACCAACTGTTTTTCTATAACAAGACATAATTCTTCCACTCTACAAAACTGAAAAAAGAAGAAAAAAACTCTGTAAACAGCAAAAGAGAAAAAGAAATACAAATTTAAAAATCAATATAGGCCAGGTGCAGTGGCTCATGCCTGTAATCCCAGCACTTTGGAAGGCCAAGGTGGGCGGATCATGAGGTCAGGAGATCAAGACCATCCTGGCCAACATGGTGAAACCCTGTCTCTACTAAAAATACAAAAAAAAATTAGCTGGGCATGGCAGTGCGCACCTGTAGTCTCAGCTACTCGGGAGGCTGAGGCAGGAGAATTGCTTGAACCCGGGAGGCAGAGGCTGCAGTGAGCCAAGATCACGCCACTGCACTCCAGCCTGGTGACAGAGCAACACTCCATCTCAAAAAATAAAATAAAAATTAAAAAAAAAATGTAAATGCATTATACTTAGTGTGTATACAAATGACACAAAGGGATGACAGACAGCATGGATCTCAAAAAGTCATTTTAATCAAAGCATGTAAAAGATTATTTCCTTACTGCTGAATTTCATTTAAAATATAAATCTCCTAGAATTTTTTACAGGTTATTTAAAAAATCTATGTTACAACTAGAAATAGAGCACTAATTCACGTCTTCCATAAGAAAGAAACTATTAAAAATAAATATATTAGAAGTGTTGAAGAGTTACATGAAGAATTATGGCTTCTTAGCTAACCGTAAGAGCTCCACATTAATTACAGTGTCAGTTGTAAGAAATGCTGGAATGTTGTCTCCCTGCTATGTAACAGCAGGTATGATTTATTGAAGACCTATAAGGTGTCAGACATTGTTCTAGGCACTTAACAGACTATCCTGATTAATCTTCAAAATCACTTTGTAAAAAAGATATTTTACCTTTTTCTTTTTTTTTTTTTTTAAGAGACAGAGTATTGCTTTGTCACCCAGGATGGAGTGCAGTGGCATGATCATGGCTCAGTGCAGCCTCCAATCTCCTAAGCTCAAGCAATCCTCCCACCTCAGCCCCCGGCATAGCTAGGACTTTGGGCATGAGCAACCATGTCCAGCTAATTTTTTCTTCAATTTTGTAGAGACAGGGTCACACTATATTTCCCAGGCTGGTCTCAAATTCCGGGCCTCAAGTGATCCTCCTGCATCTGTCTCCCAATATGCTAGGATTGTAGACATAAGCCATCGCTCCCAGACTACCATTTTTTTACATAGAAAAAATGTATCAGAAACCTATAATTTGATCTACCCAAATCCTCCCTCCTTCTAGTAATGGTCCTGAGCCTCTTTCTCTTCACGTAGACTTTGTCAAGAGGTGCCATTTTTTAATTTAACCTCCTTCTTTAACCACCATGGATTGGCCTCATTTGGCCTAAGCCAGTCCAAGTCAAGAGGTTTGATTTAGGAACTAGAACCCAAAGTCTGGAGTGAATCTTTCTCTCTAGTGAATAAAACTCTAAGACATCAAACTTTAGAACTATCAACAGCCATGTTTGCCATCACAGATGTGGAGGAACAGATGCAGTTCATCTGCCAAAAAGAGTCCTGGTCTGATGGCATTTGAATCCTGACCTCCCACTGTTCCTGAAGACCAAGCAGGCACACTTCTGCCCTTGGATTTTATACCCCAGTATCCTCAAAATTCTCATTTTGTTCAAGTTAATGAGCATTGGGTACTTTTATCACTTGTGACCAAGAATTCTAACTAATATGAGAAACTGAGGCTTAGTGGTTTAGTGGTTACAACCCAGGACCAGCATTGCCATCTGTGAATAGTAGAGTCAGGATTCAAACCCAGATCTGCTGTCCCCAAAGTCTTTGCTCTTCCCATCCTATCATGCTACAAAATGGCAATTCAAATACTTCGTAAACTTCAAAGACCATCGCTTAGTTTTTTTTCTTTTTTTTTTTTTTTCTTTTAGACAGGGTCTCACTCTGTTGCCCAGACTGGAATGCAGTGGTGCAGTCTTGGCTCACTGCAGCCTCAACGTCTTGGGCTCAAGCGATCCTCCCATCTCAGCCTTTCAAGTACTTGGGACTACAGGCATGCTCCACCACATCCAGCTAATTTTTGTATTTTGCGTAAAGATGGGGTTTTGCCATGCTGCTTCTCGAACTCCTGAGGTGGGCAAGTAATCTGTCCACCTCAACCTCACAAAGTGCCGGAACTATAAGCATGAGCCACTGCACCCAGCCTTGAAATGTAATTTAAATAAAAATATATCATTATTTTTCAAAAGACTAGATTCTAAACAATGTAAACAAGATCTGAAATAATTTTTAAATTGTTCTTACATGTTACATACATTAGCCAATTAACCTTTAATGGTTACACATACTACCAATTAGATGCTCAGTAGGTGTCCATCAAATGAGTAAATAACTAAGATAACTACTTAAAATGACCTGTAAAATAACTGCAGTCTTAAAGCACCAACTTAGAAAAGTGTGTAGGTTAATTTGCTAGTCTGACTTTTAAAAATTAACGTGAATTTTCAACAGGAAAAAAATGGATACTAAATAATTCAAGAAAATCCCAAACTTTGTTAACATTATAATTAGAAAAACTATTGCATGAGTTTGTGCTTCAGTTCATCTATTATCTTGATTGTATTTCTATGAAGTTTCAAGTTTCATGATTCGATATAATTCCATGGTGTTACAGGTACAATTATATTTGTCCTTTGCTGACTCCAAATGGTCCCCTCAGCCTGAACACACTAACGGGCTCCAAGCAAGTCCAGTTCTAGGTCAGTTTCCCAAAATGACATAGGACCATTCTTTTTCCTCTACAATAAATACCTCAAGAGCCTATCATATTGTTTTCTTTGTAATGTAGATATAAAGAACTGGACTTTATAATTACAAAGAGAAAGAGTTAAAAATAAGATCTTAAAAGTACTAGAAGTGGGAAAGAGGGGCCAGTTTGAGGTTGACATGGATAAGTGTTTCGACTTCTCTTAAGAATCCTAATTTTGGAATGTCATTCTGCTTGGGCCCATGAATGGCTCACTCCTACATTTCATAGTTCATGAGAGTACAGCTATTTGAGAAACAGCAATAAGTTGGCATTGCCAATGAGCCAGGTGGTTCCACTATGTGGAAACCATCTGGTCCGAGTTTTCTCTTTGTCAGCACCATCAATACATCAGTAGCAAGAGCTATTATAGGGATTGTGTATGTTTCATTTCTTTAAATAAACTCAAACAAAACTACCCTGAATGTAAATTTGTTATTTCTTTGAATTGTTCTTTCAGAGTATAACGAAACCCACGTCAAGATGAGTTACACTTGAATACCTACAGTCATTACATAACTTTACAAAACAAGGTGGCAAAAGACTGGAAGCCTGCCTCCAACTCCAGCATCTCTTGGACATGTTAACCATTCACGAGGTAACTACTGCCCAACCTAGCACTAGCAAAATGAGGAATTTTCTGCTGAGGTAGCTGCCAAAGGAAATCTATGTGTCCATATAGATATATATGTGGGCTGTAAAGAGATTTAGATAGAGGTGTTATTTAATCAGTCAAGAAAAACAAAAAGAAGGGGCTCTGAGAAACTTAAACCTAATTAATCAGAGGCCCTACTGACCCCATCCAGTGGACAATATGACAAGCCAATGAGCAATACTCATCAAATCACTGCCTGTATTGTGAAAAATCTATGACAAAAATATGCTTCCAAGTTTGGAGATTTCAGCTGGGTATGGTGGCTCACACCTGTAATCCCAGCACTTTGGGAGGCCAAGGGAGGCAAATCACTTGAGGTCAGGAGTTCAAGACCAGCCTAGCCAACATGGTGAAACCCCATCTCTACTAAAAATACAAAAAAAAAAATTAGCTGAGCATGGTGGCGGGCACCTGTAATCCCAGCTACTTGGGAGGCTGAGGCAGGAGAATCGTTTGCACCCAGGAGGCAGAAGTTGGCAGTGAGCCGAGATCACACCACTGCACTCCAGCCTGGGCGACTGAGACTCTATATTAAAAAAAAAAAAAAAAAGTTTGGAGATTTCTCAAAGAACTGAAAAATAGAATTACCATTCGACCCAACAATCCCATACTAGGTACATACCCAAAAGAACATAAATTGTTCCACCAAAAAGACAACTGCACTTGTACATTTATCACAGCAGTAGTCACAATTGCAAAGACATGGAATCAACCCAGGTGTTCATCAATGGTGAACTGAAGAAAGAAAAGGTGCTACATATACACCATGGAATACTATGCAGCCATAAAAAATAATAAGATCATGCCCTTTGCAGCCACATGGATCGAGCTAGAGGCCATTATCCTAAGCAAATTAATGTAGAAACAGAAAACCAAATACCACATGTTCTCACTTATAAATAGGAGCTAAACATTGAGAACACCTGGACGCAAAGATGGGAACAATAGACACTGGGGACTTCAAAAGGGAGGAGGGAGGGAGGGAGGCAGGGGTTGAAAAACTACCTGTGAGATGCTATGCTCACTATTCAGGCAACAGCAACATTAGAAGGCCAAACCTCAGCATCACACAATATACCCATGTAACAAACCTGCATATGTATTCCTGAATCTACATTAAAAAAAAAAAAAAAAAGTGCTTCAGGTCCTTACCTGTACCTAAACAAAGGAACATAGCCAACCAAAAACACTAGGCTTTCTGTAATACACATATGTGAAGAGATACTGGCATTAATAAACCTTGTCTTTTAAGCCCTTAATCTCAGTTTCAGTCAAAGATAAAGTTTCCAGTCCAGGTGTTTTTATCAGAACACCCAAAGTCAAATCTCCCTAAATGCCAGCATCTACCTTCCAAAGGCCGACCTCCATTTCACTGCCCTTTAGATAGAAGCCGGAAGTCAGCACGTCACATTCACTTAAGAAGGGACAAATTAAAGAGGTTAAAGTACTGACCTAAAGTTAAAAGAGAAAGAAAGTGAGGCTGTAAGGGATTTTGCTTTCTTCTAGTGGCAGGTCGTCTTCGTTCCCCCATTTCTTAACCAATGTTTGACTTGTCAAAATTGCTTTGCTTCATCTGCACCTGACATCTAAATCATGTGACAGGCACATAACCTTATCAAATTTCTAGTTATAGTACAAATAGAGGTAACAAACCATATCCACTGAAACTGATAACGGCTCACACAAAGAGCTGAAAGGCTGGGCTTGCAAGACAAGGGAGAGGCATCACAGATAGGCGAGCTGGCCTGTGAGCCCACAGGAGGAGGAGGAGGAGGAGCTGCCCAGATGAAAGGCTAATTCCACCAAATCCAATTGGTACTCAAATCCTTCTGCCAGAGATTGAATCAATCAAAAGACCCCGCACTGGGGTGAAAAAAAACTGTGAAATCAGTGGTGTTAGCTTGTTCCAACTAGCATTTAAACTTAAAAGGCAAATGTAACAAAAGCATCAGAATGGTACCTTTGAAAGTTGTCTGCCAACCACAGTTTGCCCTAATACGTTGCCAGGTTATGAAGTACCACTTCCTAATTCAGTCTTGCAATGCAAGGAATACTAAATACAGCCCCGGTTTTATCTGTAACTCAAGCCTAACGTTCCTGCTCATCTCTAGGATTTGCTCGGAAACAAACAAGAAAATAGGATCTGCCACGAAAAGAATACAGTATTTTAAGGGAATAGATTACATTGAAAATTAATCTTAAAATGTGGTATGAAACACACATCCTTTTAAAAATCTTTTTTGTTTATTTAAATGCTCTGGGCTCCTAACGCTTCAGGAAATACTGCAGAAGAAAATAAGGAAATAGATATGAAAAATAGATGTAGTCAGCTAGGCAATTCCCCAGCTAAAAGACAGACCCGAAATGAGATTCAAGTTTATCCAACCATAAATATTCCATCTTCCCCAACACTTCCCTGGTCTGAGACCTTTTATCCTAGTCTCAGGAAGGGCTCCTCTAAGACTGAATAGTCTAATCAGAACACCAAATCTTTTTAGTTTTCTAAATGAAGACAGATCAATAATATCCCGAAGAATAGAGAGCTTATTCAAGTAATATACAAGGCCATTTGTGAGTCTATCCTATTTATGACATTTCTCAGTAAAATTAACAAGAAAAGCTAACCAAAAAAAAAAACGAGTTATTTGATTAAATCAAAAATTTAGAAAGGGCTGGGTGCAGTGGCTCACATCTGTAATTTCAGTGCTTTCAGAGGCCAAGGTGGAAGGATTGGTTGAGGCCAGGAGTTCGAGAACAGCCTGTGCAACATAGCAAGAACTGGTCTCTAATAAAAATTTAAAAAAATTAGCCAGGAGTGGTGGTGCATGCCTGTGTTCCCAGCTACTCAGGAGGCTGAGGTGGATTGCCCGTACCCAGGAGTTTGAGGCTGCAGTGAGCCGTGATTGTGCCACTGCACTCCAGCCTGGAAGCCAGAGCGAGACCCTATCTCAAAAAAAAAAAAAAGTTTGGAAAGGTGTGGAGCATCCAGTAATCAAAACAATTGCTGCTAAAAATAAAAGTTGGAGCCACTCGAGAGCAAGAGGAGTATGTCTCCATATCTACCCCTAGAAAGTCTCCTCATGCACAAGGATAAATAGCACAGTGAAATCTGCAATCTAAATGTCTCAATACACAGATAAGACAGCATACAGTCATATTACGGCATCTTAGGCATCAGTTAAAATTAAGTAAGTAAATAAGTAAAAATTAAATCAATTCTATTTCTCTAGCTGAATCACCATAACTCTGCAAAACAATATTAGATGAAAAAAAAAGCAAGCTGGAGGATAAATATAGAATATGAAATCTTTTATTAAAATAATACACGTAGGACTGGGCACGGTGGCTCACGCCTGTTATCCCAACACTTTGTGAGACAGAGGTGGGAGGACTGCTTGAGACCAGGAGTTGGAGACCAGCCTGGGCAAAAGAGCAAGACCTTGTCTCTACAATAATAATAATGATAATACACATATAAGATTGTATTTTCTATGAGTATTTATTTAGATATATAAATGAAGAAAAAAAAAAGAAAAACCTGGAAAAATGTACACCAAAATGCCAAATGGTAGGAATGGTCCTTTGAGAGCATGAAAGAGAAGATGCAAAAGGTGGTCAAGAGAGCCCAGGTGGTCATTAGCCTTGTCTATACTATTTTTATTTCTTACATGTAATGTATTTATGTTTTACTCGTATAATTCTCAGAAGAGATCTAATATTATTACTTCAAGAAAACATGCCACATTATTTTAGATCTTTCAATGTACAGAGTAGAATTGCATCGTGAAATGCTTATCCCATAGATTCTCTTTATTCTGATTGACTGAATAAAGGTAAATAGTGATGTAGATATACATAATGTTTTAAGCAAACATAATATAACACAGTTTTTTTTAATTCATTTATGTGTTTGTTTAGTAGAGACAGGCTCTCACTCTGTCACCTGCGCTGGAATACAGTGGTGCAATCATGGCTCACTGCAACCTCTAACTCTTGTGCTCAAGCAATCCTCCTACCTCAGCCTCCTGAGTAGCTGGGACTACAAGCACATGCCACCATGGTCATCTAATTTTTAAATAAAATTTTAATATAGGCCTGGGCTGGTCTCAAACTCCTTGCCTCAACCAAGCCTCCTGCCTCAGCCTCCCAAATCACTGAGATTACAGAAGTTAACCACCACAACTGGACACAGTTTAATTTAAAATTTTAAGATGTGAATATATTCTTTTAAAGTGTCTCATTTCCACAAAAAAAAAAAAACAAACCATAAAATTCACCATGAGATGAGTTTCTGTAGAAATTCCATAGGGCTTGTATTCAAAGAACTCAATTTAAATGGCTTAACTTGCTAGCAAATATTTGTGTGTTTGTAGCCTATACAGAAGTATACAGTGTTGGAGTTGGTATCACCTATAAAACTCAAATGTCATCAGTGAATGGGCTAAGCCATACTTTTGTCCAGCTCTGGTGGTCACAAAGAAAAGTTTCTTTTTGTTCAGAAACATAAAAAAGTTTTTTTTGTTCCAGAACAAAAAGAACAAAAAAAAAAGTTTCTTTTTGTTCAGAAACAAAAGAACCAGAAAAAGAAAAAAAAATATATTTAGGTGCTTGAGAAAGAAGAAGAGACACTGAAAGAAAAGTAGAGAAGAAAGAAAAATAAACAGGCAGATGTACAAACACCTGCAGTGCACATACAATCGTTGGTTAAGGTCATGTACATATATAGCGTGCATGGTACAAACAGTGCAGGTAGCATGGAGGTGACCACCAGTAACCAGTGGCCTTACACTTGGTAAAGTATCAGCCAGGGGCCCTAGAACAGAGAGAGCCTCTATACCTCAAGACCAGTGTGAAGGCAAAGATCCACATCTGCCATTCCCTCCCCAGGCTCTAGAAATTGCATCAGGTACAAACTTAGCAGGTTGATCACTATCCTAGCTCCCATCTCTTCCTGGCTGCCTTTGTTAACAAAAGTGAGACTGATTTTCTTTGTAAGTATCAATGCTTTTTGAATCATCTTATAAACAAAGCATATTTTAAGTTTATTACTTCTTCCTTCTAACAGGCAAGAATTTAATATTCTTCCAAGGCTGGTAAGAACTGTGCTTAAGACATTCCACCGAAGTCTCAGAGTCTCATCTAACATTTTTTATTCCTTTTTAATCAATAGAGATGGGGCCTCACTATGTTGCCCAGGCAGATCTCAAACTCCTGGCCCCAAGCGATCCTACCACCTCAGCCTCACAAAGTGCAGTGATTATAGGCATAAGCCACTGTGCCCAGCCCCAACAAATTATTTATTCAAAGCCACCTCACTAAAATTCCACTTAAACACACAGGTTAATTCACTGTCTTACAACGTAGTACCTGGTCAAACTTGATGTGTCCTAAAGATAGAGAACACATAAAGTTCAAAATATAGATATACTGATTTGAGGACAGGTCCTGCTGGAGGCACAGTCTACCCGAAATGGCTTCAAACACTAATACAGGCCAGAAAAGAAAAAAAAAAAAGACATTCTAATGTTGACTTCACAAACACAGGAAAATTATTTATCTCACCCCCTTCCTAGTATTATGAAGAATTCTACTGCATCTCATAAAAAAAACACACACAAAATTATAAAACAATCACTTTATAAAGTAAAAAACAAAAATTTCATATATACTGTGGTCAGCATTTGTCATTCCTTGAGCAGTCAGCAACCTACATCCCTTCTTTGGGTAACAGCACCCTGACTTGCTTCTGAAAACTCAGCACTCCTTATCTCTCCCAAGGCTGGATAACATGACTTGGGACTGGCTAATCAGAGTATCATACTTCCCTATTTCAGTGACTTGTTCAGCCATGGACATGATATCCAGTCAGGGCCAGAGAGACCCACTGACACCGGTGATAGGGGCCTCTCTTCCACTGGACTGACAGCTACAAGGATGTAGGCTGAAGGTCTGGCAGCCACCTTGCGACCATGAGGTAAGCCTGCCTGAAAATGGAGTTGTCACAGAAGACATGAATTGAGAGATAGAAATAAACAGCCTATGAGCCCCTCTTAGCAGCCTTGCCCTAATGCCAGTTTCACCTCCCTGGACTCCTCAGGCACCAGAACCAACAATGCCAATGACAATTGGAGTTGAGATATCTGGCATTTCTAACAAAAAGAATTCCTAACTGATACACTCATCTACATTTTGTTAGCATTAAAACATATCTCAATGGGTTTTAGAGTCTTCCAGATTACATTTCTCCTGTATCATACCTTTCATTTGCCAGGCTAAGACTTAACACAGCTGTTTGTGATCAACGTTCAATTACCCACCCTAACAGAAAAGTGGTTCAGAAAATCCTAAACAGCGGGTACTCAAAAATCATTTGCATATGGTTTAGGAATGCATCGTGTAGTTACAGAAAATTCGGAAACATCGTCAAATGTTGTTTAAATATTTTTTGACAGATCCTCAGATGGGACTCCCCCTCTCCAAACTACTGCATGTAAGTCTAACTTCAGGCATCAGTGCTCACACAAATTTTAAAAAGTCTCAATTTCAGCAAGGGTATCCTATTTTTTTATTTGTTGAACTTGAGCAAGAATTCTTTTTCTAGAATTTGCTGGGGTGTTACTATTTGAGCTTCTGGTGATAATCATATTTAAAAGTACACTATAATATCACTAAAATGGTATTTAAAACAATTTTCAGAGGAGAGAATAATTCCACAAAATGACTGAAAACAAGATAACTGTGATTTAGCTGTGTATATTCACTGATTCTATATTTCTGTTGAAAAGATGTTTTCTGGATTATGCAAAATTCCTAAAAACCCTAAAAGCAAGAACTGACAAGCATCTTACTTATACCTTTTGGGATATCTTTTAATCACTTAGCATACCATAGGTATTCAAAAGTTCTTAGTATGGCCTTCCCCCCCAAAAAATTTCTCACTATCTTTTGTTTTTTTCCAGTCATTTTAATATTTTATTTTTCAACCATAGTGTTGTTTAGTAATGTCTATTAAAAGGGATAAAAGATAATTTCTGATATCAGGGCAATCATATCTTAAGAATGCCAAGTTTTACATGGGTTTGAGAAGCTTGACAATAAACTTAGTATTTAAATTGATCACAGTAAGACCTCAGAACATTCACTAGAATGTTTTATCTACAATCTAATTTCAAAAAAAATAAAGAAAATGTGAAGGCTGGAAGCTGATCTTATAGGATGGGTAGGGTAAGGTAGGTACCCTAACCCTTGGGAACCGAAGAGGGGAGTATGGCAACCTGGTGAAAAATCCTGAATTTCCAACTTGGAGCTGGGCCTATCCCATGGTGAGACCTTAGCAGCTATCTGGAGAAGCATGTCTCTTCACTTAGGAAGTGAGAAAATCAAATTAGATAATCTCCATAAGTCTTGTAGAATGCTGAGACTTTACGATTCATTCCAGAGAATTGCCTGGAAAATTAACCATGAAAGATAGAACAATTATCTTGAGACCATTTATAATAATCACCAAATACACATAAAATCAGTGTACTGCAAAAGTATGTGCTAAACTTCAACGCAAAAGTATGCACTAAACTCCAATGATAGCTTAATTTTGATTTATGGTAGAATCATTTTCAAAAATCATCAGTGAAATAAAGGGAGTTTTCTGATTAATCTTTGGCTAGCCAAAACAGTGAATCTGGAAAAACCTCTCTTTCCGTAAGTATTCCAATTTTATTTGGCAATAAACTTACTAGTTGTTATCAAATTGCAAATCGTTGTACCCAAAATATCTGTCCATAGGTATTCACAAGCATCCAGTGATAACTAGCGCAGTCTAATTGTGTACAAGGCAAAGAGAAATTAAAGTAATTGGTGTGTCCAGGGACAGAACCCAAAACTTGGCCTCATTAATATTGGCTAGGCCAACTGAGCAGCCCATTAGGCACAAACTAATGAGACATATACACTTACCCCTGGTATGAGAGTCTCCAGGAAAATGCTACACATGACATGTACAATAAGGAAAAATGGCTAAAATCATCAGACACTAAGAAATCCTGGATGACTATAATTTACACTTTAGTTAATCAAGTCCTATTTAAAATGCCTCAGGGAACTGGTATTTAAAATTCTTTTATAGCAATTACTTTTTTAAAGAGAAAGTAATGACCCTAATATATCTATTTTGCAAATCTATGTAGTTTTTCAAAAGGTAAAAACATTAAACAGCTCACCCAATAATTAGTTTTTTAATCAAAACCTACAAGGGAGGGAAAGGTACTTTTTAATAATGAAGTTTTGCAGGCAAACATCCAAAAATCCAACAGAAAATGTACCTGAAAAAAAAAAAGCTCCAAACTTCTAAAAAGTAAAGATTATATTAAAAACAGGTACACCAAAAACACATAGTAAAAATCTAATATCAAACTTGTGTATGCTACATTGATTTCCACCATCATTGTAAAACAAACTATCGTGATGTTATCTCAACTTAATAACAAAATTATTTGTTTCCAAGCTATAGGAATAATGTAGTTGTCAGTTTGTTTGACAGGGTCCAAGGGACAAAACTAAATAATCTAGAGGAATGGAATGTTGTTTATGTTTTTCATGTAGGACAAAATAAAATATTGAACGAAAACTATTATTTCTAGAGAGAAGGCAAATTGGTGAAAATTTTCAGTCTGACACATGAGAGGACCTTTGTCTCATCAGGTTTTGACAATGAGATGTCTCTCCCCTAGTTGAAATTCGACTTGTTTTAAGCCAGAACATCGAAGAATTGGAGCATTCTACAAGGCAGAGTCATTCTTTTTATTGTGAGATACAGAAGGAGCCCTGAAAAGTCTTCCCCCATTCATTCTCTGTGCACTTGGGCCCTGCAGTTCTTCCTCACCAAGCAGAAGTCAGCCTTGGTCTTATGCTGTAAAGCAGAGGTCCCCAACCCCCAGGCCACGGACTGGTACCGGTCCATGGCCTGCTAGGAGCCGGGCTGCACAGAAGGAGGTGAGCCACAAGTGAGCTGGCAAAGCTTCATCTGTATTTACAGCCACTCCCCACAGCTCCCATTATCGCCTGAGCTCCACCTCCCTTCAGATCAGCGGTGGCATTAGATTCTCATAGGAGCACGAACCCTATTGTGAACTGCACGTGTGAAGAATCTAGGTTGCTTGCCTCTTATGAGAGTCTGATGCTCTCATGATGATTTGTCACTGTCTCCTATCATCCCCAGATGGGGCTGCCTAGTTGCAGGAAAATAAGCTCGGGGCACTCACTGATTCTACATGATGCTGAGTTGTATAATTATTTAATTATGTATTACAATGTAATAATAGACATAAAGTGTACAATAAATGTAATGTACTTGAATTATCCTGAAACCATCCTGTGCCCCATCCATGGAAAAACTGTCTTCCACAAAATTGGTCCCTGGTGCCAAAAAGGTTGGTGACCGCTATGGTGAAGAAAATGCCCCACATCTGTAATGCCCTTCAATCTCAAACAGATCACAGCAACTCTATCCCCATGCCCTTCAACCTCAAATGGATCACAGCAACTCTAACCTCATAGGCTAGGTGGTCAAGGAAACCTCCTTTACCCACTCACAAAAAATTTTGTTCAAAAAATATTTTTTAGTCAGAGTCTCTAACATTCTAATAAGATTATCTTCATATTATTCAGAGTCTCTAACATTCTAATAAGATTATCTTCATATAAAATACCAGAACATGGATCAAAAAAACTCATTACCATGAAATCTCAATCTAAGCTGCTAATTAAATATCCGACAAACCAGTCACATTGCTCCTTGAATCCTGCTACTCATTTCAGGCAGTCAGAAACATCTATTAGTAGTGAAAACACTCTACTGTTTTAGTTGAAATAAATAAATAAATACTATTTATTTATTTCCCACAATCTACTAGTATGCAGCTATACTGAACATACAATATTCAGGATGGAGAGTAGCTCTGTCTAAAAAGGTAAGTGAAAGCTATAACGAAAATTATGTTTTTAAAAAAAACCAGTGTGCATCTCTATATAAAAGGACCAGCAGGAAAATAAAAATGTTGATGCATTAGATTCTTAGAGAATGGGCCTACAGGTGAGTTCAGATTTTTATTTTCATTATTGTTGTTATAAAATTATTTGTGCAAGAATTAAAAAGTTTAAAAACATATCCCTTTAGGTTAAGGGGATTTGATCTACTCTGGACCTGGTGGCATTACAAGCATGGAGAATGGACGCTGCTCTACAAGGCAGAAATGAACTGCAACTACATAAAAGCAGGTCAAGTGCTAAATGGAAAATACATCAGAGGCAGTGATACATCATAATTCATTGTCCTCCTGCCAAGTTCTAATACATATGCAGTTGTGTATAGGTGCTTTTTCCAAATTAGTACAATATAACCAGGAAATATCATACCATATATATAATTCATGCAAAGCAACCCAACAGTTCAAAGGTTGGTTCCGCTGTTGCAATAACTAGATTAGCCTACTCCAAAACAAACACAGATTTTAAAATAGGGCTAACAGTAATGGAAATGTCACATATCTCATTGACCTAAGCAAAATAATTAAGCCAAAAATAATTCAGCAACTCTTCGCTTCCCTTCAAAATTCCCAAAGTACTTTTCAATTAGATCCTAACTGAGCAACTTAATGCCTATTAGTGTTACAATCAACCCAGCTAATTATTGCTCAAGGTTTGCCAGCCTTCCAATGCCTTAAATGTTCCTAAATAATGGCTAAAGAAGATTTCAACAAATGATACCTAAAATCCCTTTCAAAAATAAGTTCTGTGTTTCCCTAGTATCTTAATATATCAAAACATTGATGCACACATGTACAATTTATAGGTTCTTGAAATAAACTAGCATCAATTAAATTATAATGAACAAGTCATTCTCATTTCATGTTTAAATAAATGACAGAGAAACTTGTTTTCTCTTGAGTATGAATTTCTATGATAGATCCTAAATAAAACTTGAAAATGTAAAATGAAATGAGACTGACAATAGAAAAACATACTCTCTCCAAATAGCATCAGAATAATAAATCCAAGCATCTGCTTTATATTCACAGGAACTTCTTTTCTTCTTTTTATTTCATTCAGCTATGGGGAATTGTTAGCACAGAACCCCCAACACCCACCAAAAAAATGTTATCGACTTACTATCTTTGGAGTCCTATTTTAGCAATTGTAAAGCATCGTTATTTGAATTTAGAAATTCATTTCTGATATTACATTTCTCAGGTATTTGCTAGATGAAATGTGGATTAAATGGGTAAAAATATTAATGTATTTTTCTAAGCTATTATACCATGTTGCTATAATTGCATATGTACTATCTGTACCGACCGTTATGGGTAAACCTACAAACAAGATCATTGCTTCTTTTTTTTTTTTCCTAAGACATTCACATATAGCATTCATTCTAACCAAACCCTGAGTGGGTATTTCCTAAGGACAATGTTTCCCTTGAAGCCCCTCAAATGATAACAAGTTGAGTTGGATGACCCCATTCCTGCCCATTGCTGCTTCCAGGCCTTTGTTCATCTCTCCTCCCTGCTCTTTTGATATACATGTTGCTGGATGACACACCCATTACTCCAGCCACATCTCTTCATCTAATCTTTCTCATTTCTTCACCTTTCTTTGTGCTTTCTCAGTGACCTCAATGTCACTTATGCAATGCACTCCACATCCTCACTCCTCAATCCTTAACCCCCTCTCCCAAACACTATATCCTCCACTCAGCTCTGCCTCCCACCACCAGAGCCACAGACTGGAGCATGGTGCCAATAGCTGTGCTGCCTCCCAAATCTATTTCAAGCATCTCAGTCTATACTAGGATCCATCTGAGACTGAAGGGATTATAGCAATGCGGGGCATTTTCTTTAGAGCATAAGACCAAGGCTAACTTCTGCATGGTGAGGAAGAACTGCAATGAACAAGTACTCAGGAATAAATGGAAGGAGATTTTCCAGGGCTCCTTCTGTACCAGCACCCCTTATTTTTCCACTCACTCCTTTTAATACTTCAACAATCCTCTGACATCACTAGGACTTCCACTGACTCCACCTACTGGAATTGCCCACCAGTCTCCACAGCTTCATTTCTTTCACATGAAACTTATATTCCATGGTACAGCATTATGGTTACTTCCTTATGAGATGATATACCATCTTCATGGACTGGAAAACTGGATAAATATGTCAAGTCTTCCTCAAATTGATATATGGTTCAATGTAACACCAATCAAAATCAATTATCCTCAAATACTCTCCCCTTCTGCTGTCTGTGGGACTCTCCTAGCAAAACCCCAATTCTGGTAAAATCCAATCTCTTCCTACTCTGCGTTGTATCCAAAAGGCCCAGTGTGGTACAGAAAAACACATAACCATGCTCTCTGGCTCCAGCTTATGATCATTTCAACTAAGCCCTTAGCCATGTCTGGCAACCCCATGACTTGTCCTGAGTCCATGACTTTCCCATTCCTCAGAAAAACCCTTTCCACATTACTCTGCCTCCTCAACATTCCATATCTGTGCCTTCACTCATTTTCAATTGATAATAATTTTTATTTTACTGGAAAAATGGGACTACTTAGAAGAAAGCTTTAGCATTTTCCCACCAAAAAAAAATTGACCAACCCTCTGCCTTGTCTCTGTTTCAACAGATGAACTGTCCTGGCTCCTAGCTAAAGCCAACTCCTCCCTCCATTGTGCAATAAGTCCTATCCCCCCTTGCCTAGCCAAGGACTTTGCCCCCAGAATTAACCTCTCTCTCCTCCATCATCAAATTGTCTCTCTCTATTGGGTCACTGCCATTAGCATACACACATACTGTGTCACCTAGATCCCTGTTTTTCTGCTACTCTATAGCAAAAACTCCTCAAATAGTTATCCAGATTCACAGCTTTGACTTCTCTTCTCTTACTTGGGCATGAGCACACTGCAAGCAGATGTTTGTCCCACCACACCATGGAAACCACACTTGGCAAAGCCACCAGTGAACTCCACATTGCTAAATCCATTGGGCAATTCTGCCATCAACTTCTTGGGAGCATTTGAGCAGAGTTGAACCGACCCTTCTTGAATGATTTCCTTCACTTGACTGCATCCCAGTCCATAGAGAAGTGCATGGCACACATTAGGTACTCAATACATATTTGCTGAATGAATAATTGGTCCATTGAAATTTACACAGTTCTTATTTTCATAACTAAATATTATCAGTATGAATTTACAGTAAATGTCAAAACCATGATTACTTTAAGAATTTTTGCTGCCAGAATCTGATTTGTCACTTATTTAAATAAGTGGTCAATTTTCTAAAGTGATGCTTTTAGTACAAATGAATAGAAGATTTGTAATCTTGGGAGATGGGTACATATTAAGTACTTGTCTCTCGAGGCAGCCAAAATCTTAAAATCACCATTTCCCCCCAACTTACCTAGTTTAAAAACATATTTAATCCAACTTTACTTTGGGGAGGTTTTTTGTTTTTGTTTTTGGAGGAAATGATTTCCAAAGGTGATCATTCAAAACATGTCTTAGCCTTCATTAGCAATTTGTGAAAACCAAAATAAAAGATGATATACCATTCTTGTGGACTGGAAACCTCAATAAATATGTCATAGTCTTCAAATCGATATATAGCTTCAACGTAACTCCAACCAAAATTCCAAAAAATGTTTTTTTAGAATGCAGTAATTTATATGGATGAATAAACAACCAAAAGAAACCATAAATTTATGAAGTGTGAGAAGACAGGGAGGGAGGAGGGGAGTGCTGGCCTTTCTGGAGAAGAAAAATATTACAAAAACTTCATGAAGTACTAGCATGGGACTAGATAAATTGATCAACAGAACAAAGCAGAAGGCCCAGCAATAGAACCCCACTTATATTGACATTTGATTTATGACCATTATATCTGAGGGATTCTTGTTCCTTGGAGGATCACATGCTCAATGAACATTTACAGGAGTAAATCTTTTGGAGCAGGGGTCCTTACCCTGACGTCTGCAGAGGTTGGGGGGTGGGCTGTGGATAAAATTCAAAGAGTCAGTAAATTCAAATGGGGAAAAAGAACATCTTTATTTTTACTCACCTCTAACTGAAATTTAGCATACCAATTACTGCTGAAATATGAGCAGAACCTGTGATGTTAACATTGATAAAAATCGGAAATATTTTCCTGTCACATTAGAGTTGTTACAGATATCTTGAAGTATTATTTATACTTGTCATTAAATTGAAGTTATGTTATTTGGCATCTTAATAATGAAGCCATATTATTCTATTATGAATTATTTTTTAATATTTTGATAACTATATTTTAATATACTTCATTTCCATGTGATTAATTGTATTTAATGGAATTAAAAACATTTTTTCTAAATAGCAGCCAATAAACTTTATACAACTGCCAAAAGGGTCCATGGCATACAAAAAGCTTAAAACCCCTGCTTTGAAATGTTAACAACACTTACAGCTATGTTTGTGTCCTCCCCAAATTCATATGTTGAAGCCTAATCTCCAGTGTGATGATATTTGAAGGTGATGGCCTTCGGGAGGTAATTAGATCATGAGGACAGGGACCTCGTGATTGGGATTAGTGTCCTTATAAAACCACAGCACTAGCTCTCTCTCTCTCTACCATGCAAGGATACAGAGAGAAGACAGCCATCTGCAAACCAGCAAGAGGGCCCTCACCAGACACCAGATCTGCTGGCCCCTTGATCTTGGACTTCTCAGCCTCCAAATCACTGAGAAATAAAGGTCTGTTGTTTAAGCCACCCAGTCTATGGTATCTTGTTGTAACAACCCAAACTAAGACACTTACCTCCAGGCCAAAGATATCTCAGAGAACCAACACTGTGCAGAGAATTTATGCAAGTTAAAATTACTCACTAAATGCAGCTTAGCCAGCCTAGCAAAATGACATTTTTCTTTCTGTCTCACCCAGTGTGACTCAGTCACTAATCTTCAGCCAGAAAGAATGCTTGCCACTATTTACTACATCCAGCAGATAATCCCTTGGTTTCAGATCATTCATCCCTGCTCTGATTTTCTCATTACCAATCTGACTGCAAAATCCTCTCCACATCCTGCTTTTCTCCTTCCCTTTCTTCCTGCCCCACTACTCAGTCCACAAACCTGGGCACTCTATTTTGCACGCTGTCCATCAATCAAGCTCTGCCCTATACAACAAATTAGCATCCCTAACACATACTCTGACATTTGACAGCTTTTCTCTACAGGGACACAGGGGCTATAATTTAATAAACAAAACCTATAGAGAAGTATGAGATATTTCCACATTGGTTCATTTAACAATTTTCTCTGCAGCAAATGAAATGTTCTAGACTTCATTCCTATTTCCTAAATGGGGAATTGGCTCTCTGACTTAATGAAGAATGTATATAGGAGATTTTTTACAGTACATTTATAACTGTCAAGCCCTCAAAAAAAAAATGCTATTAGCTTGATGACAAAAAATGTTGAAAAATTATCTATAAATAGGTGGTTCTAAAGTTTGAAAATTTTTATGACAGTGTTATAAACACTGTCATATTGTGAAATTGACAATCAATTTAGTCACATTTATTATCATAAATTTTGAACAAAATTTAAATCAATTAGATTTTCATGGAAAAGATAAAATTTTCCCTGATATTTGCTTTTTGGGACTGTTTTAAAGAAAGTGCCCAGCTGACAAATGTATGCCTATAAAACCAGAGGTTCTACTGAGATTTTTAATTTGTTTATATAAATGCTCATTTTTCCTTTTTTTGTTTTGTTTTTAATTTTTTTAATTTTTTTCTATTTTTATATTCAGGGGTACCGGTGCAGTTTGTTACATGGGTATGTTTCATGATGCAGAGGTTTGGGCTTTTAATGACCTCATTGCCCAGGTAGTGAACATAGTACCCAATACTTTGTCAACCTTTGCTCCCTCCCTCCCTCCCCCCCTCCCCTTTTTGGAATCCCCAGTGTTTATTATTCCCATCTTTGTGTCCATATGTACTCAGCATTTAGCTCCCACTTACAGATGAGAACATGCAGTGTTTGGTTTTCTGTTCCCACATTAATTTGCTTAGGATAATGACCTCCAGCTGCATCCATGTTGCTACAAAGGACAAGACTGTATTCTTTTTTATGGCTGTGTACCATTCCACGGTGTATGTGTACCACATTTCTTTACACAATCCACCACTGAAACGAACCTAGGCTGATTCCATGTCTTTGCCATTGGGAATGGTGCTGTGATAAACATGAATGCAGGTATCTTTTTGGTAGGAATGCTAATCCTTATGTTTTTAAAAGTAATGAAATAAATTACATTTTCACTTTTTAAAAATTACTTTGCTAATTAGTAGTAATTAAACGTTGGTTTAAAAATAGATATTACAGATGTATATGAACATTTTTTATGTTTTATGACTATCTAGCATCTTTTGAATGCCATTCCTAAGTTTCATCAATTTTCCACATTTTAAGTCTTGCCTCTCACCAGGTTGAAGTTATAGATACTTTCTCAACCGCCCTTGCAGTTCAGACACAGGCATGTGACCTAGGCAGCATGAATTAGATGGACCCATAAGAGTCTTTAATTCCAAAGAGAACATGGGGAAGCAGGCACCATGCAGAATTCCTCTTTTGAGTGACGACAGAGGCTCCTGGGCTCAAGGGTGGCACAGGCCCCAGTGGCAGAGGTTCTAGGACCCAGAAACCCATGAGAGCAACAGGAGCTGTGACCTCTTATCAGCAGATTTAATAGGGTCCTTGCTGACGGTCACTATGCACTTTGAGAGCCCTATCCCTGACTGCTCAGCCTCCAGACCTAGCTCTCCTACCCTCGCCTTGAGCTGCCTTCCTTCCCTGAGCTACTTACTATCCTCTACTAAAATTTACTTTCTCCGTAGGCCAACTACAATGAAATCAGTCATTTGCAACTACAAAGTCTTTTTTTTTTTTTTTTTTTTTTTTTTTTTTGAGGCGGAGTCTCGCTCTGTCACCCAGGCTGGAGTGCAGTGGTGTGATCTCTGCTCACTGCAAGCTCCGCCTCCCAGGTTCATACCATTCTCCCACCTCAGCCTCCCCAGTAGCTGGGACTACAGGCGCCCGCCACCACACCCGGCTAATTTTGTTTTTGTATTTTTTTAGTAGAGACGGGGTTTCACTGTGTTAGCCAGGATGGTCTTGATCTCCTGACCTCATGATCTGCCCGCCTCGGCCTCCCAAAGTGCTGGGATTACAGTCGTGAGCCACCGCGCCTGGCCTGCAACTACAAAGTCTTTTAGGGAGTTTTTCAAAGTCTTTTTAAAACAATCGTGTCTACGTGACGTTTTAAAACATGTAAAATCCCAAAGAAAAAAGATTAAATAGGGGTGTCTAATTCTATTAATATTTAAGAGGATATATTCATGCAACCTCTGGTCATGAAAGTTTTGCTAGCAAAGGACATTACCACATTGCAGGCAAAAGATACCACTAAGTTATGAATGACGTTGATTTACTGGTAAGGTGAGAACAAGGATCTAAATGTAAAAGGAGCTTATTAATCCAAATGAAAATCTTACAAGGGCAGGGAATTTTTAACATATGTACACATATTAGCTATTTCCACAATTATACTGCATAGCAAACTAGCCCAAAAGTCAGTGGCTTACAATAATAGGCATTCACGCGTCTTGCTCATGAGTCACAGTCTACTTAGTTTTAGGTTTCAGGGTGGCTTTATTTCTGCTCCACATGTCTCCACACCCTGCTAGACGGCAGCTATACAGAACATGTTCTCACAATGGGTTGCAGGGATGCCATGGAAGCCCATCTAAGACCTCTGCTAGTATCATGTTTGTTCAAAGCCCATTGGCTGGCAAGAGTCACATGACCATGACCAACACCAATGGGGCAACAGTACCTTCTCTAATAGAAGATCTACAGAGTCACATGGCAAAGATGTGGGCATACGATTCAAAAAGGGGGAGGTGACGAAGGGAAGGAAAACACTTCGACAATTACAGAGGCACCTACTCCCTGATCTGGGGCACTGCCACCCTAACTAACTCTCTAAAGAATATAATACATTGGTTTATCACAGCTTAACAGGCTTTAGCCACCCATCGTCATCTCACCCAAGGGCACCGCACATTACTCATAAAGGTCAGACCAGCCCCTCACAATGTCAAATTAAACCACAGCCACATAAACAACTGCAGCCATCTCACAACAGAATCATCTCACAGCAGACAAAATAAAATGTTACATAACTCCAATTACTGAACCTCAGAATGCAAAGCGATTCTTCCCATCCCGTAATTTAAACTGTCTTTCAGTTCAGCCAGCTAAATCATGTTTTCTCACACTTTGAATTACGCTGACCTGAAAGGAATATACCTTTTCACTGAGTCATTTATTTTATGTCATACTTAATTGCTCTCTTTAGTCTCTCCATGTGTAGTCAATTTATCAGACAAAATGTATTTGAACTTGAAGCTGATTCCATATAAGAGAAGCTAGAGGCAAAGTACAGGGAAGCCAACTCCAGGGGGATCTTTCAATGAATTTCATCTATGAGATCCAAAAAGAGTAATTGCGTCTATAATATACATTAATTCAAGCCTCAAAAATCACTGCATTAATTAATGAATAAGATTCAAATGTAACTAATTCAACGTCTTTTTGCATTCAAAATCCAGACTCAAAGATAATTACTTCCATTGGCCGTAATATAAAAAGCCAACAGTTGACCCTTGAAGAATGCAGGCATTAAGGGCATTGACCCCCCCGTACACTCAAAAATCTGCATATAACATTTGGTCCCCCAAAAAACTTAACCACATATAG
Organism: Homo sapiens; assembly: GCF_000001405.40. Classification (NCBI taxonomy): domain Eukaryota; kingdom Metazoa; phylum Chordata; class Mammalia; order Primates; family Hominidae; genus Homo; species Homo sapiens. Next base: position 20,994,650 of record NC_000010.11, read on the forward strand.
CCTGCTATTCACTGGAAGCTTTACTGATAACATAAACAGTCGATTAACACATAGTTAGTATGCTCTATATTATATACTGTGTTCTTACAATAAAGTAAGCTAGAGAAAAAATGTTATTAAGGAAATCATAAGGAAGAGAAAATACATTTACTATTCATTAAGTGGAAATGGACCATCACAAAGGTCTTCATCCTCATTGTCTTCATGTTGAGTGGGCTGAGGAGGAGGAGGTAGAGGGGGGGGTTGGTCTTGCTGTCTCAGGAGTGGCAGAGAGGGAAGAAAATCCACTTGTAAGTGAACCCATGCAGTTCAAACCCTTGTTGCTCAAGGGTCAACTGTAGTTATACCAAATTAACTTACAAAAGTAACTAAAAATGCTTACAAACACCTCTCCCAAAAGCCAACCACAGACATCCACATTGGGTTGGAGAAAACACGGAGGGCATGGGGACCCCCCTCACCTTTGAAGCAAAGTCTGAACGTCAGGACAGGGAAAAATGCCAAGGGAAAATGATCTTGAAAAGAAATGGTTATTCCCCTCTGAGAAATGTACAGCACCCCCCAGTCTCTGAGAACAGGAGCCCAGAGCTGACAGAGCCGGCATGCAGGGCAGACATCATAAAAAAATGATGTTTCCAGTCCCTGGGGGTGGGGACAGCAGCTAGTGCTGTTTTCTTGGGAAGGCAACAGATTAGCAATTGCAGCCGTGTGAAGGCGGCTGCTTGGTCACCTTTTCGGTGCAGGACAATCACTGTCATTTTTGTACAAAATGAGAGCTGCCACATACAAGGAAAAAGGGTCCCTGAGCATGAGGAAGGCCTAAAAAGTAAAGATCCTCCAGTTCAGTGTAATTATGAGGGGATTTGCAGCAGCACCGCACGCTGAGGAATACCAATGAGAAGCTCTATGGTAACCGAGCAGACAAATCTATCAGCAAGATAAATAGGAGGACGCTGGAGAAACGAAATGAACTCCCAACTTCACTGCTCTATATTTTTGTAAACTGTTGCTAATAAACCCTCCACATCAAAACATCCTTGAATTCCTTTTTAAATTTCCAAAACCTACTTTCAGGGTTTATTCTTGAGCAGTTTTCACACATGCTGAAGCTGACGCAGCTGTTGCCGAGCCACCTCTGCAGATGCTGCTCGGCTTGAAAATAATTATTTCTGAGTGGGGAAGGCCCGCTCTGAGCTAGATGTTGTGAGCAGCAATTCTTACTGCTGTACCCACCAACTTACCCTTTGTGGGACTAATTCTTTTTCCTTTACAGTTTATTATGAAAAAAAAAATCTGCACCTCCATACTTCCAATTTTAATCTTATAAAGGAAGAGTACCTTTTATAAGATTCCTTCTGTGGCCAGATTCCTTCACACAACTTATCTTCGCCAGCAAGGTTTAGAGAACAGCGCGTTCTGGCTCCTAACTCAGGCAATACTAATGGGGGTTCTCAGGTCAGACACAGCATAAACCAAAGAAGGCTGGAGACTTCTAGATGCTTCTTACAGCAAGTGAAACAAAATCGGTTAATGTGCCACTACGATGTGATACGCTTTCAAGGTTCTCCCATGTGAAGTTTTAGGAGAGGCCTTTTCCCCAGGGGGTAGGGCAAACTAACAAATTTTGGGGATATGATTTCCAGAATGCTTTTTTACTTGCAATTGCCATCCCACTCCCAAATGTAAGAATAACAGCTGTCATTTTCAACACTGATCAATGTCACTTTATAGACAGCGAAGTGAAAATGCAGAGTATCCTGAAGACAGTGATTGTGGTTATTTCCTGGGTGCCTGGAAGTGCCAAGGATTGTCCTAGGTCTACTGGATCGATGCCTTATCACCAACCTCACAATAACCTTTTGGGAGAGATAAACATCACCATTCTAAAATAAAGAAAATGAGAGTTTAAGTAACTTGTCCGAGGACACATAGTATTAAGTGGCGGAGACAAATTGAAACCCAAGTTTAACTTGTTCCAAAACCCTCACTCTTTCCTTCACATTCCACTAGTTCTCAGGGGGCTAGACTGTAATGTGAAGCTATTAAACTGCAAAAGTTACCTTCTTAAAAGTATCATATGGACTGCCTAAAAACAGCCAGAAAGTTTTACAGGGATATTTTTGATATCCCTCAATATCAAGACTAATGGTAAATCTAAAAATCTAAAAAGCAGTTCCAACTCTCAATACTAACTGTTTTTGTGCAAATATTTTTTCTCTGGTCTTTTTCTCTCTCTAAACCCCAGAATACATTTGGAAACGTGTGTGCAATTGATCAATGCCTCGGCCATTTTGAAAAATAAATGTTCAAACTGGATAACAGTTCATCATACATAATCTATAAAATGTGGGTTATTTATCCATAATCATAAACATTTAGTTTCAAAAATCCATCTTTCTACACTGTAACTGAACATAATTTTAGAAAGCTTTGGTCACTACTTGGTTTTTACTTTACTATCACTGTTTGTCCATCAGTATGAAAGTCATTTCCCCTTAAATAATAGCCAAACTCTTTAATCCTAATCCTGAACTCACTCACTCACTCACTCAATCCTTTGTTCATTTAAACATTTACAATGGTGGGGTTGCAGAGATAATGGGATCAGCAGGCTCCCTGCCCTCTCAATCTCTGACCACAGCCAGTAACAGTCCCTGTTACTCAGGTCTGGAATCTCAAAAGGCATCAGTGGCATTAGACTTCCATCTCTCCCCATGGCACTGCCAAGGGGGGCAAGGTGGGGAAGGAAGTGGCCACAGTCACCATTAGGTACCCCCATCCCTACAGCCGCAAACCACACCAAATAAACGCACAGTCTCAGTAAAAAAAAAAAAAAAAAAAAAAAAAAAAAAAAAAAAAAAAAAACAGAACTCCTGAAGAATTTAGGATTCGGATTAGTAGCCAACCCTGCAATGCACTATGGATTAAAGTGTTCAACCAGTTCCTAACAAAGTATCATTACACAGAAAAGCAAATTTCTAATATAATTGGGTACTTTCTATGATCAGATCTACTTTTTAAAATGTTTTTGAAATGTGAATAATATATTATTTCATTGGTTTTATAATAGCTTCAGTGGTAATGTTCTGATCAGTAGTATAGCAATAACTGAAAACATTAGATGCTTGAGATAGGATCCTATACAGAATTTGAATTTAAAAATCAGTAAGCTCAGAAAACATGAGGACATTTATTCAATACCAGTTAAGATGGGTACAGCCAACAAAACAGAGTGCTGCTAAAATAATAAACTGGCTAAAATCATTGACCTCCAAATGAAAAGTTTACTACATAACTTAATTAAAAGTATTAAAAACATTCAGGAATGATGAAAATCAAATGGAGCCAAAAAATAAATTAAATACAATAAAAGGCTATTTATCAGAAATCACAATTTTTAAAAGTCCAAATATAAAAATTTCACCTAATGAAGAGATCCTGGAGAATTTTAAACCTAAAATGTCATATCACTGATACGATACGGTATGGAAATCACAGAAATGTCATAATAATGACAATGCTGAGATAGCTAATAAGAAACATCTCAGGCTTTGGAGTCGGAAAGTCCTGAGGCCAAATATTAGCAAGGACCCTGAGTAGCCGTGTGGCCTCAGGCAGTTTACATGACTTCTCTGAGCCACAGCTCCCTCATCTACAAAATGAGAACAATCATGCTAACCTAAGAAAGGTATGGGGAAGATTAAATGAGATACTCTACAAAAAGCCTTAGCAAACAACTGGCTCATCGTTAACTCCCAGTAAATAATGTCTGTTATTGTTTCCAATAACTCATTCATTCATCTAGAATCTATGGGGAATCCAAAGATAAGGTCTCCACTCTTGCCAGGGCTCTCAACAATAGGCATTTAGAAACCATGGCTCCTGGCTGCTTCAAGAAATGTGCAGATAAAAGAAGGCAGGGGAAATGGTAGAACCATAAAAATGCTACGTCTACATCTCATACTTAACATCAGAATTAAGACATATATAACCAAGCAGATGGCCAGGAAGAATAGAAATTCCAATAATGCACACAGCAATAATACTATCCAATCTGCATATTACATTAAAAATCCAACTGGCATTGCTTTGAACACTCTGCAACATGTCAACTCTGACACCCCCTAAAAGTCACAATCTGAATTCACAACTAGCCCCAATGAAGTCCCTTAATTCGATCACTTTGTTTGTCTATGGACTAACTTCTGTCAGTCTGATATACGGATCATGAGGACTGTGAGATGACAAGGATGGAAGGTCACACCGCAGCAAGTTCTGGGGGCCGCCAACAAAACAGGATCCGCCATCTGGAACAAGTGAAGATATGCTGGGTGTTCAGGGTTAGGCAAGGCCTGGAGTCAGAGCCAGTAAAGAAGTCCAAGCAAACAATAATTCATTCCCTTTCCCAGACTTATGTTTGAATTATTTATTTTTATCTGCGGCACCAAAAATTTCCAAATCCTTGGCTTTTACCATACAAAAACTGTACAGAAACCCAGAGGTGTGTGGGGGGAAAAAAAAAAAAAAAGGCTGTCAGGGAAGAAAGGCGTACTCTCTGAGTAAGACTCTGGTTTATTCCAACAATCATTTATTGATTGCCCAATTATGTGTGAGAAGACCTGCAGTGATGCTATATTCTCCCAGCCCCACAAGAAATACAAGCCAGGCTGGATGCAGTGGCTCACGCCTGTAATCTCAGCACTTTGGGAGGGTAAGGTGGGAGGGTTGCTTGACCCCAGGAGTTCAAGACAAGTCTGGGCAATATGGCAAGACCCCATCCCTACTAAAAATTTAAAAATATTAGCCAGGCATAGTGATGCATGCCTGTAGTCCCAGCTACTCAGGAGGCTGAGGTAGGAAGATCACTTGAGCCCAGGAGGTTGAGGCTGCAGTGAGCTGTGATTGCATCAATGCACTCCAGCATGGGCAACAGAGTGAGACCCTGTCTCACCTCACAAAAGAAAAAAGAAAAAGAAATACAAACCAAACTGATTCTATATCCAGGATCTATATACCCAGGGTTGTAAAAGCCAAAGCATTTTCCCTACACTCACTGGGACCTATCTAAGGCAATGAGGTCTGATGGCTCCATGTTCTCTTACAACCCCCGCTTTAACTGCCGTGGAGGCTGTGAAGCCTGTCGTATTTCTTCAAACATAAACATGAACGCTGCTCCTTTAATGTCTTTCTTCTCCCATAATAATCTATACTCTAATTCAAAGAAATGCAATTTCATCGTTGGTTCCCCATGCTGATGTTTGAGAAAAGATCATGTGATGCAAACCGTAATGACTAAGGAATATAATCAAGACGACGCCAGTAAGTGATTTCCAGCAATGTAGTCATTTACTACAAAGCACTTCCTCCTCTGATGGAAGGTTTTAAAAAATTAAGCTTTCACTGCTGCCACGAACTATTGTAGTTTGGAAGGCGGCCCGTGGCAGTGTCACCATCTTCGGTGAATCTAGTGAAGAGCTTTGGCCACTAGGGCAAGGAAAAAGCCAGGCAGAGGGGGGCAGAGAGGGGGCAGAGGGGGATAGAGGGGGAATAGAGGGGGTATAGAGGGGGCATGGGGGGCCAGAGGGGGGCAGAGGGAGCTGCAGCTACCACAACAGATTATTGCCCTGCCCTCAAGGGGCCATATGGCCCCAGCATGGCCCCAGGAAATAGCTACAGAGAGGCCCTGAGTGCTAGCTGGATGGGGTGGTTTATTGTGTCCCATGCTGCACTATGGTAGGGGGGATTCTGGTCCCCCCATTAGTCCCCTGTCAAAAGTGACTTTTCCTGGCCAAACAAATTTATCCCTCCCCATCTACACAGGGTTGCAGAATGTTGACCTTCTGCAAAGAACAGAGGTCTCTAAAGAGAGAGAAGCCACCCATTCCCAGGTAAATGAGTCAAGCAGGAGACCAGCCTTTGCAAAGGAAGGAGCAAAACATTTGTAGAAAAATAAAATCAAGTGGGTAAGAATTTGTTTAAATTGAAACTCTGAACATTTTGAGATAGAAGGTTAAATACTTACTGCAAACAGAAATAAGGCTCCCAAAACGAGAAAGCAACACCCCAAAATGACAAAGTGAGCAAAAGACTGCAATGGAGCAGATGACATCAGGTAAGATGTCTCTTGTCTTTCTGGATGCTCTGCTGTTTTTGCAGTCTAAGATATGGAAGAAAGCTGATTCACTGGAGAGAAATCAAGTGCATTGAAGGGAGAGAAAAAAGGTAGGATGGCCAGGAAGGGCCACATTGGGATTTAAGGGCAGAGAAAAAGGGAAGAAGCCCAGATAGAGCTGGAGAGCTGGTCTCCTGCAGACAAAGCCAGCACAGGAGGGTCCTGACTTCCTGGTCAGGAATTCGCTCCTGCACACCCAATCATCTGCAGTTCCCTCAGGAAACCAATGCAGGTCCCCATGAGCTTGTATAGATCCTCCCTTCTCCACAGAAAGCAGCAGGTAAGATGTCAGAGGGATGGAGGTGGTCAGGAAAATGCTAGTCTAACCCCAGGCCTAGACTCTATTGCCTGCTTCCCCAGGTCCAGCCAGCCGACAGACCGCCAGAGACAAAAAGCTAACAGCACCTGGTTGTCACATTCCAGGTGAAAACAGGTACCTAGTGCTAGAGGAAAATCGGCAAGTAAAGAGAATGTCTTGTCCCACAGACATTCCCTGGGACAAGCTGGGAGCCACGTAGCAGCTGGGAATCAGAGAATCCAGGGAGGTGGAACACAGCCAGAGTTCTTCCTATCAGAAAGATTTTTCCAACTTGTAAGGTGGACATCATTTCATAGCCTAGCAAAATAAATGATTTGCAAGACAAGCTATGGCATTATCACAGATACTCCAGGGAAAGAAACCCCAAGGAACATCATGCCACTACTGATAAAGCTCAATTTTCAGTAATTAGGAGGTAACTAACACGCAATCCACAGGTGAACTTATTGCAGAAGCCTAGTGCTCCTTGGGAAGTCAATATACTCACAACTTTTTTTTTTTTTGTCTTTAGCCCATTTATGCCTAGTGTTCCATCATTGGAACTCTAAGCATGTGGGAGTTATTTATATCCTACTGCTCAAGGTCATCGCCAAGGTCTGATTGCAAAAATTCAAAAACCTGCAACCTCAGACATGAATGGATTAATTGCCATTTGTTTTGTTTTCTAATGGAAAATAAGAACTGATTTCCTCGCTCTGTTAGGTAGCAATCTGATGTACCCTTTCTCTCCACCCACCACACCATATATAAGCAAAACTGGTCTCTGTTTTTCCACCAACACTTATTTCTCATTTGTGGATTGAGCTAAAAACACACACAATTAAAAAAGAAACATAAAGCCAACCCTTTTTCTCTGCAGGTAGTAATTAAGGTGATTTGTTAGTTAGTTGGGTTTTTCTACACGTATTTCTTTTTCTTTTTCAGAGATGAAAGGTACTCGCTCGATGTAAATGTCAACCTCCAAAAAGGAGTAGGTGCTTCTTAGACAAGAGGAAGATATCCTTGATGTGGGAAGGAGGGAGGGTTTTTTTTTTTATGGTGATGAAACATTGTTTTTTTAAAATGTTGATTTACAGTAATATTACTAACATGAGTCATAAAAAAAGTTATTCCTAAATAATTGTAGCAGAACTTCGTGTCCTATGCAGGAAAAAACGTCATATAGAATTGCAGATTACTTTCCAAGATAAACACCAGAATTCAGTCATCTAGCACTTACTCACCACCTACTACCTAAACCTTATAAAGTTATCCTACGCTGTAGAATGTTTACCATGTCAAAGGTCTGTTAGATGATATTTGTATTTTATTACAGAAATAAATTCTTAAATTATAAATCAACAGAAAATTAAAGATTTAAAATTGTATTAGTCCATTCTCACGCTGCTATAAAGAACTGAGACGGGGTAATTTATAAAGACAAGAGGTTTAACTGGCTCACAGTTCTGCAGGCTGTACAGGAAGCATGGATGGAGAGGTCTCAGGAAACTCACAATCATGGCAGAAGGCAAAGGGGAAACCAGCACACCCTCACACAATGGAGTACGAAAGAGAGCGAGCGAAGGGGGAAGCGCTACACACTTTTAAACAACCAGATCTCGGGAGAACTCACTTACCATCACGAGAACAACAAGGGGGAAATCTGCCCCCATGATTCAATCACCTCCCACCAGGCCCCTCCTCCAACACTGGAGATTACAATTCCACAAGAGATTTGGGTAGGGATACAGAGCTAAACCATATCATCAATTAGTGAGGTCTCTTTCACACCACTACCCACAGTGTTCACTCTAATTTAAAATGCCTTAGACTGAACCCATCATGATGGGTTTAATAACATCACAGGTATTTTCATTATGTGGCTTTTTTTTTTTTTTTTTTTTCAAATTTAGCCCTAATATCCCATTTTCTCCAAAAGGAGCTCTAAGTTTTTCTTCTCTGTTTTCACAGCCACCTTGATCCTGCCTCCTAACTTCTTCACATTGGGCTTCTTTAATTTTCCAAGCTTTGCATTTCATAAAATCCCTAGACCACAGCTCTTCTGCAGTGTTTCCCTATCCTAATTAAGGAATTCATCACCTGTTTCTACTAATGCTTCTCCCACCCTGGGGAACACAGACCCACTTGCCTGACCTCCCACGCCATGCAGCTGACACCTTTGGAGGGAAACAGCTTTATGGATTAAGCTCACACTTTTTCTCATGTCTTGTTTCTGTTCCATTGTCTCCTGACAACCCATGTCCCTGCTGCCAACACCTCGCCTGCCCCACAATCTCTCCTTTAATGCTGGTTTCCCTAGCATTTTGATTGAAAGGATCTTTTGTTATGAAGCCATGTCAAAACATGCACATTTGAACTATTTTCTGAACCAGATTATTCTTCAAAGACGGAAACCATGAATTTTCCTTCTGTATCCCTACTGGTACCTAATACCTACATCTGAAACCAACTCTATTCAATCAATGATTATTGACTGAGGGATGACGTCATGAGTTTCTTGAATCGACTTCGGTTGTACACATCCTGCTGTGAAGCTAAAAGGTTCTCAGGCAGGATCTTTCTAATCAGAATAGGGTTGTTCTCTGCACAGGTACAATCACATGAGGAATGTAGGAAAATTGTCATATAATTCTGCTTTTCATAGGAACTAGCCTTTGCTTAAACTATTCAATTATTTTAAGATTTTATGAAAATCTCAAAACGTATCTAAATTTCTTGGGGAAGAAATGTATGAAAGGGAATAAAAAATATCTGAAAAACCCTTTCAGTTCTTGTCTCTATTATGGAACTTTATAAACAAACCAAAAGTCGTCCAAAAAATCAAGAATCCATGAATGTATCAAATGTGTATCACGGCTAAAAATTCTGGTTTGATTCCTGTAGTTCAAAACAACAGAATGCATTGTAACCTGAAATTTTTTCTTATACGCATACACATAAGTACGTGTATATTAAAGACATTTGAATTTGAGCATCAGATTGTTGATTTTTTTAAACCATTCTAGCCTTTAACTGACCTACATTGATTCCTTTACATTAAGAATGCAGTGGATATTTGGTAACAACAGTGTTGTTTGAAGAAGTTTCTTCTTCATGAACACTTCTCTAAAATGCAGACATCGTTATGAATAAATGCATCATTAATAAAAAAATAAAAATTCAAAGCCATTGAAATATTGGAAAAATTTATTAAAAGAGTAAAATTTTGGAAAAAAAATGCCAGGAGTGTTCATTATTTGGGACGACGTTCTATGGAACTGGTTCTCAAATATTAACAAGCGTAAATAAGAATCACCTGGGCCGGGCACGGTGGCTCACGCCTGTAATCCCAGTACTTTCGGAGGCCGAGGCGGGCAGATCACGAGGTCAGGAGATCGAGACCACCCTGGCTAACACAGTGAAACCCCATCTCTACTAAAAATACAAAAAATCAGCCAGGCATGGTGGCAGGTGCCTGTAGTCCCAGCTACTCGGGAGGCTGAGGCAGGAGAATGGTGTGAACCCGGGAGGTGGAGCTTGCAGTGAGTCGAGATTGCACCACTGCACTCCAGCCTGGGGCACAAAGCGAGACTCATCTCAAAAAAAAAAAGAATCACCTGGAGAATTAACAATGCAGATTTCTGGGCCTCCCTGTCAGTGGGTCTGGGGCCAGGCCCATGAATGAGCATTCTCACCATATTCGCTAGGTAACTGTGATGCATACAGGTAGGCAGGAAAAGACTATTTGGAGAAACACTGACTCACAGAAAGCATCTCACCTTTCTTTTTCCTCTAAAACCCTTTCAGTATTAACCTCTCAAGGTCTTTAGGCATTTCTATGGAGAAACTGGTGAATTAAGGGTAGGCCATTTAATAGAGGCAAAAAAGGAAATCAAGACCTCACCCAAACAAATTCTTAGGTTCTTACTGGCCTGAGAGTAACACCTTATGCCCTCCATTTTGCACGCTCACAACCAAATAAACAGACAAATACCAAATTGAGGACAGAAAGTTCAATTGCAGCTGTTAACAGTCCCTGACTTGTGCAGACACACACACACACTCACACCTTAGTTCTTTAAGGAGCACAAGGCCTAGTATATGACATAAAATAGACATCCAATAAACATTTGCTAAAAGACCTAATGCCTTTAGAGCAATAAGTCACAGAATACCCATCTAAGAAATCAGCAGGGAGACCCCCAGCTGGTCAAATTGGCCAGATTAGTCCCCAGCAGCCTGAATGGTAAAGCCTCAGTGTTACTGACTGTGAAGAAGTAAAACAGTAAAATTTAAAATGTACATAAGCAAATCTGTTTTAAAACCATTATCTGGCCAGGCACAGTGGCTTGCACCTGTAATCCCAGAAGTTTGCAAGGTCAAGATGGGGGGATCGCTTGAGCCCAAGAGTTCGAGACCAGCCTGGGCAACATAGGTAGACCCCATCTTTTCAAATAAAATAAAATTAGCCAGGCATGGTGGTGCACACTTGTGATCCCCGCTACTCGGGAGGCTCAGGTGGGAGGACCACTTGAGCCCAGGAAGTCAAGGCTGCAGTGAGCTGTGATCATGCCACTGCACTTCAGCCTGGGTGACAGAGCAAGTGTCTCAAAACAATAATAATAATAAATTAAATAAAATCACTATTTTATTTATTTTTACATCTACCCACCCATAAGTATAATCTGATACAATGAATTACTGACATACTAACACTTTTTTTTTTTTTTAAGTATTGCAATCTTTTTTTTCCTTTATTTGCTAGGCTCACCCTGTAAGCCCCAAGAACCAATGTTAGTAACCTGGAATATATTAATCCATATTTTTCTACCTATACATATATTCCTAATCAGAGCTAAACATATATAGACATAGATACGCAAACGCAGGCACACACAGAGGGTTTGGTCATCTCTACGCTTTTCTACATCTGTGTTTCTCACTGAGCAACACTTCACAGGCATACCTCCAAGGCATGTGGCTATAGAGCTCTATTTCCTTCCTTTAAATGATCGCATCATATTCTTTGGTGCAGATTATCAAAATGTAACTCACTATTCTCTTGCAGATGACCTTTCGCTCTGTTTCCAGTTTTGTGCTACTACAAACGGTGCTGTCATAGACATCCTTGTACTTACGCTTTCTATGCTGATAATTTTGTTTCCATGGGAGAGATTCCCAGGAGTGGAATTGCCAGAACAAAACGTATTTGTGTCTTTCAGGTTTTAACACTTGTTGCTAGATTGCTTTTTTTAAGGCAGTAAGAGTTCATGTTTCCAAAAGAGTTAATATTTTAATGGAGATAAAATAAAATTGTGCTTAGAAGGCAGGGAGTCCATAATCTTTCTGTGACAATGCCACCACTCTCCGTGAGACCTGTAAATCCAACCAGTCCTTCTTCCCTGTTCCTTCCCTTGGCCAGCCCAGCCACTCCTGCTAAAGCTTGAGACTTTCTAGGGTTCCACTGATGGAGTTCACTATACCCTGAACTTCTGCATTTATATTCTAAAGCAGGCTACCATAACTTTTCCAAAGGAGGAGTTGCATGGCTTTCACCAAATTTCCACAGTGGTCCGAGACCCGAAAAGCATTAGGAGCCACCCTTCTAGAGTCTGATGGATGACAAGAGGATTGGGATATTGTTTACGACATGATTTAATTTTGCCAAGGATAACAATAAGAAGAAAGTTGCTTTTTTTGGAGAAGTCTTCCTGTGTCCATGAAGCAATCAAACCATTTTCGATCCACATTATTTTAAGAAGGAGCGAGTTCTATAAATAGTTGACAAAAAGGCACAGGTGTTGGGTGGGGAAAGAAAAACAGAAAGAGCTCCTTCCAAACCAGGTAAAGGATCCTTTCTTATTCTACATATTTCTCAAAGAATTTGGCATCTGATCCATGGAAAGAGGAAAAGAGTCACTTTGGGGTTTCTTTCAAAGAAAGGATAAACATTTCAGTGGAGAATGAGAGGAGAAAGCCGAATGAAATACAGAAAAAAAAAACTGTTCACAGAATTTGGGAGAATATATTTTGAGGGGACCCAATAAACACCTCTAAGTCAGGGGTCAGGTCTTTCCTCCATTCACCCTCTCTCCCCACAGCCGCTGGTCTCTCGCCTCACACAACCCGCACCCAAGAGCTGGCAGGGCTGGGCCAAAGGAGGTATCCAATAAATGTAGATTAAACCAATAAATAATTAAAGCAGCCTTATACAGATAAGTTACAGGAAGTATGGAGGGTCCTTCAGTGAGATTTCTTTGCTAGTAAAGGTTTGAAACCAAAAATACCAAGGTTTTTCTCCATTTGTAATTTATGCCAAGAAAGAACTGGAAAAGCATCTGTCCACCTGTCAGAAAAGTGTCTTGTTCTTCATTCTTATAAGACTCTTGCTTTTTATGAAACTACCTTCCATTCTTTCTATTTCATTTCATACATTATCACCCTTATCATCTGACGGCACAATATCATCCAGGCGATTGCTTAGTGTGGTTATTTATTAGTAACCATTAAATTAAATAGGATCACTGGCCTCTAGTTTAAAATCTACAGCAAAGGACAAAGATGAAAACAGACATAAAAAACCTTAAATTAATGAACAAACTACACAGAGAAAGACCCACTAAAACAGGTAAAGCCTCTTGAATTACATCTGTGCTTGTTATATAGTAGAATGAGTGATCTATCCTCTGGAATCAGTAATATTTTGAAAAAGATCTCATTACCACACTTCCAGAAGTAACACTACATGTTTCTGTTACAGTTTTTCACATTCGCTATTTCTTAAAACATATGGAATAACTAAAAGACACAGAGACTGCAAAGCTAATTCACAGATGGGGAACTTAAATTGCAATAAGGTGACTGTTAGAGTGTCCAGCAGTGAATTAAATCATACTTAGCCATTCATAACAAAAAAGAAAAGACACTTCATGTTTTCTTGGTCTTTCAGGTTTTCAAGACTTTCCCGAACATTGTCCTTCCAAGTTAACTTTGTTATATTATTATATACGTGTGTGTGTATATATGTATAGGTAGATGTCATACAAATGTATGTAAAAACATGCATATATTTATATGCATAATGAATATGTTTGCATATTGTATGCATATCTATATATATGTACAGTAGTCCCCTCTTATCCCTAGTTTCACTTTACACAGTCAACTGTGGGCTGAAAATAGGTGAGTAAAGTACAATAAGATATTTCGAGAAAGAGAGAGACCACATTTGCATAACTTTTATTACAGCATACTGTTGAAATTATTCTATCTTACTATTAGTTATTGTTGTGGTTTTTTATTTTTAAATTTTTTTCCACAGATTTTTGGGGAACAGATGGTATTTGGTTACATCAAAAAGTGAGCTAAGGACATGAATAGACAATTCTCAAAAGAAAATATACAAATGGCCAACAAACATATGAAAAAATGCTCAACATCACTAATGATCTGGTAAATGCAAATCAAAACCACAGTGCGATACCACCTTACTCCTGCAAGAATGGCCATAATCAAAAAATCAAAAAATAATAGATGTTGGCGTGGATGCAGTGAAAACCCGCTGGTGGGAATGTAAACTAGTTATTGTTGTTAATCTCTTCCTGTGCCTAATTTATAAATTAAGCTTTATTGTAGATATATACACATAGGAAACAACAGTATTTATAAGGTTCGGTACTATCTGCAGTTTTCAGACATCCACTAGGGTTCTTGGAACATATTCCCTGCAAATAAGGGGTGTCTACTGTATGCATATTGTATGTAATGTATGTATATTATATGTATATCTACATACATGTATATTACATATAATATTTATTATATATGTATATAAAAAACCCATATACATACACACTCCTAAGACATTAAGTGGTATTCCTATGAAGAATAAAATATTCTAGAATAAAAAGATTCAAAGCCTTGGAAATTATCCAATTCTAAGGAAAACTTATATAACAGATATGTTCTCTGTCCAATAGCAGAAATATAGTTAAGAGCTACTTTGGTTTTAATTTTAATGGTTTATAAGCATTAAAGCCATTCTAGAGGTTTTTAAAAGAATCAGTATTGAGGCTCTATGACTGCCTAATTAAAAATAGAATGGAATTCTTGGTTTTACTATATTTCACTTTTTTGTATAAGTAAATCGCTTGGAATTGGTATATTTAGTTGTGTGGTGTCTAAAATACTGTGTGCTTAGGAAGCTAACTCAGTAGCTAAAGATGCTTATTAGATTTATCTTAGAAGACATTCACAGATCATGGATTCCTGTAAATAAGAAAAATTCCACAGAAACAGGAGCTCAGTGTCAGTCAAAAGGGGTCCAGAGCAGCTCTACCAGTTGGGATCAAATTTGTGTTGCCTTAATTTCTGATTTAGCATCATCCTGACCCTTGACTTCACCAAAAATCAAGAGAGAGGGAAGGAGGCAGAGAAGGAAATTCTAATTGCTCTCTTCCAACATTTTGTAATGAGAAAAACTCCATTTTACAAAGCACAACCCATATTTTGGAAGCCCAAGTATCTCATTTCAGAATACAATACAATTGTCCCAAACGGAAGCTTTTTCAAAGAATGATGTTAACATAGTCATCTTTTCTCTACAGAATTTCTTGAGCCTGTTTTTATCCTTTTGCAAGGCCCCCAGAGAATTCCGGTGGGAAGGTCCTTCTGAAGCTAATGGGTGCTCTAAACAAAGTTCTGAGGTAAAGGAAAATGACAAGTAGGCTAGATAATTTCTGCTTAAAATATATAATTTTTAAGCACACATATATGTACTTCATGAGAGTTTAAACATTCAGGGCACAATAAGGGCTACCGCAGGCTGCTGGTTACCCCTAGAGTTATCTCCAAGAGGCCTTTTCTGAATTCTATATTGTCCTATAAATTTGGTTTTGTTGTTTAAGGCCATTACGAGACAGTAGTGTCTAAGTAGTGTCCTCCTTTCAAAAAATACATTGTTAGGAAATTAAGAGTGTTGATTAAGGGTATTAAGGAATAGTTCCCTAATGAGCCTGTTAATTTAATGAAATGGGATTGCTTTAGATCAGCTCCTCTGTATAAGGGATCACAGAGACATGCTGAATTGAGATATATGGTTTTTGTTTGTTTGCTTTTGTTTTTGTTTTGTTTCATTTTGTTTTGAGACAAGGTATAGCTCTGTCGACCAGGCTGGAGTGCAGTGGCACAATCACAGCTCACTACAACCTCGACCTTCTGGGCTCAAGCGATCCTCCTACATCAGTCTCCTGAGTAGGTGGGACTACAGGTGTGTGCTACCATGCCCAGCGAATTTTTTAATTTTTTTTTTTTTTTGCAAGAACAGGGTTTTGCTATGTTGCCCAGCCTGGTCTCAAACTCCTGGCCTCAAGCCATCCTCCCACCTCGAACTCCCAAAGCACTGGGATTACGGGCATGAGCCACCACACCCAGCCAAGACCAACTTTTGAAGTTCAAAAGCTACCACATAATCAAGCAAAGCCATTCAAAAAAAAATAAGAAAGCATTAGGAAGTAAAACTAAAATAAGACATTTCATAAAAGTATACAAATATATAGAGTTACTCTACTTCTACATAGAAAACTTGAAAAATATCTACTGAGCTAATTAGGAAGTCATGTAACATGGCATAAATGACTTTGAACGTAGGTTACTGAAGCTCGACAACTGAGTTAAATGATGAGTTGCTATCAGTGAATGAACAGCATGACTGTAGCTATTCTTGTCTTTCGTCCTGTGCCATTCTTTAAACATCTTCCAATGTGAAACTGATTTGCCCATCAACTTCCCTCAAATCTATGTGACCTCCCAATTATGACCTTCAGCCAATATCTGAGACCAGTCCAGGGAAGGAGCTATTTAGAGAATGGTCAAATGAAATGGCAGGCCTGACAATTGCTATTTTGGCAGAAAAGAAAAAATAATGGCAGTTTTTTTTCAAGTTCTTTTATTGCTACATTGAGACATTATTGCAGAACATTTTTGTACTAAAATCAGAGACTATTACAACTGGAAGGAATTTTACTACAACCTACATCTTATGCCCTGAAAAAGGTTAGGAGTGCCCAAAGTCACACTTAGTGGCAGGGACAGGGGGAGAGCCCAGATCGCTGGGTGGCTGGTCTAGTGCTATATTTACCCAATAAAATCAAAGCGTATACAACAGGTCAGCAACTTATTTACGATGTACTCGTATTCTGATACAAAAGAAAACCAAGCTTCTTTATGTGTTAGAGCTGCCCTGTGATTCTTTACAAGTCCGTACCACACGGAAGTGGAAAGAACTAAATTTAGTTCCATCGGTTGCATTGAGTCCATTCAACAACTGAAACAGTCAGCTTAGGTCAATTCCCATTTCCTCCTGCTTCCTGGTTCCCCTCTGAGATGATGTCCTGGAGTGTGTGAATGAAGGAAGAAGAAAGCCTGGGACCCATGCCCACATTCCCTCCTTCTCTCCTCGAACTCCTTTGGCCTCAGTGGTGTCTCCTGTCCTCTCAGGTGCCAGGCACCCTGTTGGCATCTGTGGCTGGCATCTGTTGGCATCTGTGGCATCTGTTGGCATCTGTTGGCATCTGTGGCTGGTAACCCTGTGGTGTGTTCTTCCTTGGCTCAGGAACAGCCTAGCGGTACCCCCTGAAGACACTTCCTTCCATGCTTCTCGTTGAGGTCTAACCTCTACTCCCCACCTGCACATCCACCCCTGGCCCCAGGGCCACACTGTTCCTGCAATGGCAATGCCCCTGGCAGCTCCCAGCAAGCACCTCAGCATCCTTCTACAAGGCACATTGCAGCTGCCATCGCCTTCCACACTATGGGAGAGACTAAGATTCTGGGAAATGCAACCCACATTCTTACTTTGCCTGCCATGCTGCAGAGGCCCCAAGTCTGCCACTGAGGTGGGAGGAGATTGGGAATACATTTTGTGGGGTGGTTTTCTCTGCTTTTGGCAGTTTAATCTGCCTCTCCCAACTTTCATCTCTGAGCCTGCAGTCAGCAGAGAGAGAGGAGGTCATGTTTCAGTCTCCGATTTTCTGCTTGCTTCGTACAATCTACCATGGCCAGAAGTGGGAGTAGGGTAGGTGCCCCCCTTCAAGTGGGACCATCTTCCCTCCTTCCCAGAGTGCCACTCACTCTTCACTCTGTTTCTCTCTCTGGGGCCACAAGTGTGAAGCAGGATGGCAGAGCATGATTTATGTGAGAGAAAGATGAAAAATGCATTGATTGTGTATATATATATTTATTTATTTATTTTAATTTTAGAGACAGGGTCTCACTCTGTCACCCAGGCTGGAGTGCAGTGGCATGATCACAGCTCACTGCATCCTTGAACCCCTGGCCTCAAGCGATCCTTCTGCCTCAGCCTCCTAAGTAGCTGGGGCTACAAGCATGAGCCACCATGCCTAGCTTATTTATTTTTATTTGTTATTTTTTTTTGGCAAACACAATGGTTTCCCTATGTTGCCTAGGCTGATCTTGAATCCTGGCCTCAAGTGATCCTCCTGCTTCAGCCTACCAAAGCATTGGGATTATAGCCATAAGCTACTGTGCCCAGCCTGATTTAATACTTTTAAAACATCCTCCTCGATAGATAGACTATATATTGAAACGCCTAATACAAGGGCCAGTTACCAGACTCTGAACCACTTACTCTTAACAAACAGCCTAGAGCCTGCCCACCCAAAATACAGCACTCACACCTCCCTCCACCGTCAGCTATGGGAATGATGGAAAGGGAAGTAGGGTGGGCCAGGAAGGAATCAAAGGACCAACTTTCCAGGCCTTGGGAAACAGATGAAAAGGATGCAGGTCATCTCAGGAGGGTTGAGAGTAGAACACCAGGTCCCTGTGATTAAAGGGTCGAAAACCTAGCAGTGCACAAAAATCAAAACATCTTGGTTATTTTCCTGTCTCCCACTACTGACATTTTTGTCTCTTACATCATTTTATCCAGGGGTACAATGGGGGCGTGGGGGCAGGGTGGGGATCTGACTTATGGGAAACTGTGAGGGTGAGTGGAATCGCAAAGGTTGGAGTTAACATCTGCTTAGCACGCTGTGCTCCCTGAAGGAAATGTACCACATCCAGTGAATTCATATGTCCCCTTTGAAGTTCTCATTCACATTCACCCATTCCTCTATGTGAAACGTAATCTCTTATCATTTACGTTGCCTCAAAACCTTGAAAATAAACATGCTGAAGCTTCTCCCAATGAACTTTAACCATTACATACATGAGAAAGTGCTTACTCGGAGAACAAGAAGCATTACCATGGATCAGAAGACAGCATCAAATGGTGGAAAATCAAAAGGTGGAAGTGTAAAGCTGCCAAAATGGCGTTCAAAGAAAAGAGAAAGTTAGGAGGCAAGCATAAAAGGCTTCTTGTCCAAGACCAGCAGAACCCAACAAAAACTGTCGGGAGAAGCAGTGTTTGTGTTTAGAAGTCTGAAGTTGTCCAATGAGATAAGACATAATAAGAGGGCCAGGCGCAGTGGCTCACGCCTGTAATCCTACCACTTTGGGAGGCCAAGGTGGGTAGATCACTTGAGGTCAGGAGTTCGAGACCAGCCTGGCCAACATGGTGAATCCCCATCTCTACTAAAAATACAAAAATTAGCTAGGCGTAGTGGTGCGCACCTATAATCCCATCTACTCGGGAGGCTGAGGCAGGAGAATCGCTGGAACCTGGGAGGCGGAGATTGCAGTGAACTGAGATCGTGCCACTGCACTCCAGCCTGGCAACAGAGTGAGACTCCATCTAAAACAAAAAGAACCCAATGAAGAGCAGAGTCCCCTAGGATTAAAAAATGGGGAAAATGGATATATATTTGGAAATGGGATCCGGAGCTGAGCAGGATACAGCAGACTGTTCTAAGATTTTATTATGCATCTGCTGCAGAAAGGTCTGCAGGCCTCCAACTCCCCAAAAGTGCCTTAAAACATACTTAAAATACACTCCATTCTCTCTGCAGGTCTTGTTGCAGTTGTAATTTTTCCTATTTTTTATTATTATTAATATTATTTTAGATTTAGGGTCTCACTCTGTCACCCAGGCTGGAGTGCAGTAGTGTGATCGTAGCTCACTACAACCTCAAATTCCTGGGCTCAAGTGATCCTTGCACCTCAGCCTTCCAAAACACTGGGATTACAGGAGTGAGCCATCAGGCCTGGCCTATTTTTTATTACGTTATTACCACCCTCTCTCCCACTAGACCATAAACCCCCTGAGAGTAAGGGCCTCATCTGGTTTCACTCACTGCAGGATATCCAAAATCTGACATGCAATCGGTATCCAGTGGCAAAAGAAATTTAGGTCAAGTTTAAGATTGGGCAATCATACAGAGTGGGATTTGAAACTTTTGGACAATGCTATCCAAAATAATTCTCCAATTATCTTTGGACAGTCAATGGAGTTCTTCAGTCAGGGATTCTTTGCTTTGAAGGAAGTCAGACTTCAGCAGACACGCTTTAAGATGCAACTCCCCCCTGAGAAAGGTTCTGCTTTAGGTAATATTTACCAGTAAGGTCCATCTTACTGGATGGTTAGATGACAGATAACTGAGAGAAAACCCTCTGGAAATGGAATATAAAATAAGAAGGTTCAGAAATGTGCCAAGGGCAAGCCACGTTACTGCCTTCTGGAGCTTCCAAAGGTTTATACTAAACACGTGCCTTCATTTCTCCCAAAAGATGTTTAACTATTATGTTCCCTATAAAAAGAAATCACTTTTACTTCTTACCCTTACTACTATCATTTATCGTACTTCCTATGAACCACGTTTTCATGCCTCTGCAGAAACCTGGAAGATTAAAAAAGAATCAACATAGATTACAAAAGAAAGACTCAAAGGTTCCAGAATGATTTGCATTCTCTCCATTATCATTTTCCATCTTTCATCGTATCTGCCCTCATAAATTACACATACTCCATTTAAGAGCACAGTGAGCCCCAAATCCCTCTTATTTTCAACATGATTGCAAATAGCTAAGCCAAGCACATAAACAACTAAGTGGGCAGTAGCTATTGTTTTGTCTTCATTTTAAGCAGCCTTTTTCAAAACCATGCTCTACAGAAGACCAGGTTTCCTTAAGGCTCTGGGGGTGGGAAGATGAGGAGAGTCGGGGGGGTTTGGAGATGCCAGGGGCTTGCCCCCGCTCCCCTGCTTCAATCACGGTAGCTCCATGTTGTTGTCTTCTCAGTAGGGGCTCCCACTCAAAATGTCATCGGAAGAACCATTTCAACGGCTTTGAGAAGGCTCCAGAGCCCTGGTTCAGAGTACCCAAAGCATCTATGCCTTCCCTTCCAATAAGAGTGTGCTACACAGCCCGAAAAAGGGAATGCTTTCTACCACATGATATTAAAATAATCAGTAAATTTATTTTTTCTGTTTTTTGGGGTTTTTTGTTTGTTTCCTAGAGTCTTGCTGTGTCAGCCAGGCTGCTGGAGCACAGTGGTGTGATTACAGCTAACTGCAGCCTCCAACTCCTGGGCTCAACAGGATCCTCCTGTCTCAGCCTCCTGAGTAGCTGAGACTACAGGTATGCACTATCATGCCCTAATTTTTTATAAAATGTTTGTAGAAACAGGAGTCTCCCTATGGCGCCCAGACTGATGTCAAACTCCTAGCCTCAAGCAATCCTGCCACCTCAGCCTCCCGAAGTGCTGGGATTACAGGCATAAGCCACAGCACCCGGCTAGAAATTTCTTTTTTAAGGGGTCTTTCATCTCGCCTGGATGTTTTAAGTTTAGGGATCACCTAATTTACAAAGAGTTTGTGTTCCAAAACTTTTGTTTCTAAGTCAGGGCTTTGGATCTCACTTTCCTAAAGAAAATGAGATGAGCCACTCCCAAGGCAAGCAGTAAAAGCCTGATGCCCCCGCAGGTGAACTATAATGTTGCTGATTCCACCAGAAGCAGTTTTACTTTTGCTTCTTGTTGAATGGGCTGCTGCGGGCCCGTGGGGGCGTCTAACCACTCTTCATGCTATTTCTTTGAAGCAGTTCATGCTGGGATGTGTGATCAAAAGGGAACTAGTAACTATAAAAGGGCTTTCCTTCCCTCTCTTCCTCTTGACTGCCAAGGTCCAGAGCAGTCCACATCTACTGCAGTCAGAGGCTGGCCAAGTGGATGTTCACCAGGTACTGGATAAAGCCTATGAACCACTGGCTTTGAAGAGCTAACTCTTGGTTTGTTTGTTTATTCACAGTATTTCATAAAATGTTATTATGACAATCTGGCACCTGATATAGATTCCAAAAAAGCTTGAGAGGATTTAGCATTTAGATGTAAAATATTCACAGTGTTTATAACCCTCTCAGGAAGAGAGGGGGGGAAATAAAAAGAAAAGAGAAAATTTTTTAAAGAAAGAGATAACAGTGGGTAACTATAAATAACTTTCTAGATTGAATTGGAAAATATATTTCGATTTTCTTTATTTTTGGCTCACTTGGTAAGCTAATGAACTGAAAGAAGAGAACTGGTTTTAACCAGACAATTCTAAAAGATTTCAGAATTTGAAAACTTGGAGCTATGAATAGATGTGATTCACTTAGCATCACAAATGATCAAAACAAGCCTATAAAATATTAATAGTCAATTTTCCACCAAAACCAGTGAGCTGTTCAGAACTCCAGATATCAAAACTCTAAGGAAATGCTCTCATGCAGAATCAAATCATTTAATAGGCTAAAATGAAATCCAATGCCATTACTGAGTATTACCATTAGGATAGATACCTACCCACGTTTTTGCAAAAATGGAAATATTCTTACAGAAGTGTTTTCACCTCTCACCCAGAAAAAAAGAAACCATAATGACTTCTTCCTACTTATACTTAATGCCAAATTCTACCTTTACATACATTGCATCAACCCTTGTATTGCAATTCTTTGCTTACAGATCTTTTCTAGGTGCTCTCTGAGCAAGGGGACCAGGGTACTGGTGAAAAGTGTGGACATCGAGGGCTCAGAGATCTAGGTCCCATTCCAAGACCTATTCCGTACCAGCTAAGTGTGAAAGGGCAGGTTATCGAAATTCTCTAAAGGTTGAATGTGTTACCTAAATAGAGATAATAATAAACACCTGTATCATTGAAGTTGTTTATGATTAAATAAAATAATACATGTAAAATTATGTCCTTGGAATACAGCAACACTGTTGATGATGATGATGTCTTTATATCCCAGTGCACAGAGTAGGTAATCAATACATGTTTCTTGAATTGCATTGAATTTCCCCATGTTGTCTGCTTGATGGAGCCCAATTGCTTCTAAAGAACACGACATTTGAGCAAAATCTTTATAAAGATCTGATGTCTTCCCCTGACTGCTGCTTGGCGATCCCACAGATCTTTGGACATCTCGCCATTAGCTCTTGTCCCACCAGCCTATAATTATTTGTATATGCCACCCTTTGAAGCTTGCAGCTGGCCACATCAGGGAGAATAAAATCGGCCATTCATAAAACAGTGACCTTGTTCTTCTTTGCATCTCCAAAGTCAGGCATATAATAGGAAAACAATAAATGCTTGCTCCTGGAATGCACTGAAGGCATCTATAACCACTAACTGAGCCCAAAGTGTGTGGTGTGCCTTCGAAAGGGAGGAGACAGTGGTTATATCAGATTCTTTCTCAACCTTCAAGGCTCCATTCAAATCTCACATCTGGCACAAAGCACTACGGAGTCCAATCCACACTGATTCTTCTCTTTTTTTTTTTTTTTTCCCCAAAATAGAGTCTTGCTCTGTTGCCCAGGCTAGAGTACAGTGGCACGATCTCGGCTCACTGCAACCTCCACCTCCCATGTTCAAGCAATTCTGCTTCAGTCTCTCGAGTAGTTGGGATTACAGGCATCCGCCACCACTCCCAGCTAATTTTTGTATTTTTTTGTAGGGATGAGGTTTCACCATGTTGGCCAGGCTGGTCTCGAACTCCTGACCTCAAGTGATCCACCCACCTCGGCCTCCCAAAGTGCTCGGATTACAGGCATGAGCCCCCGTGCCCAGCCTGATCTTTCTCTTTTTCAGTCCTTATAACAAATTAAATATAGTCATTCCAAGGTGTGTGTTAGTCCTCTTTCCTCAGACACCCTATAAATTTATGAAGGGAAGAGAAACTAATTTTAAATGATTTTGCACAGTACCAAAGCATGTCACAGGCAGGAAATGAGTATTTGATTGCTTGATTTAGTTCTATGTCCAGTGTGTACTTGTCCAGAATTACCTGATGAACCCTAACTTGACGAGAAGAAAGGCACATTGGATATGCACAGAGCAGATCCAGATTCTGGTACCCCTGGGGGTGTGAATGAACAGAGGTGTTCTTGCCGGCCTCCATAATAGTGTCTCTCTTTGGCCAGCACCTCATTTTTGTAACCAAAACCAGTATACAAACACCAGCATTTTACACAAACTAAAAAATAGCTCCCAACCATCTATTCATGGCATTATTAACCAACAGTAAATTCCACTTGGAGATTATTTCCTCTAATTAGATGGACTGAGAAGTGATCCCAAGTCCCCCAGAAAGAGACTACAGGCAACTGCAACCTCCCCTGTGATTAGATACACCATCAAGGAAATGATTCAATCCCAAGCCACTGAGAGCTGCCTGCTCTCATTAAGAAAGAGCTTCAGGCCGGGCGCAGTGGCTCACGCTGTAATCCCAGCACTTTGGGAGGCCGAGGCAGGTGGATCACAAAGTCAGGAGTTCAAGACCAGCCTGACCAAGATGGTGAAACCCTGTCCCTACTAAAAATACAAAAATTAGCCGGGTGTGGTAGCAGGCGCCTGTAATCCCAGCTATTGGGGAGGCTGAGGCAGAGAACTGCGTGAAGCCGGGAGGCAGAGGTTGCAGTGAGCCGAGACGGCACCACTGTACTCCAGCCTGGGCAACAGAGCAAGACTCCGTTCTCCCACCCCTCCCCCCAGAAAAAGAGCTACACACTTGACATGTTCAAGCCTGTTAGCTGGACACCTCTTTCCTTCACAAACTCTGTGCGTTTCCCTTTCATATACCAGGAATTCTCAGGGACCATCATTATCACCATCATAACAAGCCTCCACAGTCATAGAATATCTTCTCACTTTTTGAAATGCTTTCACACCTAACTACCTCATTTAATACTTACAGACACCCTCAAGACAGGTAGACAAGATGGACTGTCTCACTGCACGTTAGTGCAAACATCAGAGAAACTGGCCTAAGGCCACAGCCAATGAACAGATGAAGGAGGCCTACAACCACCTAGCCTCCCCTGCCTCCACCTTCCTTCTCCCCTCTTCCGTCCTTACTTCACCACTGACCAATGGATTGCAATGTAGTTGCTCCGTGTCTTACTATGGGGTGCCAGGAAAGACAGCTTCTTTGAAAGAGAGCACCCCATATTTACTAAAAGATCAAGTGTCCCTGCAGAAAACGCTGCCACTCACAACCCTAGTCTTAACTGATGTGTTTCACCATATTGAAGGCAAGTTGCCATCTAACATGGTTGACCGGGAGCCAATTGTGGTGTTCTCATCTTTGTTCATGCTGTCAATGTGACATATGAAAGAAATATGAACAAAGTGACAGGAGGAAAACAAAGCCCTTGGCTGGTGTGAGATACACAGACGGGGTGTTAGCCGCACACACACTGCAACTGGGTCAAGTTAACACCTTGTTTTTCCCCACATATGCGGTGTGGAAAAGCTATTTGTAAAATGTGTTTAAATATTTAGGACCAAATAAGTCAAGATTGTTGGGAAACATTGACTCTGACCGGAACTCATTTACTTGCCCTAGTCCAACGTGAATAACAAAACTGAGAATATCAGGACAATTCAAGACCGGGAACAGTACAGATGTTCAACACTTTCACCCGGAATTCCCACACAGGCCTGCTTTCAGCCTCCACACCGGCTGGTGACCCAGCAGGAACAGTACGAAGACAAGAATCTCAGAAGAGCAGCCTTGTGAAAAATCTTTAGGGCCAAGGGAACAAAACAAATCTTCTAGAAGTTACCTGACTCTGCAATTCACTTTGCTGCTTCAGGCGAAGATTTTCAGGTGTATCTGCCACCGTGGTGAAGGACTGCTTCGGGTAGTGTCTGTGGGGAAATTTTTTAAAAGGACATAATTAAAATATTGTGCTACAAAACAACACTTTCACACCCATTGTTTTGCACATCCCCCCTTTTCCCAACCCCATCACAGTGGAAGAGGGACCTGAGCTTGGCTAAGGTCATCTCTCTGTCATTATTCCAGACCTCATCCCATTCTCATGGCTCTGTCGCCCAGACATCCTCACTCTCTCCCACAGCTTAACCTTGACTTCTCTTTTCTAAGCGCATCTTCACCCATGCTCAAGGTTCTCCTAACCTCCACCGTTCCTGCACCCCACACACCCTTCCAGCATGTGTGCCAAATCATCCATCCTCCAACCAAACTTCCTGACAAAGAAGCCTCACCTCACAGTGCCTGCCCATCTCCTCTCCGACTCATTCCCCAACTCTATGACTGGCTTCTGGCTTCCGTTTCTAGAAGTTTCTCTTGCCCGTTATAATGACTTTCTGTGGACACAACCAACAGACATCTTGTAGTCCTCCTCTTGGGCGGCCTCCCTCCATCTTGAAATGTCGTCTCCCCGGGTTTACACACACCCCTGGCTCAGCTGCTCCCTCTAGTGGTTCCTTCCCTGTCTCCTGCAGGCTCCCCTAAGTCTGTGTATCTCCCCACTCAAGGTCCTCACCTGGGATCTCTTCTCTTCTCAGTCTACACCATCACCTGGGGATCACATCATTCCCACAGCTTTGGGGCCTCTCTGTGAGCTGACTACTCCGAAGTCTGAGTTTCAGATCCAATAGCATTTCCATTTGCAGATTCCATACCCAGCACAACTCCACCAGTCCAAAACACAGCTGTTCATCACCCCACCCCTCCATAACACAAGTTCCTCCCCTGGATCTTCTTTTTCATTTATTATATTAGTGCCCCGTAGCCCAAGTCAGAAAGCTGGGAGTAATCTAGATTCCTCACACATCCAATCACTCGTTCACCAAATCTATTGATCTTGTCTGCAAATATATCTCAACTATTTACTTATATAAATGTATATATGTGTATATGTCTCCATCTTGACTCCATTTTTTAATTGTCGGCCACATTTATCGTTTAGGTGACTACAGCACTAGCCAGTCTTGCCCTTCCCATCTGAGAACAAATGTTCTCAAATGCAAATCTGATCACGTCACTCCCCTGAGTAAAACCTTTCAACGGCTTCCAGTTGATCTTGGAATAAAGTCTGGCCTCCTGTCTGCCAAGGCCCCCATGGCCAGGCCTCTGCAGACTTCTCACTGTGAAAACTGCATGCTCTTGCTGCAGGGATCACTTCAGTCCCCTGAGTTCCCCCTTCTCGTTCCCACTGCTCCCCTGACACGTTATTCCCCTTTCCTGGAAAACCCATCCCTCTTCCCATCCTACTGCCCATTTTTTATAAACTGTGTTTATTTTTCAGGTCTTGCCTTAGATGTCACTTTCTCCAGGAAGCTCTCCTGGCCTCCCAAGTTTGGGTCAGGAATGGCCCCTGGATGGACTTTTCTGCCCCTGTGCTAATGCTTATCTTGCTCATGGCTTTTCCTATTGGCAGGCCTCTGCCTCACAGTACAACGAAAGTTCTGTGGTAGCAATAGTGGGCTGTCTTGTGCCTTGCTGGGGTGCATTCCTGCCTATATCGCTAGCACCTGCTAGTGTCTGCCTCTTAGTGTGACCTCAGTAAATACTTGTGGACAGAAGAAACGAAGGGATGGAGGGAGCAGAACAACCACACAAGGAGCCCATGCCTTGGCTACAGTCAAACTTCAGCGTGTCCTATAAGGCATGTCGTCGCATTTGTGCAAACATTCAGCGGCCTCTTATGTTCACAGATGACTCCCCTGGTGGTGAGGAGATGGCATTTCCTCCCTGTGTGCAGGTAAAGACTCAAACACTGATTCAGAGCTGCTGTCCCATCTACTCACTGCTCCCATGTTCGGCTGGCGCTGAGGAGACACCTTTAGCTGCTGTGACCCCATGGTCACAAAAGCCACAGAGCTCAGAGCTGCTCCTCAAAGAACATCCTCCCTGTTTGCTTCTTTCTAGCCCCTCTCCTTTCTGGTATCCACGTGTGTCTCTTCCTGTGGCTTCTCTAACATCCTCACTGTTTCAAACTCGACTCTCCTGGTAAAAGTTTCTTTTCAGCATCCCTGTCCCTGGCGTCCCATGAGAAGGCTGATGCAGTAATCATTTGTCGGTGCAGATAAAGCCTACCCAAAGCACGCTAGCACTTGCGAAATAAAGATTAAATATTGTAGCTCCCACGGAGTCAGATTCGTGGTAGGAAAATGTACATGCAATTCTCATTTTTCCAGCATTCTTCAGGAATTTAATGTCCCATATAAGCCAATGTTCCAGGTAATTGGAGTTAACCCCATAACTGCTGGACTCATTTTAACTATTTTAATTAACATCCTTCAAAACCCTTTACACAATTTTCCTGCCTTCTTAGAGTATAAACGAATCTAGTTATATTTTTTCCTGATAATGTAGGGTCATCTTAATAGATATTATCAGACCATGATACAAAGAAGTCATGCTTTTGAAGTTTGTAAAGGTAAATAACCCAAATCATACAAGATGATTATGCTTGTATAACCGCTGGACTGTCAAGAGATAATTTCTCACACACAGCATTCGGTTCTGCCTCATCTTCTCTAGATAGTCAAGTTGTTTAAAATGTTGGTAAATACCAGAGTTATTGATTCAAACGAGTAAGGTGTAGCAGGTAAGGTCTTTTGCTCTCCTTATGCTGAAGTCAGACAAAATGTTGGCCACACTCTTCCAGGGGCTACTTCTGAACTATGTTCCAGACAATAGACAGAGGAAGTTAGGCAGACAACTCTGGTGTGTTATGTAATATTTGCAAGTTCCAACTTGGGAAGTTGAACTTTACTGAACTTTAAAATGTAGCAACTACGTATGGCTGTATTTTAAAGCTATAGTAACAACTGAGCATGTTTTCTTGTGTTTTGTTTTTCAAAATGTATTCTGTGGGATAAAGTTGCCACTGAGATTTTCAGGTCTCTACAATGATTAATTTGAAAATTTTACATATGGATTTTAACCATTTTTTAAACTGTAATTAGAATCCACTGTCAAATGTGTTACAGAAAGTTTAGCCCGTTGAGAGATCCCCTTCATACTAACTTGCAGGTTCACTCAGTTTGGGGGCATGCTTTGGGGAACAACCTTCTTCTGCCATTTACCTTTAATTTAAAATTCTGGGCCAGGCACAGTGGCTTACCCCTGTAATGCCAGCACTTTGGGAGGACGAGGCAGGTGGATCACTTGAGGTCAGGAGTTCGAGACCAGCCTGGCCAACATGGTGAAACCCAGTCTCTACTAAAAATACAAAAAAATAGCCAGGCATGGTGGCGCACACCTGTAATCCCAGCTACTTGGGAGGCTGAGGCAGGAGAATCGCTGGAACCCAGGAGGCGGAGGTTGCAGTGAGCCGAGATTGTGCCACTGCACTCCAGCCTGGGAGACAGAGTGAGACTCCATCTCAAAAATAAATAAATAAATAAATAAATAAAATAAAGTAAAATTCTGCTTAATTATTTAATTAAAGAGTATCCTGAGATTGAAAAGTGAACTGTTAGAGGAGAGTGCAATTTGTGTCTCTTCACTATGTGTGCACAAATTTCCTCCATGCAAGACAAAAATGAATTCTATTTGGATAGTAATGAACTTCACTTGCTGCCCATACCACTAAGTTTGAAGTATCATTTCAGGAAAATAATTGAATTGTTCTCACCATTTGACTTTGCAACATGAAAGGGTGATAGAACTTATAAAATATATGCATATAAATAAAACACTACTTTGATAAGTTTGGTATGAGCATCAAAGTTCTATTTGGAAAAAGTGTTACTCTGGGGAAAAAAAAAAAAAACATTGAAAAGCTTCTACTGTCTTTTAGAAAAATATTCTGCTAATCTCATGACCAAAGTGCAAACTTACTAGCATACTATGCAATGTATACTGATATCTAGGACTAGAAACATATAACAATGCTTTGTACTTTTTCCAATTATCTTTTTAAATCCTAAGATTTAATGATTTTTTAATAGTGGGTTAATCAGTATGTAGCATAACTTTCTCTAAAGATGCATAACAGGAAGAAACTATCCAAAATCTTGATGTAGGAGAGAAAAAGTTCAATTTAGTATTAGTAACGAAAATAATAAATGCTGAGGGAAAGAAGGAATTTATACCTGAAACTACCAGGGATCATGAGAACTAAAATGAATTAAAACCTGAGGATTGGGGGATTCACATTATATTCAGAGCTAGCAAAATGCAAGAGAATAAGATCTTCCAAAAAAAAAAAAAGAAGGCTTAACTATTGAGAAAGAGTGGGATGGCCTCATGAGTTGAGACCATAAGACTCAGAAGAAATAAGTGTAATTATAGAGATGGCAACTCATACTGCCTTATACTGAAAATGAAAATTACAATATCTGTAGGAACCTAATTAATTTCAAACTCAACACATCTGAAAATCCCATCAAACACTGGATTTCTCAACATCATGTCCATGTAGTAATGTCCATCTAATCTAATCCGACAACATTCTGCTCTGAAGTCACAATCTCAACTTCCACTCACCCACCACTCCACCTCTCCAGCAAAAAAAGAAAAAGAAAAGAAAACCAGATAAGATAAGAAATAAACTGAGGGGCTGGTGGTCCTCATACGATTATAGAAGAGAGAAGTCAAGCATCTAACACGAATCGGTAGCACCATACAATTAATTCTAAAGCCCTTTCCAAACACTGCATTCAAAAGATTGTGAAAGGTCTTCCTAAAAAATTGTCTTGAATAGAAATCTTAAGGAAAACAGAAGATTTCTCCACCAGGCCTAGAGGAAGAATAACACTTTTTTCCTCCTCCATATTGGAGTAAGAATGTAGGAAGAAGACACAGGGCATGAGAAATGGATGTTCAAAGAGAATCAGGAAACAAAAAAAAAAGGAGGAATGGATGAATTGACACATTCATAAGTTTCATGGAAAACAAAACATAATTGTGGAAATATGACATGTAACGCATTCAGAGCTGGTTGAGAGATGTGGGGAATATGCTGAAATGTTTAGCATCATAAACAGAAGTCTCTTAGATGAGCTATGCAAGAATTGGCTGAAGTGTGTGTATCAAGACTGAGCTGACAGTTGCAACAAATCCAGATTTCCATAAAATGCTGTATTAAAAATAAAGACAGAGAGAATCAAGATAATAATAGAAGACTGCATCTGAAATAGTAAAGTTAGGTCACAGAAAGATGACTTCAAATTTTTTTTCTCTGTGAGATTCAGTTGTTAAAAATATAGGAAAAGTTATATGCAAATCACTAGACCTCGTCAGAGCTCGTCAAAATGCAGGAAGCGACATAAGCAAATGGCAACCTCCATGGAGATGGGAATGAGAAAGAACATGACTGGGGAGAGCGAGAACCCAGAAACACTCTCTTTTTATCCAGATTCCGGTGCTTATAGGAGCACAGGAGTCAAAGTGCCTGGGTTTGTACTTGGCTTGTCTACCTTCCATCTGTGTGCCTTTGGGTTAGGTTTCTTAACCTCTCTGGCCTCAACTTTCTCATCTATAAGAAAAACATAAGAGTAGCACAATTCAGGCTTGCTGCAAAATTCACACATGCAAGTCATTTGAAACCATTTGTGGCTCATAGTAGGCACTCAAGAAAATGTCTACCATTACTTATAATATTATTATCACTATTACTATTAATATTATGGCTACTAACTACTACTACTTTCTCTTTGCTCTCCTGCAAAGTAATTTAACCTCTGTGTCTCACGACCTTCATCTATATAGTCGGAATAAAATATTCCTGGTTCTCTCATGAAGTTGCTGCTGGAATCACATGAAAAAGTTTTATAAATGGAAAACTACTGTAAATGAGAAACATTAGTGAACAACTCAGACATATAAAGCTAAGATCTTCATGGATTTATTTTCTGTAAAACCCATGTTTTCATACTGTCCTCAGAGGACATTTGGCAATAGGCAACGTCCGGAGACATTTCTGGTTGTCTCATTTGGGAGTGAGTAGGGAGGGGAAAATACTACTGACATCTCGTGGTCAGGAGGCCAGAAATGAGGCTATCCTACAGTACACTGTACAGCCCCTCCCTGACAGACTTATCCTGTCCCAAATGTCAACAGTGCTGAGGTTAATAAGTCTTGTTTAATAGATATAAATCTCTAACATTATAGGCAACCACTAATTTTAAGACTTCTAGCTCTAACAAATCTCTAAACTTTGTTTTCATTCCTGTCTCCTGGTGAAATCAAACAGCCACCATGGCCCCTTAATCTTTTGCCATATTCTAAATCGATTATATCCATCTCCATCTTCTCCCTCCTGAGCACTTAAGTCCACCTTCTCTGGCTTTCCGTTTACCTAACCACTGTCACATTTACACTCAAACTAGAGGATCTGAGAGCAGAATTCAGATGTCAAAAGAATTTGTTGCTATATGATGATTTCCTTATGGGCTTTATGTGAAAATGAGTTAACATGGCAGGGCTGCCTGCTAGCATTCATTTGAAAGGCCTGCTTAGAAGGATGGCCCTTCTCTGGTGTCTGGGAACTTGAATTTGGGGAGGGTTTTCTACCATCATTAACCACCAAGAGTGGTTCACTGTGCTGAAGCTGTTTGTACAAACAGCTAAACACCTGCTTTCTTTATGGGTGTCTGGAATTTGGTGATAACCCACTCCCCCTCTTGGCCACCCATGGGCACTAAGTCTCTAAGGAGCTTCACTGGTTGGCAGTGTTTGACATAGGTTGTCACAATTCATTGCTGGAGGAGTTAAGCGCATCTTGTGTGGCTCTGCTGGAACAAGCGTCTTGCTTCCTCCTGACATGTCCCCATGCATTTTACCTTTGCTGATTTTGCTCTGTGTCTTTTCACCATAACAAATCATGGCCACATGAATAAGCAGGACTGTATGCTGATTCTTGTGAAACCTCCCAGAGAATCATCAAAACTGAGGATGTTCTTGGGGACCCCAGCACAGGCCCCTTTGTGCGTAACAGGCTTTCATTCATAAAGGAAGAAGTATACTAAATATTTAACGTATTATCTTTAAAAAAAAAACAACAACTTTTTTTGTTTTTTTTTTTTTAATTTTCAGATAGAGTCTCACTCTGTCACCTAGGCTGAAGTGCAGTGGCAGGATCACACATCACCGCAGCCTCGACCTCCTGGACTCAGGTGATCCTCCCATCTCAGCCTCCTGAGTAGCTGGGACCAGAGGCAACTGCCACCATGTCAGGCTAATTTTTGTATTTTTTTGTTGAGATGGGGTTTCACCATGTTGCCCAGGCTGGATCTCGAACTCCTGGGCTCAAGTGGTCCAATCAATTCAGCCTTCCAAAGTGCTAGGATTACAGGCATAAGCCACCACACCTGGCCATATTTTTAAAGAACATTTAAAAAGCAAAAGTTGTGACTTCACATCATGAAACTGGCTTTTTAGCTCCTCCTCTCTGAGTTAGGAGAGAGACCAATCTCTTTGCTGGGGACCATCTTTCACACTCTGATTTTAACCAAGGAAGTCATTTTACCCAATGACCAAGACCATAACTAACTGTTAGGGATGTAGGAAGATGATAGAAGGTTTAAATGTAATTTTAATTATTCCTCCTAAGTCTGAACCACTCCATTTTGTAGGAAAAATGGTTGTTTTATGTCATTCAAAATTATCTTTAAAGAATGAGAAATAGGCCAAGTGCAGTGGCTCACACCTGTAATCCCAGCACTTTGGGAGGCCAAGGCAGGTGGATCACATCACCTGAGGTCAGGAGTTCAAGAGCAGCCTGGCCAATGTGGTGAAACCCTGTCTCTACTAAAAATACAAAAATTAGCCAGGCATGATAGCACACACCTATAATCCTAGCTACTCAGGAGGTTGAGGCAGGAGAATTGCTTGAACCCAGGAGGCAGAGGTAGCAGTAAGCTGAGATTGTGCCACTGCACTCCAGCCTGGCCAACAGAGCGAGACTCCATCTCAAACATCTCAAAAAAAAAAAAAAAAAAAAAGAAGAAGAAGAAGAAGAAGAATGAGAAATAAAACATTTAAAAATAAGCAGACTCTGAGAGAGAGTACCACCATCAGGTCTTCTATGAAGCTACTTATTATAAAGAATACACTGTCAGGAAGAAAGAAAATAATTCCAGAAGGAAAAGCTAAAATGCAAAAAAGGAGAGTGGCAAGCAAATAAAATGTAAATGTGCACACACGCATGCACAGGCACACACACAAACACACATTGTGTGGAATAATAACAGTGTCTACTATATAGGATTTTTTTAAAGACAAAGCTAAAATACTGGACAATAAGTTGAGAGGGCATATGAGAATTAAAGTATTCTAAGATCTTTCTATCCTTCATGAGAAAGGTTAGAATATTATTGAATTTTAGATTTTGTTTAAGCACATGCAATAACATTTTA
Source organism: Homo sapiens (assembly GCF_000001405.40). Taxonomy (NCBI): domain Eukaryota; kingdom Metazoa; phylum Chordata; class Mammalia; order Primates; family Hominidae; genus Homo; species Homo sapiens. The sequence continues at coordinate 21,028,671 of NC_000010.11, forward strand.
AGTATAATCACAAAAAATGGAAATAAGATTACATAAATTCAAATCCTAAAAAAGGGAAAATATCAAATTTTTTAGAAGAACCAAAAATCTAACTCAATATAATTTAAAAAAAAAAATGAAGACAGAGAGAAAAAGCATAGAATAAACAGGACAAATAGAAATTTAACAGTTGGGAGAAACAATTCAATAATCATAAAAATGTAAATAGGCAATACTTGCCAGCTAAAAGATTGATATTGTCATATTTTTAAATTCCACTAAAAAATAGCTATACTAATATGAGACAAAATGCTTTTTAAAATGAAAGTGTTGCTTTCCCGCTCCCAACATGGCGGCCTCAGCAAAAAAGACGAATAAGAAGAGGAAAACTATCTCCCTAACAGACTTTCTAGCTGAGGACTGGGGGACTGGTGGAGGAAGCACCTATGTTTCCAAACCAGTCAGCTGGGCTGATGCAACAGATGACCTGGAAGGAGATGTTTCAACGATTTGACACAGTAATGATAACAATGTGTATAGGGCGCCTCCAATTGACCATTCCATCCTTCCCACTGCTCCACCGGCTGCTCGGGAACCCAATATCAACTGGAGCTTTCTTCCCAAATCGCCACCCTACACTTCTTTTCTAGGGAACCTATCCTATGATGTGACAGAAGAGTCAATTAAGGAATTCTTTAGAGGATTAATTATCAGTGCAGTGCGTTTACCACGTGAACCCAGCAATCCAGAGAGGTTGAAAGGTTTTGGTTATGCTGAATTTGAGGACCTGGATTCCCTGCTCAGTGCCCTGAGTCTCAATTAAGAGTCTCTAGGTAACAGGAGAATTCGAGTGGACGTTGCTGATCAAGCACAGGATACAGACAGGGACGATCGTTCTTTTGGCCGTGATAGAAATCGGGATTCTGACAAAACAGATACAGACTGGAGGGCTCGTTCTGCCACAGACAGCTTTGATGACTACCCGCCTAGAAGGGGTGATGATAGGTTTGGAGACAAGTATCGAGATCGTTATGATTCAGACCAGTCTGGCCGTGGGTATTGGTATGAGTATCGGGATGGCCCATGCCGGGATATGGATCGATATGGCTGGCGGTAGGGATCGCTATGATGACCGAGGCAGCAGAGACTATGCTAGAGGCTATCATTCCTGGATAGGCAGTGGCAGAAGGGCATTTGGCAGTGGGTACCCAGGGACAATGACTACAGAGGAGGCAGGGACCGCTATGAAGACCGATACAACAGATGGGATGATGGGTCGTGCAGCTCCAGAGATGATTTCTCTCGGGATGATTATAGGTATAATGATAGACGTCCCCCGTCCCCCTCAAAGACCCAAACTGAATCTAAAGCCTCATAATACTCCTAAGGGAGATGATTCTTCTGCTAGTACCTCCCAGTCCGGTCGAGCTTATTTTGTCTTTGGAGGGGCAAAGCCCGTTGATAGAGCTGCTAGAGAAACAAAAGTAGAAGAATGGCTACAGAAGGAACAAGATAAGTTGCAGCATCAGCTGGATGAGGCAAAACTAGAATGACGGCCTCGGGAGAGACACCCAAGCTGGCGAAGTGAAGAAACCCAGGAACCGGAGAGGCACCCAAGCTGGCGAAGTGAAGAAACTCAGGAACTGGAACGGTGGAGGACAGGAAGTGAGTCATCGCACACTGGGACCTCCGCCACACCCGGCAAAAGTCAATCAGACCAGGATGCAGGAAGGAGAGAGACTGAAAAGTCTCTAGAAAATGAAACACTCAGTAAGGAGGAAGACTGTCACTCTCCAACTTCTAAATCTACCAAAACTGATCAGCCCCAAAAGGTAATGCCAGCCCCTCCACCAAAGGAGAATGCTTGGTGAAGTGAGGTTCTAACCCTCCTGCTCCATCTCAGAGCTCAGACACACAGCACGAATACCCTACAAGTGGTGGGGGAAAAGTAACTCCAGCTCAACCGTCTGAGAAAGGACCAGCAAGGAAAGATGAAAATAAAGTAGGTGTGGTGAATGTCCCAAAAGACCACACTGGGAACTCTAGCCATGGTCCAGGAGACAGAGGGAACAAAGACCACTGGAAGGAGTCAGATAGGAAAGATGGCAAAAAGGAGCATGACTCCAGATCTGCACCTGAGCCAATATGTGAAATACGGAATTTGTGACAATGATATTAGTCATGTCTCCATGCAGGGGTGGTATTCAAACCACTTAACACCTGTACATCATGGCACTCACCAATCAAAAATGGTATCTGAAAGATCAGAGCAGGCCTGGCTACAAATTACCATTAGGACACACCGGTGTGCACTGATGACCATCACCCTGCCTCCAACAGCTCCCATGTGGAGGAAAAAGCGTGATGCCCACGTGTGCCATATGGAATGAGAACAGAGTAGTAGAAAGAATGAACAATTCTCTCTGTTTGACAATGGCTGTCTTCGTGGATGTCTGTCCCATCTGAGTTAGCTTCATTGAGGATGTCTGCATTTAAGCCCAGAAGTAGTGAGAAAAGGAAACAGCATGTCACTAGGGTGGAGGCAGAGAGATAGGAGGAGAGAGAGAGAAAGAGGATGATGATGAACCCTATGGGGGTCACCCATCACCTGCTCACCATGAGAAAGCTGCCACCACAACTACCCCAGGAAGAGAAAGCCCAGAGCTGCAGAAGCCCAAGGAATCCCATGCTCAAACAAAGAGGTTTCCCCTAGCAGAGGGAACAACAGGAACAAACACAGCCAGAGGACCGCAGGACAAAAACCAGGCATAGCAATGAAGATTGGATGGACCAAGACCACGCCTATTCCTGCCGCGATGGGAGGCCCAGGGGAGCAGTGAGATGCAGCAACTTCAGGCAGAAACATGAACTGGTGAATTTACATCTAAGCGGCGCTGTGTTCTCCCCAAAACAAAAATGTTAACAGATTTGTTTAAGGAAGACCTCCTCCAATGCCTAGAAAATCTGAACTGAAGCCAGCTCCAAGCTGCCACATCAAGAACAGAACAGAGTCAGCCACTTGCTTTTGCAGATGACTCTGCTGCCTGGGCAGTTTCTCCTTCTACCATTTTCTTTCTTTCCCACCGGGAGCCCAAGTTGTAGAAGACCTGAACCCCCAAAAGTCAAGTCCTGGGCCTCCTTCACTCACTTCTTCCAGGACAGAGTATACACATACTCACTTTACTAGTCTTCATGTTTTATTCCCTATAAAAAAATTTTAAAACTCACATTCATTGCACATAAAAGATTCTGTCTGTTAGTTTCAGAACTGTAAAGCAAAACAGCCTATTATATGAGATAACAAGAAAAACAGAACATTTTTCCCTTGAATAAAAAACTCAAAACTCAAAACTCAAAAACTCAAATGAATAAAATGTCCTAGGAAATGGTATAAGAAGCTATTAATAATTTACAAAAATAATCCAAATTGGGTTATAATTTCAGATGTGTAAAATTGTACAAATGAAGAAATTCTCCCATCAAATGTTTTAAGTCTCATGATAACATTAGTGCAACAATTCTACATATTTCCACAGATTTCCCATTTGAGCAGAGCCAGGAGAATCACCATTTAATAGGTAGAGACATTTTAAGATAATACCTTTTTTACATATTGGGGTCAATCTGGGCATTTTCCACTTAATGGAGCCACTTAAGTAAAAATTTGGTAGTGTACCATTAGCACCATTCAACATCAGCCAAAGGCATAATTATAATGACTATAAGCCTGATATTCTTCTGGGATTTTGGGGTCTAAGATGCTTTTTGAGCCTATCTTCCTGTAGTGTTGATGCGATGTCTATTCATGAATTTCCTTCCACAGCCATCGTCTTGTTCTTAATTCTACCACTAACCTTCTTCCCTGTAGCAGCACCTCTATAAACAACTCACATATAATGCCTCTGGTTGCAAACCATCAATTTTATAATTTTTTTAAAAGACGGTGAATTAGAGCACGTAAATGGGGAATGCCCTTCAGAAAGCAGACTTATGAGAGCTGCTGATAGATAACATAAAAGCAAAAAATGGATTATGATAATGTAGGCCTCTCACACGTGAAATACAAGCCCCAGCTGAAAGGAGTTACAGAATCCAAACCCCTGGCTCTCTAAAGGGCAGTCAATAACCTGTCTAACAATTTACCAAATTCTCTTTCTGGCTCGAAGGGTCAAACAGCTTGCCACCTATTGATCTACTTCCTCAGCAGGACTCAATTGTAACTTCTCTCATGTATTTATAAAAGAAGGCATTATCAAAGGGATTATACGGTAAACCTGACCTACCCTACTATGAAATGCTTATCGGCTATTGAAACATGTCACCTAGATTTTGAATTATGGTGTAAAAGGTGAGAAATTAATACACACACACACACACCTACATATTGTTTAAGAAAAATATGAGCTAGTGGAAGAGAGTCTATTCCCTGTGCTGTTGCTGATATTGATCACGGGAATACACAAACAAGGAAATGTGTGACATCGAGCAGCCCTGTGATTTGTGCCCAGGAACACCAACCGGCACTGTTGATTACAGCCAAGAGAAACACACGCAGATTTGGGACTCGAGTATCTAAGATATGAGTATACTCTGAAAAATATCAAAACAAAGTTTATAAGAAAACAGAACATTAGAAGCACAAGAAGGATCACATTCGATTCCTTTGATAAAGATAATAAATAAGTATCATACCTATAGCAAATGTGCAATATGAACAAAAATAATTATTTAAAGCCTAAAGATGGGGGAAAACCATAAAATAATTCTATTTTTAAGAAAAGACCATGTGTAGATGTACATAAATGTGTAAATGTTTAGTTCCCACTTATAAGAATATATCACAAATATTAAAACTTAAATCTCTGTCACTCTCAAAATTCATCCATGTAGAACAGAAATCTCTTATTGAAAATTGTCCCATCTCTACTAAACATACAAAAATTAGCCAGGCATGGCGGTGTGCACCTGTAGTCCCAGCTACTCGGGAGGCTGAGGCAGGAGAATCACTTGAACCTGGGAGGCAGAGGTTGCAGTGAGTCAAGATTGCACCACTGCACTCCAGCCTGGCAACAAGAGCGAGACTTTGTCTCCGAAAAAAAAAAAAAAAGAAAGAAAAGAAAAGAAAATTGTATGATAAAATATCAATATCTCACTTGGCTCTTATGATATGGCTCTCGTTTGGCTCTCAATATAAAACTACATCTTCAAATAAATTATTTCTTTAAAAAACACCAGTCTGGGCACAGTGGCTCACGCTGGTACTCCCAGCATTTTGGGAGGCCGAGGCGGGTGGATTGCTTAAGTCAGAGACTTTGAGACCAACCTGGGCAAAATAGCGAAAACTCATCTCTACAAAAAAATACAAAAATTAGCTGAGAGTGATGGCACACACCTGTAGTCTCAGCTACTAGGGGGGCTGAGGTGGAAGGATTGCTTGAGCCTGGGAGGTTGAGGCTGCAGTAAGCTGTGATTGTACCACTGCACTCCAACCTAGGCAACAGAGCAAGACCCTATCTCGAAAAAAAAAAAAAAAAAAAAAAAGACCCAAACAAAACTAGAAATACCATATTACATTCAGGTATATATTTTCCATTAAAATACTATGGTCTATAAATGTATGGCCCAAAATAATAAATAAGCTAAATAAATTGTGGAAAACTAATAATTAACAATAAAAATAACAAGAACAACCACTACCACCGGCATACTGATCTATGCCTAGCTTATGGGCTACCTCCTGTGCTCAGAGCAGACATTACTAATCACACCACTCTCAGCAGAGTCCAGAAAAGATCCAACATTCTTCTCAGCACAGTAACGCAGGCACCTGTTGCCAGACATCCTAGAGCACAGGATAAGCCTCCTTGCAATACATAGACTCTACTTATTTGACAATTTGCAGATCAGTTATTTCCTAACTTGTATGACTACAAAAGCAATTTCAACAGACTAATATCTATGTAATCATTGGCCTCCACTATGGAGTTAAAGAACTGTCCTTGGGGAGAGGAGGAAACTGTCTAACGGAGGAAACTGTCTAACGCACTTCAATTTATTAAGTTCCAAATTTTATACATTAAATTCATTTAAATATGGTTTTTCAGGATCGATGCACTGAGGGAGGGAAAAATTATACCAAAATTAGCATCTTTTTTAAATTTTTATTTTAAGTTCCAGGGTACATGTGCAGGATGTGCAGGTTTGTTACACAGGTAAACATCTGCCATGGTGATTTGCTGCACCTGTCAACCCATCACCTAGGTGTTAAGCCCAGCATGCACTAGCTATTTATTCTTATTTATTTATTTATTTATTTATTTATTTATTTATTTATTTATTTTTGAGACAGAGTCTCACTCCATTGCCCAGGCTGGAGTCTAGCTCTGTTGCCCAGGCTGGAGTGCAGTGGTGCAATCTCAACTCGCTGTAACCTCCACCTGCCAGGCCCAAGTGATTATCATGTCTCAGTCTCCTGAGTAGCTGGATTGCAGGCGCCTGCCACCACGCCTGGCTAATTTTTGTATTTTTAGCTGAGACAGAGTTTCACCATGTTGGCCAGGCTGTTTTCAAACTCCTGGCCTCAAGTGATCTGCCCGCTTCGGCCTCCCAAAGTGCTGGGATTACAGGCATAAGCCACCATGCCCAGCCCCCAAGCTATTTATTCTGATGCTCTCCTTCCCCCCGCCCCCCAAAATTAGTATATTTTACAACAGTATGTGTTAAAGAAAATGAACTAAGCATTGTGTACAACCTTGTCAACTACTGTGACCCCGACTATTCTCCTCACCTCTTCCAAGCAACTCAATAAGCAAATCACACTTTCTTCCTAGGTACTTCAAGGCAGAATCTAATCACAAAATATATCAGCTCTTCTTTAAATATACTTATTCCTGGCCATCGATTATATAATTAAACTAAAACTCAATAGGTCATTATACTTCTGCTGTGTTCAGTGCCTTGAATCAGGAGAAAGATGTCCAGCTTTAAGCCTTTTCCATCACAGGATAATGGCATAGGAAGAAAAGAAGAACTTTGTGGAAGGTCTGAACTAGACACCATATTTTAAAATAAATATCCTTATTACCTTCAAAATCATACACATTTTCTTCTCAAATGGCAAACCTCCCACCCAAAGCCCAGCTGAAATATTTTTAAATGTACATATATACATATATAACATGTACATACATACAGAGACAGGAAGAAAGAGAGTTGTTTAAAAGAATAAAAGGGCTGGGCACGGTAGCTTAGGCCTGTAATCCCAGCACTTTGGGAGGCTGAGGTGAGCGGATCACTTGAGGTCAAAAGCTCGAGACAAGCCTGGCCAACATGGTGAAATCCCATTTCCACCAAAAATACAAAAATCAGCTGGGCATGGTGGCGCGCACCTGTAATCCCAGCTACTCAGGGAGCCGAGGCAGGAGAATCACTTGAACCCAGGGGGCAGAAGGTGCAGTGAGCCAAGATCACATCACTGCACTCCAGCCTGGGGGACACAGCTGGAGTCTCAAAAGAAAAAAGAAAGAAAAGGACAGGCACAGTGGCTCATGCCTAAAATCACAGCATTTTGGGAGGCCGAGGCAGGAGGATTGCTTGATCCCAGAGACCAACGTGGGCAACATAGCAAGACCTCCTTTCTACAAAAAATTCTCAAATTAGCCAGGCGTGCTGGTGTACACCTCTGGTCCCAGCTACTCGGGAGGCTTAGGTGGGAGGGTCATTTGATCCTGGGAGGTCGAGCCTGCAGTGAGCCATAATTGCACCTCTGCACTCCAGTCTGGGCAACACGGCAAGGATCTGTCTCAAATTTAAAACTTTAAAAAATAAAGAATAAAAGCATTGACAGTAGAAAGGAAAGAAGGAAGACCCCTTAGTTGATAGTCAATGAATAGGAGCAGATTGATAGAAAAACAAAACAGCCAATGATATCAGACAGATAGGGGCTCTGGAAATGTCACCAGGCCCACAATGGCCAGGCTATTCAAAAAGTGCATTCAGATCAGCTGGCTACTCAGGTCCTTTGCACCCTCCTTTTACTCCATATAAGCAAAGCACGTTCCTCCAGCAGAAGAGGCATCTACCCCAGGTACAGATTTAAGCTTGTCTCTACAGAAAGTGAACCATCCGCCTGAGCATGGACATACCCTGTCTTGAGGCCAGAGATGAGGAATATTAGGCCTGGAGGTGACTTGGGTATCTCCACATCAGACACCAGGTAGGGGGAGCAACACTACTCAAGCGTAGAATATTCTAAAGCTCTTGACCCCTGGAATACAGCCCTCCTTGCTTTTGTTTGTTTCGTTTTGTTTATTCCAGAAACTCCAGAGGTTCTCCACCGTAGCTGTTCCCACCTGTGCACTTTACAGAAGCTGGTCTGTTGACACCCCTGGCCACGCACAGCACTTGTAGAAGCCCACAGTCAGCATTCCCAGTCAAGTCTAAAACCTACTCAGGAATCAGGACTTCCCCATTGCAACTGAAACCCATTCTGGCCACCTGTGCTATTCAGCCTCCTCTTTGCTCCTAAAAATGAACAAGCAGCCAGCGACCATCCAGTCATTTAAGAAAACCCAACCAGCAAGAAAGAAAAGAACAAAGATGAAAATGAGGGTGGGGGTGGAGGGGGTGGGGAGAGGGAGAGAGCGAGCACAAGAGAATAAGGCTAGCCCTGGAAGGAGCAGATAATTCATGCATGAGAACCCTGAAAACCATTCAAGAGGATATGACATTACATGATTTTGAATATCACAACAAAATCAAGTTAGATCAATAAAGTAAGAACAAATTGCAAAGAAAAAAAATGGGAATCAGAAATACCAAGGAGCCATTAAAAAATTTAAAAATAAAAATATATGTGTTGAAATTAGTGGTTCATGTGGGTCGGGTGACAGTCAGGGCAGGTTCACCACAAAGGGGCCACAAGAGAGAATTTTAGGGAGTGATGAAATGTTCCATACCTTGATTGTGGCAGTGGTTACTCAACTATATGGGTTTGTCAAAACTCATAGAATCATATTCCAAAAATAAATTTTACTCTACATAAAATTTAAAAAGTGATTTTTTAAAAAATGTGTGATTGTTGAAATAAAATAGTCAACAGAGAGATAGAATAATGGAATGAACATTCAAGATAAATTGGAGGTCAAAAAACACTCCCCTAATGAAGAGTAGAAAGATAGACAAAATGAGAGAAAAGTTAAGGAAACTGTAGACAAATTCATTTAATACGAGGTTCAGAAACAAGAAAGGGAGTAAGAACCATTTGCATCTTCACCTCTGAAGAACAAACTAAATGCCCAGCAGAACGAGCAAAAATGTCTTCATAAGACATACCCTAGGGAGATTTCAGAATCAAAAGTAGATTCTTCAGAAACCTTCTAGAGAGAGAGAGAGAAAAGTTTGCCTCTAAAGTTATGATATCACATCTTCTTATCAGCAAAACTATGCCTTTAAGGTTTTGAGGGCAAAATTACTACCTAACTATGAGGGGAAAAGCATGACATTTTCAATCAAGTAGCAACTCAAGGTTATAACCCATGCACTCCCTCCATATATTTTTTTTATTTTAAGTTCTGGGATAGATGTGCAGAACATGCAGGTTTGTTACATAGGTATATATGTGCCATGGTTGTTTGCTGCACCTATCAACCCGTTATCTAGGTTTTAAGCCCTGCATGCATTAGGTATTTCTCCTAATACTGTCTCTCCCCTTTACTGCCAGCCCCTGGCAGGCCTCGGTGTGTGATATTCTCCTCCCTGTGTCCATGTGTTCTCATTGTTCAACTCCCACTTATGAGTGAGAACATGCAGTGTTTGGTTTTCTTGTCCTGTGTTAGTTTGCTAAGACTGATGGCTTACAGCTTCATCCATGTCCCTGCAAAAGACATGAACTCATTCTTTTTTATGGCTGCATAATATTCCATGGTGCATATGTGCCACATTTTCTTTATCCAGTCTATCATTGATGGGCATTTGGGTTGGTTCCAAGTCTTTGCTATTGTAAATAGTGCTGCAATAAACATATGTGTGCATGAGTCTTTATAGTAGAATGATTTATAATCCTTTGAGTATATACGCAGTAATGGGATTGCTGGGTCAAATGGGATTTCTGGCTCTAGATCCTTGAGAAATCACCACACTGCCTTCTACAATGGTTGAACTAATTTACACTCCCACCAACAGTGTAAAAGCATTCCTATTTCTCCGCATCCTCACCAGCATCTGTTGTTTCCAGACTTTTTAATGATCACCATTCAAACTGGCGTGAGATGGTATCTCATTGTGGTTTTGATTTGCATTTCTCTAATGACCAGCGAAGATGAGCTTTCCTTCATATGTTTGTTGGCTGCACAAATGTCTTCTTTTAAGAAGTGTTCTGTTCATAGCCTTCGTCCACTTTTTGATGGGGCTGTTTTTTTTTTTTTTTTTTTTTTTTTTGTAAATTTGTTTAAGTCCCTTGTAGATTCTGGATATTAGACCTTTGTCCAATGGGTTACTTGCATAAATTTTCTCCCATTCTGTAGGTTGCCTGTTCACTCTGATGATAGTTTCTTTTGCTGTGCAGAAGCTCTTCAGTTTGATTAGATCTCATTTGTCAATTTTGGCTTTTGTTGCCATTGCTTTTGGTGTTTTAGTCATGAAGTCTTTGCCTATCCCTATGTCCTGAATGGTATTGCCTAGGTTTTCTTCTAGGGTTTTTATGGTTTTGGGTTTTACGTTTAAGTCTTTAATCCATCTTGAGTTAATATTTGTATAAGGTGTAAGGACGGGTCCAGTTTCTGTTTCTGCATATGGCTAGCCAGTTTTCCCAGCACCATTTATTAAACAAGGAATCCTTTCCCCTTTGTTTTTGTCAGGTTTGTTGAAGATCAGATGGTTATAGCTGTAAAAATTGATATAGGACATTTTCTATGACGACAAGAAGATTCAAGAGAGAACTAAATTATGTAAAAGATTCAGTAACCACTGAACATAACTTAAAATGGTGTTTTTAAAACTTTGATTGGAGCCCACAGTAAGAGATGCATCTCACCTCACAGCTCAGTACATGCCCAGATGCATATAAAATGCAAGCTTCGGAATAATACCTAGACTAATTTTGTGTGATGCCCTTTAACTTTTTCTATTTTATTCTAATATATTCCTTTTTTCTTAATGTTTGTCTTGACCCATCAAATCAATGCCCTGACCCAGTAAATGGAGCCAATCCATAGTTTGAAAAATACAGACCTCACAGAAGCAAGCAGGAAAACAATTAACCATGAAGAATGGGAGGATGCAGTAGACCGTGACATGTGGGATGATCCTTTTGACTGGCAGAGGTTTAATAGCATAGGATTACACAGCCAGAGAATATTTTTGAAATACCAACTGTTAGTCTGTTTGTGTTGATATAAGAATACCTGAGCCTGGGTAATCTCTAAAGAAAGAGGGTTTAACTGGGCGTGGTGGCCCACACCTGCAATCCCAGCACTTTGGGAGGCTGAGGCAGGTGGATCACGAGGTCAGGAGATTGAGACCATCCTGGCCAACATGATGAAACCCCGTCTCTACTAAAAATACAAAAATTAGCTGGGTATGGTGGCGGGTGCCTGTAATCCCAGCTACTTGGGAGGCTGAGGCAGGAGAATCGCTCGAACCCAGGAGGTGGAGGTTGCTCCAGCCTGGTGACAGAGTAAGACTCCATTCAAAAAAAAAAGAAAGAAAGAGGGTTTATTTGGCTGACAGTTCTGCAAACTGCACAGGGTGCATGGCACCAGCATCTGTTTCTGGTGAGGCCTCAGTAAGCTTCCAGTCATGGCAGAAGGTGAAGGGGGAGCAGGTATGTTACCTGGTGAGCGAAGGAGAAATAGAGGAGAGAAGGAGATGCCAGACTCCTTTAAACAGCCAGCTCTCATGTGAACTAACAGAGCGAGAACTCACTCATTACCATGGGGAGGACACAAAGCCATTCATGAGAGATTGGCCCCCATGACCCAAACACCTCCCACCAAACCCCACTACCAACCTTAGGAATCACATTTCTTTTTTTTTTCTTTATGGTTTGGATTTGTGTCCCCACCCAAATCTCATGTCAAATTGTAATCCCCAATGTTGGAGAAGGGGCCTCATTAGAGCTGATTGGATCATGGGGGGATTTCTCCCTTGCTTTTCTTGTGAGAGTGAGTGAGTTCTCATGAGATCTGGTTGTTTAAAAGTGTGTAGCACCTTCCCCTTAGCCCTCTTCCTCTTCCTCCAGCTATGTAACATGTCCCTGCCTCCTCTTCACTTTCCACCTAAGTTTCCCGAAGCCTCCCCAGCCATGCTTCCTGTACAGCATGTGGAACCAAGAGCCAATTAAGCCCATTTTCTTTATTAATTACCCAGTCTCAGGTAGTTCCTTATAGCAATGTAAAGAACTAACACACTTTCCAACTTTTATTTTAGGTTCAAGGGCTCCATGTGCAGATTTGTTACATGGGTAGACTGTATGTCATGGGGGTTTGGTGTACAGATAATTTTGTTAACCAGGTAATCAGCATAATACCTGATAGTTTTTCAGTCCTCACTCTCCTCCCACGCTCCACCCTCAAGTAGGCCCTAATGTCTATTGTTCCCTTCCTTGTGTCCATGTGTATTCAATGGTTAGCTCCCACTTATGAAGGAGAACATGCGGTATTTGGTTTTCTGTTCCAGCTTCATTCTAGAGCTACAGATGTCCCATCAAAAGCTTGCAAAGCCACTGCAGCTTCAATACTGCCACAGCACTGTCAAGATGGAGCAAAGACAACATCATCATCACCACTAACAACCAAGGGAAGATGCAGACAACATGGAAAAAAGCCGAGAAGAAAAAGGAGAGTTTTGACCTGAGAGAGAAATTGCTTTTACTAAAAACAAGCAATAACAGAAAGAAGGTTATACTAACCTTCAGCCCATTCTTAAATGCCTTTGAGATTTAAAATCACTAGAAGGATAGTTAGATATACAGCTATATGGCATTCCCTCTACTCTTTTTTTTATTATTATTGAAAGCAAGTTTATTAAGAAAATAAAAATAAAAAAATAGCTACTCCATAGGCAGAGCAGCGGCATGGGCTGCTCGACTGAGTATACTTATAGTTATTTCTTGATTATATGCTAAACAAGAGGTGGAGTATTTATGAGTTTTCCAGGGAAGGCGTGGGCAATTTCCAGAACTGAGGGTTCCTCCCCACTTTAGACCATATATAGTAATTTCCCGATGTTGTCATACATTTGTAAACTGTCATGGTGCTGGTGGGAGTGTCTTTTAGCATTCTAATGCATTATAATTGGCATACAATGAGCAGCGAGGATGACCAGAGGTCACTTTGATTGCCATCTTGGTTTTGGTGGGTTTTGTCCGGCTTCTTTACCACGTCCTGTTTTATCAGCAGGGTCTTTGTGACTGTATCTTGTGCCGACCTCCTATCTCATCCTGTGACTAAGAATGCCCAACTTCCAAAGCTCTAATGCTAAAAATTACTTACATTTACTGAGCACTTAGTACGGTGCTAGGTACTCCTCCAAGGACTCTGTATTTAACGTCTCATTTAATCCTCCCAACAACCTTATGAGGTACATACTCTCATTTTCCTCACTTTGGGACTGAGGAACGTACGTCTTGGAGAGTACACAGCTAGTGAGTGTTGGATCCAAAAATCTAACACAGGCTTGTCTACCAGCAGTGGGCTAGAGTTGGCTCACACTGGCTCATGGGAGCTGACTGTGCACTTTTTGAGAATTTTATGAGTAAGTTGCTAAATACAGCCATTATTAAAAATTAAATTGTATCAACTTACAGTTAAATCAATGGTAATATAAGCAAAGGTAATAAATGTTCAAATCTCTTCACTTCCTAATTATGTTACTACGTGGTATTATGGTCTCTGCTCTTAGTCACATCTCTTGTATCTGTAAGGGAAAATGCCATCAGGATGTGCCTTTGCACTGTTCTTTCCAACTTCAGATCATGTAATGCCAGCTTGATGGCTTGAAATTTACCATGGTGGGAGTATTTTTCACCACAGAAAATCGCAAACACTGCAAATCAGGCCTTTTTGTTCTCTGAGAGAGCTGGTTTTTAACCATTGACCAGCAAACCTCTGGATTCTTCCTGCAGACCACAAGCTCTTAATGCAACAATTTTCTCTTTCACATGATAAGAAGTACACATTCATTTTGATTAACAAAAACAAATGGCTTTCACAGAGAGCCTTTGCTTTCACTTAAAGAATTAAACCACATGAAAAGTAAAAGTAGCTAACTCCATTGAACCATTTAATTAAGTCCTCTGAGGAAGACTTTTCTTTTCTTCTTCAAAAATAACATTGCCCAAGAAATCAAGGAGAGAAGGTGGAAAAGTCTGCTGTGTATGCAAACAAGAAAGGACAATGCTTCCACCAATATCTCCCTGTAACCTACTTATACAGCTCTTCTAGAGACTTAAATCTGACAGAAGTAGGCCTTTTTCCCTCATATAGCACATTTTGTATCTTAAAAAGGGTCTCAGACGATATCCCAGCAACAGCCTTTCCTCATTACACACTATCTCATAGTACAATGCTTCACATCCAACAGATGGTGGAGCCATTTTTGATACTTTTCTTTTTTTCAATAAAATGGAGCAACACCAACCAGTTGTCATCCTACAAAAAAACAGCCGTCAACATTGACGAATTTAGAAGCAGCCCTGTCAGAATTTTGAAAGCCTGCAATCTTACAAAAATCCAAGATCTTCGAGTGTGCTTTCTATGCACAATAAACAGGATAATTAGCTCTTTTCCTTGAATGCTAAACTTTCTCATTTAAAAGGGACAACTTTAAGATATCATTCTTCAAATTTTAATTTTCTCTTTAACTAAATAGCATGCATGTGACTCAATTTTGTGCATACAGACACACATACATGATTAAAGGAATTCTCTTTTTAACTTATTTATAAACTAGATTTCCTTTGTACTGAAAAAGAACTGCAGATGGGAATATTTTAATATCATCACCTTTCCTAGTGAGAGAGTTGCACACGTTGTAACTGTCACTCCCCAGCAACAGATCTGCCACGCCAAACAATTGAGGTCTCTCAAATATTCATTTTTTCAACAAATAATTAGGATGTATCAAATAATAATCATGTTATATTTATTCAACATAGATGCATCAGACTATGTAACCATATGTAAGTTTATGTATTTGTTTTTATTATCTATTATAAAATTTAAAAAGTTGCCAATTCAGGATGAGAAGAGAGAATTATAAAATGAGTGGAGAGATCCTAGTCTACAACTCTAAATAGATCCACAGTGTGCATATGGCCACCTGAAGCTCCTTTCTACAGATTCGTCTAAAAACAGGGTAGGATATTTCTTCTACAGAAAGCTGATGTTGGATATTATTTCAGAGGAACATTCCCTAAACAATGCTCCATGGAACACAGATTCCACAGAATGTTAAAAAGCCACCATAGGCAGGGCACGATGGCTCACGCCTGTAATCCCAACAATTTTGGAGGCCAAGGCGGGCGGATCACCTGAGGTCAGGAGTTCGAGACCAGCCTGGCCAACATGGTGAAACCCCATCTCTACCGAAAATACAAAAATTAGCTGGGCGTGGTGGTGGGCGCCTGTAATCCCAGCAGCTCAGGAGGCTGAGGCAGGAGAATCGCTTGAACCCGGGAGGCGGAGGTTGAAGTGAGCTGAGATGGTGCCACCGCACTCCAGCCTGGGTGACTGGGTGACAGAGTAAGAATAAAAAAAAAAAAAAAAAAAAAAAAAAAAAAGCTCCTAACTGCAAGATTTCTCAGATTTGGTCCTCTTTTTCCAGGAACATCTTACACAACTGGTACACTTCAGAACATATCCTGAGAAATGCTGATTCATGCAGTGCTGTAGCCAAGTATTTAAATAGGAGAGGGGTGCTTAAAAGAAGAGAAAATAAATTCACATGGCTGTTCACAGATTCTTCCCACCACACTGAGATTTCCAAACAAATCCATTTGCTTTTGCTATTTCTTAAATGTGTTCTTCTTCCTTGCTAAATGGTCAACATCTATGTACCCTTTATCACCCTGCTCAAATGCCCCTGCTCCGTAAGCTCTTCTCCATAATACTGCATGATCCCCCAGCCACAGATTCATATCAGCACTTCTGCAACTCACTCAGGATAATCCATCATGACATTTGTGTGCATGCCCATTGTCCCTAATTGCCGGTATGTTTGTCTAGGGGAGGAGGAGAATTGACAAAAATACTTAATGAATAAATGAATTACTAAAAGACTGATTAACTGAAAGAATGATACAACAAACAGCTCACTGGAAACTAGTGAAAATAAAAAAAGTATAATTGGCTTGAAATACAGGCATTCTCAGAAGAACGTTAATTATAGACTATTTTGCTAAAATGAAAATTCAGCCTTTTTTCTTCAAATACATCCACATTCTCATGGGCCTCCATAAATTGTTAAAATTAAAACTGTATCTTTAAAATTGCTGTATGACTTTGACTCTGTGCCTCTGCTTAAAGTGAGTAATCTTTTTTATGGTTTCTGAATTGTAGGAAATACTAAAGTAAATTAATAGAATCAAAAGAAAATGTATGCTCAGAGATGAAATCTGACCATTCAAGTATTGAACAAACCATAATTCATTGGAAAATTTAATTTACACATTTAAAGAAATATGTTCCTTTTGTTTTAGGTGTCACAATCTCAATCTCGCGATACTAACTGCTAAAAACCAAAAGCATATGCATAAATGTCATTGACTCCAGTGCTCAAAAACTCATAATACACCAAAAACCACTGTGAATGTTCAATTGCTTAAATAATCAATCTACTCTGGTCAAGAAATAAAGGGAGAAAGAAACTGAATAGTAAGAAAACAAATAACCTGATTAAAAAGTGGGCAAAGGACCTGAATAGACATTTCTCGAAAGAAGACATACAAATGGCCAACAGGTGTGTGAAAAATGCTCAACATCACCAATCATCAGGGAAATTCAAATTAAAACCACAATGGAAAATCGCCTCACACTTGTTAGGATGGATGTTATCAAAAAGACAACACATGTTGGCAAGGATGTGGAGAAAAGGAAACCCTTGTACATTGTTGATGAAAATGTAAATTAGTATAGCCATTATGGAAAACAGCATGGAGATTTCCTCAAAAAATGTAAAATAGAATTACTATGTAATCCAGCAATCCCACTACTGGGTATACAGTATATCCAAAGGAACTGAAAACAGTATGTCAAAAAGATACCTGCAATCGCATGTTTATCACAGCACTATTCACAATAGATAAGACACGGAATGAATCTAAGTGCCCGTCGGCAGATGAATGGATAAAAAAATGTGGTACACACACACACACACACGTGTGTGCACTGGAATACTACTTAGCCTTTAAAAAGAAGAAAATCCCGTCATTTGTGACAACATGGATAAAACCTGGAGGGCATTAAGTGAAATAAGCCAGGCACAGAAAGATAAATACCACATGATCTCACTCATCCATGAAATCTAAAAAAGTTGAACTCATAGAAACAAAGCAGAAAATGGTGATTACCAGAGGCTGGGAGATGAGAGGAATAGGGAGATGTTGGTTGATGGGTACAAAACTTCAGTTAGGATTAGTCAGTTCTGGAGACATACTGTACATCATGATGACTACAGTTAATAACAATGTATTTTATACTTGAAAATTGCTAGGAAAATAGATTTTGTAGTGTTATACGAGGTAATACATATGTTAAATAGCTTGATTTAGCCATTACATAGTGTACACATGTATCAAAACATCATGCTAGACACCATAAACATACATAACTTTTGCTTCTCTATTCTAAAAAATAATTAACAAATAAAGGCAGACATATGACTTTTCATTTGTTTTCTGCTTTAAAAAATTTGGATTCTTTAGCGGCAGGTTATAAACCTAACCTCAATACTTTTGTTTTTGTTTTGTTTTTGAGACGGAGTGTGACTCTGTCGCCCAGGCTGGAGTGCAGTGGTGCGATCTCGGCTCACTGCAAGCTCCGCCTACCGGGTTCACGCCATTCTCCTGCCTCAGCCTCCCAAGTAGCTGGGACTACAGGGGCCTGCCACCACGCCCGACTAATTTTTTTTATATTGTTAGTAGAGATGGGGTTTCACCATGTTAGCCAGGATCGTCTGGATCTCCTGACCTGGTGATCCGCCTGCCTCAGCCTCCCAGAGTGCTGGGATTACAGGCATGAGCCACCGCGCCCGGCCCCTAACCTCAATATTTTTATCATTTGTTACTTTGTTTTAATAACTAATGGGGAAGACATCCATTTTGGATGGGGAAAAAAACAAGTATATATATGATTTTAGACCATGGTCTCTTATAGTGTTATATTTTCAAGGAAGTATGGTTTACAGAATAAAATGTGATGAATGTTACTGCCATGCAGACTTTCCAGATGTACTGAAAGTCAATCACTGACTTCCTGATAATGAAAAAGCCACACATTTAAACTATGGGAGAAAAGCAGATCATCTATTTAGTCACTTTTACTCAATCAGCTTGTTGATTTACTCAAGAACAAAAATACAAGATCAACCCAAGTAACAGACACTGATTATGGTCATGAATAAAGTGATGATTGAGACATTCCTTTGTCAAAATGTCTGCCAATACTTGAACAAGTCACATCCTTCCTGGGAGCTCTGTGCCCTAGGACAGTATCCAGTCAGGTACTTGATCAGGAGAATGGGACAGAAAAAAACAAAAATACATGTGGGGTTCTGCAATGCTTTAGTTATTTCTATAGAAGAATCTATTAATAATACAACTCACATTTCTCCTAAACACATTTAATAATAGATCACCTCATATTTAAAACTGCCCCAAATGAAGCTTTTTTTAAAAAAAAAAAGATTTTTTTTAACACACACTCTACTTTGTCCCACAAATAAATGAAGGTAAAGTGGCATAAAACAAATATTGGCCAAGTACATAGCATTGACCAAAAAAATGTGCAGGAGGTTTATGAAAATCTGTGCCTAAAATAACCTGAACAACTATTGTATGAATCAGAGGGGATGAGTCTTAATCCTTGTTCTGCCACCAACTAGCTCTGTGACTTTGACCAAATCACTTCATCTCAAGAGGTTCCCTTTCCTCAGACTGTTAAAAGCAACCGGAATCTTCCCCGCATGCCCGAGCAATATTGTCAAAGGTGTTTGCTGAAATAAATCATGAAGAGATATATAAATTTCAAGTATTATTAACTTTGCCAAGAAGACCACTTTCACCCTACAATGTTATTGCCATATAGCTTAGAACCTTCCCTTTTTTGTGGGGGTACACAGCACCAGAGGATATTTAAGCAACTGATAAATCACAGAATCCACCCTTCTGCACATCACAATATCAACACATTGCAATGCAAAGTGAGCGGTTCTCCAAGACAAAAATTTCTGCTGTGGCAGCTTCACCAGGAGGAACATCCTGCACTGAACTCTCCCAGCATCCCTTGTCATTTGCATGGGCAATTTCAGTCTTGTTCTCCCCTCGCACGCTGTCCTCAAAGAGTTGGTATCCCATCAGTCACTGTGACAGCCCCACATTATAGTTCAGTGTAATTTGTTTATTGACTTCTGAATACCAAATTCCTTCAAGGAGAGTCACAGACCCACAGCATGCTGGGGAAACACGGCTGGAAAACATGTAAATACAGATGCAGTCTGGCAGCTTCTGATGGTTGCCACTCAGAAAATCTCCCGGGGCGGTCTTCTTCCAAGGGCCATTCTACTCTTAGACATAATAAATTTCTACCAAAAAAAAAAAAAAAAAACCTAAGTAACAGAAGAGAAACAATAGATTTAGCACCACATGAGTTTTAAAAATATAAAAGTGGTAAAGATGCAAATGGTTGCAGTCTTAGAGTCCTTCCAAGAAACAGAATCAATAAGAGGGAGAGAGAGAGAAATTCATTTCAAGGAATTGGCTCACATAATTGTGGGGGCTGGCAAGTCCAAAATCTGCAGGGTAGAGACCCAAGCAAGAGTTGATATTGCAAATTCGAGTCTAAAGGTCTAGGCCGGGCACAGAGGCTCATGCTTGTAATCCCAGAAATTTGGGAGGCTGAGGTGGGTGGATCACCTTAGGTCAGGAGTACGAGACCAGCCTGGCCAACATGGTGAAACCCTGTCTCTACTAAAAATACAAAAAATAAAAAATAAAATTAGCCGGGCATGGTGGCAGGTGCCTGTAATCCGAGGTACTCAGGAGGCTGAGGCAGGGAGAATTGCTTGAACCCGGGAGGTGGAGGTTGCAGTGAGCCAAGGTCACACCACTGCACTCCAGCCTGGATGACAGAGAGAGACTCCAACTCAAATAAATAAATAAATAAAAAGACTGTCTAGAAGAATAATTCCTTCTTCTTTGCAAGAACTTAATCTCTTTTCTCTTAAAGCCCTCAACTCTTTAAATGAGACTTACCCACATTATGAAAAGTGATCCGTACTAAAAGTGTACTGATTAAAATGTTAATCTCATGTTTTAAAAAAATCTTCATAGCAACATATAGACAGGTGTTTGACCAAAGGCTGGGTACCATGGCCTAGCCAAGCTGACATATCACATTGAACATCACAGTGGCCTTTTAGAGTGTTTCTCCTATGAGGGTTGCTACCATCTAGCAGGCCCACCACACCCAGGGTCTGGGGCCCGCTGCTTTGCATTTTTGGAGAAGAAAGTTTATCAATTCATTGTAGATTTGGGTGAGAACTTAGCAAAATTATTTATTCTAACCAAGCTCATAAGAAGATTGATTACACGTCAGAACCAAACTCAACAGGGATGAGACACCACATCACTCCAGAGCCTAGAATGTCATCTGTGCGATTTTCATAGCTTTGCTTCTACTATTGTTCTCCCACCCATCTATTTATTGAAATCTTCTCATTCCTAGAAAACACCTGTCAAATGCCACAATCTTCAAAAGCCCTTTGAATCTACACAGTCAAATTAAACCAACCGCCCACCCTGACCCCGTTCCTCACTTTCTTTGTTCTGCTTTACTGCTGGTTCACTGTTCTCATGCTTCTCCCCCTACTGCAGTGACATCCCCTTCTTTGCAGGCAAAGGCTGTGTTTCTGCATCTCTCTTCTCTAATGTGGAGAGAGGAAGGCCACTTAGAGGCAAAGTGAACTGTCTATTACAGAAATATTTTCCTTCCAATTTTATTTAATTTTTGTATATTACTTCTTATTGGTATAAAACCTCAACGGGCTAGAAAAATGGTCTCTCCAGAATACCTCATTGATGAGGAGTAAGAGCTTTAGTATCCCCCAGGAAACCAAAGTGAACATGAAAGGTTACTGAAGAGCATAGGATTTGAATGACCTTGAGAGACCAAATGAAGGGGGAGGAAGACTAGGTAATATCTAAGGTCCTTTTCATCTCTAAGTTCTAGATAATTCAACCTTATAAACTGCTACTATCTCATAACAGAGCATACCATTCTTTATAATCTATCTTTGGTTTCACCAGGTAGAGTCTCTCTTTTGCCTGGACATCATTAGATACGTGCTGATAAATTCTTACTTTCTGATTTTACTTTTTCTGTATTCTCACGGAAACTATCTGATTTCTGTTGGCAACTTTTTTTTTACCTTTTCTCAATTCGGTAATCTTTCATAACATCATCATCACAACTACATTTTAAACACATTAAAATCAATTCTCACAGCCAACGTGTAAAATCCCTATATTATTTCCCTCTTTTTACAGGTGAGAAAATTCAAAGACATTAAATATTCTTAGAGGCAATACACTTTGCCTCTAAATGGCCTTCCCTCTCCACATTAGAGAAGAGAGATGCAGAAACACAGCCTTTGTCTGCAAAGAAGCAGATGTCACTGCAGTACGGGGAGAAGCATGAGAACAATGAACCAGCAGTAAAGCAAAATAAAGAAAGTGAGGAACGGGTGCAGCGTGGGCGTTTGGCTTAATTTGACTGCGTAGATTCCAAGGGCTTTTGAAGATGGTGGCATCTGACAGGTGTTTTCCAGGAATGAGAAGATTTCAATAAATAGATGGGTGGGAGAACAATAGTAGAAGAAAAGCTATGAAGATCACACAGATGACATTCTAGGTTCTAGAGTGATGTGGTGTCTCATCCTATGTAGAATGCAGAAAAAGTCATGAAGCCATTTGGCTGTAGGGGCTGTGCTCTCTGTCTCCAGTACACAGCACTGTTTCCTATGTTAAAAAATAATGCTTCAGATTCCCTGAGTCTTACACACCCTGTTTCACTGACTTTCATCCTTTTGCCTATTGACTTTGCACCTAGATTTGGCTTCCATCTATTATGAACACTCCACTCAGCCATGTGTGTATGGAATGTACAGAATATCCTTCTTCTTTAGAAGAAATTATATGCCCCTGAAACCCAGCCAGGATGAAAAAAGAAGAAATAGAATAAAGCACCATCCCTGATGTCTAGAGATAGGAAAAAAACACATACACCTCAACCTCAACCTGACTATGACCACATCATACCCCTTACACAAGAAGCCAATCAGAGCTTTGCGAGGATTTATATTCGGAGATCACATTTTTTATTGTAATTCTCATTTGTAATCCATGCTTTTATTTTCTGTATGATTTAAAAAACAAATGCATAAAATTAGAAATCAATGTTAATGAGTACACAATGTGTAGAGATGTAATTTGTGATACCAATAAGCTAAAAGGAGTAGAGATGTAAAGCAGTAGGGATTTTGTATGTGGTTGAAGTTAGGTTGATATGAATTCACAACAGATAGTTATAGTTTAGGATGCTTTATGTCATCCTCATGGTACCCCCAAAGAAAATATCTACATAATATACATAAAAGAAAATGAAAAGAGAATCAAAGTGTGACACTGCAAGTAATCAACTAAACACAAAGGAAGAAAGGAATAGAGAAATGAGGCACAAAAAAATCTATGACACATGGAAAACAAATAACAAAATGAACAAATTAAGTCATTCCCTAACAATAATCACTTTAAGTATAAATGGATTAAATTCCCCAGTGAAAAGACACAGATTGGCAGGATAATTTTCTTAAATGTCCTAACTATATGTTATCTACAGGAGACTCTGTTTTTAAAACCACTTTATTGAGATATGATTGAAACTTAAAAGCTGTACATATTCAATGTATACAACTCAATGATCACATTTGTTCCTTAAGTATTTAATTTAACTGAAAACTTCACCTATGAGGGTGTGGTGGTGTGCTGGCCTGTAGTCCCAGCTACTCGGGAGGCTGAAGCAAGACAATCACTGGAGCCCAGGAGTTTGAAACCAGCCTGGACAACACAGCAAGGCCAAAAGGAGAGCAGAGAAGGGGAGAGGAGAGGAGATATTCACATGGTTCAAAATAAAAACATGTATTTTTTAAAGATATATGATAAAAAGTTTAAAAAAAAAACTTTACATATCAGATAAGAAGGAAAATGACACAAACTGCACCAAGAAGTGTTTGCGCTTTTTCCTTCAGAAGGAAATGCAAGTTGCAATGAGCTGTCACCCTCCAAAGGAGTGGTTCTGAGGGAAGATGGCCAGGCTCATCTGTCAGCAGATGTCACTTCATGAGTCAACACTGGGAAGAGAGAGCAAACGACCTCAAAATGTTCACAGAAAATGATGACACAGGTCAAGTCTGCATTTTGCTAAAAGAAGCTAAGCTTTCCACCTCAATTCTCCAACCACTTCCCAATTTTTCTGCAGTAGAATGATAGGCAGCTAACAATAAGACTCCGGAGAGCCTGGCAGCAAAAGACACCCACAGCCCAATCCAGCCTTGCTCAGGATCTACAAAGCCCACACAGTTCAAAGTCAGTGGAACAGGGGACTCACCCCTGCCCTTCATGTGGAAGCTCAGTCACCAGCTGACTGTCACCGATTGGTCAGCGGGGTATAGAAGCTCTTTCTATATAGAGCAAAGTCTGTAGAGATGCTAAAACCAAGATTAAATGGCATGATCTTGAAAGAGCATGGATAATCCAGTGAAATCACCAACACTCAGGAAGAGCAGTGCCGCTCCACCCCTCAAGAATGGGATTTTACAGACCAGGTTCTCTCCAGCCATGTTCTGTAGAAATGCCACTTCCTTGAACCCTGGGAGGGCCACCGGTGGTGCATACAGACAGAAAATGCTCAGCCCCAACCTGTTGTCACCTAGTCCTACTGATGACTCCACTAAAGACCTGGGGTCCACATAAATAATTCGCTGACATACAATTAAATGGAAAGAGCATGTTCTAGGGTTTGACAGCACAGTAGGGTGACTATAGTCACAACAATATATTGTCTATTTCAAAACAGCTAGAAGAGAAGATGTTCCCAACACATAGAAACGATGTTTGAGGTGACAGATATCCTAATGCCTTGATTTGATCACTATACATTGTATGTATGTATCAAAATATCACATGCCCCATAAATATGTACAAATATTATATCACGATAAATGAAAATAAATAAATACATAAAACTTTAAAATAAAAAAATTAAAAGAATTCACTGACAACGTTCTTTCCCCCCTACCATCTTGAGCATATACAATGTAAGATTTGTAGTTTGGAGAATTTTGGGGAGAAAAGAGGAGTGTTAATTAAGTGATGTTAAGCAGACTTCTTGGCTATAATCCCACTTCCCACTCTTTTAAAATCCTGGCTTTCTAGATGCTTTCTGTGAGTCCCTGCATACTCATCCACACTCACAAGAGTCTGAAAGGAAACAGGCAAGAATATTATCTATGATTGTTTCTGAAGGATGGGAATTTCAGGCAGTTTCTTCTTCTTTATTGCTTTATGTTGTTTAAACATTTATAATGAGCATCAGTAGTTAAGGAAAAAGATAATAAAGCTGTTTTCATTTTTCAAGTATAAAAATAAGCCTACCCATTGGATTCTTTATAAGCCTCATCCAATGTTCCCTTATTATAATAATCCCCAAGAAGTTATGAAAATCAAGGCCTTAGCATTTCATTTTTAAGGTATGGCCTGAAACTTGAGCTAAACCAACATGAAGGGTCGCGTGTGAGTGTGATAAAGTGGGATTTAAGAAGTATGCCTAGGGCTGGGCATGGTGGCTCAAATCTGTAATCCCAGCACTTTGGGAGGCCGAGGCAGGTGGATCACTTGAGGTCAAGAGTTCGATACTAGCCTGGACAATGTGGTGAAGCCCAGTCACTACCAAAAATACAAGAATTAGCCAGGCATGGTGGTTCGCACCTGTAATCCCAGCTACTCAAGAGGCTGAGGCAGGAAAATCACTTGAACCTGGGAGGTGGAGGTTGCAGTGAGCCAAGATCACACCACTGCACTCCAGCCTGGGCGACGAAGCAAGACTCCATCTCAAAACAAAAAACAAAAAACAAAAAAGAAGTATGCCTAAAACACTCAGGATATCAGGGCAAAATGGACAAAATAGGAGAAAAATTGAAATTTTTGCAAAAATGTGTTTCAAATAAATTTTTTAATGACTCATCAAATAGTGCTGTGAGAAATGAACTAGAAACAGTAGAAAGGTGGTTTGGGGTCCACGTACCTTTTCTCTTTTTTTGGTGTTTTCTGTTTTCTGTTTGTTGTTATTGTTATCATTACTATTAACAAGAAAAACAAAAAGTGCCAGTTAAGGTAGAGCCAGGCCAAATCTGTTTAATGGTTATTTTTCCCAGTTGGTTGTATGGGTTTATAGGTGACTAGCTGGCATTGTCCGGAACGTTCCAAGTCAACCGTTTGCCCCAAGCATTTCCGGGTCATTCTGATCTATCCAGCCTTGCACTTAAGCAGCTGTACTGCCTCTCGGACAGGCATCGGGGAATTGTTTTTGTTTGTTTGTTTTTCTGGCTCAAGAACAAGCTTTTTCTGTTTTCTTTGAAATGTGAGAGATTTAAATAAGTTTTTCTAAGCCATTTTCAATTCATAAGTTTACATGTAAATTCTCTTGGATACAGATGAAAGGAAGGACCATAGCACAAATGTATTTTTTCCAAACTGTTCTAAGAATTTTGAAAAACTTATGAAAATGCCAAGCTCTGCCCGAGATCCCTATTAATGTCATTCAAATAAATTTTTATTTTATTGAAACTCTGCATTAAAAGAAATGTATGACTTGGCACTTACTCGGAGGCATACAGTACAATCATAGTATCCAAAAATGCCCAAATTTTTCAATTTCATGAAACTTGAGAGTTAATTACCCAGGCACTGCAAGATAAGTGCTAATATAAACAC
This sequence comes from Homo sapiens, assembly GCF_000001405.40. NCBI lineage: Eukaryota > Metazoa > Chordata > Mammalia > Primates > Hominidae > Homo > Homo sapiens. The sequence goes on from NC_000010.11 coordinate 21,054,913, forward strand.
AAAGACAGATTTCAATGCTTTAGTATTACTTTAGAAAATAAAGTTGTTTTTAAAGCGTTCTTACTTCTGGGCAGAACTGATGAAAGTTCTGTTTCTGTTAAGAGGGAGATGAACTTCTACCCTGAAGAAGAAAATGTATCCAGTTAGTTTCAAAACCACCATAGTTCATTATATCTGGGGGAGTTGTTGATACTGAGAATTCTTTTAAGCTTCTGCTATTAAAAAGTTTTACAACCTTATGCTTTCTTAATTTTTTCAGAAGCATTGTAACAAGTTATAACCTTGAGCTAGGACTATGAAATTGGAAAAAGTCCAAGCAAATCTTTTAAAATCTATAATTTCAGAGAAAATATTTACAGTTTTAAGTACTGGGAAGAATTCTCTGAGACCAAGAGACATTGTAAAGAGGGAAATATTCAGCTAACAAGAAATTTCTAAATCGGCTAATTCACGCACCCCAAAGGAAATAGGTCTGGAGGCAGAGGGTCTGTGGCATCAAAGCCACAGATCTTTTAACTTTGGTGTCAATGCTGTATTGACACACAAAGATCAGGCCACCAAATGATCGTGTGACATAAATGAAAACCCACCCACCTGTTTTGCTACTTTAAGGTTACCATTCTGCATGTAACCACATCCTGGCTCTATCACCCACCAGCTATGCCACTTGGGGATGTTATTTAACCTCTGTGTCTCGGTTCTGTCATCCCTAAAATGGCAATAATAACAGTGTGTACCTCACAGAATTGAATTAATATCTGTAAAGTGTTGAACATGTCTGGCACAAAGTCTGTGTTAGATAAACTGCAATTTACACAACTCCTGCCACCCAACTCCGTGACAAGCCTGTAGCGCAGATAATCCAGCCAAATTAGCATCAAGTGTAGCCACCATGCCGATGAGGGTGTTCAGGGGGCTCCCGCGTGAGAATGAAAAGAAATGATCCGGAATGACTCCAAGTGGATGCACCACAGCGAAGCACACATTAAAATCAGCCAGAGTATCTTGGCTCTGGGCTGCCCTGAGGCTACACGGGCAAATGCTTTGTTTGTCCTGAGGCTTTAGTTGTCTCTGGGAGGTTCATCCCAATGCAGACCAGTGAACTATATTCAGAGTCCTGCCTTAACATTAGAGTAGAGTGAAATAGAAAGAGCAACTAGTACTTGCTGAGCTCTGACACAGGCTAGACACTAGGTCAGATGTCTCTGCATCATGATGTAGGATGATTATCTGCTTTTAACGGTAGAGAATATTTTGCCATCATGAAGCTATTAGGTTTTGCAAGGTAGGAGGAGGTTATAGAACTCACACCCAGATCCCTGATTGCAATTTATGGGCTTTCTCCTACACAGCCCTCTCTCTTGTTCATAAAACCTAATATAGAGTACTTCAAAGAGAATGGGGAAACTTATTCAATTCTTTAATTCAACCAAATAATGAATCAGACAATCAGGAGTTACTAAATTTGCGCAAAGTTCCCTGTTAAAAGCTGGACCTGCAAAAAAAGATAGACTGACTGTCCTCCCGGAACTTTAAAAGCAGTAGGAAAAGGTTTTGGAGAAGGAATCAGTATATGTAGCCAGTGGGAGGATAATTTTAGTACAACCATTTTGAAACACAAAATAGCATCACATCCTAGAAATGTTGAACATGCATAGAGAACGAGCCAATCCACTCCTAGGTATATCTTCTAGAGTTGGAACTCTTGCACATGTACACCCATATTGTCATGTCAAAAGAACTCGATATATTCTACATTAGAATATTACACAACAGTGAAATTGACAGCAGTGATGGATTGCAACATTAAAGCTGTATGGATGCATCTCAAAAGCAAAATACTGCGAGAAAGAAAGCAAATCACAAAATCGTCCACATGCAGATTAACTATAAAAGAAAGCAAGGAAATTATAACCACAAAATTCAGGATGGTGGTTCATCCAGGAGGGAGGAGGTGTGGTCAGGGAGGGCTCCATGCAGTACAGCTAATCCCTTTCTTAAGCTCGGAGTCAAAGACAAAAGTGCTCATTTTATGATTCTTTAAACTGTGCATTCAATTTAAAGCTTTTTGCATATATGATATATTTATCAAATAAAGTATTATTTAAAAAAACAGGTAGAAAAGTCAAGTTTACTCCATTAAATGCCAAAAGCAAAATAGTCATATATACAAGTGGCCACAAAATAAGATAAAACAAGTGGTTAAGCTGAGATTTCTGGGTGCCTATGTCCCAGATCTTATGCCGGGCTTTCACATCTAAAATCTTATTTAAAATAACAGAGAGGTTATATGGGGTTTCAGAGAAAAGGGAGATGACACCTGGTTGGGAGAACAGTCTCCCGGGAAGGGTTGCTCTTTGACTTTTGGCGGTAAGGCAGAGTAATGTGTGTAAGTAGTATTAATAGCAGGGAGATGCAGCATCTCAGGTAAAACAAAAAAGCAAGATGTGGAAAACAGGCATCAAAGGGACCTTGCACATATCAAAGAAACACCAAGCAACACCGAGAAAAACCATTTGGGACCTTTATCTTAACTGTGTGTCACTAGAGGTAAAGGTTACTACAAACTAGTTTTCAAATCTGAAATTCTGTTAAGAATCTAAATGATACCTAATAGCCAATGAAATTCCTTTTTTTTTTTTTTTTTTTTTTTTTGAGACGGGGTCTGGCTCTGTCGCCCAGGCTGGAGTGCAGTAGCGTGAACTTGGCTCACGGCAACCTCTGCCTCCGAGGCTCGAGCAATCCTCCCACCTCAGCTTCCTGAACAGCTGGGACTACAGGAGCGCACCAGCACACCCAGCTTATTTTTGTATTTTTTGTATATTTTTTATAGAGACAGAATTTTGCCATGTTGCCCAGGCTGGTCTCAAACTCCTGAGCTCAAGCCATCAGCCCGCCTTGGTCTCCCAAAGTGAGCCACTGCACCTGGCCCTGATCTGTTAATTTATTCATAACTTAACATGACATGAAAAGGATATTTAAAGCCAGACTTATTTTTGCATTTCCGAATTTCATCAGTAAATCATATAATCGTGAACACCAGCTTACTCCACCATCAAAAGGGAAAGTTCTGACTTTCCATCTATTTTTTCTGAGAGATACATCACTTTGAAAACAGGGCAAATTTCATGTCATTTTTACAGCCAGTTGCAATCAGCTCAGCATGTTTTCTCAGAAATGATACTACTAACAGCTACTATCAATGTGAATAACTTTCATTCCAGGGGTTTTGGAATGTGGCTACCAGTGCCATTGTTCACTGGGTCTTTTCATTTTGGTCAGGAGCCAGGGTTAGTTCAGACATGCTAGACTTGTGTCCTTGCATTCTGCCTGCAGTCCTGAGAGCATAGCATTCTCCCTGGCCAAGGAGAGCATAGATATAATCCATTCTTGCTCTTTTGGACTTTTGGAAGGTGCTTTAAGCTAAACTTGGCATTAAACTGTTCCATTAGATCAACTTTCACTGCAAGTTTTAAATTAAGCAAACAAAAAAATTTCAAACACACACAAAACAGCTTCAATTTCTTATAAATATAAGGCTTTAAAATATGGAGAAAAAAAGGAAAGAAAAAGAACAAGTTGAAAACCTATAAGCCAAAACCTTCTACTTTGGAAACAATGACAGTGTAGATAAAGTTTTGTAGTGTATTAAAAAAAAACAACTTGTAAAAGAAACAACATTATTTAATGGCATGTTTATCAAATGCAACATTAAATACAAAATTGTCTCAGTCATCAATCTCAAGCTAAACTTTCTTAAAAGTTCCCAATTATAATATCAGAGTTGCATGTAAAGGTTCACAATTTCAAGGGAACTTAAAGACATTTCAAACATCCTTTAAATTACTGCTGAACTGTAAATTGGTCTAGTATATAATTTAGTTCATTTCAGAACCAATTCTGAAATCAATCATAGTTCATTTCCTTAACTATAGGTACAAAACATTTAGACCAGGATTCAGATGTGCTGAGTATTAGGTTTGGCTCCTACTAATTGTGTAAAGTTGAGCAGGTCAAAGGTTCTAAGCCTTGATTTTCTTTCTTGATCTGCCTATATATTGGGTGTTTGTGATGATAAAACAGATGGGTATAAAAGTAATTAAATATTAAAACATGAAAGATTATAATCCATGTTATTATAAATGATTTAAAAGATTACATATTAGACAGGCTTTACTATCACTCACCCCCATTTATCAAGCTTACTATTAACCACCACCCCCAGCAGTCGGGGTGAAGCCCCCCTCACTTGTTCAGCCTAAGCACCCTGCACCTGCGTCTGTCATTGCTCTTATCATGTTGTATGAATTACAGATGTTATTTTCTGGGTGCCATTCCACCAACCCAGGCACTCCGTATGGTCTGCACCACTTGTGCTGGGCACAGGCACTCTATCTGTTGGATGCTGAGTGAAAGTTCCAGGATGAAAATGTTAACATTGACATTAACAGATGGACAATTAACAAAATCCCAGAATACTAAAGGGCAAGTCTCATTCCAAATTTCCTTAGATATGTTCAGAGAAACTAGGGAAATCACTTTCTAGTATCAAAAGGCACTTCAAATACTTTGTGACTACTTCAAAGGGGAGGAAGGGGAATGACCTCTTGAATATACAACGTTAACAACCTTATACTTTCTACCAAATAAAGCAAAATAAATATTCTCAAATTAATTTTAACAGCTGGAAAAGCATAATGCTCTGTGCCAGCCAAACATTTGTTCACACCAAGTTATTTTATTAAAACTCAGGTTATTTACTGCGTTGATTAAAACTCTTTCCATTGTCTCAACTTTTTTCAGTCATGTAACATTAGGAAAATTAAAATCAACTTTAATTGACTTGAGAAAGAAAGTGTGGCCATTTTGTTAACTGTGAGTTTTAGAATTAAGGTTATCTTACAGTGATAATGCCAATCTACAGCTCCAATTTATGAGGAACAAAATAAAGTCATAAGATGGCCAGACACTCCAAACTGGGGATCCTTCTTTGGGAAGGTTTCAATGAAAATACTAGGTCATATTTTAAGGAAACTTGATATACAACAATTTGATACAATAGCATTGGGGTACTGAGACATTAATTTGTCATACAGCCTTTGGGTTCTGCCAAATACAAATATTTTAAGTCCCTGTGACACTCTCTTCACTATGCTAGGGTTTAATGCCCGGTCATCTAAAAAATAGCAGCTGGAGATGCAGCCAGATCTCCCAGGCAATGATGAAGAGGTGCTTCTAAATGACAGAAGTTATAGTTTAAAGAGACAGTACAGCTGATTAAGCCTCTCAGTGTAAAGCACAGATGGAGAGCTACCACTCCCCACAGCACATCTGCCTGTAATACATGTGGTCACATTCCATCTCGACTCATTCTTCATATACATTAGGCAGTATCAACATTCAAAACAAAAGAGGGGGTTTCATTTTCAGCTAATGGGGTAAAAGTCATCACAAGGCACAGAATTTTAGAGAGTCCTAGAGATTACCTGGAATGGTGGTTCTCAAACTTGAGCGTGTATCAGAATCATCTGGATTGCTTGTTAAACCAGCCTTATTCTGCACAGCTATTATATCGTACACCCTCTTGCCTACTCAAAGACATCACTCTACAAACTGTCTCCTTTTCCTGTAATATTTTCCCCCTCTACTGGCTCATATATTTTAAAATGGTTTTATTTATCTCATTTTTTTTAAAAATCCCCTGGAACACTGGTTCCTCCTCTGCCACCTCCCATTTTTCTCTTCCCTGTATGCAAAACTCTTCAAAAACCTCTCTATGCTTGCCTTCTCTAACTCCTCTGTTTCCATTCTCTCTTCCATTTCAATCTAATTCTCATCCTTACCCCTAAGCTGAAACGACTCACTCCAAGGGTGATCACAACCTCTGCATTGCTCAATCCAACCGTCAATCTTCAGTTCTCATCCTATTTGCTCAGTCAGCAGCATCTGATTCAGTTTATCCATCCTTCCTGCCTAAAGCACACTCTTCACTTGGCTTCTGGAGTGCCATGCTCCTTTGGTTCTCTTACTGTCAGCCTTACTGGCTATTAAGGGTTGAACTGTGCCCCCGAGAAAGATTTGTTGAAGTCCTAACACCAGGTGCCTGGAAACGTGACCTTATTTGGAAATAGGGTCTTTGCAAATTTAACCAAACTAAATAGAGGTCATTAGGGTGGGCCTTAATCCAATACAACTGGTGTCCTCATAAAAAGGGGAGCATGTCCCCTTTTTTATATATGATACATGTTCTTATATGTATTATATATATCATATGATGTATTATTATAGATCATATAATATAGAGAGATGTGGCATTATATATTGTGATATATTACATATTATGTGATATGTAACATATTACATATTATGTGATATGTAACATATTACATATTATGTGATATGTAATATATTACATATTATGTGATATGTAATATGTTACATAATATATGGGTCAGATTTATGTTTTATATCATATATCATATATTACATGGTACATGATACGTATCATATATTGCATGGTGTATGATATATATCGTATATTACATGATATATGATATATCATATATTACATCATATATGATATATCATATATTACATTATATATTATATATCACATATTACATCATATATTTTATACATATATAAATATAAATATAAATAGCATTGTCTTAAGTTCATCTACCTAAACTTATCTGACGTTGGGATGAGCACAACTGTATCTCAGCACTGCAGATATCATGGCCATAAAAGAAAATTCAGAGACCCTGGGAAAAAAGAAGCATGCTAATAAGTTCTTCCTTTAAATGATGTTTTTATCCCTAAAAGTGGTTGTGACCTCCTCAGCCTCACAGAGTGGATAAGGACTGAGCCACCTAAATAATATGACTGCTTGGCAGGGGTTTCTCCCCTGCAGTGATTGTACTTGGGTCACCTCTGTACTTAAAGCTACAACACTGTCCTAGAGACAATAATTTGTACATTGCTGCACTTTAGGTTAACATAAGCTATAGATGCAAGCACAGAGCTAGATGACTCACATGTCTGCTTCTGCAGGCTGAAATGGTAATCCTGAAATTTCCTACTGCCCAACACGCACAATGCAAACCCGATGAAAAGAGCAAAGATGTAAAACTAGAATATCTAAGCAGTCAGTGGTGAAGATTCTAGTCGTGTTCTGTGTGTACACAGCAGCTGCATATCTTGTGAAGTTTAATTTTATCAGTCTGACTTATATTTTATGTGCCAAGTTTTTAGCATTTCAGCAGGTGCAATGGGACAAATCAATACAGCTAAATTCTTAGCAACTGAGCTAAGAAAACTCTTTCACAACTCACACATCACAGCGTGAGAGACTGCAGAAGTTAAGGGGAGGGGAAAGAAGAAAAAAACAATGAGGTAGAAAGAGATGATATTTTAAATGAAAACTGTTATGTATGCCTAGGGGTGCTGTTAGAGAACTCTGTTCCTGGCTGGTGTAGTGGCTCTCGCCTGTAATCCCAGCACTTTGGGAGGCGGAGGTGGGAGAATTACTTGAGCCCAGGAGTTTGAGATCAGCCTGGGCAACATAGAGAAACCCTGTCTCTACAAAAAAAATTAAAAAATAAAAAATAAAAATAAAAATAAAATTAGCTGGGCATAGTTGTGTGCACCTGTGGTCCCAGCTACACCAGATGCTGAGACAGGAGGATCGCTTGAGCCCAGGAGATCAAGGCTGCAGTGAACCATGATTGCACCACTGTATTCCAGCCTGGGTGACAGAGTGAGATCCTGTCTCTAAAAAAAAAAGGAAAGAAAGAAACTCCATTCCTTTTGTTTCCCTATCTGAAGGACCTAGAATGAGATCAACCCTCTCAGTTCTGCACCAGTCTAGACATTCCTACTACAACACACCAGCACTGGGGCTTGAAATGTGGTCTCTGGAAGGTAACAATGCTGTGATATCAATTTTTTTTTAATGTTTTAAGCATTTGAGTCTACAGACGAGTGTACCCATAAAAGAGAACAGAGAAGGACACGAGCGGCCAAGCTGTGGGCTACAAGATAAATCTAGAAGAGTGATTTTGCTACAGAGGAGACCTGGAGGGGAAGTTGAGTATGCAAAAGATGAGGCAATAGAAATAAAGGTTGCAGGGGTTGGGGGTTGGCCTCAGTTATATGAAGGCCAAAGTGATATCAGCATGGGGATGCCTGCAACATAACTGCGGGTGCTCCATTGCTCAGAGGACTGAAAACACACACAGCAAGACCCCTGGCACTTAAATGGCCCTCTTAACCCCATGCACACGCAGTTCCGATCTTGCTCCCCCATACCTGTCAGCTGTGCTTCTGACCTCCCTAGAGGCCCACGTGCTCACTTGTCATATTCATGGCAATGCTCAGAGATCATTCCATGATCACCATCAAGGACATGGGCTGCATCTTCTGCCTTCTATGATACTTAATGCTCTAAGTTCCCAATTAATAGTTAATCACTAATAGTCACGAGATGCCTACTATTTGAGACTCACATTCGAACAGTTAGTCAAATTTAACAAGTCATAATAAACAACATGGAGCTGAAATCCCTCTTTAATGAAATCCATGGAAACATGACAGAAATCACCCAAGTTTTCTATTCACATGTAGCAAATCAACAGTGGTTATATTTTTCTTCTGATTCTCACTGCAGAACAGGAATGCTTTTAAAGATCTCTGGAGTTGGCTGGATGTGGTGGCTCACACCTGTAATCCTAGCACTTTGGGAGGCAGAGGCAGGCAGATCTCTTGAGTTGAGGAGTCTGAGACTGGCCTCAGCAACATGGTGAAACCCCAGTTCTACAAAAAATTTTCAAAATGTGGCCCCAGCTACTTGGGAAGCTGAGGAAGGAGAATGGCGTGAACCCGGGAGGCGGAGCTTGTAGTGAGCCAAGGTCACGCCACTGCACTCCAGCCTGGGCGACAGAGCAAGAGTACATCTCAAAAAATAAATAAACAAATAAATAAATATAAATATAAATATAAACAAAAAAAATTAGCAGAGTGTGGTGACATGTGCCTGGGTTCCTAGCTACCAGGAAGGCTGAGGAAGGAGGATTGCTTGAGCCCGGGAGGCAGAGGTTGCAATGAACTGAGATCGCGCCACTGTACTCCAGCCTGGGCAACAGAGGGAGACCCTGTCTCAGAAAAGCTTTCTGGAGTTAAGGCTTCTTTTTACTCAGGGGTTTTTGTTTGATTTTGTTTTGCTGTGTCTGTTGTTTAAATAATCACAGCAGTAGAGGAGACTTAAAATAGAAACACAGCACATACTTAAATATAGAGTTAACGTCAAAAAAATTGAATTCAAATGAATTTTCTAAAAATACATACATATTTCCTTTTTGATTTCCACAGATTTGTTCACTTCTTTGAAAACTTTTATAATGTTTTAGGATTTCACTGCAAAGCCCAGATAAGCTTTGATTTTTATCTAGTGAGGGTGTTGCCTTCCCAGAAAACAATCCAGGTTGACAACCACAATAAAAGTAAACACAATGGCCAAGGATGTGGAAAAAGAAAACTCATGATCCCACACTCAGTTGGTAGGGCTCTAACTCAACCTTCAGAAAAAATGAGCAATATATACAATTCCCTTTACAAGTCTCGTTTTATTAACCATTTAAAAGCAACTGAAAGTTTCTATTAGCTTTTCCTAATTAAATGTATGTTGCTCCTTTATTAAGTGTTGTTGGTGTTTTAAAAGTAACAGTGTCAGGAGATGCATTTCTAATTACTATTTTGAAAAATAGTACAAGCCATGTTTTTACCATATCAAAATGAAACAATTAACTGTAGATGTCCATAATTAGAAATGCAATGTAAATTTGATTCTGAAAAACCAACCCATTGTGTCTTAAAGATAGGATAATTAACAGAGATACTATTAAACTGAGATCTATGGTGAGAGGTGCCATAAAGACTTACAGACAGATCATAAAAAGCAATCTGAGAAAGGAAATTAGGTGGTTTGGACAAGCAGGAAAAAAAAAATATTTAAGAATGAGATAGAAAAAAAGGAAGCAAGAAATAAGAAGAGTGAAGGGTATTGTAACTGGTTTTAGGGAAGGTGTGTTGGAATACATATTTAATATAAGTAGTTCTCCATATATACCTGAGTCTGCCCAATAATGAGGCATCGTGACCTTTTACTGAACAATAAGATTTTCTTCTTGATAGCATTGCAAAAAAAGATTCTTTATAAACATGGAAATGGGTGTAAGGAACAAATGAAAAAAATCTCCTTTGGGTGAAAAGAAAAATCTGACCCCACAGCATATGCCTTAGTTACAAGGAATACAGCAGTCTTTCAGGTTTGTTTTGTATTTAAGTCATGAGCTTGATCACAGTTTTCTGATGAACACACTTTGTTTAACCCACAAATGAATAAAACTGTTGTTTTGTCTTCTTCACACTTTGCAATACTCTGGGAGAATTTGAGATGATAAAAAGGAAAGTAAGTGTGAGGGAGGAAAAAATTAGGTACCCAGTCTTGACTTCATAGAAAAACAGGGAATATATGATAGTTTTTCCACCCACAGTGCCGAAAATGAATTAAGCACTTAGCAGCTCAGGGGACATTTGTTTCAGAAGAAAGAAGGTGTGAAGGAAGAAACTTGTTTACTTCTGAAATGCAGGTAGAAACTGTGCTAAAACACATTAATGTCTTAACTCATGATTCTTAATGCAAAACCTGTCACATCCACCTCTAGCATCTTCACACAAAGCCAGTGGCATTTATTGAGCACCTGCTATGTATGAGGATTGCCCCTTCGGCAGCTGCCACTCTATATTAGTCTTTAATCCTGCAGCTGAAAAGCCCCAGGGGCTGTGAGCAGATGGGGCTAGTAATGGTGCATCACCCTCCCTGCAACCCTATCACTCCATCTGGCACATCTTTCCTGGAACAGTCCCTGGAAGAGAAATTGCACCAGGTTAAGAACATTAACAAAGGGAGGGTGATGGGTTTCAACAGAAATTGCATCTGACAGGCAACCTTTCTAGTCTTACCACCAGCAGCTGCACACCTCTCTTCAACCTGGTTACGTGTTAGCTGTCCTCTCTTTATCCTTCTACACCTCCATCCTCAATTCACCCTCCTCTTAGACTAATAGTTCTGCCAACTCAGCATCCATCAGTCTTTCCATATGAGCATAAGCTGGATGGAAATGGAAGAGAGAGTGAAGTACAGACCTGTGAGTTGGGCCACCTCCCTCCATTCTCATGGGCTTAGAGAACTCATTAACCTCTTCCCTGCTTCTCCTTCCTAACTTGTAAGAATATATGCTTCTTAAAGCTGTTCAATTTCCTCTTCCACATACTTTTACAGACCCGACATAGGATAGGAATGTTGCAGTTGTTGAAAAAAAATGTTAATTATTGGTGAATTTTTCATGAATACGGTAATCACCACCTAAATAACTGAATAAAATTCTCTATTTCTTATAAAGATGATAGCAATTCGTTGTTGATAAAATGTTTTTCATGCTAATGATTAAAAAATAAAAGTTAAGAAGTAAACAAAATGTAGTGAGTACACAAGACACGATTTAAAATGGAAAAACCAGGAAATGAAATGATACACACCTTCTTTAAAACAAATATGTCTAAGATATTTAACTAAAGGAAAACAAGACTGATCCAGAAATGTCAATGGCCAAAGCAAACAGAGAATCATTAATAATGGAGTTTTATTTTAAGCCTCCGAATTTGCTTTAAAAAGCTAAGATTGTAATATTCTTTGCTTAGATTTACCATTGCTTAAAACACAGCAATACAAGAGAGAGCAATGAGACATCCCTTCTTAAGAGTTCATTTACTGGGTCAAATGCATATTAGAATCTTAATTCCCATCTACAAAATCATTGTTCTCTTACATCGATTTTCTTACATTGTTCTGCGGTTTTTCTATTTAACTGAATATTTATACTCATGGGCTATTTAAGGACACTTAAGAACTTTTAGCATCATGTTCAGTTGCTCCATCTCATAGAATACTTAGGACACAAAAGATGCTTAAAGACCTTTGTTTCCTGAAATAATTTAACTTTTTTTTTTTTTTTTTTTGAGACAGAGTCTTGCTGTGTTGCCCAGGCTGTAGTGCAGTGGCGCGATCTCCACTCACTGAAAGCTCCGCCTCCCGGGTTCACGCCATTCCCCTGCCTCAGCCTCCCGAGTAGCTGGGACTACAGGCGCCCGCCACCACGCCCGGCTAATTTTGGTATTTATAGTAGAGATGGGGTTTCACCGTGTTAGCCAGGATGGTCTCGATCTCCTGACCTTGTGATCCGCCCACCTCGGCCTCCCAAAGTGCTGAGATTACAGGTGTGAGCCACCGCGCCCAGCCGAAATAATTTAACTTTTAAAGTGAAATACATAAATGCTGGAGAGTGCTGTTTAAAAATTCAGTTTTGTGATAAACACTTTAAATTGAGCCTTCAAACTGTAATTCATTAAGAAACAAGAGAAACTTTTAAAAAGGAATTACATGTCCAACGATTGTCATGAAATTGGATTATAAGCTTTCTTTATATCATAAAAAAGAGAAAGCAGGAGGAGGGAGGAGAACAAGAAGGGAACAAGTAAGAGAAACAGTTATGTATGCCAAAAAACAAATTAGACTTTGAAAAGAACAAAGGAGATCTTGGAAAGATTACATTTATTTCATGTAACTCCAAAAGGCAGAAAACAGACCATTAGAACAAAGGCAAGGGAGAAGGGGGGACCTCTCAGCTTAATCTGAGAGAGAACACCTTCCTATTAAAATGGAATACAGGCTAGGCACGGTGGCTCCTATAATCCCAGCACTTTGGGAGGCTGAGGCAGGCAGATCGCTTGAGCCCAAGAATTCAAGACCAGCCTGGGCAACATAATGAGAACTTGTCTCTACCAAAAAAAAATTAAAACATCAGCTGGGCATGGTGGCGAACCTGTGGTTCCAGCTACTCAGGAGGCTGAGGCAGGAGGATCACTTGAGCGCAGGAGGTCAAGGCTGCAGTGAGCCGTGACTGCACCATGCACTCCAGCCTGGGTGACAACAAGATGCCGTCTCAAAGAAAAAAAAATGTAATATACTTCCCTATGAAGTAATAAATACAACATGCCTAGAGGAACTCAAATGGAAGTTGAAATACTTCTTAGTAGGAACACTGAAATTGTGAATTTCTCTACTAGGTGGGAAAAAAGGCTAGGAGGTCAGCTCCATGATTCTACACTTTACATTTTTTCCTTCTTTTTACAGATATTAATTACATGGTTTTAGTCAAATGTGTTGAACACTTTTATAAAGTTAAAAAAGCATTTGTCAGCACTTTTCAATAAACAGGTTTAATTTATATGTCAGTAACAGACATCTGTATTTTGGGGCCAGCAGCCATATCCTTCCTTCTGATGGCATCAACTTGATTTCCCCTTTGAAATACACCAGTCCTTTTGGTTTGCATGGGGCTGTTTCAACCCCTACTCCCTCAGTTTGTACTCTCCTGGCTACAGGGATGGCCGTGTGACTAGAATCAGGCCCAGCCAAATAACCTTGGAGCTTTCAATCAAACTATGGGGGGAGGAACATTCTTTCCCCTGAGATGGCTTGGATGTAAGCCTGAAGCTGCAAAATGTCATCTTGTCACCACGAGGAAAGAAGCTACCTAGAGAAGAGCTAAGAGGGAGAGGAGGTGACACCTGACCATAGACCCCGGACCCATGGGCTCTGGTCTTTTCAGCTGTCAGCTACTAAGCCAGTACACCCTCTTTTCTGCTCTAGGTAGTTGGTGTTGAGTTTCTGTCACCTGCAACCAAAAAGTCCTGACTAATGTCAAAGAAGGAAATAGGGAGAAGGAAAGCTTGAATATCTAAATAGTCTAATTACCTAGTTTGCTGTAAATTTCAATTTTTAAAGCTTGAAATATTTGGAGTATTCCTCCGATGCTTATTACATTGTCTCATCTTCATCATGTTTGTTGTTATTGTTGTTGTTGTTGTTTAAGACTGATTCTCACTCTGTCACCCAGACTACAGTGTACAAGTGGCAAGATCACGGCTCACTGCAGACTCAAACTCCTGGACTCAAGCAATCCTCCCATCTCACTCTCCCGAGTAGCTGGGACTACAGGCACATGCCACCACACCTGGATACTTTTTATATTTTTTGTAGAGACAGTGTCTCACTATGTGGCCCAGGCTGGTCTTGAACTCCTGGGCTCAGGTGATCCTCCTGCCTTATCCTCCCAAAGTGTTGGGATTACAGTCATGAGCCACCACACCTGGCCCATCATAACTATTTTCGAGTTTGCATGGAACCCACTTTGCTCCCAGCTTTCTGCGCTGGTTGCCCTTAGGCCCCTTGAGAAGTTCTCCCTTCGTTTTTCATAATCTCTCAAGAAAGAAATGAAATGGGGCCGTTTATGGCAGGCACACAATTCTTCCTCATGGCATTGTTCTCCCATGCACCATGTCACATAAACCACAGCCAGTAGAGCACTTGGAAATTTCCCCTCTAAGTGAACAGATTGTTTCAAGAAACAGGATTCCAGAAATAGTTTGTCAAGCTGTCCAGGTTGGCTGTTTTGACACCACAGCGCCCGCCAGGAGAATCACTCTCCTGCTCCCTGAATCCCAGTTTTCTCAATGAGTCTCGGGCCCATTAACCAGGGCATCCTGAATCTCTTCATCCTTCCACATTGAAGCATTCTGCACTTTGGAGCATTTAAAAATCTTTATGTAGATTTTTCTCACAAACTGAGAAATGGTTCATGTTACACATTTTCATACAACCTGGTATAGACCAGGGTGAGGATAGAAATCTCATTGCTAAGGATCACTGTTTCTAACCTTCTATAGAACAAAACAAAGCACAGAGACAAACATGTACATTATTATTGTATTCATCTGATCATTATCTAACTGTATCTAATTATATTAATCACAACATTGTCTTTTACAGAAGATTAAAACAAGTTTTTTAAAAGAATAAGTCTTCTGCAATTTTCCCCTGATAGCGCAAGTCATGTAAATATCCCCTATCATGTACTTACAGCGGCTTAGGGACTGCGCCCCTGGAGCCAGAATGCAGCCACTCATAATAGAAATGAAGCATCTGATTTGCAGCACACGGTGTCACCTCCACACAAAGCCTCACACTTCGGGACAGGAAGGAAAGAATAATACTGTATCCACTAGTAGCTGCAGGGGGACTTTTCGGGAGGCAAAATAGCATTACTTGAGTTGGAATTTGGCCAGGACACTGGGGCTAAATACCCGGACTGTTATGGAAAGTGCTCTAGGATTGTTAATGCCCTTGAGTCGTCAGGACCTCAGTTTTGTGTCTGCTATGAAAAGAAAAGCTGATTAGATCATTTAAGTAAATCTCTCAGTGGGCTTCTTTAGCTTCTGATTATCTAGATATGCTTTAATCACTGTCAGATTGCCCTGGTTAAAATTAATGACAGATTAATGTAAGACTCTCCAAGATATCAAAGCACCAAAATATATACTACCTCAATAATATATCACGTATGTATTTTTTCATTTGTTCCCCAGGAGATTAATTTAGAGCCCCAGCAATTCCTACTTGGACTAAATCATGCTGTTTTAAAGAGTACATAATATCCTAACTATCCAGTTGCCCTTAGCTTCGTGAGTCTCCAAAGGACAGATAACCTAAGTGGGCGATTAGATTTAATACCACATCCCTGAAACCAAGACACACTTAAAAAAAAATTACTCTGAACATTAAATCTTCTATGTTATTTACCAAAATGCTTACCCACAACAAGACCTCAAACACAATTATTCATCTCCTTTTCTGTACAGAAATCTAGGCTGTGCTTGAATTTCTTCAGGGGATAAGGAAACGGAGTCTTTATTGAGGTGGCAATGAAAATCATAACTATTTTAAACTGGCATACATGTCTAAGAAGGAAAACATTTCTTTTATTGTACACATGAACAAATCAACTTTTAGAAATGATTTAGGCCAAGATGGCAGTGGCTCACACCTGTAACCCCAACACTTTGGGAGACTGAGGTGGGAGGATCTCTTGAGGCCAGGAGTTCAAAACCAGCCCAGGCAACATAGCAACACTCTGCCTCTACAAAAAAAAAAGGAGCCAGGTGTGGTGGCGTGTGCCTGTAGCCCAGCTGCTTAGGAGGCTAAGTCAGGAGGATCACTTGAGCCCAGGAGCTTGAGGCTAAAGTGAGTCATGATGGCCCACTGCACTCCAGCCTGGGTGACAGTGACACTCTGTCTCTAAACAATAAATAATAATAATATTTTATTTTTAATATTATTATAATTTTTAAATAATATTATTATTATTTTTAAAAATAAAAAACGGGTATGGTGGAAGGTCCCTGAAAAATATTAGAAGATGAATTCTTCCTCCCTTTTCTTAGTCATTACCACCCACAAAACCCAAAAATGAATTTTTTTCTAAAATTTTAATTTACACACACACTCCTTTGTCCTCGAGTGAGTTGTTTTTCCCCTTTCAAAGCCCTACAAAAGGACTTTTCAAATTTTTCTCTGGACCATAAAGCAATTTTGCTGAGTCTTGGTTTTCTTATCTGCAAAATGGGACATCTGGCAAAGATCTGTGGTTCAGAACCCAGGCTGTACATTACAATCACCTAGGACACTTTTAAAAATATTAATCCCTTAACTCAGCCCTCAGAGACTCTAATGCAGTGGCTGTTCTTTTTAAATGTTCTCCAGGTGATTCTAATGACTGAAAGTGACTGAACTGGGATCTCCAGGATTCATCCAGGATTGGTTTACTAGGGCTGCCATAAAGAATTACCATAAATTTGGTGGCTTAAAACAACAGAAATTTATTCTTTTGCAGTTCCAAAGATCAGAGGTCCAAAATCAAAGTTACAATAGTGTTGGGCTTTTTGTTTTTGATTTTGTCTTTTTTTTGAGATGGAGTCTCACTTTGCTGCCCAGGCTGGAGTGCAGTGGTGCAATCTTGGCTCACTGCAGCCTCTGTCTCCTGGGTTCAAGCAATTCTCATGCCTCAGTCTACTGAATAGTTGGGACTACAGGTGCCTGCCACCACACCCAGCTAATTTTTGTGTTTTAGTAGAGATGGGGTTTCACCATGTTGGCCAGGCTGGTCTTTAACTCCTGACTTCCAGTGATCCACCCACCTCAACCTCCCAAAATGCTGGGATTACAGGTATGAGCCACCGTGCCTGGCCCATTGGTTTTTTTTTCAGGAGGTTCTGAAAGAGAATCGGTTCCATGCTCTCTGCAGCTCCCAGTGGCTGCAGCCCTTGGCTCTCCTTGGCTTACAGACAGGTCACTTCAATCCCTATCTTAGTCTCCTCATAGCCCTCCCTTCTGCATCTGTATACCTCTTTTCCAGTTCCGTCTTTTATAATGTCATTGGATTTAGGGCCCACCCAAAGCCAGCACGTGCTTATCTCAAGTTCCATACCATATGTACATCTCCCGAGACTCTTACTCCAAAGAGGGTCACATTCTGAGGTTGTAGGTGGACATGTCTGTTGGGTCCCCTATTCAGCCACTACATGAGAGGTGCCACTTTTATCAGGAGCCACCAACAAAATCTTCTGGAACAAGTGGTAGGGCAACTAACAGGCATAGTGTATAGAGGTCATACAGGCCACGGGGCTGTCGGCTGCCACACAGGAAAAACAAAGGACAGAGTGCGGAGCACAGGAAGGGTATGCCCAGGGGGATCCAGGCCAGTCCCCACCAGCAGCTCAGGGCTCAGTTGTTGGTCATCTCTATTCAAGTGACAGACTCAGTGAGTCAAGAGAGAAGCCAGCCAGGTGCAGTGGCTCATGGCTGTAATCCCAGTACTTTGGGAGGCTGAGGCCGGTGGATAACTTGAGGTTAGGAGTTCGAGACCAGCATGGCCAACATGATAAAACTCCGTCTCTACTAAAAATACAAAAGTTAGCCAGGCGTGGTGGCAGGCACCTGCAATCCTAGCTACTTGGGAGGCTGAGGCATGAGAATTGCTTAAACCCAGGAGGTGGAGGTTGCAGTGAGTCGAGATCATGCCACTGTACAACAGCCTGGGCAATAGACTATGACTCTGTCTCAGAAAAAGAAAAAGGGAGAGAGAGAGAAGCAGCCACAGCACAGGGCTCCACCAGTGCCAACTCTGTGCTGGGACAGAGGATGGGACAGGTTGCATGGCCTACAAAGAGGGACCAGTGTTTGAGAAGGCCTGCTAGGACCACTCAAGAAGTGTGTACTCCCCAACCCTGGAAAAATGTCTTCATTCATCAGGGCGCAGTAGTTCACATCTGTAATCCCAGCACTTTAGGAGGCTGAAGCAGGGGGATCGGTTGAGCCCAGGAGTTTGAGGCTACAGTGAGCCATGATTGCACCACTGCACTCCAGCCTGGGCAACAGAGTGAGACCCTGTCTCAAAAAAAAAAAAAGCCAGACACGGTGGCTCATGCCTGTAATCCCAGCACTTTGGGAGGCCAAGGCAGGTGGATCACTTGAGGTCAGGAGTTCAAGACCAACCTGGCCAACGTGGTGAAACCCCATCTCTACTAAAAACACAAAAATTAGGCAGGCTTGGTGGCACGCACTTGTAATCCGAGCTACTCAGGAGGCCAAGACAGGATAATCACTTGAACCTGGGAGGTGGAGGTTGCAGTGAGCCTAGAATGCACCAGTACACTCTAGCCTGGGTGACAGAGCAAGACTCTGTCGTCAAAAAAAAAAAAAAAAAAAAGTCTTTATTTCAATCATATTACTGCTTTCTTTTCCCCACTGCTCCCTACTCCCAAAGAAAAACAAATCTCATACCTAATGTATTTCTAGGCAACCTGTTAACATACATGGCTAAAAGGAAGAGAGAGGAGATGAATGCTATGAAATGCCTACTATAGCCAGGGGCGGTGGCTCACGCCTGTAATCCCAGCACTTTGGGAGGCCAAGATGGGCAGATCACGAGGTCAGGAGATCAAGACCATCCTGGCTAACACGGTGAAACCCCGTCTCTACTAAAAATACAAAAAAATTAGCCGGACGTGGTGGCGGGTGCCTGTAGTCCCAGCTACTCAGGAGGCTGAGGCAGGAGGATGGCGTGAATCCGGGAGGTGGAGGTTGCAGTGAGCCGAGATCATGCCACTGCACTCCAGCCTGGGCGACAGAGTGAGACTCCGTCTCAAAAAAAAAAGAAATACCTACTATAGTTATCATTTTGCTTTTATGCCAAGCCACATTATTCCCTTCTTTCAAAATTCTGTTTCAAATCCTCACCCTTTCAGGACCTCTCCCCACCCTAGGCCTAAGTACCATGTCGGTCCATGTGCCTCAGCATGAACTTCTATCATTTTAACTGTATCTGCTTGTGCCTACCCATATGTTTACTCTACACATCTTTAAGTCTCTTTAGATCTAGGCTTCAGGAGGCTGAAAGTTCATCACAGGCAGAAATCCTGCCATTGGCTTCTATGGGATTCCTAGAAACTAATATCATCCACTTCACAGAGGATGCTGTCAAATGAGAGATGATTATATTGTACATCTCTTGTAAAATGCTGCTCCTCATTGAACTTCTTTCTGAATTTTTTTCTTTTTTTTTTTTTTGAGTCAGAGTCTCGCTCTGTTGCCCAGGCTGGAGTGCAGTGGTGATCTTGGCTCACTGCAACCTCTTCCTCCTGGGTTCAAGCGATTCTCCTGCCTCAGCCTCCCTAGTAGCTGGGACTGCAGGTGCACACCACCAAGCTCGGCTAATTTTTTTGTACTTTCAGTAGAGACGGGGTTTCACTGTGTTAGCCAGGATGATCTTGATCTCCTGACCTCATGATCCGCCTGCCTCGGCCTCCCAAAGTGCTGGGATTATAGGCGTGAGCCACTGCACCTGGCCATATAGATATATATATTTTTGTTGTTGTTGTTGTTGTTGTTGTTGAGACAGGGTCTCACTCTGTTGCCCAGGCTGGAGTACAGTGGCGAGATCTCACCTCACTGCAGCTTTGAACTCCTGAGCTCAAGCCATCCTCCCACATCAGCCACCCGAGTAGCTGGAACTACAGGCATGTACCACCATGCCCAGCTAATTTTTTGTATTTTTAGTAGAGGTGGGGGTTTCACCATGTTGCCCAAGCTGGTCTCAAACTCCTGAGCTCAAGCGATCCACTTGCCTTGGCCTCCCAAAGTGCTAAGATTGCAGGTGTGAGCCACGACACCCAGCCCAGAATTATTTTTTTAAAAAGAAGAACAATAACCAGAAAGAAGAAAGTAGATGAAAGAAATATTTCTCTTCTGAAACAAGAATGGCAAACCCACGGTGGAAACACAATGGTAATATTTTGTGCTACAAACCCAAGAACGGCCCAGCAAGCCAACATTTAAAACGCTGAGGGCAAATCCTCCCAAAAGCCCAGTAGTTTCTTTGCTTCTTTAAAATGGCTGGAGACGGACTGAGAGGGTCACTTGCTGATAATGGGAGAAGCTGTAAATGAAGAGCTTATTTTTCCTCTTCAGTATCCTGAAACAACACGACCTAAGAGGGGCTCCACCACTATTTGATTACCTGGCTCTCTGGCAGTGACCTTGGCTGTGATGCTACACCTGATAGCAATGATTTCACATCACCAACCTGCCACAGTGAGGTGACAGGGGTTGCTTTGTCCTTGCTGAGCCAAATCCTTCCAGAAGCACGATGCAGTTGCCCAAAAGTGAGAGGTTGGCCACCGGTCTGCAGCGTGGATGATCTGTCTAGAGGGAGGCCCTCATTTTCCTCAACTCTTAGCTTCAACAATTGCAGTCATATCACAGGATGCTTGATTTTCTCAAGCTAGGGCATCAACCATTTAAATCGTCAGTCCACTTGAATTTAACTACTCTCAGAAAATACTTGCAAATCACATATCTAATAAGGGATTGGTATCCAGAATATAAAAAACTACAACTCAACAACAAAATAACGAACAACCCCATTTAAAAAAGGGCAGAGGATTTGAACAGATATTTCTTCAAAGAAAATAGACAAATGACCAAGAAGCACGTATGAAAGATGTTCTACATCAAGAATCATTAGGGAAATGCAAATCAAAACCACAATGAGATACGACTGCACACACATTACGATGGTCATGATTTTAAAACAGGAGGAAAATAACAGGGTCTTGGTGAGGATGTGGAGAAATTGGAACTTTTATGCATTATCAGCGGTAATGTAAAATGGTACAGCTATTACAAAAAAAACTGTATAGCAATTCCTCAAAAAATTAAACATAGAATTACCAACCAGGCACGGTGGCTTACACCTGTAATCCCAGCACTTTAGGAGGCCGAGGAGGGTGGATCACCTGAGATTAGGGGTTCAAGACTGGCTTGGCCAACATGGCAAAACCCCATCTCTACTAAAAATACAAAAAAATTAGCCAGGCATGGTGGTGCACACCTGTAATCCCAGCTACTCAGAAGGCTGAGGCAGGAGAATCGCTTGAACCTGAGAGGCAGAGGTTGCAGTGAGCCGAGATCGTGCCACTGCACTCCAGTCTGGGCAACAGAGAGAGACTCAGTTTCAAAAAAAAAAAAAAAAAAAAAAAAAAAAAAGAATTACCACACAACCCAACAATTCTACTTGTGGGCATATAACCAAAAAAAAACTAAAGTGGGAACTCAAGCAAATATTTATACATCCATGGTCATAGCAGCGTTGACCACAACAGATAAAAGGCAGAAGCAACCCACGTGTCCATCAATGAATGAATCAGAAAACAGAATGTGATATACACATATGATCAGCTACTATTCAACCTTAAAAAGGAAAGAAATTCTGATGCATACTACAACATGGATGAAACTTGAGGACATTATAATTGAAATCAGCCAGTCACAAAAGGACAAATACTTATATGAGCCCACTTATATTTGGCCCTAGAGTAGTCAAATTCATAGAGACAGAAACTAGGCAAAGGACTTGAATGGATATTTCTCCAAAGAAGATAGACAAATGGCCAGAGACAGAAAGTAAGATGACGGAGGGGGAAATGGGGGGTTAGTGTTTCATGGATGTGGAGTTTCAGTTGGGGAAGACGAAAAAGTTCTAGAAACATACATTTGCACAAAAATGTGAATATACATACTGCCACTGAACTGTCCACTTAAAAATTGTTAAAATGGTAACCTTTATGTTACGTATATCTTACCACAATTTAAAAATATGTTTAAAAATAGCCACCCAAGTCCAGAAATGACCTACAATATAATATTATACTCAAAATTAAGGTAAGTTATTGGGGTCTATCTTGGTTTTTATTCTGAACAGTACTTAAAACTCATGCTTAATCTACTTTTCTTCAAAAAAAATAAAAAATCAAAGGAATTGGGGGAAGAAAAGCTTTGTTCCTCACTCCCTTATATTTATTATGGAGCAAGGTACATTTTAAATTGCTTTTGCTGGCCGGGCGCAGTGGCTCACGCCTGTAATCCCAGCACTTTGGAAGGCTGAAGCGGGTGGGTCACAAGGTCAGGAGATAGAGACCATCCTGGCTAACAACATGGTGAAACCCCATCTCTACTAAAAGTACAAAAAATTAGCCAGGCATGGTGGCAGGTGCCTGTAGTCCCAGCTACTCGGGAGGCTGAGGCAGGAGAATGGCGTGAACCTGGGAGGTGGAGCTTGCAGTGAGCCGAGATGGCACCACTGCACTCCAGCCTGGGCGACAGAGCAAGACTTCATCTCAAAAAAAATAAAAATAAAAATAAATAAATAAATAAATAAATTGCTTTTGTTATTTGTCATTTTTGTAGTTAGAATTCAGCTGATGGTCTGTTGGTTCCTGATATCTTTTTCCCTTCTTCATTTTCTGTCCTCCCTTCCATCTCATTCATAAATCCCCTAGCACTTGCCCCTACCTCCCACACACCTAGGAAGTGGGAGGAAATCTCTCTACCCTGGGGTCAACATTGTCAGGCACAGCAGAACTGATAGACCTTTCAACAGCCCGAGCTATGGGCTTCCCACACTATTCATGACCACGAGAAAGTACTTTAGCTCTTAGAAAAGCAACACTACAAGAGCCACCATATCAAGTCCGATGGATACTGCAGAGCTGGCTGTCACAGGGACACTGAGACACCTTCCAGAGCACGGATTGACTCTCAATACCAGATTATTCTGAAAGCTGGGTTGTGTGCAGAATGGACGGGAGGAGGAGATTGGAAGATGGAAATGCATTCTATGGGGGATCGAAAATAAAAATAATGGGGAAAGCAACAATCAAAGCTGGAAGCTTACCTCAAATTAGTCCTAAAATGAACACAGCAGCATGAGTACAAAATAGACTCTTTCTAATGACAAACAAATGGACCAGAATGAAATGGATTTTTCTGTATCCTAAAAATCTTGGTATTTTGTGTTATTTACAAGGTGTTTAACAGCCAGTAGAATGTATTCTTTTTAAAGTAATAAGCCTTTCAAATTATTACAACGAACACTTTTATGATCAGAAAAAGAAATACTCTAAATAAAAAACAAAAAGGTTACAGACTGTAATAATATAAATGGTTTCCTCTCCTAAATAGAGTCGTGTATGTTGTCTATGCTGTTTGCCATCGTGTACAGTATTTGTCATCCTGAGTTTCACTCCTGGTTAATACACTTTGGAAATCTTCTTGAATCCCAACACACACAGCCCCCATCCCTCAGTTTTTATAAATGACCTGTATACACGTATGCAGAGGTATCTACTCCTATGACCTGCTCATTTGAGTGGGACTTTAAAGGTTTTGATTGTTTAATAAAGAAAAATCATGTATCCAAGCTCTACAACATGCCAGAAGAAGGTATGTCTACAAGATCATTCTCTCTATATCCACCCTAGGAAAATATACTTGATCTTATTTTTAGAAAGAAAAAGAGTAAGAGACAGAGATATTTGGGCAAAGCACTAGAAGTTGCAGTCTTAGTGTTTCAACTTGCTTATTAGCTGGCTGCCACTTGGTGGCACTGTTGATTCCAGTTTGCTCCCAGATCCAGGGGATGAGTGTATCCACTGATCCAACCTTAATAAGCACGTGCGGCTCCTGCCCCATGAAGAACTTCATTAAGCCCTGACAGCCTTTATAGAAACATCAGAATGTCTGTATTTCTACCACCTCCAGATCTAAATGACAAATGGCACAGCAAATGCCCTCCTCTTAGGACTTTCCCTAGCTTTTCCTCCAAAGGAGATATCCAACCTTTCCTTCCAGGTGTCTGTCTCAGCCTCTCTCTCTCGGAAACCTTCTCTATTAACTATAGCCAGAGCCTCCCATGGGACATGGCAAATCTGGGAAAGTGTCCTGGGTGCATCCTGGTGGAGGGGATAACAGGGCAAGACCAGAAAAAGAAAGAAAATGAGGAGGTGAAGAGGCAGTAGTACCACCATCTTGAGATTTTAAAAAAATACAAGATAAAATGCAGGGAGCACAAATCTTTGGTAGGCTCTCATTTCTGTGATTTATTTGGCAGGTGCTTTCATCTAAACCTCCCAGCACACCTGTGTGAGGACCTTGTTTTGGAAGTGAGAAAACTCAGGCTCACAGGGCTTAAGTAACTTGCTCAAGAGTGGGCACACAGAATTTGTGGATCCAGGACTGGAGCTTCAACCTTTTCTCCAAGTTGGCAACACCACACAGCCTTCAGAGGGCTTTATAAAAATAGGGCTCCCAGTATAAACATAGGGAGGCTCAACAACTTCTCACCCAAATAGAAGGACAAAAGTGGGCAGCTTCCCTCTCAATAAGATCTATGGTTCTCATCTTCACCTATCTGCCCCGTAAACACACAGATTGAGCTGCATATTCCTTTATTTATTTTTCCTCCTTTGAGATGGCCAAGGCTGTTAATTTTCAAAAGATCGCAGTTATAGAAACATTTGGAGGAAGGACGTGCACAGACATATAAGATCATTATTTGTTCTTTGTACTCTGCCCCACCACCCAAGGTAGCTCCACCTCTGTCCTACATTGAACTCTCCTTTTTCATATAATAAAAGAAAATCACTAGAAGCCTTGAACAATGACCAATATAGAATCCTCAGAGAGGGGCGGAGTATAGATACTGTATATCAATAAGTCTTACGCTATTGCTTTGAACAGCATGTATTATGATCCTTTCCTGGTAAGAAGAGAATTCTATGATGTCTCAGCTAACTCAGAACATAAATCTTCACAGGTGAACTGTAAAGCATAGAGAGACGGTTCTGGTGGCTGTGATTTTGTAATAAGCACATAATTTATAATGCATATAAAATATGGCTGACCATAAAGTAATGAAAGCGATTTCTTAACAGCACAACACATAGATACAACAAAAGCATGTCATCACTTTCTAAATAGATACTTTGGATATGATATCCATATTCTGTGATCTTGAGACTGCTCAAAACTCTGTGAAAATTCCTCTTTTGATATTGCATTCCGTGCATGAGACATATATTTTTGACTCTTCTCAATTGTGGTAAATATTCATACTTTGAGGGCGAATTTCATTTTTGGGAACAGCTGAGTCATTTGGGACTAACTCTGGCATATAAGCTGGAGAAAATTGAATCAAAGACAAGATTCATTCATTGAATAATTCAACAACTATTCTGTTGGATGCTGTACAATATGAAGTTAGCCTTGGATCTTAGGGTCTCACAGACTAGAGGGGAAGATAAGCATATACATAAATCATTGTAATAAAAATAATTTTCCCACAGAGATTTATGCAGCTCTGGTTGCTTTTAACTAGGACTACAATGGAAAAGAAGCAAGGCTGGGTTTCTGGATTGGGCTTGGAAAGTGGTTCTAAAAACAGATCTAGAAGGAGGTGTCCAACCTGTTTGAGTAAATGCAACTTTGATGGAATGATTATATACCCTCCCAACAGTGCTAATTCTGGCTTATTCAGATATTGATATTCTGGTAGGTGTCATTTTTAAAATGTGATCTGGTTTTTTTGTTTGTTTGTTTTTTGTTTTTTGAGATGGAGTATCACTCTCGCCCAGGCTGGAGTGTGATGGCACAATCTCAGCTCACTGTTAACCTCTGCCTCCTGGGTTCAAGCCATTCTCCTGCCTCAGCCTCCCAAGTAGCTGGGTCTACAGGCATGCACCACCACGCCTAGCTAATTTTTGTATTTTTAGTACAAACAGTATTTCACCATGTTGGCCAGGCTGGTCTCGAACTCCTGACCTCAAGTGATCCACCCACCTCGACCTCCCAAAGTGCTGGGAATACAGGCATGAGCCACCACACCTGGCTGATCTGGTATTATTTAATAGTCACATTCCAACCCCAACAAACTGCAATCATGACTTGATAATCAAATGATGCAAAAATTTTCCACTGTGTTTTTCTAAGCTGGCCTAAAATCAATGGGGCCACCATTTGAGTTGTGGGGAGCTCCAGCAGCTGGCACAGGATGACAAAGGCTTTCATGGGAAGCAGGGGAAAGGCAGTCAGCCATGGGGATGTGAGGCTTGTTATGCACAGGAGGGTTGATCAAATAAGTAAACACATAGAAAAAACCAGGAGCCAGGTTTCTCATCATGGCTCCTAGTGGGAAAACTGAAGGTGGAGATATTGGTGGGAACTCATTTTTAATAGTACCTATAATAGATAAAGAAATTGATATTTAACACACACATATAAACACATACATTTCCTAGCTGTGTCCACTGAGAAGGTCCAGGAGCAATGACACTCCAATAGCAACAAGCATACTTAATGTCCCTAGACGGTTGGTTTCCAAAGACTGTTCTTCACTAAAAGGAATCAAGCATCCTCGGAGAAGTGATTGATTCCAGGGATGGGGGAGGAAAAATATAAGATAAGTCTGGAACATCTCTACTGTGCCAGAAAGTAAGGATGTACCCAAAGAATGATGGAATTGTGTCATAAGGACCTGGAAACTTGCTCATAAGGGCTCCCATGGGCCAGGTGTGGAACAACTTAAGGATAGAAATAAATCATGATAGTGATGGATTATAACCCATTGAATAAAATATGAAATTGAAGTCTATACCAATAAAAATAAAAATACATGAGCAAATTAAAAGTTTGATGAGGTCCAGGATACATCATGTCAATTACCTTCATCAAATGATGAAAGTGAACATCACCAGGTTTGGTGCCACCTGATAGGATACCATGAAAAGAACATAGCACCCCTTTCATGAAATCCCTGCCAACCATGCCTAACCTGAATATAACCATGAAGAAACATCACCCAAACCGAAACTGAGGAACTTAACTGGGCTTCAAAAGAGTCGTGAAAGTCACCAAGCAACGAAGGAACTCTTGCAGGTTAGTGGAAACTGAAGGAACATGATGATTGAGTACAAGGCATCATTCTAGATTGGATCCTTTTGCAATAAAGAATATTTATTTGGGCAAGTGGCAAAACTTTAATGGGGTCTGAGGATTAGATCACAGTGATAAATAAATATTAGTGTTCTGATTTGGATGGTTAGAATGTGGTTATGTAAGAGAATGCCTTGTTTGTGAGAAATACACACTAAAATATTTGGCAATGAGGAAACATCATTCTGGCAACTTACTTTCAAGTGATTTCAGGAATAAAAATGTTCTTTGTAGTGTACTGAAAATTTTTTGTAAGTTTGAAGTGTTCCCCACCACCACTAAAAAAAAAAAAAAAAAAAAAAAAAAAAAATTAAGACTGTGTAGAGAGAGTGGAATAAATGGTCCAACTCAGCAATGGGCTATTTCCTCACCTAATTCCGATGCCCATTTTGATCCTATACCAGTGAACTATCACAAGGATGGAAAAAGTACTGTACTTATCACAAAGGACTTGAAAATACATTTATTTAAGAAGGGAAAATTATGGGATATGCAGGAGGGATGCATTTTTTTTTTTTTTTTTTTGAGACAGAGTCTCACTCTGTCACCAAGGCTAGAATGCAGTGGCATATTCTCGGCTCACTGCAACCTCCAGCTCTCAGGTTCAAGCAATTCTCTTGCCTCAGCCTCCCAAATAGCTGGGATTACAGGCGCCTGCCACCACACCTGGCTAATTTTTGAATTTTTTTAGAGACGGGGTTTCACCCTGTTGGCCAGGCTGGTCTCGAACTCCTGACCTCAGTTGATCCACCCAACTCAGCCTTCCAAAGTGCTGGGATTACAGGCGTAAGCCAGCGCACTTGACCTGAATGCACCCTTTCTTTGGTGACTGTTTCATTAAGCAGGAGCGCAGTGCTGAGGAGAAACATTTACACTTACCAGATGCCATCAGAGCCCCTTTGGTATAAAAGCCTTAAAGATTCTTTAGAGAATAGAAACACAAATAAGTTAGGAAGGCCTATCAGGGAAAATGCTGGACAGCATAGCATGACCCCAGGGTAAGCAATAGTCGATTTAAATTGATTTCACAAATGGACTTTCAAAATGAAACTGTGTAGTTGTTGTATTTGACTATCCAGGAAGTTTTTGTCCCTTCTTCTGGGCACTCATCATGTCCCTCCACCCCAGTAGCAGCACCCCACCTCCTTGTAGCAATGATCTGTTCAAGGGGTACACTGAGAACCAAAAGAGCCCGTCTGAGTTCTTTCTGAAATATTTTTGCAATGCTTGAAGAAGGAAACTCTCTCTTTGCACTGCAGTCACTTAGCTAAGATCATCAGCCACTATATACCGCTCCTCTCAGAGAAGTCCTCGGTGGAAGAGAGAGAATAACGCCAGTGTGCAAAGAGGAGGCCAAGGCAGGAGGATCACTTGAGCTCAGGAGTTCGAGAACAGCCTGGGCAACATGGCAAAATCCCGTCTCTACTAAAAATACAAAAATTAGCCAGGCGTGGTTGCGTGCAGCTGTAGTCCCAGCTACTTAGGAGGCTGAGGCAAGAGGATGACTTGAGCCCAGGAGGTGGAGGTTGCAGTGAGCCATGATTGTGCCACTGCACTGCAGCCTAGGTGACAAATGTGCAAATGTGCAAAGGCAAGTTGGGAAGGAAGAAGCTACACTCTTACAGGTCTGCCTATGACTGGAACAGATACTCTGGCATCCTTCCAGAGGCAGCGTACCTTTTCTTACTGAAGAGCCTATGGCCTGGGCTTCTCTCATTTGTCCCCAGAGAGTCCTGACTAATACAATTGTCATCTTGGGAAAAAAACCCTAGTATAAATAACCTGAATTTCCAGCACAGTTCCCAAGTATTTGGGTAGCACAAGCTGGTTTTTCAGGCCCTAATCACCTGCTGGATAAACCAGCCACTGTGGTCCCAGATTGGGTATTAAATTCTGCAGTCCAGAGAGATGGGAGTGGCTTTGAGACTTTCTCAAATTTCTCTGCACCCTTCATTTAACCGCAAGTGGTCACAGTGTGTGGTTTATGCGTTGAGTGTTGAATGCAGCTATACATACATTGTTGCCTCATTCACAGATTGCTTTATGTCTGTATGGCTTGCCTCCTCAGTTACACTGTAACAGTTTTATGGGCAAGAGTCTATAGTTTGTTTCTCTCTCGCTGCAATCACTGAGTAGATACTCAATAAACAAGATTGAATGGGTAGAGCAAATATAAAAGGCCAATGTTAAAACTAAGTCTCAGCCTGTAATCCTAGCTACTGGGGAGGCTGAGGCATGGGAATCACTTGAACCCAGGAAGGATCCCAGGAGGCAGAGGTTGCAGTGAGCCGAGATCGTGCCACTGCACTGCAGCCTGGGTGACGGAGCAAGACTCTGTCCCAAAAAAAAAATAAAAAAATAAAAATAAAAAACAGCAACAATGAAGTCTCTTGAGGGAAATAAAACTAAAGAGAGTAGAAGAGTTCAACCAGAAATTAGAAATTCACAGAATTCAGGATGGACGTCTAAGAAATACTGAATGAATGAAATAACCTTGCCTTCTCCCTCCTGCTCCATTGCCAGCAACATTCAAGCCAAAGCACAGGGGCATACGCACTAGCACAGAGAGAACCCGGTTGCTGCCAAGACTCAACATGACTTTACCACCTGGTCTGGTCATGGTTCTTGGTCAACTCATTAGGAAGCTTGGTGGGGAGTTTACGCATGGCTAGCCCTGTTGCACATGAATGCTTTTTAGAAAAGAGACCAGTGGGTTAGTGCGGAAAAATGTGAAAGGGTTATGCCAATCTGATTTCCTCTAGCCTATGGTAGTGTCACTGGGCTTGTCACATTCACTGTGCCTGAATAGCTTCTTCCCAGCCACCAACCAATACCACTTGGAAGACAAACCTACCAGCGATTTTGAAAGAATTGCCTTCTAAACTCGCTTGATTTTCATGTGAGGACCCATTATATTTCTCACGCTCCATCACATGCTAATCTTGAAACATTTATATTTCTTCCAAAAGTAGAATGCCCTTCTGAGATTTTACTAAGTCATAGCTACTTTCTTCTCATTGTTTTAGAGATGTGGAATTTTTCCAATTGTGCATTTTCAGTTAATTTGTTTTAAAACAGCACGTAGGCCAAGTATGGTGGCTCGTGCCTGGAATCCCAGAAGTTTGGGAAGCCGAGGCGGAAGGACTGCTTGAAGCCAGGAGTTCGAGACCAGTCTGGGCAACAAAATGAGAACCTGTCTCTACAAACAACAAACAAACAAAAAAACTTAATTAGCCAAGCATAGTGGTGCACACCGATGGTCCCAGCTACTTGGGAGACTGAGGCTGGAGGATCATTTGAGCCCAAGAGTTAGAGGCTGCAGTGAACTATGATCATGCCACTGTACTCCAGCCTCAGCGACGGAGTAAGACCTTGTCTCTAAAAATTAAAATTAAAATTAGAAATAAAACAACATATATACAAAAGCTCATTTAATTAATACATTAAAGCAATTTTCTACATAAATATTAAGAAGTGTATATGTGTTAAAGTAAAGTTTTGTTCTAATATAAATGCACAACTATGAAAATATATATAAATGTAGGACCTCATGGCAACAGGACAAAAGAGGCAAAAATATGCACTTCTCATTTACATCTCACTCGGCAGGGCAGGCAAGTCTCTCAGATATCATGAATAAACATTTAAAAATGTTTAGATATACAGGAGGAGCTTTTATGGAAATCTGCATTTTTTTCATTTGGGATTTTCTTAAAATGGGCTGTATCTGTACTTTTCCTTGTCTTCACAGTACTTCTTTGATAAGATGTACTTTGAAAAAAAAATCCATAAATATGTGTGTTTTCAACCAGGAGAATCTGGCGTTGTATTGGTGTACTAATGTAGAAAACAAGCAAAAGAGACTAGGCAATGCAGTTTGTTGCCCATTTTCACAATTTCCATAGGAATTAAAGAGTTCGACTCCGTGTTGTTATCATTTAGGCCCACATGAAATAGAGCCCTTTTCTAGAAGTGTTTAGAAATATCCCAGAAAAATATTAGCTTATCCAAAACTGCACGATTTGTGTAAGGAGAAATCAATGACATAACAGATTTCTCATTTTTCTGTCAATTGTGCTAAGACCCTATAACTCAAACAAGGTGATGCTATTTCCAGATGGCTATAGCTGCTCCCTATAGGTTTCCTCTCAAACATAAAAGTTATTCTTTAAAAACACTGCAGCCAATGAATGATATAGAGAATTTCATTTCTGAAGGTGCAAATTAGAAATCAGTGTCTAGTCGGGCATGGTGGCTCACACCTGTAATCCCAGCACTTTGGGAGGCCAAGGCAGGAGGATCACTTGAGCTCAGGAATTTGAGACCAGCCAGAGCAACATGGTGAAACCCTATCTTTACTAAAAATACAAAAATTAGTCATGTGTGGTGGTGTGCACCTGTAGTCCCAGCTACTTGGAAGCCAAGGTGGGTGGATGAGTTAAGCCAGGGAGGTGGAGGTTGCAGTGAGCCATGATCGTGCCACTGCACTCCAGCCTAGGTGACACAGCAAGACCCTGACTCAAAAATAAAAATAAAAATAAATTACTGGAAATCAGACTTCTAGTGAAACTAAAAACCAATGACAAAGACAGATACCAGTTTGCTGAAGAGTTCAGTCATGTCTCTTATGACTGCCACCCATAGGGAATGTTCTCTGCCTGAAAGATCTCCCTGCACCCCAACACCAATCCCAATCAATTTGGTTGTCTGCTCAACTACCCATCTACACTCAGCAGAACCATTAGTTTTCCAAGGGATGTCTCTTAACCTACCACCCTCCCTCACCAAGAATTTGCCTCTCTCTCTTCTGAGCTTCCATCTCACCAACTGTATATTCATTTCCAGTAAAACATATGACACAGTGTCACATTTATTTATTTTTCTATCTCTGTGAACTCCTGGAGAACAGGGAAAGTTACTGTCTCCTCCCCAGACCCCCCACCAATGATTAGCAGTGTCTATTTTAGTCAACAATAAATATTTGCTCACTAAATAAATGAGTCAGTAATTTTTCTGAAAACCAAGTTCATGATCTCGTTTTGACTTTTTATGGAAATTTGTGTGAGATGAGCCTGGCTTGTTAGGGTACAACACATAATTAAGCTTTTTTTTATTGATGACCCAAGTTCATTCTCACTTTAGAAAACACACACTGAGAACCTCTGCCTGTTGATATGTACAGAATGCCACCTAGAATCCCAAAAAGTCTCTGTCTCTCCTCTTTTTTCAGACTTTCTCTTCTCCCAGTTTTTAGTAAAACTGCCTCTAACAGAATTCACAATCCACCTCTCCTAATTGGCAGCCTTTAATCTGCTAAGGGCAGAGGAATTTGATAACTAAGCTTATTAAACTCATGTGACTAAAATGAAATAGTATCTGAATTGGTGCCTATCGAGTAATAATGTCTTGGAGCTTTGGAATTTGGAATGTGTGACAATTAGTTCCGCTGTTTGAGGTCTTGGAAATTACTTCATGATTTCTCCACCCTAGTTTGCAGCCCTGACCTCGGTATAATTGAGATTTTACAATATTTAAGTGCCTTAGATATGATTTACCATAATCCATCCTTAAAAGAAAATGACTTACGTGGAAATTACTGAGAATCAGAAAATGGACATGTAAAATGAATTAAATGGCTCTTGGTACACTCTGAAATAGGCAAATCGATTTCTGCCCTGAATCTGACGATTTGCAATACCGAAAATGCCACCACACTACTTTATGGAGATATTATGTATCAGTCAGAACAGGCTTGATTATGCTGTACAAACAACATGGAACAAACAAAGTGAAGCTTCCCCTGACAGTGTTTCCCTCCCCTACCATTCATGCTACATGTCCATCAGGAATCACCCCTGGGTCTACATTCTCACCCTGGGGCCCAGTTGTTTCTCTCCACATTGTCAGTCTTCTGGCAGAGGGAAAGGGACACAGTGTACCACATCCTGGCTCACAAAACTTCTGTCCAGGCACAGTGGCTCACACCTGTAGTTCCAACACTTTGGGAGGCTGAGACAGGAGCATCACTTGAGCCCAGGAGGTGGTGATCAGTCTGGGCAACATAGCAAGACCCTATTTCTGAGAAAACATTTTAATTATCTGGGTGTTGTGGTCCCAGTTACGCAGGAGGCTGAGGCAGGATTGCTTGAGCCCAGGAGTTCAAGGCTGTAGTGGGCTATGATGGTACCACTGCACTCCAACCTGGTTGTCACGGTGAGATTCTGTCTCTTAAAAAACAAAACAAAACCTTCTGCCCAGAAGTGACACACATCACTCTGACCTTCTTTCAATGGCCAAAGCATGTCCTATGGCCACTCTGAGTGCAGCCAGGTACTTCCTGCGGGGATGGAAACTAGAATATTTAGTAAATGGAAATACAGTCTACTATAATGACTGTAAAAGACAGAGTGCAGGCATCAGATGCACACATTAGCAGCAAAGAATAGTGACAGCCATCCTTCCAGTGGAAGATGGACTGTACCTTGGAATCTTTCTTACTCCAACATTCTGGACAACCACTACCAACTGGCAGAGGCCAGCAACTAAGATAAGAAGTATCTGCCAACCCTTCTACAGAGTCAGAGAGTCCAAGCTTCAGGGTTAAGGGAAGTCTTTCTAGAAGAGCTGGAGACTTTCTGGAAGAACTGCCCTCTGCCGTGAGGATGGGCAGTTAATGAACCACGCGAGGCAGGAAAGATTGTTTGAGGTAGCAGCACAGGTGAAGCTCTAGAGGGGAGATGGGTGAAATGAGGGTCCCCTGGCACTCTCAATGAGGAGAGATGGTGCAGTGACAGAGGAGACAGAAAAAGGGAGGCAGAACAGGTGTTAAGGAGGTCAAGTTGATTAGACAGGATTGTGTGGGAATTAAAGAAGAAGCAGTGAAAGAGGACATTTGAGTTTTCTGCTTGAGCGGAGTCTAGAGGATGCTGACATTCAGGAACTAGGCAGGAGGAAGGAAGGACAGGTCTGTGGGGTGACATGAGGTCAGGGCTGGATATGAGCAGTGTGAGCTGCTGTGGAGCCACACAGGGCACAGCTGGATCCCAGGCCTGAAGCTCAAGGTAAGAGCTGAACTCCAAATATGAACATGAGCATCATCAGCTTAGAGCTAGCCATGGAAGTCCTGGACTCCAAGACTGCGTTGGAACAAAGTGACTGGGACACGCAGCATGGAGGATTTCCATCAGAGCTTGGAGGAATGTTACTGGAGAAGGGGAGCAAGAGCACGTAGCCAAAGAGGTGGGGGGTGACACGGGTGAGTGTGGCAAGAGGGAAGCTGAGGGCAGAGAGACCGAGAAGGAGGAGACTGACGGGGAGCCACTGAATTCACTCAAAAAGTGGTGTACTGGTACCTGGCAAAAAGTGGGTGAAAGCCTGGGTAAGGGGGGCAGGACTGGAGGCTGCTCTCAATGATTGATAGGTGAATGGGAAGCGGGGAGGCAGAGGCATCCTTCACTCACCAATGTGCTTCAACAACAGAATCTTCTCCCTTTTCTCCCTCCTTCCCCTGCCCAGATAAACATCAAATCCTCCTCTGAATAAAAGTCCCCATTCGAGTTAAAATAAGAAACATGAAAACAGATGGGTTTTCCAAAAACATGTCCATAGTTCCAATATTCAAAATTACCCATTTGTAGCACTGTGCCTTCTTTTAAATTTAAAAATGATTACACATCATCTTCTATAGTGTGTCACATATGCAGAACGTACAAATGGCCTCTATGTTGATGACTCCCCGGTTTGTATTTCCAGCCCAGATCTCTGCCCCAAGTCCCAGCTGTCCCATTGAACATCCTGCTCACAACTCAGACCAAACATGGCCAAAGGCATCTTCCAGGTGCACTGTGAGCTCCAGGAGAATGGAAAGAATGAAAGTCCTGTCCGGTTAGGCCAAGAGCTACGGTCTTCCCAGTGAAGTGCTTGCAAAACAGTATTTATCACCCCAAGAACCACTGCCTACTAAAACTACACACAAAGATTCTTGCTATAAACAAAGATACATGGATATCTTCTAAATCACAAGGGCACAAGTACAGTCAGCCCTCCGTATCCATGAACTCAACCAATCGCCAATCAAAATATTTGAACAAAAGTGTAGAAATTCCTTTTCTTGTCATTATTCCATAAACAATACAACAACTATTTACACAGCATTTACATTGTATTAGGTATTATAAGTAATCTAGAGTGATTTAAAGTATACAGGAGGATGCGTGTAGGTTATATGAAAACACTTTGCCATTTTATGTCAGGGACTTGATGTTCTGGAACCTACCCCCACAGATATTGAGGGACTGTATTCCCTCCTTTGTTTTCTCTCTCAATTATAAGAATATATTTATACAATAAACAAATTAGTCACACTTAACACTTTTATTTTGGTACTTATCCAACTCACTGACCTGTGTCACACAACATCACTTGGAGCCAAATGCCAGCCTTTAGGAATTAGGAAGCTGAATGGCCGCCCTATCGCCACCTGGTTTTGTCATTAGCCAGTTTCCTCCTGGCTCAGAAGGCACCACAGCTCATCGTTGCTGGCCCCTGCTGTTCACTTCCTGTTTGTGGTTCAGTCTAGATCCATTTATCTACTGAGCTTTAGAAACACATCTCCAACCCACCAGCAGATCCATGCAGATGACCTGCAGACACTTCCGGCTCAACAAGACAAAACCAAGGTCATTATTCTATACCAAAAATGCCAATTTTTTCCCAGCGTCCCACCACCACCCACCCAGCCACCCCAACTAGAACCTCAGCACAATTTTGATTCCTCCCTCTCCTCCATGCCCCAAGGTCAACTCCACCTCCTGAACCTCTCTCGGATTCGTCTGTGTATTTCCTTCCCTACCACTGTGAACTGGGTTCAAGCCTCCATCATCTCTTTCCTGGCTTACTAACATAGCCTTTGACTGCAGTCAAGAAAACAAGTTCGTGTTTCACATTTAGCTAAGAAGACTTTAAATGTCTACACATGCAATTCCATTGTTGGGGGCCGGAGGTTGCCCCTTATGAAACATCTTGGTTATAAAATTTTCCTGCCAGAACATTTGAACTTGGATTCTCATTTTCCTCAAAAATCTTAAGAGTTCATGTGTCTGGGCCATTTCAATACATAAATAAAAAAGAATAAAGCATCAAGGATGCTAGCTAGATGTTATGTTCTTTCTATCACAATGAAAAAAATGTATGAGACAAATAGGCAGCCTACAAAATACACTGTTAACACAAAACAAAAATACTTCACTTCTTTATCCAATTAGCTATCAGTACCTCAAGTTTCCTCTGAAATTCTCCCAAATTCAGTCGTTGTTCTTCATCTCTCCACTTGAACTTATTAATTCATGCTTAGATTGCTACTTTCATTTTATTATATTATTTGGGGGATGGGGGTCAGGGTCTCACTCTGTCCAAGGCTGAAGTACAGTGGCGCAATTATAGCTCACTGCAGCCTCAAACTCCTGGGCTCAAGGGATCCTCCCATTTCAGGCTCCCAAGTTGCTAATACTACAGATGCACGCAACTACACAAGGCAAATTTTTTTATTTTTATTTTTTGTAGAAATGGAGTCTTGCTATCTTACCCTGGCTGATCTTGAACTCCTGGACTCAAGCAATCCTCTTGCCTCAGCCTCTCAAAATGCTGGGATTACCGGCAAGAGCCACCACGCCCACCTTGTCACTTTCAGATAGTTTTTTCTCATCTTGCATTTGCTATTGATATTTTTACCCATAGCTAATTTAACCCTATAACATATCTTTTTCTTCTATTTGTTAAGGGCGATTTTAGTTATGTCGTATCTTACAGAGTATCAGCAACTACAGGCAATCTGATAATGGAAGAGTTCTGTTCTCAATTCTTCATCAAGTTGTCCAAAGATACATTAAGCAGAACTGGTCGTTATGTGCTATCACTACTCATATGGTCTTTCATTGATTGTGGGAACAAGGATACATGTTCTACGGGTGTGCCATTCATTCATTCATTCATTCATTGATATGCCATTACTACAGTCAAGAGAAAGCACCAGCTTCCCAAAGTTAAAATAAACATATCTAGTACTATCCCACTGTTTGCCTGTGCTTCTAAATATAGAAGGCAGTTAGATTGCTCTAATACCATTTAGTTTGTGCAAAACCCTGTTTTTTACTATGTTCCTCTAGAAGTAACAGTAAATTATGTGATGATTTATTCCGATATCACTTCATGTATTTGAAGTTCGTCTGACCTGCCTATAATTTCCCTTGTCAATCTATTCTGGCTGTGTGTTTTATAAGCTAGTCACAATACTATATTTTAATTCACATGGACTTCTTTTTACCTCTATAATTTAATAATAATAATAATAATAATAATAATAATAATAATAATAATGGCTCACCACCAGAGTAGCACCTGCCAGTTCCTTTAGTAGCCAACAGGCCTTACTAATACAAATAGTTCCAGTTCTTCAAAGCACTTTTTAACTCTTTTTCTATTTTGACTCTCTACTTTCATCAAACCTGGGAACTGTTCCAGGCCCCTTCACATCTGATATTTCTTATGAAGAATGAATCGAGTAAGGCATTAAAAA
Organism: Homo sapiens; assembly: GCF_000001405.40. Taxonomy (NCBI): domain Eukaryota; kingdom Metazoa; phylum Chordata; class Mammalia; order Primates; family Hominidae; genus Homo; species Homo sapiens. The sequence continues at coordinate 21,092,829 of NC_000010.11, forward strand.
GCCTTTGCCTTTTCACCAGCTTATGTTATCAGCTTTCCCAGCCTGTCCATCAGAGACCCATGCCAAGCAACTTGTGAAATTATATTACTCTAAAGTCTTTCTGGAACTTTCAGTAGCTAGCCCATATGGACAGGATCCAAAGTGGACTCACAGTATATTTTCTCTGATGTGGGAACAGTTTATGACAAGAGAATAATGAAAATCTAAATTGCCTTGTACAATTTATTGTATTTTATTTTTGTTCTTGGCTTCTTGCGTATCTACCAAGGAGAAAAGAGGAAATAATTTTTTAAGAGTACTTTTATTCATTTAGCAACAAGTCTTTTTTTTTTTTTTTCCATTTTAGCAGAGCCAAATGAAGATTCTTCAAGATATGGTATCTTTTCACTTGGCTGTTTCTGCCTGGGTGACTCAGAGGATAAGTATTTGGGAAAGACATGAATGGTAGTGCCAGGGTCCACCAGCCCAGAAGCATTGGACGCATTTTATCATAGGACCATGAGTTGGACAAAATTTTATAGGTGAGAAAAAAAGAAATGGGCTGGAGAAGGGAGACTGTCATCTCTCTTGGCTTGCTCTGTCTCCTCCTCTCACCCATCAAGTCAAGGGAACCAGACGCCCAAAGCCAAGTTCATCAGTCCCTCCATCGGCACTGAAAAAATCCATCAGTGTTCATAAGCTGCTAAGCTTGTGTAAACTGAATGCCATCTCCAAATTTCCAGTCTTGCCAACAAGCTGAAACAGGAGAAAGAATATGCAACCAGATGGGGGTCACAGCATTTTAAGTGCTTTCTTCAAGATTAAGAGTTGGTAGAACCAAGAAAAGGAAAAGACATACAGAATGTCTTCAGCTCATGTATCCACAGATCTCTGTCTTGTTCAGGTATATCTAAGCTCATCCACTGGAAGAGGAGAACAATATTTTATCCTGAAAAATCTACTGCTTCGTAAACAAATCAATACATTTCTTGTGAAAATCTTTTATAAAAATGTCCTAGACTGGTTTCCTTAGCCTTCATTGCATGTGTTACTCATGATCCATGAATCACACAAAGTTCTCACTGACCTTCTTTTCTACAGAGATATTTTTTGCGGGAACCAGAAAACATTTTGTCGTTTTTGTGAAAGACTATTTTCCATTCTAAGCTTTCCATAGAAAACTATATTTATCTGTGGTTTGACACATTAAGCATCACTACTCAACTTAATTTGTTCTTATGGGTCCTTAAGAGTCTAAAAAAGACCGGGCTGGGTGTGGTAGCTCACGCTTGTAATGCCAACACTTTGGGAGGCTGAAGTGGGAGGATCACTTGAGGTCAGGAGTTCAAGACCAGCCTGGCCAACATGGCAAAACCCCATCTCTACTAGAAATATAAAAATTAGCCAGGTGTAGGCCGGAGACGGTGGCTCACGCCTGTAATCCCAGCACTTTGGGAGGCCGAGGTGGGCGGATCACGAGGTCAGGAGATCGAGACCATCCTGGCTAATACGGTGAAACCCCGTCTCTACTAAAAATATAAAAAATTAGCCGGGTGCAGTGGCAGGCGCCTGTAGTCCCAGCTACTTGGGAGGCTGAGGCAGGAGAATGGCGTGAACCACAGAGGCGGAGCTTGCAGTGAGCCGAGATTGTGCCACTGCACTCCAGCCTGGGAGACAGCGAGACTCCGTCTCAAAAAAAAAAAAAAAAAAAAAAAAAAAAAAAAATTAGCCAGATGTGGTGGTGGAGTGCCTGTAATCCCAGCTACTCGGAGGCTGAAGCAAGGGAATCACTTGAGCCTGGGAGGCAGAGGTTTCAGTGAGCTGAGATTGCCCTAATCCACTCCAGCCTGGATTTTTGTTGGAAGAAACAAAAAAGGCTAAAGAAGACCAGAAGTCTGCTCCTTTGTAAATGGGACTCTTGGGTGGTGGCATGAATATTACAGACTCCTGTTAACATCAGATGACAAAGCAAGGTCACCTCTTTGCTTCTAAGTCTCACATTGTAAAATTAATTTCACCGAACCAGATTCAGCAATTGGAAGAATGGCAGTATCGTAGGAGAGACTAGAACCCTCTCGTCATAGTTTCCCAGGTGATGGTGAAGAAAATCCTTGGGCCAACAGACAGAACACAGAAAACGCTCCCTATAATTAGGTGAAGGGATCCAAAGTGTAGGTGTGCCTATATCCATAGTAGTGTATTCAAAATCTGACACCACTAAGCATTATGATCTGGGAACCACCTGCATCCCATTGAGAACTCACTTAGATAGAAAGGTTTGTTTCCAATTCACATTCCAAGGCCTCATCTCAGACCAACCAACCATATCAGAATCTAGAGGTGGGGCCCATGAATCAGCTCTCTAGACTGTTCATAAGTCCACTAAGATTTCAGAACCCCTGCCCTGAAAGCTGACCCTCACAAAAGTTCCATCCAACAGGGAGTTATCTAGGGAGTGGTAAAAGGTAAAGACATTTGGCCCAGGTAGTGATGGAACCAGGGAAATTCTAGCCTAAGAAAAGCAGATAAAAGATAAGACGAACATGGTCAGAGTGATGACCGTTGACAAGGAAAGATGGCCAGGACCAACTACAGATTCCCTTCGATGTAGAATTTTAAAATTCTAAATCACTAAACTTTTGGGAAATGCTGAGTTAAGGGTGTTAAACGGTGCTATTAGCATAACTGTACCTTTTAAAACCAAATCACTAAACTGCTATTTAAACTGTTAAGCTTAAGGATTTTGAAGCTAATCGGATTATTTAGGATGTGATTTTAATGTAAGTAGAGTCCAAACAAGAATGGCAATTTTCTATTAAATCTTGAAGGTTTTTGAAATCAATTCATCTTAAATCTGAATTTGGGGCACTTGGTGCTCAGAGAGAAAGGGACATCTCAGTGGCATCTGTCTCCTAGTCACTGGTTAGCTTCATCTTGATGCAATGAGATGTAATATATTCCCTTCAGCTTTTTGAGAAAATGACAAGGAAGACTTGGGGTTATCTCTCTCATGCCTCCCTCATCCATGAGTCCTCTTAGTACTGTTCAAAAGATGACGGAACTAGAATGTAAGAAAACCTGGGTTCTGAGCTCTACAAATCCCCTAACTAGACTGGATAAGTCATTTAACCTTGGTAGGTTGCAGCTTCCTAGTCAGTAAAATGAAAAAGTTAGACCAGATTATCCTCTGGCTCTAACATTCGAAATGTAACATTACACACAATAGTGATGCTGTGCTTTAGGCTTTAAATAGGATTAAATAGATCCCATAAGCATGTCCATTTATTTTCCCCTAAAGAGAAATGTAATATGTCAAAATAATCCTGTTGTTAATATTGTGACTTGGAGTGGAAAAAGCATACATGGAAAGAAACAAACACTACTGTGGACTTCAATACCACTGAGTTCTAGGATCCTCGTCCTTCCCTCTCTCTTCCCACTGTCCTTTGATTCCCTGCCTTTCCCTATTCTCATCCTCAGTCAGCTAATTCCCCTTGTTGGATATACATGGAATATAAACCATAATACAATTTGCATATAAAACTCGCTTCTCAAAAATACTGTTGAGGCTAGTATCTTAGATTAGCCTGAAGAAGTTGTTTAAAAGCCCTTTTATTAAAGAGTTTATTTAAAGAAAAAAAACAGAATGTTTACACGGGCTTTAGAGCAACTTGGTTTTGAGTGTGTGTGTGTGTGTGTGTGTGTGTGTGTGTGTGTGTGTTTTGAGACAGGGTCTCAGTCTGTCACCCATGCTGGAGAGCAGTGACCTGATCATAGTTCACTAAAGCCTCAAGCTCCTGGGCTCATGCAACCCTCCTGCCTCAGTTTTCCCAGTAGCTGGGACCACAGATGCTCACCACCATGTCTGGCTAATTTTTACAATTTTTTATAGAGGTGAAGTCTCACTATGTTGCCCAAGCTAGTCTCATACTCCTGGTCTCAAGCAATCCTCCTCCCTCAGCTGCGACAGGATTACAGGTATGAGCCATCAGGCCCGGCCTGAGTGTATATCTTTTTAACATAGATTTTGGCTAGTTTCATCACATTGGTCTTTCTTTCATTAACTTATCTCTCCTTTTTGCATCACTCTAGACCCAGCTATTTCATCTGAGCTCCCCACAAATTCCTCTACCCTTCTCTATTACAAAAAGGCTCAATCAAAAATCTCCAAGGCATCCTTAAAAAAAAAAGGTAATATTTCCTGGCTTATATTTTATTTAAATACACTTGTAGGAGTTTTACCTTCCCAGATACCACTACTTTGGAAATTTTCACCTCCACTCTCCTAATACTTTATTGTTTCCAAATAAAATTTATAATAATTATTCATTGCCTCTTTGCAAATAAAATGAGCTCAATATCCGGCCAGGTGCGGTGGCTCACGCCTGTAATCCCAGCACTTTGGGAGGTCCGGGGGGGGGGTGGGGCAGATCACAAGGTCAGGGGTTCGAGACCAGCCTGACCAACATTGTGAAACCCTGTCTGTACTAAAAATACAAAAATTAGCCAGGTATGGTGGCGGGCGCCTGTAATCTCAGCAACTCAGGAGGCTGAGGCAGGAGAATCACTTGAACCCGGGAGGTGGAGGTTGCAGTGAGCCGAGATCACACCATTGCACTCCAGGCTGGGCAACAGAGTGAGACTCTGTCCCCAAAAAAATACATAAATAAAATGAGCTCAATACAATGGTGTGTCCTTTCTGTTTTCTATAGCAATAGGCTGACCTCCATTTCAGCATGGCTTAAATGAGTCATTTTGTATATTGCCAGGCCCTGGGCTCTGCCTGTACTATTCTGGTTACATCATTACCCACAAAAGATTTACAAACAGGTTTCCATGGCAAGCTACAAGAACAAATGAAAGAAGTCCAAGAGAAGTGTAAACAGAAAAGATAAGTCTCGGTCAATTTCTGATGAAACTGGAATGCAAGCTACCCAAAGCAACGACTTCAATCACCACAACTGAAATGATTGTCATTCCCCTGAAACACGACAGGAACCGCCCAATAAATGAAGACATTGGACTTTTTTATGGATGTAATAGTCACAGCTCCATGAGAAAGACTCTAGTAGCACAAGGGCAGTCACCTTCTGTATACCAATTTTTTTCCTTGTTTAATGGTCTAGACAAGTGTTACTGCTGTAATTTGTGACCCTACGTGAAATGAACATTCGTAATAATCTCCTTTTGAATCTTGATGTTTTCTGTAACCCTGGTAGCTAAGTGCTGATAACAACAATTATCTAAATGTTGCAAAAGGATGAAATCAGTAACAATGGGTCTACTGAAAAGAGGCAAAAATGTGAGTGGATATGAATTTATAACAGCAATAGGGCTAAAGCTGCAGGGCCCTTTCATGTAGGAGGATAGCAACACACACACACACTCATTCACATACACACACATTCTCACTCACACGTGCACACATACGTACACACACTTGTACACATTCACACACACTGTCACACAGAGAGTGCAGAAATGAAAGGAGACATTTTCACGCATCCACACAAAAGACAAAGATCAAACTATGACTCTTTCCTCTTTGCAGCCCTACAACTCTTCCTATCACACAGCAGGTCATCAATAAATGCTCATTGAATTGAAATATGGTACCAAATGCAGACTCAGGAAACCCAATGGTATTTAATAATTATTATGCAAATAAAACTGCATCTTTTCACACAGAAATAGGGGTGACTTGTTCTACCTCCCTTAGTAATGAGAAGCCATTCTGGACATCTTACTGCTAGACCTGGAATAATTTCTTGTTTCTCAATTCCCTCTCTTAAAAATTCCTCCCTTCCCAATCAATCCATGAAGATAAACTCAGTTCATTTGGTGTCCTACAAGATTGTTACAGGAGCGCATAAATACACTCCTATATACATATGTATCATCATAAGCTGAATGTATATAGAAAACAAAAAAAATTAAGGAAGTCCTCCTCTGGCCAGCTTTCCCCCATGGCCTCTCACTTGAACAGTTGTTTTGCCTGTAGCCACAGGTTTAGCAAAGAAATCAAAGTGAGATAAATCTAGCCAGGCATGGCGGCTCACACCTGTAATCTCATAATCCCAACAATTTGTAAGGTGGAACCAGAAACATCACTTGAGCCCAGGAGTTCGAGACCAGCCTGGGCATCACAGCAAGAAACCACACCCACCAAAAAAAAAATAGCTGGACATGGTGGCACACACCTGCGGTCCTATCTACTCGGAAGGCTAAGGCGGTAGGATGGCATGAGCCCAGGAGCTCACGGCTTCAGTGAGCCATGATCGTGCCACTGCACTCCAGCCTGGGTAACAGAGAAAGACCCTGTCTCTAAAAATAAAAATAAAATCAAAACAGAGTGAAGCATATATACCTTTTTCATAGACATATCATTTTTTAAAATGACATGAACCTACTGAGTAAATTATTAAACTAAAAGTGACGGGTATGAATTCAATGATTCCCATTTCTTCTTCTATAACCTCACACACTGAGTAGCCCACCCACCGACATGGCTGCTTTGCTCAGCTTGCTTCCCTCCTCTCCTTTCGCGTCCTCCCCTGTCTGGTGCCAGCCTGTGTTCTGTCCCTTCACACCAGCTTGCCATTGCTATTCCTGCCATCTGGAGTCGGTTTTCAGTATCTCTGTCTCATCAGCTCTCCATCTATTTTAAAATATCATCTGAAAACATATGTTCCCCCAACCACCACCCCTTTCAATTTCCTCTCTGCTTTTATTTATTTCATCTTGACTTCCTTTAGCTCTGAAAAACTCATCTGATTCACTTCAGAAAACTGCTCTACAAAGGGCCGTAACTGCATTTGATATGAAAGATTGTAATCTCTCAGATTTGAAATATCTCATATGAGTGGCCAGCACATGTTCTTCCATTTTATCTCCATGAAAGGATGGAAGGAGGGAGAAAGACTGTGAGCCAGGAAATGAGGGTATTTCCAACATTAAAATCACCTTGAATGTTGCAGATCAGTTGCAAGTGTTCACTGTTGCACACTCCTCTGTTGAACAAGGCCAAAGAAGCCAGCCCAAGATATTACAGTCACTGAAGTTTTGAAAGCAGGCTGTTCTGAACATCTTTGTAAACACTTATAACTCAATAAGAAACTGTTGAACCCCTATTTAGGTTTGCCAATAACAGAGTTGCAAAAAAATAAAATAAAATAAAAACAAGAAGTCCTCCTCAATCCTTTCTATTTCCCTTAAAAACACGCCCAATAACCTGGCCTAAAAAGAAACAAAACCCCAAAACAGGGAGGGGATGAATGTGCTTAGACACCCACTCAGTCAAAAACTTCCATTTCCAGACTGCCCGGCCATCACATTCTATTGACTCTTTAGTTTCCCTAATTAACCTCTGCTGCTGTGATCACCCCCTTTTAATTCTCTTGGCGAGCATTTACTAAGCGTGTGTGGGATGTGTGGTACCCGACCATTCCCCACCATCAGCCGGTCCTTTTCCACGCTGTGCTGTTGACTGTGTTTCTTTCATCCCACTTGCCTTTTCTTTCTTTATTCCCTCTCGCCACAGTGAAGAAGCTGAAAAATGAGGAGCTCACTCGCAAACTCTGCTCCATTGTCAGCTGTGCGGGCTGCCGCAGTTGTTAGAGCTGGAAGAATCGATGTTGCTAAGCAACACTTTTGCACCCTGTGTAAAAGATAAAGAGTGCAAAGCATGGCTCTGAGGATGAGGCCGTCCAGTTTCCCGTGAACCCTGGGGGGCTGACCTCTGTGCAATCAACAGAAAAATGTAGATTCTGTTAATACAGGGCTTGGGGAGGAAAGTTCTTCAATTTTCTTCCTTTTTCTTTAGATCATTTCTAATTTTCTCCAAAAGAAATATGACCTGATGGGCAAAGAGATGGATATCAAACCCCTAGTTTGGGTTTCCAGGATTGGTTTTGCTACAGATTTCCTTGTTGAACAGAGCTACTTCATTCTATATCCTTCCATGACTCCGTTTCTTCCCTGTGAAAAAGTGGAAATGAAAATCAGCTGCTTCACAAAATTGTAAAAGTGAAGTACTCAGCAATGACTAAACTATTATCCATTAGATGATGATAACAAATTTCCTGTGATTGGTCTCAGATGGCTCTTGTAACAGTTTTTGTTTCTTTGTTTGTTTTAATCGAAGTTTCCATTCCCACACATCGACCTTTCACGGGAACATTTTGTGGCTTTTTTTGGAAGGAAATACTCACCAGAATGTAACTTTAGAGACACAGGGGAGGTTATTTCCTTCATTCACAGGCCTGAAGCAGAAGTGGATGGACCAGGGATGGGGTAGAAAGGTGAGCCTGTCTCCTAGCCACATGACTCAAGTCTCCCCTCTGTGTCACTTCCTGAATTGAGGCAAGAAGTGAACAATCGGGAGACATTATGATATCATTTTCCATGAATTCTAATCATCTGTAAGGCTACAGCTTCTGTGATACTCAAATCCTTCCCTGTGGCTAAGGCTGCTAGGCAGCCTCACAGTATCGATTCTCAGTTCTTCCAAGGTAAGACTTCATGCCCAGATCACGTGCAGGCAATGTGGTCAAGTAACAGCTCTGGCTAAAACAATCCACGCAGAAGTGATGGGTAGAAATTTCTGGTAGTAGTTTTCACTCCTCCTTCTGCTACCCCTTCTTGTTAGAGGGAAAGTGGACATGATAAGAGCCACTGTGAAACATCTGGACAAAGGCAAGACCTAGAGACGGTGGGGAAAAAAGAAAACAAGCCTGGGTCCCTAATGGTTTCCCAGAGCAGAGCCCCTGCATTAGCTAGGACTTAGGTGACAGAGAAGTACATTTCCACCTTGTTTAAGCCACTGTTGTTTGGCTTCTCTGTCACTTGCAGCCAAACTCAGATCTTAAATACTATGTACCCCCACAATTTATGTTCCACTTCAGAAGCTCTTCCAGACCCAAGGAGTGTCAAGCACGCCACTAAAACAACTTTGTGCCCAGAGGAAACTCCAAATGAGCTCAATAAGTGGAAACTGTAATAAGATCTACCACTTACTGAATGCATCTTTCCACTATACCAAGAAAGTGAAGCACTTCTCATCTATAATTCAGTTTAGGAAACATCACGCTTTGACTAGCCAGCATCTATTTACTGAGCACCACTGTGTACAAAGCATTGTCCAAGACAGAGTAGAAGCCACAAAGGTAGACAGGGCAGGCCTGTCTTCCATAACATTCTCATAGGTGTGTCACAAAATGTAGCATTCCGTTAAGGGCTTAATTAAACTACCTGTAACTATCCTGAACAATTCATTTTACTTCTCTGCAATGTCAAACATCATTCCTAAGGTCTCATCTGCTCTAAATGTCCAGACTTCTACCACAACTGTTAATAAGCTACTTAAATGTTTCACCAAAGGCAGAAGTTAGGATTCTTACCCAATGCACAATCTAAACTTAGTCTCGAAATTCTCTATATCTTCTTTTTTTAACAGCTTTAATAAGATATAATTGGCTCACAATATAATGCATATATTTAGAGTGCACAACTTAATGGATTTTGATATATGCATGTCCATGAGACTATCACCACAATCAAGATAATGGACGTTTTCATCATCAACTGTTTCCTTGTATCTCTTTGTAATGCATTCCCCATCCTTACCCACTAACCCAAACCCAGGGAACCAACAATATGCTTTCTGTTGCTATAGATTCAATTGCATTTCCTACAGTTTTATTGAAATTGAGCCATATAGTGTGGACAAATTACTATTGTCTGGTTCCTTTCACTCACTTTGAGTTTCCTTTGAGTGCAGTTGTCTTACTGGCATGCTTGACATTTCTTGGATTTTCATTCTTTTGAGAGTCATTAAATATATTGATATTTCCTTTTCATTATGAGTACTATTGCATTGTATGAGTATAACAAAATTTAACCATGTACCTGTTGGAATTCTGGATTGTTTGTAGTTTAGAGCTATCAGAAATAAAGCTGCTATGCATGTTTGTGTACAAGTCTTTAACACATGTTTGCACACATGTTTTTTGTTTGTTTGTTTTATTTTTATTTTTATAGTTCCAGGGTACATGTGCAGGATGTGCAGGTTTGTTACATAGGTAAGAGTGTGCCATAGCGGTTTGCTGTACCTATCAACCCATCACCTAGGTATTAAGCCCAGCAGGTATTAGCCTAATGTTCTCCCTCCCCCCACCCCACTTCCAGACAGGCCCCAGTGCATATTGTTCCCCTCCTTGTGTCCATGGCACACATATGTTTTTATTTCTCTTCGAAAACTATCTTGGAGTGGAATCACTGGGGAGTATGGTATCTAACTTTTTAAGAAACTACCAAATTATTTTATAAAATATTTGTACTATTTTATAAAATAAAATGTATGTACAGGAGCATATGAGAGTTCCAGTTACTCCAAACATTTTTCAACTCCTTTTTTTTTTTTTTTGAGATGGAGTCTCACTCTGTTGCCCAGGCTGGAGTGCAGTGGCTGCAATCTCGGCCCACTGCAAGCTCCGCCTTCCGGGTTCATGCCATTCTCCTGCCTCAGCCTCCCCAGTAGCTGGAACTACAGGCACCCGCCACCATGCCCGGCTAATTTTTTGTATTTCTCGTAGAGATGGGGTTTCACCATGTTAGCCAGTATGGTCTCCATCTCCTCACCTCCTGATCCGCCCACCTTGGCCTCCCAAAGTTCTGGGATTACAGGCATGAGCCACCGCACCAGGCCTTTTTCAACTCTTGATAAGGTCAGCCTTTTCCATCTTAGCCATCCTAACAAAAGTGGTTTTACTTTGTATCTACTTAATGACTAATGATGTTGACAAAAAGAGGCTCCTTCAACTCTTCTGCCCATTTCTAATTGGGTTTTTGTCTTCTTCCTGCTGAGTTTCAAGAGTTCTTTATATATGTGTGATACATATTTTGCAAATATTTTCTCCTATTCTCTGGCTCCCTAGTCATGACATGCGATTATTAGTATCTTTTGAAAAGAAAAAGGTTTTCATTTTCATAAAGTCAATGTATCCATTTTTTTCATTTATAGTTATACTTTTTGAGACATATTCTTAAAATGTTTGCCTAGCCCAAAGTCACTAAGACAGTCTACATTTTTTTCTAGAAGTTTAATTGCCTGAACTCTTACATTTAAGTTTATGATATGTTTCAAGTTAATTCTTCCATGAGCTGTGAGGTAAGTGCTCAGGTTTTGTTTTGTTTTCTTTTCATGCTTCTGGATATAAAATTGTTCCTGCACCCCTTGTTGAAAGAATTCTCCTCACCCAGCTGAATTAACTTGGTGTCTTTGTGGAAAATCACTGCTCTACATCGCCCTGTATATCTTCTACCTGTATGATATTACCACACTGTCCTGATTACCAGAGCTGTATAATAAGGTTTAACATCACATACTATAAGTGTTCTAACTTTGTTCTTCTTTTTCCAAAATTGTGTTTTTGAATCAGCAAGTCAAATTCTACAAAACAAAGAGCCTTCTGGAATTTCAATTGAAATCATGTTAAATATATAGATCAATTTGGGGAGAACTGATATCTTAACAATATTGAGTCTTCCAATCTATGAGCATTGTATATCTCCCCATTTCACTAGGCCTTATTTAATTTTTCCAGCAACATTTTGTAGTTTCCAGTGTAGAAGTTTTACACATTTTTCCTCAAATTTATCCCCAGTATTTCATAAGTTTTGATGCTATCATAAATTGTATTGTTTTCAGTTTCAAGTTCTAATTGCTTATTGCCAGTACATAGAAATGCAAATGATTTTTATATTGGCTTATATACTGCATTCTCACTAAACTCACGTATTAGTTCAGTTGATTTTTTTTTCAGATTCCCTACGATTATCCACATAGACAATCATGTGGTCTGTGAATGAAGGTAGTTGTATCCTTCTTTTCTAATCTGTGTGCTTTTTATTACTTTCTCCTGCCTTACTGCACTGATAAGAACTTCCAGTACTATGTTAAATAGAAGTAATGAGGCAAACATCCTCACCCTGTTCCTCATCTCAGGGGAAAACTTTCTGTCTTTCACCATCAAGTAAGACGTTAGCTTTACATTTTTTGTAGATGCCCGATATCAGGATGAAGAAGTTTCCATCTATGCCCAGTTTGCTCAGAGTTATTATCAAGAATTGATGTTGCGCATAGTAAAATGCTTTTCTACACCAATTAAGATAAACATATTGTTTTTCCTTTTTAGTCTGCTGATATGGAAAACATTGATTGATCTTTTTTAAGGTTATGCCAACCCTGAATTCTTGGAAGAAACCCCACTTGGCGATGATATTATCTTTTTTACATATTGTTGAATTTTATTGGCTAAAAGTCTGTTAATAACTTTTACATACGTGTTCATGAAGAATATTGGCCTGTAATAATCTTCATTTCTTTTTCTTTTATATTTTAAGTTCGGGGATACATGTGCAGAACATGCAGTTTTGTTACATAGGTATACATGTGCCATGTTTGTTGGCTTGCTACACCCATCAACTCGTCATTTACATTAGGTATTTTCCTAATGCTATCCCTCCCCCAGTCCCCTACCCCCCGACAGGCCCCAGTGTGTGATGTTTCCCACCCTGGGTCCATGTGTTCTCATTGTTCAACTTCCACCTATAAGTGAGAACATGCGGTGTTTGGTTTTCTGTCCTTGTGATAGTTTGCTTAGAATGATCACTTCCAGCTTCATCCATGTCCCTGCAAAGGACATGAACTCATCCTTTTTTATGGCTGTATAGTATTCCGTGGTGCATATGTGCCACATTTTCTTAATCCAGTCTATCATTGATGGACATTTGGGTTGGTTCCAAGTCTTTGCTATTGTAAATAGTACTGCAGTAAACATATGTGTGCATGTGTCTTTGTAGTAGCATGATTTATAATCCTTTGGGTATATACCCAATAAGGGGATCACTGGGTCAAATGGTATTTCTAGTTCTAAATCCTTGAGGAATCGCCACACTGTTTTCCACAATGGTTGAACTAATTTATACTCCCACCAACCGTGTAAAAGCGTTCCTATTTCTCTACATCCTCTCCAGCATCTGTTGTTTCCTGACTTTTCAATGATCACCATTCTAACTGGCATGAGATGGTACCTCATTGTGGTTTTGATTTGCATTTCTCTGATCACCAGTGATGATGAGCATTTTTTCATGTGTCTGTTGGCTGCATAAATGTCTTCTTCTGAGAGGTGTCTGTTCATATCCTTTCCCACTTTTTGATGGGGTTGTTTGTTTTTTTTCTGGTAAATTTGTTTAAGTTCTTTGTAGATTCTGGATATTAGCCCTTTGTCAGATGGGCAGATTGCAAAGATTTTCTCCCATTCTGTAGGTTGCCTGTTCACTCTGATGATAGTTTCTTTTGCTGTGCAGAAGATCTTTAGTTTAATTAGATCCCATTTGTCTATTTTGGCTTTTGTTGCCATGCTTTTGGTGTTTTAGTCATGGAGTCTTTGCCCATGCCTATGTCCTGAATGGTATTGCCTAGGTTTTCTTCTAGGATTTTTATGGTTTCAGGTCTAACATTAAGTCTTTAATCCAACTTGAATTAATTTTTGTATATGGTGTAAGGAAGGGATCCAGTTTCAGCTTTCTACACGTGGCTAGCCAGTTTTCCCAGCAGCATTTATTAAATAGGGCATCCTTTCCCCATTGCTTGTTTCTGTCAGGTTTATCAAAGATCAGATGGTTGTAGATGCATGGTGTTGTTTCTGAGGCCTCTGTTCTGTTCCATTGGTCTATATATCTGTTTTGGTACCAGTACCAGCCTGTTTTGGTTACTATAGCCTTGTAGTATAGTTTGAAGTCAGGTAGCACGATGCCTCCCACTTTGTTCTTTTTGCTTAGGATTATCTTGGCTATGTGGGCTCTTTTTTGGTTCCATATGAACTTTAAAGTAGTTTTTTCCAATTCTGTGAAGAAAGTCAGTAGTAGCTTGATGGGGATAGTATTGAATGTATAAATTACCTTGGGCAGTATGGCCATTTTCAGGATATTGATTCTTCCTATCTATGAGCATGGAAAGTTCTTCCATTTGTTTGTGTCCTCTTTTATTTTGTTTAGCAGTGGTTTTTAGTTCTCCTTGAAGGGGTCCTTCACATCCCTTGTAAGTTAAATTCCTCGGTGTTTTATTCTCTTTGTAGTAATTGTGAATGGGAATTCACTCATGATTTGGCTCTCTGTCTGTTATTGGTGTATAGGAATGCTTGTGATTTTTGCACATTGATTTTGTATCCTGAGACTTTGCTGAAGTTACTTATCAGCTTAAGGAGATTTTGGGCTGAGACGATGGGTTTTTCTAAATACACAGTCATATCATCTGCAAACAGAGACAATATGACTTCCTCTTTTCCTAATTGAATACCCTTTATTTCTTTCTCTTGCCTGATTGCCCTAACCAGAATTTCCAGCACTACGTTGAATATGAGTGGTGAGAGAGGGCATTCTTGTCTTGTGACGGTTTTCAAAGGGTGCCCATTCGCTATGATATTGGCTGTGGGTTTGTCATAAATAGCTCTCATTATTTTGAGATACGTTCCATCAATACCTAGTTTATTGAGAGTTTTTAGCATGAAGACCTGTTGAATTTTGTCGGAGGCCTTTTCTGCATCTATTGAGAGAATCAAGTGGTTTTTGCTGTTAGTTCTGTTTATGTGGTGGATTATGTTTATTGATTTGCATATGTTGAATCAGCCTTGCATCCCAGGGATGAAGCCGACTTGATCATGACAGATAAGCTTTCTGATGTGCTGCTGGATTCAGTTTGCCAGTATTTTATTGAGGATTTTTGCATCGATGTTCATCAAGGATATTGGCCTAAAATTCTCTTTTTTTGTTGTGTCTCTTCCAGGCTTTGGTATCAGGATGACGCTAGCCTCATAAAATGAGTTAGGGAGGATTCCCTCTTTTTCTACAGATTGAAATAGTTTTGGAAGGAATGGTACCAGCTCCTCTTTGTACCTCTGGTAGAATTCAGCTGTGAATCCATCTGGTCTTGGCCTATTTTTGGTTGGTAGGCTATTAATTATTGCCTCAATTTCAGAACCTGTCATTGGTCTATTCAGAGATTCAACTTCTCCCTGGTTTAGTCTTGGGAGGGTGTATGTGTCCAGGAATTTATCCATGTCTTCTAGATTTTCTAGTTTATTTGCATAGAGTTATTTATGGTATTTTCTGATGGTAGTTTGTATTTCTATGGGATCGGTGGTGATATCCCCTTTATCATTTTTATTGCATCTATTTGATTCTTCTCTCTTTTCTCTTTATTAGTCTGGCTAGTGGTCTATTTTGTTGATCTTTTCAAAAAAACAGCTCCTGGATTCAATGATTTTTGAAGGGGTTTTTATGTCTCTATCTCCTTCAGTTCTGCTCTGATCTTAGTTATTTCTTGCCTTCTGCTAGCTTTTGAGTTTGTTTGCTCTTGCTTCTCTAGTTATTTTAATTGTGATGTTAGGGTGTCAACATTAGATCTTTCCTTCTTTCTCTTGTGGGCATTTAGTGCTATAAATTTCCCTCTACACACTGCTTTAAATGTGTCCCAGAGATTCTGGTACGTTGTGTCTTCATTCTCATTGTTTTCAAAGAACATCTTTATTTCTGCCTTCGTTTCATTATTTACCCAGTAGTCATTCAGGAGCAGGTTGTTCAGTTTCCACATAGTTGTGCGCTTTTGAGGGAGTTTATTAATCCTGAGTTCCAATTTGATTGCACTGTGGTCTGAGAGACAGTTTGTTGTGATTTCTGTTCTTTTACATTTGCTAAGGAGTGTTTTACTTCCAATTATGTGGTCAATTTTAGAATAAGTGTGATGTGGTGCTAAGAAGAATGTATATTCAATTGATTTGGGGTGGAGAGTTCTGTAGATGTCTATTAGGTCCGCTTGGTCCAGAGCTGGGTTCAAGTCCTGGATATCCTTGTTAACCTTCTGTCTCATTGATCTGTCTAATATTAGCAGTGGGGTGTTAAAGTTTCCCATTATTATTGTGTGGGAGTCTAAGTCTCTTTGTAGGTCTCTAAGGCTTTACGAATCTGGGTGCTCCTGTATTGGGTGCATATATATTTAGGATAATTAGCTCTTCTTGGTGAATCGATCCCTTTACCAACAATGGGGTTTTCTAAATGTACAATCATGTCATCTGCAAACAGAGACAATTTGACTTCCTCTCTTCCTATTGGAATACCGTTTATTTCTTTCTCTTGCCCGATTGCCCTGGCCAGAACTTCCAATGCTATGTTGAATAGGAGTGGGGAGAGAGGGCATCCTTGTCTTGTGCCGGTTTTCAAAGGGAATGCTTCCAGCTTTTGCCCATTCAGTATGATATTGGCTGTGGGTTTGTCATAGATAGCTCTTATTATTTTGTGATACGTTTCATCAATACCTAGTTTATTGAGAGTTTTTAGCATGAAGGGCTGTTGAATTTTATCAAAGGCCTTTTCTGCATCTACTGAGAGAATCATGTGGTTTTTGTCATTGGTTCTGTTTATGTGATGGATTATGTTTATTGATTTGCGTATGTTGAACCAGCCTTGCATCCTGGGGATGAAGCTGACTTGATCGTGGCGGATAAGCTTTTTGATGTGCTGCTGGATTCAGTTTGCCAGTATTTTATTGAGGATTTTCGCATCAATGTTCATCAGGGATACTGGCCTGAAATTTTCTTTTTTTGTTGTGTCTCTGCCAGGTTTTGGTGTCAGGATGATGCTGGCCTCATAAAATGAATTAGGGAGGATTCCCTCTTTTTCTATTGATTGGAATGGTTTCAGAAGGAATGGTTCCATCTCCTCTTTGTATCTTTGGTAGAATTCGGCTGTGAATCCATCTGGTCCTGGACTTTTTTTGTTTGGTAGGCTATTAATTACTGCCTCAATTTCAGAACTTGTTGTTGGTCTATTCAGAGATTCAGCTTCTTCCTGGTTTAGTCTTGGGAGAATGTATGTGTCCAGGAATTCATCCATTTCTTGTAGATTATCTAGTTTATTTGCATAGAGGTGTTTATAGTATTTTCTGATGGTAGTTTGTATTTCTGTGGGAAATACAAACTTTATCATTAACTTTATCATTTTTTATTGTGTCTATTTGATTCTTCTCTCTTATCTTCTTTACTAGTCCAGCTAGTGGTCTATCTATGTTGTTAGTCTTTTCAAAAAACCAGCTCCTGGATTCATTGAATTTTTGAGGGGTTTTTCATGCCTCTATCTCCTTCACTTCTGCTTTGAGCTTAGTTATATCTTGTCTTCTGCTAGCTTTTGAATGTGTCTGCTCCTGCTTCTCTAGTTCTTTTAATTGTGATGTTAGGGTGTCTATTTTAGATCTTTCCTGTTTTCTCCTGTGGACAATGTTCATTTATTATAATTGCTTTGTCTAGCTTTGAGAATCAAGGTCATGCTGGCCTTGTGCCCACTTCTATTTACTGAAAGAGTCTGTAGAATTGATACTTTTTCCTTCAATCTTTGTTAGAACTCACCAGTGAAGGCAACTGAGTCTGGAGGTGTTTGTTTTTATAACGGTAATGTTCTTAAATACAAATTTAAGTTTCTTAATAGGCCTATGTCTTCTTAAGTGAGCTTTCATAGTATGCATTCAAGAAATTTTTCTCTTTCATGTAGAAGTTATCAAATTTATTGGTATAGAGCTACTCATAATATTCCCTTACTATTCTTTTAATATCTATACAATCTGTAGTAATGTCATTTCTGTCATCCCTGGTATTGGTTCTTTGTTCCCTATCTTTTTTTCTTAATCATTCTGCCTATTCAGCGATTTTCATACTCTCAAATAACTAGCCCTGGTGTGATTCTGTCCTGTACAGCTCTTCTCTGGAGCAGTAATCATTTATCTCCATCCATCTTCTCTCCTACCTAAGCATATGCCACCACCCCATGGAAGGCTCAGTGGACATGGACATGAGCCCCCTGAGGCCCCAGAACCAACAAAGATTATCGCTTTAAAGTGGATACTGATGAAAATGAGCACCAATTATCTTTAAGAACAGTCAGGTTAGGGACTCATGCAAAGGATGAATTGCACATTGTTGAAGCAGAGGCAATGAATTACAAATGCAGTCCAATTAAAGTAACACTGCCAACTTTGAAAATGTCTGTACAAAATCAATGTGCAAAAATCACAAGCATTCCTATGCAGCAATAACAGACAAATAGGGAGCCAAATCATGAGTGAACTCCCATTCACAATTGCTACAAAGAGAATAAAACACCGAGGAATTTAACTTACAAGGGATGTGAAGGACCCCTTCAAGGAGAACTAAAAACCACTGCTAAACAAAATAAAAGAGGACACAAACAAATGGAAGAACTTTCCATGCTCATGGATAAGAAGAATCAATATCATGAAAATGACCATATTTCCCAAGGTAATTTATACATTCAATGCTATCCCCAGCAAGCTATCACTGACTTTCTTCACAGAATTGGAAAAAACTACTTTAAAGTTCATATGGAACCAAAAAAGAGCCCACAGAGCCAAGATAATCCTAAGCAAAAAGAACAAAGTGGGAGGCATCGTGCTACCTGACTTCAAACTATACTACAAGGCTACAGTAAAAACAGGCTGGTACTGGTACCAAAACAGATATATAGACCAATGGAACAGAACAGAGGCCTCAGAAACAACACCATGCATCTACAACCATCTGATCTTTGATAAACCTGACAAAAACAAGCAATGGGGAAAGGATGCCCTATTTAATAAATGCTGCTGGGAAAACTGGCTAGCCACGTGTAGAAAGCTGAAACTGGATCCCTTCCTTACACCATATACAAAAATTAATTCAAGTTGGATTAAAGACTTAATGTTAGACCTGAAACCATAAAAATCCTAGAAGAAAACCTAGGCAATACCATTCAGGACATAGGCAAGGGCAAAGACTCCATGACTAAAACACCAAAAGCATGGCAACAAAAGCCAAAATAGACAAATGGGATCTAATTAAACTAAAGATCTTCTGCACAGCAAAAGAAACTATCATCAGAGTGAACAGGCAACCTACAGAATGGGAGAAAATCTTTGCAATCTGCCCATCTGACAAAGGGCTAATATCCAGAATCTACAAAGAACTTAAACAAATTTACCAGAAAAAAAACAAACAACCCCATCAAAAAGTGGGAAAGGATATGAACAAACACTTCTCAAAGGAAGACATTTATGCAGCCAACAGACACATGAAAAAATGCTCATCATCACTGGTGATCAGAGAAATGCAAATCAAAACCACAATGAGATACCATCTCACGCCAGTTAGAATGGCGATCATTGAAAAGTCAGGAAACAACAGATGCTGGAGAGGATGTGGAGAAATAGGAATGCTTTTACATGGTTGGTGGGAGTGTAGATTAGTTCAACCATTGTGGAAAACAGTGTGGCGATTCCTCAAGGATTTAGAACTAGAAATACCATTTGACCCAGTGATCCCATTACTGGGTATATACCCAAAGTATTATAAATCATGCTACTACAAAGACACATGCACACATATGTTTATTGCAGCACTATTTACAATAGCAAAGACTTGGAACCAACCCAAATGTCCATCAATGATAGACTGGATTAAGAAAATGTGGCACATATGCACCATGGAATACTATACAACCATAAAAAAGTTGAGTTCATGTCCTTTGCAGGGACATGGATGAAGCTGGAAGTGATCATTCTAAGCAAACTATCACAAGGACAGAATACCAAACACCACATGTTCTCACTCATAGGTGGGAACTGAACAATGGGAACACTTGGACACACGGTGGGGAACATCACACACTGGGGCCTGTCGGGGGGTGGGGGACTGGGGGAGGGATAGCATTAGGAAAATACCTAATGTAAATGACGAGTTGATGGGTGTAGCAAACCAACAAACATGGCACATGTATACCTATATAACAAACCTGTGCATTGTGCACATGTACCCTAGAACTTAAAGTATAATAAAAAAAAAAAAAGAAAAAGAAAAAAATTGAAAATGTCTGTACAGCCAGTGATTTCCCTTGGGGGCTTTGAAATTACACCACCCAGTCTTACAGTTGAAGTGTGGTTCAGGGCCTGTACATATTCATAGACAGTATTTAGTATCTGTGGAGGAAGATGCAGAGTCAGAAGACGAAGAGGAGGAGGATGTGAAACTCTTAAGTGTAACTGGAAAGTGATCTGCCCCTGGAAGTGGTAACAAGTTTCCACAGAAAAAAAGTAAAACTTGCTGCCACTCCTGAAGAAGAAGGAGGAGGAGAGGGAGGGGGAGCAGGAGGAGGAAGAGGAAGGAGAAAGAGAAGGAGAATAAGAATAAGAAGAAGGAGGAGGCGGAGGAAGTGGAGGAGGAGGGAAGAGGAGGAGGAGGAGATTTTGATGATGAGGAAACTGAAGAAAAAGTGCCAGTGAAGAAATCTATATGAGATGCTCCAGCCAAAAATGCACAAAAATCATTTCCACCATGGAAAAGACTCAAAACCATCAACACCAAGATCAAAAGGATGAGAATCCTAAAAAAAAAAAAAAAACCAGGAAAAAACTCCTAAAACAGCAAAAGGACCTAATTCTGTAGAAGACATTAAAGCAAAAATGCAAACAAACACAGAAAAAGGTGGTTCTCTTCCCAAAGTGGAAGCCAAGTTCATCAATTATGTGAAGAGTTGCTTCTGGATGACTGACCAGGAGGCTATTCAGATCTCTGGCAGTGGATGAAGTGTCTTCAAGAAAATAGTGTTAACAGTTTGTTAAAAATTTTCCATCTTATTTCGTTTCTGTAACAGATGATATCTGGCTGTCCTTTTTATAATGCAGAGTGAGAACTTTCCTTACCATGTTTGATAAATGTTGCCCAGGTCCCATTGCCCAGAATGTGTTGTCCAAAATGTCATTTAGTTTGTAAAAATGGAACTCCTCCCTTTCCTTGGTTTTTAGTTTGTATGGAATGTTAACATTCCATACATGCTTAAAGTATGTATGTACTGCATACATAGTAGTACCAATGGTCAGACATGGAAATAGTGGGAAGACAAAAATATACATGTAAAATAAGCTCAGTATTTTAATAAAGTAAAAAGAAAACTAGCCTTTGCTTTCACTGATTTTCTCTATTATTTTTGTTTTTTATGACATTGATTCTGCTCCTATAGTTTATTATTTCCTTTCTTCTGCTTACTTTTGCTTTAACTTGCTCTTCTTTTTCTAGTTTCTTATGGTTGAAGCTTAAGTCATTGGTTTTAGAACCTTCTAGTTTTCTAATATAATACACTTTTAATGCTATTAATTTCCCTTTAAGCATTGTTTATTGGTAACTCACAAATTGTTGTTGTGGGTTTTAATATGTTGTTTTAATTTTCATTTACTTCAAAATATTTTCTAATTTCACTTGTGATTTTTTCTTGTATTGATTCAAGTTATTCAAGTGTGTTGTGTGGTTTCCAAATATTTGGGGATTATCCAGATATCTTTCTGTTATTAATTTCTAATTTAATCCCACTGTGGTCAGAAAACATACCCTGAATGACTTAAATCTTTTTAAATTGATTAAGATTTGTTTTATGGCCCAAAATATGGTCTATCTTGGTAAATGTTCTGTGTGCACTTGAAAAGAATCTGCATTCTGCTGTTGTGAGATAGGACGTTCTATAAATGTCAATTTGATCATGTTGATTATAGTGTTGTTCAATTATTCTGTATTCTTACTGATTTTCTGTCTATTTGTTCTACCAATTATCAAGAGTAAGGTGTTGAAATCTCCACCTAAATGGTGGTCTGGCTATTTCTTCTTTCAGTTTAGGATTAGAAACTTCAACCACATTTAGGATTGCTATGTTTTCTTGAGAAAATGATTCCTTTATCATTTTGAAATTACCCTCTTTATTCCTAGTAATATTCCTTGCTCAGAAATATACGTTGTCCCATATGCATACAGCTACTCCACCTTTCTTTGATTAACGCTGGCATGCTGTATCTTTTTCCGTCCTTTAACTTTTACCCTATCTGTGTCTTCATATTTAATAGATTTCTTTTAGCCAGTGGAAAGTTGGGTCCTGCTTTTTTTTTTTAATCCAGTCTGACAGAGCCTGTCTTTTAATTGACAGAGTTTAGACCATTTACATTTAATGTGGCTATTAAAATGATTGAGTTTAAATATATCGTCATGCTATTTGTTTTCTATTTTTCCAAGCTGTTCTTTGTTCCTTTTTGCTCATTTTTAACTTCTTTTTAATTAAGTGTTTTTTATGATTCCTTTTTATCTTCTTTATTGGCTTATTAGCTATATCTCTTTATATTGTTTCTTTAGGCATTTCATTAAGTTTTGTAATAAACGTCTTTACATTAATACAGTCTACCTTCAAGTTTTATTATACCACTTTATATATATTATAATAACTTCATGACACTTTTTCCCTTTTGCCCCTTCCTGGCCTTTGTGCTACTATTGTCACAGATTTTACTACCATAATACCTTGTTATAATATTTGCTTTAAACAGTTAATTGTTTTTTAAAGATATTTTTAAAAACAAGAAGTCTTTTGTATTTATGTTCATATTTACCTTTTCTAGTGCTTTTTATTTCTTTGTGCAGATTCAGTTTCCATCTGGTATCATTTTCTTTCTGTCTAAAAGCCTTCTGTTAACATTTCCTGTACTGATGGTCAGCTGGTGACAAATTCTTTCAGCTTTTGTGTGTCTGGGAAGGTCTTTATTTCATCTATTCTTTAATTTTTTTTTCACTTTGTATGGAAGTCTAGGTGAGAGTTTTTTTTCTTTCAGTGCCTTAAAGGTGCTGCTCCATTGTCTTCCGACTTGCATTGTTTCCAACAAGGAGTTCGCTCAATATCACCTTTGTTCTGTGCATAATGTCCTTTGTCTCTGACTGCTTTTGATTATTATGTGCCTTGGTGTAGTTTTTTTCACTTTCTTCTAACTGGAGCTTATTGAAATTTTGGGTCTGTGGGATGATGATTTTCAGCAAATTTGGATATTTTTCAGCCACTATTTCTTTAGATTTTTTTCTGTTCCTTCCCAATCCGCTCTTAATTTTTTAGCCATTATTTTTTAAGGTATGTTTCTTTCCTTCCACTCCTTTTGTGACTATAATTATAAACATGATGGGCTATTTTCTACGGTCCCACTACTCACTGATGCTCCGTTAATTCTTTTTAGTCTTCTTTTTTCATGTTTCATTTTAGATAATTGCTATATCTTCAAGTTTACTAATGGTTGCTGTTTATCCCTCTCATGTATCTTCTGTATCATATTTTTTCAACTCTAGAAATTTAATGCATGTCTATTTTATATCTTCCATGACTCTCTTTATCATACTCTTTTTTTTTCCTCTACATACTTGAACATATGCAGTATATTTACAATAGTTCTTTTAATGTCCTTGTATTAGCTCAGGCTGCTATAACAAAATACCATAGACTGGGTGGCTTAAACAACAGATATTTATTTCTTACCATTCTGTAGGTTGGAAGTCCAAACTCAAGCTGCCAACCAATTCATTTCCTGGTGAGAGCCCTCTTTTTGGTTTGCACATTGCTCCTTCTCACTGTGTTCTCACACGGTACACGCAAAAAAGGTAATCTGTATCTCTCTCTTCTTCTTCTTATAAAGTTATTAATCTTATCATAAAGGCCCTACTCTCATAACATCACCTGACACTAATTACCAAATTACCAAAGTGTCCATCTCCAATTATCATCACATTAAGAGTTAGGACTTCAACATACGGATTTGGTAAAGATGAGGAGGGTCACAATTCAGTCCATAGCAGTCCTTGTCTAGTAATTCTATCATCTGTGTCATTTCTAGGCCTTTTTCTATATACTGTTTTTCTCCTCATTATGGGTCACATTTTCCTGCTTCTTTGAATGCCTGGTAATTTCTTTTTCTTTTTACTTTTTTGGAGACAAGGTCTTGCTGTCACTCAGGCTGGAGTGAAGTGGCACAATCATAGCTCAATGCAACCTCAAACTCCTGGATTTAAGCAATCCTCCCACCTTAACCTCTTGAGCAGCTGGGACTACAGGTGTGCCGCACCAATCCCAGCAACTTTTTAAATTGTTTTCCAGAGATGGGGGTCTCACTGTATTGTCCAGACTGGTCATGAATTCCTGGGCTCAAGCAATCTTCCTGCCTCAGCCTCCCAAAATGCTAGGATTACAAGTGTGAGCCACAGCACCCAACCTGAATGACCGGTAATTTTTATTGGATTTCAGAAATATACATGTTACTTTGTTGGTGCTGGAGCTTTTTATTCTTTTAAATATTGCTGAGCTTGAGCTGGGTGCAATAAAGTTACTTGGATACAACCTGTTCCTTCCATGGCTTGCTCTTAAGCTCTGCCAAGTAAGACCAGAAGAACTTTTGGTCAAGGGCAAATTTGGCTCCACCATGAGACCCACCAGGAGACAATGGTTCCCTGAGAACCAGGGCCTTTCTACTCTGGGTGATAGGGGAAAAAAAAAAACAAACTATTGAGCTCCTGGATGACTGCACCCAATTCTTGATTCTCTCCTGCATCTTTCTCTAGCCTCAGGAGTTTCCTCACTGAAAACTCAGCAGATCTCCAGAGTCACCTCTCTGTTCTCCTAACCTTGGTTAGATCTCTTCTAACCAAGATCTGGCCCTGTGAATTCTAGCAGCCTTAGCCTCTCCAACCTCTGAACTCTGTCTCCTCAACTTAGGGTAATTCCTGGGCTCTGTTATATGTCTAGGAATATAATACGTTATTCCTGTGCCTCAGCCTAGAACTCTCTCCAGGCAGCAAGCTGCAACAATCTCGTTTGTTTGCCTTCTCTGAAAGGTCACTGTCTGTGCTGCTTGCCTAATGTCTGACAACTGTTCTGTCCTATATATTGCCTAGTTATTCTTAGTATGTTACGTTGAGAGAGTAATTTCAATCCTTTTTACTCAATCATTGCTGAACGCATCTCTCTATAGCTAAAAAGCTTCCACATCTTTTTCGGCTGTTCTCTCAAATATCAACTTTAGAGAATCAGTTGAGTATAGCGTGGTGGTTATAAAACAGGCTCTAGAGTCAGACAAACTGGGTTCAAGTAGCAACTCGGCCGCTATTATCTCTATGACCTTACATAAGTTATCTAACCTGAGTCCACCTGATCTATAAAAAAAGAATATTAGAAATATTTCTTACCTACCTCGGGGATATAGTGAGGTTTAACTGAGAAAATACACAGAAAACATTGAACATCACTCCTAGCACAGAATAATTACCCAGTGGTTGCTAACATAGCCATCATTATGATTTCCTCATGTGCCCACTGAGAAGGATGGCAACCTAGTGTCAGTCTGGCTGGTGCAGCACCCCACAGCCACTACCAATGAAAACTACAGCCTACACCTGAACTGTCTATACCAGCTGAAGAAATTCATCAAGTTCAATGCCTGACAGGAACATCTCCTCCAGCTGACAACTTATGTTTGTTGTTCCATAATCCCTTCCTTATCGTTCTTTCAACATGGTTTTCTTCCAGTCAGGATCAAAGTGTCACCATTTTACAGATATTCTGGCCTGCTTCCCTGAGAAGGGGCAAAATGTTCACTCTCCAGGTTCATGTCAGTACTCCACAGACATTGACTCCATTTTACATTTAGTCTAACAGTAAAATCCTGAACGCATACTTAAAAAGAAACCTAAATTGAAATTATCACAAGATAATAGCACAGTATGTAACTCCGAGCTTTTCTCTACTTAATGTTCTATTGACTTATATTAAAGCTGCTGTTTGCTAGTTTTCCAACCTCTGGGGAAAGATTTTCCATAAATGCAACTGGCTAAATGAGCATTAAAAATAAGTGAAATTTTGTTTCTTTACTGAAAAAAAAAACTATTATTTGTTAGATGTATTTAGACACTGTTTTAGATATGCCATGGGCAGAACTATATTAATCTCAGTGAAACAGAGTCAGTTTTCTTTTTCTAAATTACATATGTGCGAAATGAGTCTTAATAAAGCCACTGATTAAGTTTCTCTTTCCTATGAATGCATAGTCATTTATAGAAAATACAAACACTGGATGTTGTACTTCAGCACAAGTTACAACCCAAAATACAACATTGGGTGTTACAGTTCAGCACAAGTGACATCCTAAACACAAAGAAGCTTAGAGACATTACTTTCACCGCTTACAGGGCACATTCATACACATCTTCTCAATCATTCTTACAACAATCTTGTGAGCTAAGGACTTGCAACATGAGAAAGCTAATATCATGGAAACAAAAGAAGAGAGAGACTAAGATGCCCAACAGCAATCCTTTCTCTACTCCAAAAATAGTTAATTCTGGATGATCTAAATCAATCTCACTTTACAGTTTATTTTTGTGGATACTATGTCTTCTAGCTTTGCTTTATTCGACAATAATAACATGTCATTTTCTCATGAACCTGAATTTAACAGCTCAACATTTTTCTCCACTACCTCATCTCTAACACAAAGTTCTTTCTTCCTAACTTTTTATTTTGAAAAATTTCAAACCTGCAGAACAGCTTCAAAACTAGTGTGATGAAGATACCCTTCATCTAGATTCACCAATCACCAACATTTTGGCATATTTGCTTTATATACATACACAAACGTGTATATGTGCAGGTATAAAGCAAATATTTGTAATATACTTAATATAACATATATAGTTATATTAATATACTGAATATAACATATATAGTTATATTAATATACTGAATATAACATATATAGTTATATTGAGTAATATACTGAATATAACATATATAACATTTATTTTTATTATAAATGAATATTACCATACATGTTTTAGATAATTTACATGTATAAATGTGAACTGCTTGAAAGTTAGTAGCAAGCATTATGACAATTAAGTCATAAATGCTTCAACATGAATCTCCCAAAAACAAAAACATTCTCTTATATATGCATAATTATCACACTCAGGAAATTGACCATTGATACAATATCATTATCTATTATATAGTCCATTTTCAAATTTCCCCAAATGGACCAAGAAATGTCCTTGATAGCTATTTCCCTGATCCAGGATGGGATCCAGGATCACATCCTACATTTAGATGTCATATCTCTTCAATCTCCTTTAAACAGCTCCCCAGCCTTTCTGGTCTATAATGACTGATATTTCCTAAGAGGATAACACCTCATTTGCGGATTTATCTAATTGTTTCCTCATGATTCGATTCAGGTGGAACATAGTGCAGAGGAATGCTAAGTGATGGG
The DNA here is from genome assembly GCF_000001405.40 of Homo sapiens. Classification (NCBI taxonomy): domain Eukaryota; kingdom Metazoa; phylum Chordata; class Mammalia; order Primates; family Hominidae; genus Homo; species Homo sapiens. The sequence continues at coordinate 21,120,019 of NC_000010.11, forward strand.
CAGAGAATAAGTCAATGGGTAAATGATGTCAATTTGTTACTCTAGTAATGATGTTAAATTGTTTAAATTTAGCCAGGCACAGTGGCTTACACCTATAATCCCAGCAGTTTGGGAGGCTGATGCAGGAGGATCCCTTGAGACCAGAATTCGAAACCAGCCTGGCCTGGGCAATATAGGGAGACCCTGTCTCTACCAAAAATTTAAAAATTAGCCCTGCATGATGGCATGTGCCTATATCCCCAGCTACTCTGGAGGCTGAGATAGAAGGATTACCTAAGCCTAGGAGGTCAAGGCTACAGTGAGCTGTGATAGCACAACTGCACTCAAGCCTGGGCAACAGAGTGAGACTGTGTCTCAAAAAAAAAAAAAAAATACATATATATATATATATATATATATATATATAAATTTGATCACTGGTTTAAAGTATTCCCCATCATAAAGGTGCATTTCATCTTTGTAACTAAGTAGTCCAAGGGTTGATACTTGGAGAATACTCTATTCTTCAACAATCTTTCACTCACTGATTTTAGCACCTGCTGGCCATTCTTACCTAGGTCACTTATTAATTACTAGGGCAGTCATAAAATACCGGTTCTCTCTCCCATCATCCTTCTATATTTATTGGGGATTGGCACTCTTCAAAAGTATTTCATGACAGCAAAAAAAAAAAAAAAAAAAAAAAACCCAGGACCACCTATGCAAGAGTGTTAGAGTGAAGAAGTTCCCTGTGGAGAACTAAGCCCTGCTGAGGAAGAACACACGCCCAAGTGAGGTCTGAAGTCAGTGCTAAATACACACAACTCTGCGTCGGCTGCTATGAAGATATGAAGACATTTTCCCTATGGTTAATCTGGTTCAAAGGAATTATTCCATTCTATTGTGTAAGCTGTGGATGTTTACCATATTCTTTGTCCCAAGATGATGATGGGATACTGGCACAGGATCTAAAGGAACTACATTTTCAGGCTTTATACAATAACTTCTGACTTCCTCCCTGGAGTAGAGAGGAGGCATCTGAAAACATCACACTGGGAACATTGGTCCTGACTGAAAACCCCAGGAGATCAATTCTAAAGTATGTTTGGCCCTGAAACTTTTTTTAACAGTATCTACCAAATGCCTTAAAATTATACTCTTTCATTCCTTATCTCAAATGGCTTCAGTTCAAAGAAGGAAATGGTATTTCTTTCCATCCCTTTCTATCTTGCTTATGGAGAGACAACCTGAGCCCTTAACACTGTATAACTGTATAAACTTAGGCTAATTGTCAGGGGATTGATCACTTTAATGTCACGGTCATGCCAATCCCCGTTCTTCCAAGGTTCAGTCCCTACCTCTTGAGTTCCATCCTACCAAAAATGTTGGTAAATAAAATCAAGATAATATTTATTTTAGCTTAATTCAACAATCACAGTATAATTCATGAATACCCTGCCACCCTTGGACATCATTTTTAAGTGCTTAACTTTCTGCCTTCCAAGTTGTCATAGGAAAAGTCCAAATCAATGTATGCCTATCACGTGCACACTATATAATAGTAGAAATGCATTATGAAATAATTGTCTTATGAATCACTATCAAGTTAGAAAATCCTAATCTTAGAATGAGTCGTAGAGAGCAAATCCAATCTCCTACCCAATGCTAGGCTCACAACTTCAGTATCTGAAATAGCGATGCCATCTCCGTTTAAATGTCACCGGGGAAAGACAGCCCACAACACATGACAGTTAACTCCCCTAATTGACAGTAGCACATTAGACAGCCTGGAGATAGATGTGTTTTGCATGTAAACCCACCAGGATACCAAAATGAAGTGATAGAAAATGCAAATTTGAAGATGCAAATTCCTTTCAATACTAAGCTTTTCTAAAACTTTGAAAGCAAAACGCTATCAAAATTTGATATACCAATATTAAGGAAGTTAACAGGTAATGTACATACAAATACATTTTCAGGCCAAGGAATGTGGGGATTTCTCCTGGTTGTTGTTGTTGTTGTTGTTGTTGTTGTTGTTGTTGTTTTGAGACACAGTCTCTTTCTATCACCCAGACTGGAATGCAGTGGCACGATCTCGGCTCACTGAAACCTCCACCTCCCAGGTTCAAGCAATTATCCTGCCTCAGCCTGCCAAGTAGCTGGGATTACAGGCACCTACCACCATGCCTGGCTAGTTTTTGTATTTTTAATAGAGACAGGGTTTCACCATGTTGGCCAGGCTGGTCTCAAACTCCTGACTTCAGGTGATTCGCCCACCTCAGCCTCCCAAAGTACTGGAATTACAGGCATGAGCCACCACGCCCAGCCGGGATCTCTCCCACTGTTCTATCTTGCCCTGAAACAGATCTATCTCGGTGCCACTAAGTCAAAACTCTACCATCTGTGTCTTCCATGGAAGTGACCTGAGAGTCTCACTTCATTTCCTTCTCTCCTCCATACTTGCTTTGCATATTTAGGCTCACTTGATTAAAAATCTCTCTATTCTTTTGATCTACTCACAATCCAGAATAAGTGGCCATGGTGAGTGATAAATATAAAGATGTACAGATATGCAGAAATAGTCAATGATTTTGAGCCTGGGTGATTAGAAGAAGGGTACTATAAAAGGCAGAAAATGAGACTTAATCTGGTTGGGAGAGACAGAGTTTGGGTTTGGAGATCTGAAGTTTAGGATGGTGCAAAAATCCTCAGTGTCTGGGTAGCGGATCCAGAAGAGATATCTATTTGAGTCACCAGTAGAGATAGCAGTTGAAAATATGACAGATCAATTTCCTAAGGAAAAGGGAAATGAGAGAAAGAACAGCAGCAAAGACATCCACTTATACCCCCTTCAAGTATTCCCTCCTTGTATATGCCTTTATTTCCTAGTTTTCCTCCAGTGAATACTCTCATCTTCCTAAGTTCTGTAGGATCAAGAATCAGGGGTCCCACATATTTCCTTGTAGGCTGCTGGGGTCATAGAAGATACTCAGTAAAATCATTTTGGCTGGTTCTAATAACAAGCCAGAAATTTTTTTGAAATATCTCATATCAGTGGGATTTCATCCATGCTTAACACTTTCCCTGGACAATGAAGACTGCCTTCTACAGGTGGCCTGGAAAGTCACATATACTATCCCTTTGAGGTTGATACCAAAGGATGTCTATATAATAAATCCATGCAACTCTTAAAAATCCAGCAAGTGCCAAGATTCTCACTGTTCTAGATCTTACTCTGTACAAAGTCAAAGATAAATCTGTGCTTTTTGTCATTTTGGGACACTCCAGTGTATTTGCAAATATAAGTACTTGTGATTTCATAATTTTCTTTCAATTTTGGCAAATAGACTAAACTACTTAAGCTAGCAACAATATAATTTGAGGATAATCGCTACTTCATATCTGTACAGAGAACTGCATATTCTTAAAGTTCTTTATCATCAACTTTATTCATACACTGAAGATATCAGTAAAAAGCTCACTAAGTCTTTTATGTCACGAGAGCCCTGAGCTCAAGTCGTCCTGACCTTCCATAAATCCCCACCACTTAGTCCTTCTTTTTGAATTTACTGATGTTATTTCCCATGCCTGGAACTCTTCTTCTCCCCACCTGGCTCCCCTGTATCCAAATTATCCAAATTCTTCCTTCCCCTTCATATTGGCATCTTCAACTTCATCCAGTCTATAGTTCCCCTTCTCTGAATTCTGATGATCATATATCATCAGAATATATATATATATATCATCTCAAACTAATATATTCATAAAATCTTCAACATATATAATTTTATATATTATATAAATATACATAATCTCCAATTGGTTGTATATGTATATGTATATCTCCAACCAATCTAACATTGAAGTTTGCTTATGTTATTTAGTAAATTTTTCATGTAAGTTCTTTTTTTTTTTTAATTTTTGTCTTCTAGAATGTACCAGTAATTTCTCTGAGGCCAATCCTCACCTGAGATACGTGTGTGTGTTCACTGGCACCAATCTATGACATTTTATGCATACAGAAGGTAGACAATATTTGTAAACCACTGAAATACCTCTTGGTATTTGTAGAATTTCATATAATTCCTTATCTACTTGGCCATTGAGAAATGCTTTTAAATCATAATATTGCCTACTAGACCAACATAAATTCATTGTACTCATAACCCAATCCTTCAGGGAAGGTCCTATTTTGATTAAAAATGAAGGAGTAGGAGGAGGTAAAGCTTTTAGCATATTGATAGAACTGTTACTAATATTGTATTACTGTCCTTTATAATTTAAGGCAACATCACTAACAAAGATTAGGGAAAAGATCAATAAATTATGAGTTATTAATGCAGGAACGAAAAGAAATCCAATACCAAAGACATTGAAGCTAACAATATCTTCTCCTCCACTTGCTGAACCATTATAATCAGGCCTGGGCCTTTTTTCCCTAGTAGAGGTGATAAATGCTTACAGAGTGGCAGTTTCTCCCTGAGCTGTCTAAAGACCCTAATGCAATGAAACCAACCACTTCAGGCTCATTAGGGTCACTTTTAACAAGTTAAGCAGAACCCACCACCCAACCACATCAGGATTCAAAGTTTCAAAGAGGATGGGGAATGTAGAGTTTGGAAAAGAGCAATAAAAATGATCAGAAATAAATAGTCCAAAAGAAATAAAAACAAGGCCGAGCATAGTGGGTCATAGCTGGAATCGCAGCACTTTGGGAGGCTGAGGTGGGAGGATTGCTTGAAGGCTAGGAGTTTGAGACCAATCTCGGCAACATAGCAAGACCCCATTGTTACCAAAAATACACGTTTTAAAAATTGGCCAGGCATGGTGCCATGCACCTGTAGTCCCAGCTACTCAGGAGACTGAGGCAGGAGGATGTTTGAGCCCAGAAGTTTGAGGCTGCAGTGAGTTACGATCACAGGACTGTACTCCAGACTGTGAAGCAGAGCAAGACTACATCTCTAAAAAAGAAAAAGAAATAGAAACAGCACAGCCTGCATCAGTCTCCACTGAAGTGCAGTGTTGAGAGGTGACGGGGCAAGGCAGCACAAACACAGATCATGAAGGAAACATCTCAAAAGCAAGCCATAAGGAACAGTCCTATGGCGGCAAAGAAGAGACAGAATTGCTGAAAGCAATGCTAACATCTCTAATTCTTATGATGAATGGAATTCCAGAGTCTCTAGAAGCTCACAGGCACACACACGCACACACATGCACACATGCATATACACACACACACACACACACACAGCCACTGTGCACATTCATTAGGTTGAAGCTACATTTGCTCATCACCAAGGGGTCCCATCACATTGAAATGAAACCACGAGCTCCTTTTTACATCATAAGACTCCTATGAAAGGGATGTTTCAGGTTTAAAAGTCTTCCAAACAACTGTTTTAAATTGGGGGTTGGGGAGAAGAAATGGGAAGTTGCGGAGGGGACTACTTAATGAACTGGGCTATTTAAGGCTTCCCTCGAAATCTAGCATCATTCTTGCCTTTTTTCCTGCTAAATAAAGCCTCAAAGTAAGAGGAATGCAAAGGTTGAAGAAGTGGAAGCCATCACTGTAGAAAAACAAAGGTGGATCTGCCAAACGCAATGAATTTAGAGGGAATGTAAGTTTTGTTTCCCAGCCATCAAAAATAGTTTGATGGATTTGTGCCAAAATGAGAAATAAAAGCACACTCCTTCCTCCCTGCACCCTACAGAGCTGCCTTTGAAGTCACATGTGCTCCACAGGGCACGGATGGAAACAGAACTCAGGCTCATTTAAAATTTTATTGTATATGGTATGGTATAAGACAGTGTCCTTCAGACATTTACAAAAAAGTCATTTTCAGCACCTTCTTAGATACGTTGAACTTTTCTTTTATGCCCTGGAATTTAAATCCATGCTTCCCTTTGGTTATACCTTCTGGTCCCAGAGACAGCCTTGGGGACTTGGCCCAGTTGCCTGGATCTGGTTCAGGAGCTGCCTGGATGGGCGGCTTGTAGAGACTGAAGCTGACTCTCCGCAGCCACCTGGCAAGCGTTGGCCAGCTTTGCAGCCTTCTGGTCTCCCCAACCAGCTTCCTGGGAGGCCTCAGGCCCTTCTCGGCTCTCCGTTCTGCCTTACCAGGCCTATGGGATAAAGTGCAGCTGTCCGTTCTTCAAGCCTGGTACCCCCCATAGAAAGGAAAAAAAATACCACATTTGGAATAATAACAACTACATTGCTGGTTATGTTTCAGAACCAATCCATCTTCAAAATCAGGGACTTCTTTTGTAAGCCTCATTACAGCCTTAAGTATAGAAATGTTTATATTGTTTGCTTTGTTTGGTTTCTTACCTAGATACTGAGATTAGAGTGTGGACCCCTCTCAAGCCAGTGTCACATAACTAGGAGCTCAAAGATCAGAGAGAGAGAGAAACAAAAGCATTCCATATTTTCAAATGCATTAGTTCACCCAGTGTGTGGACTCTAAAGAGGGAAAAAAACAAAAATAGTAGATTTTTAGCATAAGAGATTTAGTCGTAGAATATTAGCATACACCATCTTTTTTTCTGGAAGGGAAGCTACAACTAAAAGGAATCATAAAGACCAACTAACCCAATTATTTAAAGAGGAGGAAACTGCTGCCCAAAAGTTAATGGCTCAGATTAAGAGTGTCAAAGAGACACACAAGCCAATTAGAAGAAGCCTCCACTGGGCCAGGTGCGGTGGCTCATGCCTGTAATCCCAGCACTTTGGGAGGCCGAGGCGGGTGGATCATGAGGGTCAGGACTTTGAGACCACCCTGACCAACATGCTGAAACCCTGTCTCCACTAAAAACAAAAGAAAATTAGCCAGGTATGGTGGTGCACACCTGTAATCCCAGCTACTCAGGAGGCTAAGGCAGGGGAATCGCTTGAACCCAGGGCGGGGAAGTTCTAGTGAGCAGAGATCGAGCCACTACACTCCAGCCTGGGTGACAGAGGGAGACCCTGTATCAAAAAAAAAAAAAAAAAAAAAAACTCCACTGGCCAAAGATGGGACAATATGAATATCAAAAGGAATTACTGCAACTGATTCAATACACTCAAACGCATCCATGGTTTTATAATGAGTTGATAAGATGTTCCTCCCACTCCTTTCCCTCTTCCCAAAAAAGTAGAGAACAATTTCCTGATCCCCACCGAGGGAGGCTGCCAGGACCCCAATTCATTATTCAGAAAATGGATCAATAACAGAAAATAATGACAAATGGATCTTGCTTTTTCTTTTCAAACTATATTTCAAGATATCAAATACATAATGATGAAAAATTGATCCCTACTAAAGAATTCCAACTACTAAATGCAGAAAGAATGATGGAATTAAAAAATTTCCAGTTTGTGACTTCTAGAGAAGTCCATTGCAAAAACCATTACTTAAGGTAATGTATGGCTGATGAGGAACCTTATAAATGGTGGACCAGGTATACAGCTAAATCTTCTGACCAATCTTAACTCACTGAAGTTGGGACAGACAGATACTATGTCTCTCCCAATGAGATATACTGGAAAGTACATAGCACCAACTATACAGCAATCTTGCCTAGAAAAAAAAAAAAGAAAATTTGAGCCAGAATATTATCAGGCCTGTTGATCTATGAGTTTATATGAAACATGGGGATAGAGGCACAAATTAAATGATACTGGAAGGAAGCAATCAGCCCAATCCAGAATGTGGGACATGCTATAAGGCAAAAACCTGATTTCTGCAACAAATAAAGGGAATTAAAAGGGGGAAAGGAGTGGAAGGGGACTATTATAAATTTAAAAATATTTAAGAGACAAAGCTGCCAATTGAATAAATGTACTTAATTTGGCTCTTAACTTGAGCAACTACTAAAACAAAACAAAACAAAAGACTTTGCAATTTGCAATTGAAAGAGATAACCAATAAAATGTGAACATGAACTGTGTTAAAAGGAATTAAGTAATTATTATTAATGTTTTGCAATATTGATGTTGTAGGTATTTATACATACAACTAGGTACTTATTTGTTAGGAAAGCATACTAAAATATTTTGGCATCTATATTTTTGTAAAAAGGAAGTTAATGACTCGGTTGGGACTAGAATCTGCTCTTATGGTACCCAGCACACATTCATTTCATTATAACCAAATTCAAAGGAAACACAAACAGTAAATTTTTTTAATTCTTAAAAAAGAGCAACACCAACCATCACTTGTTTTCTCTCTTCCCTCCATTAGTAAGACATGTATGTTTGAAGACCATAGACATTTTCTTCCTCTTGAAACAACAAAAACAAATCAACAGGATTACATAATAATCTTATAGATTACAGTAATTACAGTGAGGTTTTCTGCACTGGGTGAGTTAACCTAAATGTAAAAAAGGAGAAGAGGCTCTCCAGACCAAAAATGTCACACACACACCCCCAAGAGCATTTCAAATACTCATGTACACTTTACACATGTGATATGGAAGGAATGACACACTGAGCCACATAACCTTGATTACTGTATCAGATTAAATTTAATCTAAAGAGATAACACACAGGACAACTAAGAATCTGTAAACATACAGAGCTGAAAAATCCACAGTAAGGATCCTTAATTATTAAAGATATAAAAGAAATGGGTGTCTAGAAAAGAAAGTTCAGAATGGAAAGGGCGAGAGAACAAAAGCAAAAAAAAGGAAGACCAACAAGAGAACATCATCAACACCTTTTCCAAATCTCAACTCTCAACTTATCCCGTAATTGTTAAAACACATTTTTTAAAAGTGTGACAAAAGTGAAAATGTACTCAAAGCATAAAAATATAACATTGAAAAAAACCAGAAAAGATGGTCCTCAAACTCCCACTTGAATCTCCATCTTCAATGAACAGCATGAAAGAAGGACATACAGGGTTTAAGGCTGTCAGTGGGCTAAGTAAGAGCCGAATATCATATAAGCCACATGCATATAAACTAGAAACAACAAAGTTTCAGAAACAATGACAGGTGCACAACTTTCAGTGTGTGGTTCCACATGTAAGCAGTTTGGAAGCCACCACTCTAGAATTCTGTACCCTGCTAAATTATCCTTCAGAAGTGAGGGAGAAATAGCAACTTTCTCAGACAAACAAAAATTAAAGGAATTTGTTGCCAATACACCTGCCTTGCAAGAAATGTTAAAAGAAGCTCTTTAAAGAAAGAAAATGATGAAGGTCAGGAACTTGGATCTACATAAGAAAGAAAGTACATTTTTTTAAAAGGCGTAAGTAGAGGTAAAATTAAAAAATTTTTTAACTTTTTTATTTTATTTTATTTTATTTTTTAATAAAAAATAAAATATTGCCCAGGCTCTGACCTCAAACTCCTGGGCTCAAGCCATCCTCCCACCTTAGCCTTTTGAGTGGCTAGGAATACAGGCATGTGCCACTATGCCTGGCTTCTTATTCTTAATTGACCTTACAGAATTTTGTTCAAAATAATAATAGAAACAATGTATTCAATTATATATGCTTATATAGAGATATTTTACATATGTATATATGTGTATATAAATATCTATGTACAGGCACACTCATATATGCTTTTGTATAAGTGAAATGGATGACAAAAAGGAATGAGAGGGAGGAATTAGAAGAATTAGAATTATTTTATTATAAGGTACTCATATACCCATGAAGTAGCATAGTGCTATTTGAAAGAGGATTTGGATTACCTGTATATTGCAAACCTCAGGGCAACCACTAAAAAAAAAATACTTTAAAAAGCAGTATAATGGATATGCTAAGAAAGGAGAGAAAATAGAATCATATAAAATGCACAATTAAAACCGTAAAAATTAGAAAGAGTATAAGACAGAGAAACGAAAGAACAAGGGCAAAAAATTTAAAATAGTAATAAATACGGCAGATATTAACCCAATTATATCAATAATCACTTTGAACATCAGTGATCTAAATGCACCAACTGAAAGACAGAAATTTTCAGAATGGATCAAAAAAATATGACCTAACCATATTTTGTCTACAAGAAACCCATTTTAAACACAAAGTCATATATACATTTAAAGTAAATGAACGGAGAAAAAGATATCATGATAACACTAACCAAAAGAAAGCAGGAGTAGCTATGTTAATTTCAAAACAGGGTAGAACTTCAAAACAGGGAAAGTCATCTGGGACAAAGAAAGCCATTACATAATAATAAAGGGGTCAATTCTCCAAGATGATATAACAGTCTTTAACATGTATGCACCTAATGACAGAGCATCAAATTACACAAAGCAAAAACTGATAAAACTGCAAGCAGAAGCAGATGAGTTTACTCTTACAGTTGGAAATTTCAACACCCCTCTATCAGTACCAGACAGATCCAGCAGGCAGAAAATCAGCAAGGACATAGTTGAATTCAACACCAGCATCAATCAACAGCATATCATTGACATGTATAGACTACTTTACCCAACAACAGCAGAATACACACTCTTTTCAAACCCACATGAGACATTCACCAAGACAGACCACATTAAATACACCTTAGCAAATTTAAAATAATAGAAATCATACAATGTCTTCTCTCAGATCACAATGAAATTAAACTAGAAGTCAATAACAAAAAGGAAAATCCTGAAATATATGGAGAATTAAATAACACACTTCTAAATAACACATGGTTCAAAGAATAAATCTCAAGATAAATTATAAAATATTTTGAACTGAATGAAAATGAAAATACAACTTGTCAAAAATTGTGGGATGCCACGAAATCAGTGATCTGAAGGAAATTTATAACATTGAATGCACTTATTATAAAAGAAAAAAGATTGAAAATTAATAATCTAACTTTCCACTTTAAGAAACTGGAAAAAGAAGAGCCAATTAAATACAATGTAAGCAGAAAAAAAGAAATAATAAAAATTAGAGCAGAAAACAATAAAATTGAAAAGCAGGGACTCCATACAGAAAAAAATGTCAATGAAACCAAAAACTGGTCCTTTGAAAAGATAATAAAATCAATAAGCCTCTAGCCAGGTTAAGAAAAAAAGAGAGCAGACACAGATTACTAATATCATAAATGAAAGAGGGGCCATCATTACAGATGCCATAGATATTAAAAGGATAATAAAAGAATACTACAAACAACCCTATGCTCACACATTTATTAACCAAGATGAAATAGACTGCTTCTTTGCAAGACACAATCTGCCAAAACTCACACAAGAGGAAATAGACAATCTGAAGAAGCCCATATCTGTTCAAGAAATTGGATCAATCATTAACAATCTTTGAAAACAGAAAGCACAAGGCCTAGATTAGTTCACTGGTGAAGTCTACCAGACATTTAAGGAAGAAATTATACCAATTCTCTACAATCTCTTTCAGAGAATAAGAGCAGAGGGAATACTTCCTAACTCATTCTTACGACACCCTCATTGCCCTAATGCCAAAACCAGACCGAAATTGACCATATTGTATCCTCCACAGCTGAGTCTCAGTGGGCCTGTACTCTGCTCACTGTGATAATTTTCTCTGTACAAATAAATAAATAAACAAACAGAAGTAACAAAATCAAAGCAAAAAGCAACCCAGCTGGAGAAAAGCACAGGACTGCAGAAAACCAATAAAAGCAATGTGGAAAGAGACAACATTTCCATATGTTATTGTTTTCAAATCCATGTAGAACCTCTGGTGTGTATGACAGGTCATGACATAGAACACTGCTTCAAGATTGAAACAGAAGCAGCATCTTTTTTCTCCCCGCTGAACTAGTTATTTCCTCCAACCACAAAGTTTGGGAAAAGGAATAAGGAGAAGAAAAAAATAAGAAAATGAAAGGTTCATTTGGCAAGGAGCTGGGTCCCAGTGCCCTTGGGTGCCCAAAGTGAAATTGGTAAAAGTTTCCTGCTGTTGTATTTTTTGAATGGTCAATGCTAACTTTGCTTCCTACTTTCTGCAAAAAGGCAGATACAGCTTTCTTTTTTATTTTTGTATATGTATGCATATATTTACATTGACATGTAATCATAATACCATAAAATTTATCTTTTTAAAATGTATAATTCAGTTTTAGTATATTCTCAAAGTTATGCAATAATAACCATTATATAAATCTAGAGCATTTTCATCACCCCAAAAAGAAACTCAGTACTCATTAGCAATCACTCCCCATTATCCCTATTCTCCAAGAACCTCTGGTAACTGCTAACCTACTTTCTGTTTCTATGGATTTGCCTGTCCTGCACATTTCATATAAATGGAATCATATCATATGTGGCCTTTAGTGTCTGATTTATCTAGCTTAATGTTTTCAGGATTCATCATGTTATATTAACAGCATGATCAGTGCTTCACTCCTTTTAAGGGGTGAATGGTGTTCCATTGTATAGATGTGCCATACTTTGTTTATCTACTCGTCAATTAGTGGACATTTGGGTTGTTTCCACTTTTTAGCTGTTATGCATAATGCTTCTGTGAACATTCATGTACAAGGTTTTGTATGGATGTATGTTTTCAATTCCCTTGGATATATACCAAGAAGTAGAATTACTGGATCATATGGTAATTCTTTGTTTAAATTTTGAGGAAATGCTAGGCTATTTTCTAAAGTAGCTGCACCATTTTACACTCCCACCTGCGATGTGTGAGAGTTCCATTTTGTCCACATTCTCACCAACATTTGTTATTGTCCACCTTTTTCACTATGTCCATTCTAGGAGTTATGAAGTGTCTCATTGTGGTTTTGATTTGTATTTCCCTAAAGAGTGATGATACCAGGCCTTCTTTCATGTGTTTATTGACCGTGAATCTTCTTGGGAGAAATGTCTATTCAAATCTGTTGCCTATTTTTAATTGGGTTACTTGTCTTTTAATAACTGAGTTGTAACCATTCTTTATAGATTCTGGGTACTAGTTCTTTATCAGAAGAATGATCTGCAAATATTTTCTTACATTCTACGGGTAGTCTTTACACTTTCTTGAGAGTGTCCTTGAAGGACAGGTGTTTTTAAATGTTGATGAAGTCTAATTTGTATTTCCTTTTATTGCATGTGTTTTTTGGCATTATATATAAAACCACTGCCTAATCCAAAGTCACAAAGATTTACTCTGTTTTCCTCTTAGAGTGTTTTAGCTTTCACATTTAAGTCTTTAGCCCATTTTGAGTTAATTTTGTATGTGTGTGAGGTGGGAGTCCAATTTTACTCTTTTACCAGCTTTCTTTTTGTGACACTTTCAATTTGATTCTTGAAGCTGCAGCCCTCACACCATTTACCTCAGTAGAAGTCCTGGCTTCAAGGTAAGAAAAGGAGATGATGTTTTTAACCTAATGAAATTACTAGTTAAATCACGAAAGGGAAAATGTACTGTGTCTTGGGAGGCCAGGCTTAGCGGAGGGGGCTCCTTACTGTGGGTGAAATGTGACCTGTTACAATTTCTCTATGATTCCCCAATCAGTGTGGGGCAGTCCATAAGGGGTTGATGAAGAGCAAGTCCCAAAGCCAGATTCCATCTTAATTCTACAGGCTGTGTGCCTTTGAGTCAAGTTATTCTCTTTTCTGTGTATCAGATCCTCCCCATCTTAAACTAAGAAGAGAAAACATAGGGAATCTTCATAGAGTTGGAAGGATTATGTGAATGAATATAAGGCAAAGCACTCAGAACAGCATATGGCACGTTGTGAACACCCAGTACATATTAGCTGTTATTATCAGGAAAGATCCCATCATATCAATCCTAAGGGAATAGTTTCCAAGGAAACCTATGTCTCAAAATAATAGCCGTGTAGGGTTTGGTTGGGTGATGTGGCTGTCATGATGACATCTCTGATTCTACCAGGTGGCTGCCTCAAATCCGAGAACCTTAAGGAGCTTAGGAACCACTTGATGCTGATGGTCATCTTTGTCCTGTGTATAAGTCAATCTCTGTTTTGTTTTCCACAGACCTACACATTTACCAAAGGCAAATTCTTAAAAGGGCCGGGCACAGTGGCTTACTTACGCCTGTAATCCCAGCACTTTGGGAGGCTGAGGTAGGCGGATCACTGGATGTCAGGAGTTCGAGGTCAGCCTGCCTACATGGTGAAATTTGGTCTCTACTAAAAATATAAAAATTAGCCAAGCATGGTGTCACGTGCCTGTAGTCCCAGCTACTCAGGAGGCTGAGGCAGGAGAATCACTTGAACCCAAGAGGCAGAGGTTGCAGTGAGCCAAGCTTGTGCCATTGCACTCCAGCCTGGGCAACAGAGTGAGACTCCATCTCAAGAAAAAAAAAAAAAATCTAAGTAGGTGCCAAATTTTCCATCCCACTGGAAAATAAGACTACAGTTGAATTAAGTCATGTCCTACTCTCCTAGACTCAAAGCTGCTTTATAAAGACAATGTATTCTTATTTTCTACAGTATTTTTGTTTCCAGATCATTTAGCAACAGTGTTAAAAACCTTTTGTAATGCTAAAGACAGAGGGCAGGATTAATTCTCTTAGTCTCATTTGTTTCCAGAATTTTCTGCATATGTTTCCTAAATTTTAGAAGACACTATTCAATCATGTAAACCCACATTATAAGCAACTTTAAGTCTTCTTCCAAGGACTACCTTTTACACGGTCGATCCCTAATTTTCCGGATTTGGACAAGTTTCCATTCAAAAGTGATGTCCATCCAGTTAGAAAGCTTCTAGAACATTTTCCTTCCTACTCTCACAACTATTCCATCAATTAGTGTATGTTTAGCAATTGCAAATTACTTTTAATATTAGCAGATGCGCAATATAATTAGATGGGGAAACCTTCTGGGATCAAATCACGTCTTGGGTGATTACTGAGTTCTGACAAACATCAGTATTCATTCATCTGTAAGAACATTGTTCTCTTCCCCTGGAAGGTACGCTACTCTGCAATGCTGCCGTGCTTAAAACAGTTTTCAGAATTTCTCTTATGAATTCCTCTCAAAATCCGTTTGTGGTCTATGTACACACATCACACACACTTAATATTTTATGCCTTTTTAAAAAACCAGACATGGGATTATTCAGCTCGATTATTCACCCGCTCCACCCTCCATCGAGGGCAACGTTTGTCCAGGTTCCAGTACACTCTTTCATTTCCTCTGGACACCTCTTGTGAGTCATTTTAGTTCAAACAGAGCTTTGTGTGTAACAGGCCCTATTTCATCCCAGAGCTCAAGCTGAGAGGAAAACAGCCTGAACTCCACCTTGGGGACATTCCTCATTCAAGAAAACACATTTTCCTCTTCCAAACTGAATACAGTAAGAATATAGTACAATCTCTCTAGGCTAATAGTAAAGCCACTGGGTGGGGCGAGGCCACAGGGCCAATGCTGACAGGACAGCCCGTCCTCCCTTAACTCCTTTGTGTGGTACTTCCCCATCCGTATCCTCCAAAGGGCTGTTTGAAGATCTAATTTCTCTAGTCTCAGTGAACTTACATGCTAGTTACAGCCTCAGTGGAGATAAAAAAAAAAAAAATCTGGCAATGATGCTTGACATCATAATATTTGACAAAAAGGAAGCACTGAGGAGTTACTTCTCAGGCCAGGTGACGCTGCCAACAATCAGCCTCCTGCAACTCCAGGAAACAAGCCAAAGAAACTAAACTGAAAAGCGCTTTTCTGCTAAAGAAAAAAGAAACAGCTCCTATGGGTGCACCAAATCTACTCAGTGAGTGATTCCCCCGGCCTGGGACATCATGGCACAGCCTTTATGTAGCTGAGTAGAATTGGTGAGGGGTCTACACCACATGGGCTTCTGTACAGGGAGGGGACTCACCATCCCAGTGGGTCTGGGACTGTCCCAGCCTCAGTGCTGAAGGTCCTATTTTCAGTGGTCACCCTACTTTTCTTGGCTCTCCGTGCAGCTGGAAATCCAGCTCTTCCTCCTCAAACCCGGCCAGGATGAGAGATGGAGCCAGAAATTAATTAGCTAAGAGGCAAGGAAGAAAAAGGCAGCCTATCCCTGAGGCAGAACTTTCTGGAACTTGAAAAGCTTTGCCTGGATTGATTAAGCACATTTCTCAAAGAGAGGAAGCCCTTCTTCAATTCAAACACCTTCAGCTGTTCAACCAGGGAGTCCCCAACCTCACAGAAGCCACAGGATCACATTCTGGGTTGGGTATAGACTTGCCTACCAGCCCAGTGGAAGATACTCTAACCCAAACTTTCCACAAGTTTGGTCCTCAAGGCATCTGCATTAAGATCACCTAGTGAGACTGATACAATCCAAGTTCCTCAGTCCACTCCACACTTGCTGGATCCAATTCTCTAGTAATATATTTCCAAAATCTCCATTTTTAAGAAAGCCCCAAATACAACTGGCGACTGTTGAAATCCAAGGACTGCTCTCCTTCCTACTTTTTTGTTGTTGTTTAAAGACAGGGTCTCACTCTCTTGCCCAGCCTGGAGTGCAGTGGCACCATCACAGCTCGCTGCAGTTTCAAACTTCTGGGTCCAAGCGATCCTCTCACCTCAGCCTCCCAAAGGGCTGAGATAACAGGCATGGGCCACCATGCCCAGCCCTTTTTACTTCTTATTTCAAACCCTCACCCTCATCACCCACCAACAAGAATCCTCAGAGTCAGCAAAAGCAGGAGAGAGGTGAACTTGTCTTTGGAGCTTCCCCACCTCTCCTTCTGTATCCCTGTCCTATTTCAGCCTTCCAAGTTCCCTTTTGCCTTCCTCTATGCTTTCTACCCTACGGCTGGACAAAGCTCGCCAAAGCCTACCCTACTCTAAAGGGTCTCCATGTTCCAAAACCACCTCCACTTTCTCCTTCCCAAACCAGCAAATATTTTATTCACACAGTACATTGCAGTTTGCTGTTAGGAAAGCAATCTGGGTAAATTAATTCCTATCTAGAGCAAAATGACTGACATAACTTCTTACTCGTCTCTGGATGGAGGAGTTGCTTATTGCCCCCAATGAGTCATGGATTGGTAGAATTAATGGACATCTAGAGACAATATTTTTGGAGTTGATAGGTTCTTCTTTAAATCAGTGCTTTCTGGTGACTTCCCTGACTGGCATAGCATTTTCTTAATTTGGCAAGGAAAAATCCCACTAAGTTAGTTGTTAGAAAATTCCTTATGCCATTTGTCTACAGGGAAGTGATTAAAGCATGGTCGTTGGTCTTAGGTAGATATGGGTCTTAGTCCTGACTCTATCACTTACTGGCCATGTGACTCTGGACAATGAATTTAACCTTTTACTTGTAAAAGTGGAGATAATTAGAATATTTGTCTCAAAGGGTTGTTAAAATCCAAAGAAATATATTTTTTCAAAGTATCTGGCATCTGGTACTTAATAGTAATTGGCATTATAAGAGTCTGTATATAACAAATATCCATCCAAACAACTGCGGTATTCAGTTAGCCACAGCTATTCTTGCATGCTTAGTCTTCATTGTTAACTGTTCGTATAGCCTTGGTGTTCATTTATAACTCTGAAAAACTGAGAAAACATCAGTCAGGACCAATCTGGTTTTGCCCTGGGCAAGTAGACATCTGTAGAATTATTCCAGTTTGCTCCTGCTCCGTGTCTAAGAACACTACGGCTACTGCTGCCCCATTAGGTTTTCAGTCTTTGAAATCCACTCAAGGTCTTGGTCACTGAGGTTACTACCTCCTTGGCCACTTCTGATAGGTGGCACAACCTAAGCTAAGTGAAACTGGAAGTGAGCCAGGCATGGTGGCTCATGACTGTAATCCCAGCACTTTGGGAGGCTGAAGCAGAAGGATTGCTTCAGGCCAGCAGTTTGAAACCAGCCTGGGCAACATAGTGAGACCCCTCTGCCATCTCTACAAAAAAAATAAAACTAAACCAGCTGAGCATTATGGTATGTGCTTGTGATCTCAGCTTCTCGGGAGGCAGAGGTAGAAGTATCACTTAAGCCTGGGAGACTGGGATCACACCACTGCACTCCAGCCTGGGTGACAGAGCAAGACCCTGAAAAAAAAAAAAAGGAAAGGGAAGGGAAGGGAAGGGAAGGGAATGGAAAGGAAGAAAGGAAGGAACTGGAAGTGGATGGAGAGGAGCCCAGCATGCTGCGAATGGTGGGTATCGAGATTTCCAATGGTCAGTGGTCAACTCCTCCTTGCCAAGTCCTCCACCTAGAGGGTAATGATATCTATAACCCTAAAGAACAAGGTAGGAGGGAGCATGAATCTGGCTTCCGAAAACAGTAGAAACCAAAACAGTCTTATATTATTGGGACAACGGACAGCACTGTCCCAACTCACCGTAAACACTGCAAAATGTGTGCATGTTCCACTGGAAATTTCCAAGATCAAGGAGAAACAGATGCATCCAAGGAATGGCCTCTGAGGTGGAGCGGAATGATGGCTTATGGATTCCCACCAAGCTCAACACAAAGAAGCCCAGAAGGTACAACTGAGGGGCTCTCCCAGGAGACAGAGGGAAGAAATCTTTATAATAAATGGACTGTCCACTTTGCCTCTACCATGATTACAAGCTAGAAGAAATATATAATGAATAGAGGCAATGCACAGCTATTAGAGAAACAAAAAGAGGGGTCAGGGTTCAATAAAATGTCATCGGGAGAGGTGAGGAAGACCAGAAGCAATGGATGAGGACAGAAACACGACAAAAATGGGAAGTGTGAATAATAAACATTATTTTAAAAAAACTATACTCCAGGTGCTATGTTATGTGTTCCAAAATCAGCCTAATCCTCATGACAACCCTGCAAGGTACCCACAGGAGGCTCCGAGAGGTTTGGTAACTTGCCCAGAGTCACACAGCTAAAAAACTGCAAAACTCCATTTTGAACTCAAGTGCAGCTGATTCCAAAACATGTACTTTTAGTAACGACACCAAACTAAACTATTTAAAAAAAAAAAAAAAAAGATTAATGGGACAGAATATCTGCCAAGAAAACAGAGAGCGATTACTATCATTCCAGACACTCTAAGTAAGCAAAATTAAATTAAATTACCAAAAGTAAATAGCACATCGTAATAAATAACAGCCACTATCCATGACTTCATGATGTTCTTATACGTGATCTATTCCTACTTTGATTGTTCATTTGTAATTTAGCCTTCAAATCTGTTTGAAAGCAATTCAACAACAAAAGAGAACACGCTCAGTCATCTCTAGTTACAATATGTACACAGAGCTCTCAGATGTTAAGAGTCACGGCTGGCCTAGGAATTTTTATAATCAAGTTACATAGCACTAGTGGAACTTTTTCTGGGAATCTAAGTCAAGCTCTAAAGCCTATAATTCAAAGTAACATGAAGAAATTAGAGAAGGGCATTTTCATTAGCATGAAGCTTTGGAGTTGTGGCCAAAGGTTTTGAAAGAAAATGTAAAATCCAATCAGACAGAATAAAATGATGATATAATCCTGCCAAGAGCAAAAGAAATGCAGAATGTAATCAAGCAGGAGGGGAAATCGGTTACAATTTGGATGAGGATACCCTACGTCCACTCAAATCAGAGGAAAGAAGAACATAAGGATATCAACCCAGGAGACCAAGGTTGAAAATCCATCGCATCTGAAGGGTGTGGACCACTATCTGTTGTCAAAGAAATTATATGAGGTTTAGCCTCATGTTGTCATAGCAATGATGAAATGGATTTATCTGTCCAAAAAGAATGTGGACATATGGTTCCTCAACCCCAAATCTCTGCCAGATAAACAATTGTATAAGAGGCACGTATTAGCACATGTCGCACCTATTAGCATGGTAACCTCAACCCAACTCCCATTATAGACCTGCTTTCCACAGTGCACATTTGTCTTGGCAACCTTGGGAAGGTACGGAATTAAATATAGAAATGCCGAAGTCTATGAAAGCCACAGTATTAATAACTTTGTGTGAAGCTCAGAATAATCTTCGTACATTAGGGATTAAAGTATATGGAACATGGTCAGGCACTGGTGGCTCACGCCTGTAATCCCAGCACTTTGGGAGGCTGAGGCAGGCAGATCACTTGAGGCCAGGAGTTCGAGACCAGCCCGGCCAACATGTTGAAACCCTGTCTCAACAAAAAAAAAAAAAAAAAAAATACAAAAATTAGGCGTGGTTTCAGGTGCCTGTAATCCCAGCTACTCTGGAGACTGAGGCACGAGAATCACTTGAACCTGGGAGGTGGAGGCTGCAGTGAGCCAAGATTGCTCCACTACACTTCAGCGTGGTCGACAGAGCGAGACTCTGTCTCAAAATAAATGTAAAATAATAATAATATATAAGGTGTATGGAATGGTTGAGAATCTGATATCTTTGAAAATGTGCCAGATTTGAATTGATTTTAGATGTGATTGAGTAAACAGTGAAAATATGAGCGTTTTCAAACAATATTAGAATGTCTGGAAGAATGAGGAATCTACCGTATTTATACATTTCATTTTTAATTTGCAAGAATTATTCAAATACTTAGGAAAGTGTTTGCTAAGGTCTTCAGGTTTGCTTTATCAGGCATTTAAAGTGATTAAAAAGAAGATTAGACATATTTATTTACAAATACAATTTTAAATGTTTAAGAAGATGTAATTAAGTTACAAATTGAATGGATTAATGGGAATATAGTCTGTCCAGCCTGAGTTTATCAAGCATCATTTAAAGCAAACACCCATAAATGATTTGTTCTTATTTCCTACTCTACTTTCTAGATTTATATATAGAATAACAAGACATTTACGGTAAAATAAAATCACACAATGAAAAAATATAGTTTTCAACTTGAATAAATCAATACTAATTAAAAACTAATATCAATTTAAAACTAATATGAATTACAATGGGAACACATGGACACAGAGAGGGGAACATCACACATGGGGGCCTGTCGGGGAGTGGAGGGCAAGGGGAGGGAGAGCATTAGGACAAATATCTAACGCATGCATGGCTTAAAACCTAGATGGTGGGTTGATAGGTGCAGCAAACCACCATGGCGCATGTATACCTAGGTAACAAACCTGCATGTTCTGCACATGTTTCCCAGAACTTAAAGTAAAATTAAAAAAAAAAGCTAATATCAATTTTGGTCCCATCAATAACGGAAACCCTGAATCTAATCATGAGGAGACATCAAATAAATATAAAACAAGAGGTATTCGACAAAAAAAAAAAAAACCTGCTCTATGCTCTTCAAAAATCTCACTATATGAAAGAAAAGAAAGAAATGTCCCAGATTAAAGACACCAAAAAGACATGAAACAATAAACTGCATGATCTTGGATTTTCTTTTGCTAAAAATGGCATTATTGTTTCATTTAGTGAAATCTGAACGAGGTCTGTAGATTAGATAATATGACAGTATCAATGTTAATTTCCCAGTTTTGAAAGTTATATGGTATTTATGTAAGGGAATGCCTTCGTTTTTAGGAAATACACAGTGCATTATTTAGGGGCAACGAGACATCTTATCTGCACTTACCTCAATGGTTTCAGGAGAAAAAAATAGCATATAGAGAAAAAGGATAAAACAAATGTATCAAAATATGACCATTTGGAGAATTTGGAAAAAAGCATACAAGAATTTTTCATGATATTCTTGCAACTTTTCTGTTTGTCTAATATTACATCAAAATAAAAGTTGAAACAATGAAAAACTAATATTTAAAGTAAAAGTGTTGTTGTTTATTTAATGCCACCCTTGAACATCAAAAATCACCCATTGACAGAGAAACACAAAAAAGATGGTTAAAAGCTGAAAAAGTAAAACTAAGAGACTAGAACAAGATTGAATAAAATGAACAAAAGGGAAAATTCCCATTCTTAATAAAAGTCAGAAAATCTCAGAGTGTGTTATCTGAAGTATGTTAATCTTTCCTCTGCCTTGAACCCAAAATTGATAACATCCCTTTGGATGAAGCTCTGATGCAAAGCATGTGAGATGTTCACGGCAAATACCTGTCCCAAGGTTCTACCCATAGGGTGCCTGAGGTCCAGGATTATTCTCCCACTCCACCTCCCACGCCTTCAGCAGAACTCCTGTTCTAGAAAATCTTCCTCTTGACATAATACTATATCCTTCTAGGTAGAAGACAGGCCCTGCCCCTGGTATCCAAACATCAACTCCAGCCTGGCCGGGATTAAAGGGTTTTGAATCACTCTCTGTAATAGGACAAAAGACCTCATTCAGTGGCAAAACTTGTAGGAACAACAATTCTCTTAGCACTCTCCTTGGTAATATAACCCACTATTCCTAAGCATTCACTCTTGGTGGTATTCCTAATACACAGACATCTGACTTAAAATATGCCAGCCTTTCTCAGAGACCATGACCACATGGACCAACCAAATAGCCTAGAAATATTTATGACTTCACCCTGGGTTGCACCAGCCCTGTCTACTAGCACAGCCTGAGCCACCTATGTACTGCAGCCACACAGACTCCAGCTTGGCTTACTCTGACAGCACCACAGGACACCACCCCAGAAGTTCCAGATCACCTTACCACTCAGTCCATGGCAAAACTACCCATTCAGGGTGTATAAGAGAATACTTGGGCAAACAAGCGAGCACAGGAGTCAACAGCCACCTGTGAAACAAACTAAACAAGACAAAGAAGTTTTCCAACAGCGTCAGTTATGAAAAATCAAAATGAGCATCTAAGGGAAATTGTGGGATCCTTTTCTCTATTTAAAATCATGGAAAAATGATTTACTTTTAATATTTCAAATACTCCATGCCTGAAAACAGGAGATAGACTATATCAGGGGCCCCCAACCCCCAGGGCGGCAGACGGTATGGCGAGCATTACTGCTACTGCCTTCTGAGATCAGCGGTGGTATTAGAGTCTCACAGGAGCATGGCCCCTGCTATGAACTGCGCGTGTGAGGGATCCCAGTTGTGCTCCTTATGAGAATCTAACTAATGCCTGAAGATCTGAGGTGGGACAGTGTCATCCTGAAACCATCCTCCTGCCCCCCACCCCCAACATCTGTGGAAACCACAAAACCTGTCCCTGGTGCCAAAAAGGTTGGGGATGGCTGGACTTTATAATCTTCAGGTAGTTATACAGTGGTGAATTTGAGACTTAAGTGTGTGTGGGGTGTGTGTGTGTGTGGGTATGTGTGATTAAAGTATAGAAATACCTAACAATTATCCTTTTATTAATTCAACAAGGGTCAACTAAGTACATGTTATATGCATAATGTGAATGTAGAAAAAGAGGAGTTTTCATAAACATGTTCAAAGGGAGGTTAAACTTTAAGCATGAAGCCAGGCCCAGTGGCTCACACCTGTAATCCCAGCACTTTAGGAGGCCAAGGTGGGCGGATCACTTGAAGTCAGGGGTTTGAGATCAGCCTGGCCAACATGGCGAAACCCTGTCTCTCCTAAAAATACAAAAATTAGCTGGGCGTGGTGGTGGGTGTCTGTAATCCCAGCTACTTGGGAGGCTGAGGCAGGAGAATAGCTTGAACCCGGGACGTGGAGGTTGCAGAGAGCTGAGATAGCACCACTGCACTCCAGCTGGGTGAAAAGAGTGAAACTTCATCTCAAAAAAAAAAAAAAAAAAAAAAATCAAACGTGAAAAGTGCTTTATCAACTACTTAGCACAACAATTCAATGCAATAAGTACAACCAGACTCATTTTCAAGGTAAGAAATCCTAAGGTAAAAGAAAGGAGAACATAGACAAATATCAGAAAGATATAAAATGGCCCAATCAGAAGTCCCAAAACAGTTGAAGAGGACCCCAAATTCTAGTCTTCAATCTGGAATAACTGAGTGCCTTGGCAAACCACCCCACTTCCCCAGATCTTAGATTCCCTACGTGTTCAATAAGTGACTTGAACCAGAGAGCTCTGAAGGTTGCTTCCAGCCTTTACGAACAAATAAATACATCTAGATTTTCTATTCTAGGACTTAGCCCCATCAAAAAACATCACAAGCCAGATCAGGATAAGACAAGAAAAGAAAAAAAAAAAGCTTAAAATAAGACCATTCCAGAAAAACTTTATATCAAGTTTACTCTTTTACACAGAAAAGGAGAATGGTAATTATTCAATCAGAAAAAAAGAAATGATGATTATTCGAATAAGATACCACTGAAAACTCCAACAAGGAGAGAAGGATTTTTGCTTCAAGTATTTTGTGATTACTGACAATAGTTATGTTCTCTGGTCTCTGTAATGAGAGGCATCTGCAGCACTGTTTGTGCCCTTGGAGGGCAGAAAGGTGGCACTGCCAAGGGGCTGTCACTCTACTCCTCCTTTGTCTTTGTATCCACCTCCTAAGGAACAAAGACACAGTCATTGCCCTCAGGCCCTCAGTTACCTTCACTTTTTCCCAGGATTAGGTAACACCTGCAGATGGGGCTGGATGGCTGCTGGTACTAGAAGAAACCTGTGCTGGGCACCGTTCCCCTTCCTTAACCCAGTGGCTTCCCTGGTACTGCATTCAACCATCCAAATCGCCCTACAAGGTAACGCACCCTCCTTGGCCAGTTGAGCCTCCCAAATAACCCCCTCTTGCTCAAATAAAATCAGAATGGGGCCGGGTGCTGTGGCTCACGCCTGTAATCCCAGCACTTTGGGAGGCCGAGGTGGGGGAATCACCCAAAGTCAGGAGTTCAAGACCAGCCTGGCCAACCTGGCAAAACCTTGTCTGGACTAAAAATACAAAAATAAGCCAGGTGTGGTGGCACGTGCCTGTAATCCCAGCTACCTCAGAGGCTGAGACACGAGAATCACTTGAACCCGGGGAGTTGGAGGTTGCAATGAGCCGAGATCATGTCACTGCACTCCAGCCTGGGAGACAGAGTGAGACTCTGTCTCAAAAAATGAAAAAAGAAAAAAAGGCAGATTGGAATAGGAAGAGCCAGGTTCCAACCCAAGCCCCATCATATAAGGCCAAGTGACTGTAACTAGCTATTCACGTCATATGTCTCTCATCTCCTCTGTAAAATAGTGGTTAGCATGGGCTCTCTCCTCTCAATGAAAAAGTATATAAAATGAAATGAAAAAGTATTAAACATGTTCAAGTATATAAAAAGCCCCTTCAAATTAAAAAAAAAAAAAAGATATCTCTCCAAGCACAAAAAAGGGGTAGATAAAAAGGCTAACCACAGAAGTAAAAATGGCAAAAAAATAAAATAAAAGATGCTCGTGGATAGAACAAGAAACCAAAAATAACACAACCATTAGATATTACTTTTCATCCAGCAAACTGGTAAAATTGGAAAGATTAGATTCACAAGATAGGGAAAGATGGGTATTCTCTTACATTTTGTCTGGGACAGTAGGTTGCTATTGCCCTTTGGTGTGTTTGATAGTGGCCAACAAAATATGAAATATATAAGCCTTCTGGCTTGGCAAAATCTCTTTCAGTACTCCCCTACAGAAATATTCTCACATATGCCAAAGTTATTTGTATAAAGCTGTTCAATGCAGCACTATTTATTTAAATGTCCATTAATTGGGGAATGGTTAAATAAATGATGGAACACCTATTTTATAGGATATCAAAATGCCATTAAAAAGGATTAAATAGATCTATTGATTTGTTCTGACATGAACTATATTATGGAACTAGAATAGTGCCTGACACTTAGGAACCACTCGGTAAGTATCTGTTGAATAAATGAATATGTATACACCTTTTCATAGCACTTTACATAATCTATCTCCTCTCATTCTTATGCCAACCCTACAATATGAGCCAAGTGGCTGTTATTGTGCACTCTGTAAGGATGAGGAAATTAAAATCCAAGGAGGTTATGACCTGCCGAACATCCCAAACATAAAGTATGGAACCAAAACAGAATCAGATCTACCGGTCAGTACTCTTTGGTGGCTGACATCCATTCTGCCTGCAACAAGGCTAACCTGCACGCAAACCCTGTAGGGAAATGCCAAGGGCTCCGGCAGCTGGAGAGTAACTCAGTAATTGCTTGCTGATTTGGACTGACTGAATCTTCTTTTACCAGCAAAGCCCTCCATTAGGTGAGGCTCGGCTCTCTGGACCGCAGCTCGGGCCCATTGGGCATCTAACAACAGGTCTGAAAGGAGGTCATTCAACAACAGGTCACCATGGAAACCCTAACCCCCTCCTCGCCCCTGGAACAAAATGGAGTGGGAAGGCAAAGAGGAGCATTTGTTAAGCGCCCGCTATGAGCCAGGCACCATGAATAGGGAAAAATTCATTTGAGTCTTCCTTTACAAATCTCCAAAAGAAAAAGAAACTGTGCATTGTTAAACAAAGTACAGAACAGGCCTGCGTCGCTGCTTAATCTAGGTCAGTGATAACTGCAAAGGAAGTTTATTTCATGCAGAGGGTACTCCGTTCACCCCTCTTACAGCTGCACGTGTCAGGCAGCATCATTTACATCACCACGTGGCCCTGTCTCAGCACACCCATGCAGTATAAACCTGCCCCCAACACATACTCTACCTGTTCATGTCTGGAATGTACATTTCAGCCACACAAGAAAAAAATGACTGGTTGATTAGTAAAGCACAAACACTCTCTCTCATATAAGCTAGAGGACAGCCAATATCTTCAGAAATTTCAGGTGCCATGCTTTCCATAGAGTAGATTCTTCTTTCACTTTTAGCCATCCTACTCCTGCATTATCAGAAAATGGTGAAAATGGTGCTGTGTTTGGGCATTGTTACCTTGGAACTTTCATCTTAATTACAGAAGCTCTTAGCAACCGTTGCTTAGTAACAAACACATTTGAAATAGATTTGTTGACTGATTATGAGATGCTCTGAAAAGTCTGTAGAATGAAATTCACTGATGGAAAAGAATTGCAATGCCCTGGTAAAGTAAAAATTTTTTTTAACTACAAAAGTATTCACAAAACTTGGGCTATGAGCAGGTCCCAAAGATATTACTGAACTTCTGGAATAGTTTCATAATATTTTATGCTGCTTTATGGCTGGTCTATTATTTTCATAATCAATTCGGACACAATTATCTGACTAAACAGCTGTCGAAGCTCTGGGAGATAGGCCTTAGGGTTTTAGTCAATGCAGAATTCTGCACAGAAAATCAATGGCTTCTTGATTTCCACGGGTTCACAAGGTCCTCCCTGCCATAACGCCTCTTCCCACTCAAGATTTCTGAAGGGCCTGAGGCTTCTAGTGACTCTTCAAGTCAGAAGCAAAAACCAAGGAAAGCTTTGCCTCCATCTTTCCAATAATATTTCTTCAGCACCTATTAATAAAATCTGTGATAAAAAGTAGAAATGGAGATGCGTTTAGGACTACATCCACGCACATCTTCCCCAAAGCAAAACCCCAACCCCACACACACTCCCCTCTCTGAGCCTGGGACCTCCTCCTGCCTCTCAACAAGGTCTCATTGCACGTTAGCCATTTTCACCTCAAAAACTAGGAACCTTCGCCCAGTTTCTCAGAAGAAGGGGTCCTCATCAGCAGAGAAAGTCCCTCTCCTCCCTTGTATCTTTCTGGAATTCTTCTCTGACCCTGTTTCTCCTCCGGTTTTTTTTTTTTTTTTTTTAGACAAACCTCTCAAAGGAGGAGCCTCCCTTCACTGGCTTTCCCTTCTCACTTCCCACTCAGTCCTCAACCCACTGCAGGCTAACTTTACCTCCTGATTTCCTCTTTCAGTCACCATTGCTGTGGATTCCAGAAAGACTTCAATGAAGAGTAGTGTAAGTTTCCTCAGTCTTCTCTACTCCATAAGTCCTTTCTTCCCAGGGAGTCCTTGATATTTACCACGGTTCAAGCCTACATCCCTGAGTAAGAAGAATCCGCCTCCACGGAAGGAACAAGAGAACATCCACCAAGCGAGCACCTGTCCAGAACATTCTATCTGGTTGCCCAGAGCAACTCATGTTCCTCACAGTCTGCTTCACCCATTTACCTTAGCTACCCAGCCCCTTCAGCATTCGGACTTGAGGCTGCAGGCAGGAATCTTTGTACTGGCCTTCCTGTCGCCAACCAAATTCAATTCACTCACAGGTTCCTTCATGAAACAAATATTTATCAATCACAGATATTTATCACCATGCCAAGCATTGTCTTTAGGCAGTGATGATACAATAATGTCCAGAAAAAATAACGGAACTCTTCGTTATCTTATGGAGTTCACAGGATGAAGAATTACTCAAATAAATATAAAATGAGTGCTAAGAAGAACTATACAAGGCTAGAAGAATTTACAGTAGAGAGCACTAGCCAGACCATCCCTGTTGACAGTTGAGGCCTAAAGGACAAAAAGTCATCAACAAGACAAAGATGTGTGGTGGGAGAAAGTTCCAGAAAGGGAATAACACGTGCAAATGTCCCAGCTTCTTCTCAAATGATTTATCCAGTATACTCCTGTGATATTATGAAACATGTACATTGGTTTCCATCCACGTTCATGGCTCATCACTCCCAGGACGCTTGTTATTTCCTAAGTGACTGAAACAATAAGTATCTCTTCTGTTAAAGTATGTGGACTTTGGTCCGTGGTTCCCAAAGCAGCTTTGGAATAGCATCAGTGATGAAGGTGAAAGACAGCCCTGTGGTAGAATGTTGGGATTCTTTAGGCCTCAGAAAACAGAACCTCTCAGGCAGAGTTTTATCCTGCCCTCCTTTTTTGTTGTCGTTGTTGTTTTGTTTTTGTTTTTGTTTTTGTTTTTTAGACAGAGTCTCACTCTGTTGCCGGGCTGGAGTGCAGTGGCGTGATCTCAGCTCACTGCAACTTCCACCTCCTGCGTGGAAGCGATTGGCCTGCCTCAGCCTCCCGAGTAGCTGAGACTGCAGGCACATACCACCATGCCCAGCTAATTTTTGTATTCGTAGTAGAGACAGGGTTTCACCATGTTGGCCAGGATGGTCTCAATCTCCTGACCTTAAGTGATGCACCCGCCTCAGCCTCCCAAAGTGCTGGGATTACAGGTGTGAGCCACCACGCCCGGCCCCTGTCCTCCTTTTGTCTGCTCCTTTTTCTCCCCAAGACAGGCCATAGAAACTAAAAATATGCTCTCACCTTCCCCTACCTTTCCATAAAGAAATTCTCTGATGTCCATTGTCTGACTGTGGGTCACAAGACCCCCATTTCAGAAGGGGTCCTGCCCCATACCCAGGAGGAAGGAATCCTGCACAGAGAGCCCAAGAAGAACCTGAAAGGACGGGACTGGCTGGGTTTCCCCACTCGTCTGTTAGGATTAGATCATTCCCTCTGTGTCTAATCACATTTCTCCATGGGTGTCCACGCTTCAATCACACCTATCCGGTGAAGCGTCCCAAAAAGGCCCAAGAGAACACTGTAGTGAGAACTTCGGGGCAGCTGTTCCTGGAGGGGGTGCAGCAGGGGAGGGCAGGGAAGCTCTGTAACCCTTCCTCACCTTACGCACCTCGTCGTCGGTATCCTTTGCAATAGTCTTTCTTTTTTTTTCTTTTTGAGACAGAGTCTGTCTCTGTCACCCAAGCTGGAGTATAGTGGTGCAATCTCAGCTCACTGCAACCTCCGCCTCCTGGGTTCAAGCGATTCTCTCACCTCAGCCTCCTGAGTAGCTGGGACTACAGGTGCCTGCCACCACACCCAGATAATTTTTATATTTTTAGTAGATACGGGGTTTCACCATGTTGGCCAGGCTTGTCTCAAACTCCAGACCTCAAGTGATCCGCCTCTCTTGGCTTCCCAAAGTGCTGGGATTATAGGCATGAGCCATCGCGCCCGACCTGTAAGTCTTTCTAATAAACCAGTAAACATAAGCAAGGGTCTCCCTGAGTTCTGTGAGCCACTCTAGCAAATTAACAGAATCCAAGGACAGAGTTCTGGGAACCCTGATTAATAGCCCGTTGGTCACAAGCACAGATAAAGCCAACTGGAGCTTGCGATTGGCATTGGAAGTGGGTGACGGGGGCGGTCTTGTAGGACTGAGCCCTCAACCTGTGGGATCTGGTGCTATGTCCAGGTAGATAGGGTTGGAATTGAATTAGAGGACACCCAGCTGATGTCCACTGCAGAACTGATCACTTGCTTGGTATGTGTGGGAAAATCCCTCACACATCTGGTCACAGAATTCTTCTGTGTTGATTGCTGTGGGGTAAAAGCAGAGGAAAAACAGTTTGTGTTTTTTCCACTCAGAACTCTCCCCTTAGAGAGGTTCTCTACTTAAGTTATGTTCCTTTTTTAGCATATTATTATTGACTTCTAAACTAAATAAAGGCTCCCATTGCAAAATCAGAGCAACAATTATTTTTGAAAGACTAAGACTGAAGTATGAAATAACGAAGGCCTCACTTTTAAATTATTTACAAAATAAATAAATAAAATATGGACCAAAAATATTTTTCTCTACTTCCATAGCCTCATTTATGTGCGGCTTGCATCTTTTTTAAACTAAGGATTTATATCGAACGGTTGGAAGCTTTCGCTTCTCATCAACTTTCTGACAAATTCTGCTCAGAACAGCTGCTACCATAAAATTTAATTTGCTACTTCCCAAAAAAGTCACTTTGGTGTAAAATAACTTTGCCTTCCTGCTAATATTTTACAACCAATTAAAGCTGAAATGATGGCTGGGAGTCTACCCAGTGAGGCTCCAACCACGGGCTTGCACAACTACAATATGTGAAGAAAAACATGAAGTCACATGTGCTGAAGAACATACAATATATCTCCAAACATTTGCACTGCCAAGAAAAGAAACTCGTGGGGTTGTTTGGCAAATATAAAAATGAGATGTGAAAACTTCAGAATTATTATCTGTGTAAATCCATTTCCATATTTCAAAAGTTTAAAAGACAGAATCATTACATGTTCCTAATTAATCTTTATAGTAATCATTCTTTGCACACCTTCTGTACAAAAGTCACACCCGAAGCCAACAGCATGGCACACCATGTTATGGCATTTATTATGAGCTCACAAAATGAAAACTTTCTTCAGATGTTTTCCTAGGTGTCCAAATTGTACAAGAAAATTAATAGGAAGTGGAATTTCACCAACTTCTTCAACCCTGGCTGAAGAACAAGGTTCCGTTGTCAAAACTCATTCACACCAAGGTGGTGCTCGATGCTCAAAAGAGGTGAGAGGAATGTTTCCTCAGCCAAGCCAAGGAAAATTAATGACCACCACTCAGAAATATACAGATTGTTAGGGCAATTCCCTGACCTCTGAGCATCACTGAAAGGCAGAGACGGGAAGGATGAAATGAGGGAGAGCAAAGAAAGGAACTGAAGTCATTTTTGGAGAAATAAACAAGACTCGATTCTTCTGCAGGATTTTTCCAAGTTCCATTTAAAGCAATCTAGGCCAAAATTATATTCAGGAAACAAAAGATATGTCTTTGCACATATAGCAACGCACACCATGTAATTCACCCTGCTTCAGTCAACAGTCATGACTTTGTCACTGATGATGACAGAATCCTCCTGCGTCACCACTCATGTGGTGAAACTTCCAGGGGGTCCAACTCCCTCAAGGACCATGGCTTCATGATAACTCTTGGTTCATTTTAATGACAAAATGCACTCTTGTTTACACCCAATGGGATATCATTACAGTAAATATGTGACTGTCCCTTTAGCACAAGCGCACACACACAAAAGTCCTTTTCTAGCCCATTAGTGCTTTATTTTTACAACCAGCCAAAGTGAAAAAAAACTTAAAACCTAAATCACACATCACGTCACTCCTCTGCTCAACACCCCAGCAACTGCCCCCCTTAGTCAGAGCTGCCCAGATTCTGCAGTCCCTGTAATGGTTTACAGGCCTTGTAGGGTCCCCACCGTCCCCAGGCCCCTTCCTCCTTTCCACACAGGCTTCCTGCCTGGATTGCTTTTCCCACACGCCCCAGGTTCACTCCGTGCCCTTGCTATTCCCTTGCCTATACCAGGTTTTGCTCCAATGTGAAAACTAGACTTCCCTGACCAACTTATGCAAAATTGCAAACTCTCCTCCAACCCCCTGCCCAACCAAGTGAAACTTATCTCTTCCCCTGCTCCATTTTTCTCTATAGAACATATCCGTTTCTAATATTTTACTGATTGTTTGGTTTTGGGTTTTGTCTGCCTCTTTCCACTAAGAAGCTCCACGAGGGCAGGAATTTTCCTCTACTTTGCTCACTGCCACATTCCAAGTACTTAGAACAGCGCCTGGTTCATAGGACAGGCTCTTTCAATATTAAGTAAATGAACAAATGAATTCCATCATTACTGAATAATAAATGAAGGAGTGAGTGCATTTCCGCTATCCGGAAATGGGACAGAGAAGGCAAGTCTTCCAGGGCCTGCGAGGAATGCAGGCGGAGTCAAGTCTGAGCTTACTTCCACCCAACACAGCCCAATCCATGATGGATTCTCTTTCGTGCTCATCTGTCTGGCCACCCCTTGACTTCCAATGATCATCAACGAATCTCATAGATTGGACCCCAAGGACAGTGACGCCAGTGTAATATTTTAAATCCGTTAGTCCCAAGAATTCCAAAGGCATCCAATGAGCATCTCCCCACCTCCATTTCCCAAAGTTATACAATGCCCCTGGGCTATTCCTCACATCACAGGCTACAAGGACAATAGTATCCAACATTGACAAACCTCAGCATAAATCCGCAGGACACTGAAGTGGGAGGATCACCTGAGCCCAGGAGTTCAAGGTTACAGTGAGCTATGATTATGCTACTGCACTCCAGCCTAGGAAACAGAGCAAGACCCTGTCCAAGAAAAAAGAAAAAAAAAAAATCCAGAGCAACAAAAGCCAAAAAGAAACAGGAAGAGGACAAAATTTCATCCAAACTTCTAACTATTCTGCCCAATTGTACATCAAGTAATATTATACTTGGTTCAAGCACAAACTCCACTCTGAATTTAAGAACCTCAGAACAGTAATTTAACTTTCTGTTTGGAGAGAAAAGAAAGACTAATGAGTCAAGCTGTAGTCCAGAAATCCAATGACTGCATTATTTTCCTTCTTTATTCTTCTAAAATAAAGAGTGACCTTGAAAAAAACAACTGTACATCAATTTCCTTGTTTGTAGCAACATGAATAATAGAATAACCCCATAGAAAACCAGCACCACCTTATGTACTTAGAACCAAAGTCTTGGTCTCCTTGGTCTCAACCTCCCTTTTCAGACTTGGTGGATTTTATCTGGCTGAGAAACTCCAGTCTCCTAGGCCAAAATTGTCCACCCCACATCACGAGCCTTCTAGCTCACAAATGTGCAATGACCGTGAAAATAGGTAATATTTATGGGTCAGGCAGTTTATATGCATTATCTCATGTAAACCTCTCAACAACTCTTGGCAGTAGATGCTATTATTCAATATTATCTCCCATTTCACAGATAATGAAATTGAGGTTGGAGAGATGAAGTGATTCCCCATGTGGATCTAGAGGTCAAAAAGAAATAAGTCTGGCTCTTAATGCCCACACTATACAGCAGGGCTGCAAAGGCCCTTGTATTATAAATTAATTTTTTTTTAAGATGGAGTTTTGCTCTGTCATCCAGGCTGGAGTGCAATGGTGAGATCTCAGCTCACTGCAACCTCCGCCTCCCGGGTTCAAGTGATTCTCCAGCCTCAGCCTCCTCAGCCTCCTGAATAGCTGGGATTACAGGTGCCCACCACTACACCTGGCTAATTTTTTATATATATTAAAACAAATATATATATTATATATGTATTAATTTTGAGACGGAGTCTCACTGTATCTCCCAGGCTGAAGTACAATGATGCAATCTCAGCTCACTGCAACCTCCACCCCGAGGGTTCAAGTGAATCTCCTGAGTAGCTGGGATTACAGATGCACACCACCACAACCAGCTAATTTTTGTATTTTCAGTACAGACGGGGTTTCACCATGTTGGTCAGGCTGGTCTCGAACTCCTGACCTCGTGATCCTCCCTCCTCAGCCTCCCAAAGTGCTGGGGTTACAGGCGTGAGCCACCGTGCCCGGCCATAAATTAAGTTCTTAAAATAAAAGTATATACGGAAATAAACGTAAGTCTTTACATCTTAAAAGTTAAGATGTAGGACCTCGTTATATTTGTTAAATGATGCAAAATGAAATAAGACCACATGAACAAAATAGAATGGGCAAAATAGAAAAGTTCATAATGAACACAGACATGATATACATATTTTTCAGAAATCTATTCCACCTGATTCAGTGTTTTTGGGAAACTGTTTCCTAAAAATCAGCTTAATCATAAAGAGAATGATTCTCCAGTTCAGAAAGGAACTTCTCATATTATTAATACCATACAGAGAATAAATTGTCTTTAAAGCAAACACTAAAGTCATATTTAAAAGTGAGCCACTGGCTGGGCACAGTGGCTCACATCTGTAACCCCAGCACTTTGGAAGGCCGAAGCAGGAAGATCACCTGAGGTCAGGAGTTCGAGACCAACCTGATCAACATGGTGAAACCCTCTCTCTACTAAAAATACAAAAATTAGCCAAGCATGGTGGCATGTGCCTGTAGTCCCAGCTACTCGGGAGGCTGAGGCAGGAGAATCACTTGAACCTGGGAGGTGGAGGTTGCAATGAGCTGAAATCGCGCCACTGCACTCCATCCTGAGTGACAGAGTGAGACTCTGCTTCAAAAAAAAAAAAAAAAGTGAGCCACAATGTAAACAAGCTATAACATTAAATTTTCATGACTTTGTGCTCGTGGGTCTCAATAACACCTGTGTTTAGAAATTCACAATATGAAACAGAATATGAGAAAGGTAGCACAGCACTCAAAACCAGCAGCACAAACTCTACACATTATCCAAAATGCTAAAGAGATGCTGGATGTGCACTTTCCTCAATTATCAACATTGTAAAATAAATCTTCACAGCCTGGAATCTCTTTATTGCCTTTATTAACTCTTACTCCAAATCCAAATCTTACACAAAATCTAAAATAATTTGAAAATGCATTCCAATTTGAAATATATACAGGGGTACTTTTTGAATTTTTTATTTTAACCTTTGTGGGTGTATAGTAGGTGTATATACTTGTGGGGCACATGAGATGTTTTGATACAGGCATACAATGCATAATAATCACATCATAGGCTGGGCGTAGTGGCTCACGCCTGTAATCCCAGCACTTTGGGAGGCCGAGGCGGGTGGATCACGAGGTCAGGAGTTCGAGACCAGCCTGGCCAACATGGTGAAACCCCATATCTACTACAAATACAAAAATTAGCCAGGGGTGATGGTGCACACCTGTAATCCCAGCTACTCCAGAGGCTGAGGGAGGAGAATTGCTTGAACCCAGGAGGCAGAGGTTGCAGTGAGCTGAGATCTCGCCACTGCACTCCAGCCTCGGCGACAGAGCAAGACTCCCTCACACACACAAAAAAATTTTTTAGTAATCACATCATGGAAAATGGGGTATCCATCCCCTCAAGCATCTATCCTTTGAGTTACAAACAATCCAATTATATTCTATTAGTTATTTTTAAATGTACAATTAAATTATTATTGACTATAATCACCTTGTTGTGCTATCAAATACCAGGTCTTATTCATTCTAACTATTTTTTTGGTACCCATTAACATCCCCACCTCCTCACCACCCTCCCACTAACCTTCCCAGCTTCTGGTAACCATCCTTTTACTCTCTAGCTCCATGAGTCCAGCTGTTTGGATTTTTAGATCCCACAGATAAGTGATAACATACAGTGTTTCTCTTTCTGTGTCTGATTCATTTCACTTTATACATAAGTACTTCGGAAATCTTGAGTACTGTGCCTATAATAAGGTAACATTTCAACTTTCAAACTCACATTCAAAACCCAAGTAATCACTGGTAATCACTGCATTGCTACAGCTCAAACAATTGACACACCTGAAAAGACCAGAAGAGTGAAATAGGGAAAACATTACCTGGTTCCAGAGAGAAAACTGACTGGGCAAGGGAGGTGCGTTGGAAAAGCACTATCACATGGTCATTCGTGTTTCCACTTATTGAGCTGTGCCCAGTTCTTTATAATTATCCATTTTCTCTTTTCCTCCTCACAATCAATTCCTCTGCAGAGATTAACGCCCACTGCATGACAAGAACAGAGGCCCCAAGAGGTGGAGTTGGCCCCCACCTACTGATTATTGCCACCGCTCAAAAGCAATATTGGGAACAGCCCTACAGTCTCCAGCAGGGCCCAGACCCCATATTTCAAAACAACGGTTCATAGAAAAGTTAAAAACATCCATCACACCACAAGTGCTGAATTTCTGGCCACTCAAGTGGTAAAATAGAAAGAATCAGTAGAAACTCCAAGGAAAGAAAAAACTGCTGGCATTCATTTATTGGGGGACAGGAGGAATTCTATTCATGTAATTTGCGAGAA
Organism: Homo sapiens; assembly: GCF_000001405.40. Taxonomy (NCBI): domain Eukaryota; kingdom Metazoa; phylum Chordata; class Mammalia; order Primates; family Hominidae; genus Homo; species Homo sapiens. Next base: position 21,156,198 of record NC_000010.11, read on the forward strand.
GTAGCTTTGCCCTTTCTTTAAAGACCAGGAGAGTTTTCCATTTGGCATCTTTTTGGTGTGGTTGTAAGCACGGGGCAAAAAAGTACAAATGTGCTTTTGTACAAATGGACAAAGAGTTATCAAAAAATTAACTCAACAGTATTTAGGAGGCATTGAAAGCTAGGATCTGATTATGAGGAGGAAAAGAGAGCAGTGTGTTTGGGATTCGTTTTCAAAGTCAGGAGCAAACATGGAAGAAGAATGGTGTTTTCAAAACACACATTAATTCAATTGATGGATAAGATTTCTATCAGGTAATAAAGTTCACCTGGGAGAATAGGCTAACCAGGGAGCATGTCTACTGGAAACAAAGCAAGACCAACCCATTTCTTATCACAGGACATAACTATGCTGCCTTCGTGCTTTTTTTTTTTAGGAGCCCATTACTTATATATAAAAAATGGCAATTACAAAAGTCTATTTCACTCACTCTTGAAATACAGATACAATCCTTCATTGCTTAATAAAATAATAAAAGAAGTTTTAAGAAAGTGAAGCTATCTGAGAAACTTTCATGAGAAAATTAATAATTAAATTCTGAAATTGAAATATAAATCCTAAATCGTAGGAATATTAAGATTATAAATCTTCACACTAGAATCTCTACATTGAACTACAGCCAAGGTCACAATCATGAGTTTTTCCCCCTTCTTTTTAAAATAAAACAAGAACTATGTCATTTTCTATAAAAATTTAAACCATATTTCTTCTTGCCATTTGAAACTGAAATTCATTTCCTTATGAATATTTCAATACCATTCTCCTACAAGCAAGAACAATCTATCAGAGAACAATTTTCTAATTGTTTTACAAGCTTACAAAGCACATAATGTCACAAAGTAAAGGTCCTGGGTGAAAGAAGAGAAGGTTATTACTCCTTGAAAATATTAGTGAAATCACAAAGATATGCATGTCAAAGGAAGAAACAGACACTGTGGTCAACTCGTAATTCAGAAAAAGTCTCCATTATTCCTTCACTTTTTTTTTTAACACTGATCTTTTATAAGCTTTATTGAGGTGTCATTGATATACAAAAAATTAACAGCATTTAAGCCAGGTGCAGAGGCTCATGTCTGTAATCCCAGCACTTTGGGAGGCCGAGGTGGGTGGATCACGTGAGATCAGGAGTTCAAGACCAGCCTGGGCAACATGGTGAAACCCGTCTCTACCAAAAATACAAAAAATTAGCTGGGTATGGTGGCACGTGCCTGAAAGTCCCAGCTACTCAGGAGGCTGAGGTGGGAGGATCACTTGAGCCTGGGAAGCAGAGGCTGCAGTGAGCCGAGATGGTGCTACTGTACTCTAGCCTGGGTGACAGAGCAAGATTCCATCTCAAAAAATAAAAAAAAATTGACAGCATTGAATTTGTTTTATAAAATTCTTCAGTTCACTGTGTATATATTTCCTTTCTTCTCTAGCATCAAAAACACAGTTAATTTTGCTCTGCTTGACTTTTCTTAGTGAACCTGTTGGAGTTGAATTGTATATGTATTGGAGTCCAAAAAGTGTGTTAGAGTCCTAACCCCACAGACCTCGGAATGTGACCTATTTGGAGATAGGGTCTTTGCTGAGGTAATCAAGTGAGAATGAGGTCATAGGTGTGGGCCCTAATACAAGATGGCTGGTGTCCTTAGAAAACGAGATTAGGACACAGACACACATGAAGGGAAGTTGATGTGAAGACACAGGGAGAAGACGGCTAGCCATCTATTCAACATAAGCCAAGGACAGGGGCCTGAAACAGAGTCTTCCCTCACAGGCCCCAGAAGAAACCAACCCTACAGACACTTAGATTTCGGACTTTTAGTCTCTAGAACTGTGAGACAACAAATGTCTGTTATTTAAGACACCCCGTTTATGGTACTTTGTCACAGCAAGCCTAGCAAACTATGACAGAACCTATGAGGACTTTTTATTTTAAAGTCTTTACAAACCATTCTGCACTCATCCATGTGAGGATTTTGCCAGGAATTAATGTCACATTAATTAGGCTGTAATTTCTACAATCTGTCTCTTCCCCTTTCTAAAACTTGGGATGTTTTCTCATCCCCAAAGCTTTCTTTTGCTGACAATTTCTCAAAGAGAATAGGCAATAGTAATAATAGCCAACATTTATACAGTGTCTACTCTATGTCAACTATTTACATAGATTATCTTATTTATCCTTGCAGTAACCAGAAGAGGTAGCAAATACTATTATTATCAGCAACTGAGACACAGAATGCCCATTTTGCAGATGGGATAACTGAGACAACATCACCATTTTGTAGGTGAGGAAACCGAGGGATGGTGAGGCAAAGTAACTCAACGTCAGCCCCAGAAGGGAATGGTCCCTTCACTCCCCCACCACATCCGCTCTCACTGCTAAGGGACATGATTCCAGTGTTTCAGTTCCAGGACCACATCTACAGGGTTTTCTCAGGTCCCTAAGATGCCACCCTCTGGATGGACAGATTCCAATTTCCTTAATCCAACGCAAAACGACTTGATGTCTGACTACTGGCTCTCCTAATTTTTACTTTAATTTCTTAATGACGTTTTGGATCTTTTCTAGTTGTAAATCTGTTCTTCTCAGTTGAAAGGATAAAAGCTAAATAGGAATTGCATGAAAGCTAAATAGGATTTTTTTCTGTCATCGTTTATTATCACAATTATCCTCCCCAAGCCAGGGTTCCACTTTTTTCTTAGAATATAAGTGCTTTTGAAACCCACTTTGTCTTTAGAATTGTCACAAGCCATGGTTTTGAGCTTTTCTGATCCCATTCTTACTGTGTCTGCCATCTTTGAACACTCAGTGATCCATCTTTTAAACTGTGTGTTAGGCTAATCTGAGCTTAGAAAGCTCCCAAGGTATGTCCTATGATGCTTTTCCTCCACCCTTTTTTTAAAGATGTATTCCCCCTTTCTCTCTCTGAAATAATTAACACTTTTTCAATCAGGATTTTATTTTTCAAAGTCTTCTATCTCACTTGAGCCACCTTTTTTTCTTATTCCTTCTTCTGTTTGTTCAGCAAATCTTTATTAAAAGCTAACTGTGAGCTAATGACTAGACCAGTCACAGGGGTATGGCACACATCGTTTATCTTAGAGTTTCTGAGAACCTAAGATTTCTTGAACAAGCACAGCCTTTCCTTCTTCCCCTACACCGTTTGAAGGTTTTCTTAAAAGGCTAGGTGTGGTGTGACTCCTTCTTTTGCTCTCCTGAACTTCAACATAACAGAGACTACGTGTTCTAAAGTCCTCACAACTGCTACCCCATCGACCAATTCTTTTCCAAATTAAGCGCAAAGCAGCTTGAAAGCAGTGACGTTGTCCACAAAAGCAAAGCAAGAAACCAACTGGTATTCTCTCTTAAACCTTCAGCAGATAACTCATTGAAAAAGCCTCCATGACATTTCCAATCTGGACAAGAGGCACATGGTCTGCCATGCAGCGGGGCCACCTGTTTCCCTTCTTTTCCTTCTCACTCAAATGTTCTCCATCATCTTTTCACCTTCAAGATTCTTTCTATTCATGGATTCACCTCCTAGACATGTTTCTCTTTTAGCATACCAAGCCTCTCCACTGTCACAATTTAATCATCAGCCTGTCCCCATCCCACGTTGGCAAAACTCCTGGATCTTACGTATCTCATAATGTGGCTATGCATTGGTACAGACAGGTGAGGTCATAAATATTCCCCTGCTGGTCTCTTCTGAGAATTACTTGATCCTTCCTCCATTCAGGGACTTCTTTTATGTTACCACCTGTTTTCTCCTGCTAGGGAATTAATTTTTAAATCCTCGGTAACAATTGTTCCTGACCCACCAGTATAGACCCAGAGAAAGAAGCCAGACTTGGGAAGCTTGCTATCAGATCAGCGACTGCTGTCTCCCATTCAGAGTAAAGGTTCTTTTACAGTCAATCAACACATGTTTATTCAGTCCCTGTTATATACTCATCACTGTATAAAGAAAAAAAAAAAACTAATATGCTTTTCTTTCAACGTCTGCCAAACTGCCATTCTGCAGGACACTTCCTGGGCAGCAGCCCCCGTGTGCAAATCTTGAGTGCTTTTTACGGGCCACTCAGCCCTGCAGGTATATATGACACAAGAGGCGCACAAATAAGCCAGCTTCCTGACTCCCAGCCAATTAAACCTGACATTACATAACTGCTGTTTTAAAAAAAGACCACAGAGGCAAACCCTCTAAACAGAATTTTCTTTCTTTAGTAGCCTCTGAGGAAGAACTGTTCTAATATGGTGTTTCTATTCCTGATAGGAATAACCCTTAATTATCACGTGCCTTAAGCATCTAGAAATTTTTAAATAGAATTCCCCTTAATGTTAAGAGAATCAGAGAACTACGTCACTGGCAACAGAAAAGACTTCAAATAGAGAGAAAGAGAAACGGAGAGATAGTGGGGTTGGGGAGGGTGGGTTGGGGGAGAAGCACTGATCCTACAGAGTTATTTTTAAAGTTCTGGAAATGTGGGAGAAAAGGCAGAACATTGAAGAAAAATCACTTGAGAAAAGAAGATTCTTCCACAAGAGCCTGTTAAGACCTTTTATTCATCAGGAATTGACCATTAATCCCTGATTAAATTTAGTTTCAGGAAATGAAGCCATCAAACTTATTTCCAGGGGGAAAAAAAAAAAAAACATGATATGCAAGTAAATGTGTATATGGTCTGATGTCTCAAACACATGGTTCACTCCTAGGACTTTGAAAAACAGAGTCATAACAAAGTGATTTTTATAAACTACCTTTGTAGACATTATTCTTGTCATCATTTGTTCCATTGCATGTCAGTGACCCGTAATCCAGCTGCAAATTTCAATATTTCACCTACACAGAGGAAGTGTTTGCTACTGTTCATGTGCATTATCAGTCCAAGCATGGCCAGCAACATCTAGGATCGCCACACAGATCCTTATAGAAAGATATGTCTATTGCTTCTTTTTTATTTTTATTTTTATTTTTTGTTATTTTTTATTAGAGACAGGGTCTTGCTATGTTGCCCAGGCTGGTCTTGAACTCCTGACCTCAAGTGATTCTCCTGCTTCAGCCTCCCACAGTGCTGGGATTACAGTCTTGAGCCACCATACTCGTCCTCTATTCCTTCTCATTGAGTCAGCTTTCTTGGCTGGGGATGCCTAGAATAAGGCTAAGCTGTATCATTCAGACAGCCAAAAGAACTCACCATGCCCCCAACAAAGCTAGATGGGCAATCTGTTCCAACAGAGGGACAATTTCTGAGCACACAGCACGTGTGCTTGTAGACAAAGGCAATTAGACCATTCCTGACCTCAAGAATGTAATTTGCCAATAGGACAGACTCGTGTATCAATAAAAACAAAATCTAGAGAGTTATATTAAGAATCCGCCCATAATTAGTGACCCCCCACCCCCTGTTCCTGTTCACAGGCAGCAAACTATTTCTAATCTTCCCCAACTTCTATTGACTGACTGGGGATGGTGGATTTTAGGCCCTCATTCATGTCCTGATGGAATAGGAAGGCTCAGGATGTAAAGAGGCAACCCATCAAAGGTAGCTTTGATGGCGACAGTGTGAAGCATGCCTGTTGTATAATAAAGAATTTGAATGGCCTTTGTCCCTGGTTCCTGGGAGGCATACTCTAAATACTTGAAATTTCCCAAGTAATTGGAATGTCTTTGTTATTCATGAGCTCCTTGGACCATATCTAAGGGGATGTGATCAAGGTGGCTCAGTGCACCAGAAAAACCAACTCTGTGATTAGAGGTTTGGGGCTTTGAGCCGGATGAGATCAGCTGACCTTTTCCAGGGAAGAGAGGGGGCTGGAGATTGAACAATCACATCACCAATGAGTCAATCAATCATGCCTACATAATGAAACCCCAATAAAAACTCTGGATACCAAAGATTGGTGGAGATCCCTGGTTGATGATTGCACCAATGTGCCAGGAAGAAAACACATATTGATCCCACAGAGCAAGGACAGGGAAGCCCCATATCCAGGATCCTCTCAAACTTTGCCCTAAGTGTCTCTTCATCTGGCTGGTCTTGATTTGTATCTGTTATGCTAAAACAATCATCTTAAGTAGAGCACTGTCCTGAGCCCTGTGAATTGTTCCAGCTAATTATCAAATCTGAGGGGGTCGTGGGAACTCTCAAATTTGCAGCCAGTTGGTCCAAACTGTAGGTGACCTAGGGACTCCTGGGCTTGAAGTGAGAGCAAATTTGTTGGGATCTGTGCCCTTCATTTGCAGAGTTGATGCTAACTCCACATGGTTGGCATCAGAATTGCATTGCGGTATTGTAACACCCATTCTCAATTCCTTACACACTTGCTCTTTAAAAAGTAAAGTAGTCCCTTCAAGGAGCAAAGCTCTTGCAGGCTGACTTGACCTCGCCTATCCCAACTCACCTCCCACTCCAGGCTGAGAATATCTATGGTCCAATTTCAGCAGGAAACCAACTCAAATGGGAAGACAAACACGACCATCATACAAAGCAGGCTCTTTGATAGGTGATATAATTGAGGCATAAAAAGTACAATGGATGGACAAAGAAAGAGTTCAGTAATTGATTGAGAGATTCAGAATATCTTCACAAAGGTAGGCATAGCCTTACAGATGTGCCTTAAGGATCAAAGTCACTCCAATGCCAGAGGGCATAAGAACAGCATGAGTAAAGGGTCAAATCACTGTGTCTAGTTAATAATGAGGAAAATTACAAATATATCTAAATTTTATTAATTCCTTACCATGTGCCTGAAACTCTGCTAAGCTCATTATTAGATTGGATATTCCAATGAATCCTTAATCCTAAGAGATAGAGTCTATTATACCCATTTTACAGATGAGGATACTGAGGCTTAGGTTAAGAAATTTGGTGAAGGATTCAAAGCTAGCAGCCCAGTGTGGCTGGAGAGAAGGAGGTTAAATGGAAGTGGATAGAAGAAGGTAGATTGTGAAAGGCTCTGAAAGTCTGCTAGAAACCCAGTTTTTTTTCCTATAAGCAATAGGGAGCCATCACAGGTGTTTGAGCAAGAGAGTAGTATACTCAGAACCAAGTTTTCAGAAAATAACTGTGGTGGCAGGAAATGCATGAAGCTCAGGAGACTGGGCAGATAGTGGGGAGAGTAGGCAGGAGAAGACAGTGCAGGTTATCCAAACAGGCCATCAAAAATACATCTACTTATAGGGCACGTCTTTCTGCACTGAGGTATGCGTTTGCTGCAGTGTTCTTGCCACTCCCACGCATTGCCTGAATTTGCTGGAATTCACACTCTGGATCAATTAATGGATACAGAGTCATATTTAAAAACCAAATCCAACATTGGCAGGCAACCTTCTAACTCCCGCTCCACATCCCAGATCTATAGACCCTTGGCTGAGTTCAGTCATCCTATTTCTCCAAGTTCTCTGTGTTTGGTTGCACCTGCCTTTGATGGATAATGAGTCTCAGAGTGCTAATCAAAGATTTTTATCCAAATGGCTTTTTAGACCGCTGAGCTGATGCAGAAGTACAACAGACCACCAGTCTGGTTATTGATCAGATGCTATTCAAGAATGCACACATCGAACTAGTTCTCTTCTGGCTCCTCCTAGAATTCAATAAGAATGAGTCAACAGAGAGTGTGAAAAAGTAAACAGAAGTCAAACGCGAAGCAACATCCTCCAAGACTCTGCTAAGAAAAATGCACAGCTAACTATAAATAAAATTAATACGGGATTTCCAGTGATGGAAGAAACAATCATTGCCACTTAAACCTGGTCCTTCTCACAACTTCCTGTTTTCATGGTTAGGTCTGTGCCCTATCTAGGTTCGACCAGAGAGGCCTGAAGAACTGTTAGACCCATTAGCAGGACTTTGCTGAATTCAAATAGCCAACCTGAGCATGGAAGAAATCAATAATAATCATTTTACTTAGTTCCTAAAACATTCTGGGTACTCAGCTCATAAATATTATTCTAGATTCCACGGTAAAGCCAAGGTCTCCTAAGGCTAAAAGCCAAGGTCTTCCTAGTAACACTAACTATAAGAACTGAAACAGAACAGAAACGTAATTGATTTCTCCTTCCTCTAGAGACTTAAAGGAGTTCTAAGCCCTCGAGGACAAGGGTGTCATGCATGGCTATGTCTGTATCTCTCTTACTCCCTGATGTCCTAGGAACCACTCTGTAAAGCACTCGTCTGAAAACATTTAAAGAGGACCCACTGAAATGTCCTCTCGCACAGGCCCTTGACACATAATCAATATACCTTTAAGCACACATATCTATATCTTGCATTAACCTTGCATTTCACCATGATTGAGGAGAGATCTGCTGAGCTTCATCTCAAAATCTTTTCTAATCTGACATCATTCCATAATAAATACATCATCATAAACAGGCAGAACTTACACATCAAAGGCACCTTTCAGAAACATTGCAAATGGGACAGAGAACCCAGAGTGTGGTTTGTAAATATGATTCCCTACAATGACTTAAAAGATACCAAAATGCATTAGATGTTGCCAACGGTCCAATACGGTGACTGAGAACCAGATCATTTTGTATATACACTGGAACCTTTTTATTGGCTCAAAGTATCTCCTTCCTTTGTTTTCAATCATCCAATTATAACCCAAAAAGAAAAAAGAAAACTGTCATCCTGTCACGTCAGATACTGTGTCAAGGGGCAAAGGTTTAATTTTTTCCATGAGGTATGTAACTAAAAAGTCAGGCAGGGCACATTGCAGTGGATGCTAACTAGAACTCTAACATGCCACAATATCCTTCCATAGAAACAGTCACTTTTAACAATGTGACCTTTTCTCTTGTCTTTAAGGGAGAAATAGGAGACAACAATTTTCCATTCACTATTATAAGTAAAAGAGTGGACTGACATTTGGGTCCTGAAGTGTTATTTGATGGGCTCAAGCTTACAAACATTTCCCCATTTAATCTCTATAAAGTCCCTGGTAGGTGGGAATTATTTTCCCATTGTACAGATTACAATTTAACCCAGAAGGAAATAAATGAGCATTCATAAGAAATGTTTTTAGAAAGATGTCACATTTTGAAACCAGACCTCTAAGTAGTGAAAGTAAATTCCCACTACGTTCATTACAGATCAGAAAACGTGAGACTATCCCAACAGCAGGATACTTTATTATCCCTTGGAATTCAGGCTTAATGAACCCTAGTCACCAGTCCCCACAGATCAGGCTCCTCAAAGCCTCATCCTAATCCAGTTCTTCTGGATCATGCAAGCTCTGTCTGCCTTCCCAAAAGAAACTAGCCTGGGCCTTATCCTAAACTAGGGGCTAAGAGCAGAGGCTACACACAGTCCTCGCAGTCCCTGAGGTGACTAATATTATCAAGTACCTTCTAAATGCCAGGCTCATCTACGGCCATACCACCCTGGACGTGCCCAATCTCGTCTACGTGCCAGGCTTGGGGGCATATGCAGATACATGGGACAGATCCCTTGGAGGATACAGACAGATAAGCTCATGGTTCCTGCACAGGGTGGTGTGGGCTCTTACTGCTGAGCTGAGACCTATGTGGTGACTGTGTTGGACTGAACCCCAGGGAAAGGTGTGGGGTCGGGTGTGATGGGCACAAACAGAAAAGTGGCTGTTATGATTCACAAACTTATTGCATGTCATTGTACGTTACAGGTAACTTTCAGTGCTCTCTGATGTATGGAGCATTAACAATATGGAACTAAACTAGTGTTTCTCATATCTTTCAATCACCACTTCCAATAAAAAATATTTTCTATTGGGAGGCCGATGTGGGAGGATCACGAGGTCAGGAGATCGAGAACATCCTGGCTAACATGGTGAAACCCCGTCTCTACTAAAAATACAAAAAATTAGCCGGGCCTGGTGGCGGGCGCCTGAAGTCCCAGCTACTCCGGAGGCTGAGGCAGGAGAATGGCGTCAATCCGGGAGGCGGAGCTTGCAGTGAGCCGAGATCAAGCCACTGCACTCCAGCCTGGGCGACAGAGCGAGACTGTGTCTCAAAAAAAAAAAAAAAAAAAAAAAAAAGAAAAGAAAAAAAAATTTTCTACATCATGATCCAGTACACATATGTACCCGTATCACTGAAAAAAAAGTTTGCCGAAAGAATTCTCTTTTTAGTACTTAAATGAATTCTGATGTTTTCTCTTCTCATTCTCTTTTCTTCCTTCTTTCAATTCTGGTTACAACTCTCTAATGGGTAGCAGCCCATAGTGCGAAAAACTTCGGTATAAACCTTTTAATAGGTGTGAGTGAGTTCTTATCATTTATTGATGTACTTCCTCTTCTCTCTTCCCCACTCTTTCTTCACCCCTCAAAAAAGTACCAATGAGGAAAGACGGACACTACTGTTTCCTGGAGGTCTGCCATGTGCCAGACACCAGGCTACGGCCTATCCTAGTGTTGTTTTGTTACTTCTCATACAGCCCTGTGGGTTTAGTATTACTGTGCCCATTTGACAGATGGAGAAACTGATGCTTGGCAATCGAGAGACTTGCTCAGTAGGCCAGGATGGAGCTAGGATTCAACTCCAGCTCCATCTAGCTCCAAAACTCCAATTAGAACATGTTGTACTTTGTGACACATTGTTTTGTAATCAAAGCTAACTTCATAGCAGGAATTTCATCAATCTCCTTGAGATAACTCAAGTCCTTGGAGTGTTCTAGAACCAAATTCAGGAGGCCCAACTACAGATAAGGAAAATAGATGGTGGGAATACTCTCAGGTTTCAATTTAATTTCCTTCTGTGTCCTCTGATTACCCTTAGGAAAGGCACTAATGAGGAGTGACCAGCAGCGAAATGGTACGTGAGAGGCAGCGGAGCACTGGCCTCGATAATCACACTCAACAGGGGCCGGCAGAACTGTGCTGACCGTTCTGGGTGACTCGTCACGAGATGCACCCAGCCCAGCCTCTTGCAGGCGGTAGAAAGTCAATAAATATTCACGAGAGGGAATGTGAACACAGGCAGACCGAAAGTAAACACAACACTCAGCGCCTGCTGTTTTATTTTTTAAAGTCTTCGGAAACCATGTTAAGTGAAACTCTTTGATGAGAGGGAATCTTACTTGGATCACTAAAGATACTTCACTGGATACTTCTGTTCTTTTAGCCCCATAATTAAAGATACATTTGACTAAGATACAAGGTATAGTAAATGTAGGCAGGTCAGAGGAAATGTTCAGCCCAAAAATATGTCTGTGAATAATGTTCAGCCGAAATAATGTTCTGGGGAAATTATTGGCAAGGTCATGTTAAACTATTGCGTCGTTCCTTGGTGGCACCCCAGACCTAATATAACTTGACATTTGGTGAGAACACATTAGCTGGTCAGTCTTGGCAATGCTACTTCTAAGTGGTAATACCTCTCAAGAAATTTTAAGAACCGACGTATATTTTAAAAAGACATAGTAAATGCAATTTTGACTTATACACACAACAAATTAAATAATTTATTTGACAAATGGTCTTAGGGTTTATACTCATTGTGTGGCTTGCTGGGTAGCAAAATGTTTATAGTTTAGCTTGGCATATAAATTCACATAGAAATATTAGCTATGTTTTTTGTCTAATCATCAAGTGTTATTTTCTCGGCACCTCTTAGTGATAACAATTTTGCCTAGTCCTCATTTCTTTGCAAGTTCCATGGTGAAAAAAATCCCAAATGTGCTAAAGAATCCATTGCCTGCTTATGAAACATAAAAGCTTATGAAAACATGGCACGCACTCAAGTACACCAGTTTGTTTTTAAATATTTTAATAGTGTGCACTGCTGCGTTAGGAGCAAAATGGGTATTACGCCCAATCTTACATCTAGTGTGTACTATACTTTGATCGTTCTATCAAAAGATCAAAATTTAAATATCATGTAAATTATATTTTATACATGTTCTCCTTTGCATGAAATCAAACAGAATACTTGTTTCTTCTCTAAACACATGAGAATATAAACAAGCAACATATTTAAACTGAAGAAGCACTCACTACTTCATTCCATTAAAGAATGCCCTCAGGTAGCGATTAAAATGAGAAATCTTTATGTTTTCTTACAATAATTCCAAATGTCTATGCTCATGGTTTCCAATTCTTAAGCATATTCTTAATATTTATTTTAAAGGTTCTTCATTTAATTATGGATGTTTTTTCATAAGAAATGCTACTTAAGCCCTTTTCTTGAAAACTGTGAGAGATTCTGTAAATCAGTAGAAATAATAGCAGAACTTGAATAACTGATATTGAATCTCTAATAGCTAAGAAAAGTTGTCATTTTCATAACAGCTAAATGTAAAGTATGAGCGCTGATTGGATCCTGGCTTTTAAAAAAAACTGTAAAGAACATTCTTAGGACAATGGGGGAAATGTAAAATTAGACAGGATATAAGATGTTATAATAATGCATTTGTTAATTTTCTTAAGTGTAATAAAAGCTCTATGATTCTTGAAGAAAATGTCCTTAGTCTTAGTGCATGCATGACGTAGTTTCTAGGGATGAAATGTCACGATGTATGAAACCAACTTGATGTATGAAATGGAAAAATGGCTCAACAGTGGCCGGGCGCGGTGGCTCATGCCTGTAATCTCAGCACTTTGGGAGGCTGAGGCGGGTGGATCACAAGGTCAGGAGATCGAGACCATCCTAGCTAACATGGTGAAACCCTATCTCTACTAAAAAATACAAAAAATTAGCCGGGCTTGGTGGCGGGCGCCCCTAGTCCCAGCTACTCGGGAGGCTGAGGCAGCAGAATGGCATGAACCCAGGAGGCAGAGCTTGCAGTGAACTGAAATTGAGCCACTGCACTCCAGCCTGCGCTACAGAGTGAGACTCCGTCTACAAAAAAAAAAAAAAAAAAATATATATATATATATATATATATATATATATATATATATTTGGACATATAATTAGATCAAAATATGAAGCAGCAAACATGGCAAAATGTTAATAATAGCTGAATGTCGGTGGAGGGGATAGAGATGTTCCTTGTATTATTCTTTTACTTTTTTTTCATGTATGAAAATTTTCACAATAAAAAGTGACAGGGGAAGACGAAGAGTTGTTTTCATTTAAGCATGTATATACATTGACTCCTGAACCAAACCAGGTACAGATAAAATATTGCATTACATGGAAAGCAAATGTTTCATTTTCTGGTAGCAGTATACATAAGAAAATCAATTTTCTACCATTGACCCGGAGAAATTATGGCGGCCCTCTGGCCACAACCACAGGGAGCAGCTGATTGACATGCACCACGTGAATTAGAGCCAATGAGTCAGGATCCCCAGAGGGCAATCCATACTGCCCAGCCAGTTTACATGGCAACACGTATCCTTTTCAGACTACAGACTGACAGCAGGGACCTTTGAGCCCAGAACCCTCTTAGCAGACAGAATCCAAAACTTTGCCAGGCTCCATTTTCTAGAGTTAGCATATGACATGAACCTAAAGCTAAATTTTAAATATCAGCTGTCTACACATTCATTCACTAAGGATGAATTCCTATTTCCCCCTATTTATCTGCTCAATCAAGTAGACTTCCAGGTTCAAAATGAGGCAAAAATCCTAGGGTGCTACCCTCAGAATTCAACTTAAAACTAAAAATAATGTACTGGAATCATATGAGAAATTTTAGAGAGAAAAATCTATAAACATTCTATACAGGTATGTTGAGAGTATTAAAAATAAGGTTAAGACCTATGAAACAAAACAACGGGATGTTTCTTTTTCATAAGTAGAATCATTTCCTTTTGGGGCCCACATCTCAACGTTTCTGGGCACTCATCACTATCAAGTCAAAGTGCAAAATAGCTCTTCCCAACTCATCCAGAATCTCATAAACTTTTTAAATCAGATTGAACTCGAACTAAGCAATAAGCACTAAATAATTTTCAAGTATCCCAATGCAGTCAATGACTCTACTTCAGTAGAACCTTTTTCTGTCCTTTTATTTTTGATCATTTCTTTTTCTCCCTTATCCAATTCTCTCTCATTGTTGTAATTGCTATTCTCTCCCCATTTTCTTTCTGTCTCTTTCCTCCTTCCCTCCCAATCCCTTCAGGCCTACCAGGGCCACCCAAAGGCATTGTTATCACTGGGGTTAAATTCCTGGCCCTGCCCTGTAAAGAATCCTGAATCCTGATGTGGTCCATAAAGCCTGATGGAAACAGGCTGCCCACTGAAACAGTTACAGGAAGAATGGTTCACTTTCCTTTAACCAAAGAACAATTATCCCGTTTATGGGTGCTTGGGGCCCTTTCCCTTCTCCTTACGCCTGCCTTTGATCTTTAACCAGTCATTTATGGCTCTCTGGAAGGGAAGCAGGAAATCATGATACTGAAACCTCATTTTTGCTTCACGCTATTCCAATAGGAAGCACGGTGTAGGAGGATCGAAGACATCAGAAAGTTTGGGGAATATCTGTGGACTTCCCCTCTCCAAGAAAGTCCTGAATTCTGTTCAATGCCCCCATTTTCTGATTTCTTGAAAAGTTTCTGGTCTACCTGTAAGCACTAAGGAGTAAGGAAAAACACATATTAAACAGTCTTCACCAGATAAAATTTTTTTTAAGTTATTTGCCAGAGAGGTATGAGTGATTCCATTTGCTTACCAAAAATATACTGTCTATGATAACATACTGTCAGTATGTAATGAAGCATGAATTAACCAAGGGCCCTCCATCTCTAGGAGACCTGAATGATGAACCTACTTCAAAAACTGTAGGGAGGATGAATCTCTGGCAACATTCCAGCCAAAAGGCCAGGGGTCCAAAGGCCCCTTTGCTGCCTCCAGACTATGCCAACCACACAGGGGAACTGGTGAGAAAACTCAAACATCAGGCCAGGTGCGGTGGCTCACGCCGGTAATTCCAGCACCTTGGGAGGCCGAGCGGGGCAGATCACCTGAGGTCCAGAGTTCGAGGCCAGCCTGACCAACATGGAGAAACCCCGTCTCTACTAAAAATACAAAATTAACTGAGCATGGTGGCGCATGCTTGTAATCCCAACTACTCGGGAGGCTGAGGCAGAAGAATCGCTTGAACCTGGGAGGTGGTGGTTGCAGTGAGCCAAGATCATGCCATTGCACTACAGCCTGGGCAACAGGAGCAAACTTCTGTCTCAAAAAAAAAAAAAAGAAAAAAAAAAAAGAAAGAAAGGAAAAGAAAGAGAAAACTTAACCATCAGGGCCAAGAGCTTACAGTTGAAAGCAGTCTGGGGTAGGGGGATGTTCACAGGAGTGGAGAAACATATGCCCCTGGGCAGCAAGGTAGACATTTGGAAACACTAGCCAAATCAAACCACCAGTAGCCTCCAGGAGTGATCTGAGCCCCCTCCTGAGCCTGATCCTCTCAAGGCCGCAATTTCATTACCCGCCACATGGGGGTAATAATAGTGTCCCCTAACTCGTAGGGTCGTTGTAAAGATTAAATGATCAGTATGCATAAAGTGCTTAGAACAGAGCTTGACACACGGTGAGCGCGATATAAATGCTAGCTAATTGCTATTCTAGGCTAGCAGCATGCCTACACAAAAGCCTTCCAAAGAAGGCTTACCTTTTTTAATCCCCACCTACTACAGCACTAACCAGTCGGAAGTACCCGGTCTACTTCAGTCGGTCTACTACAAACGACCTACTACTAACCAGCCAGGAATACCCATGTCTTTGGTTCCATTCTCCAAACCATTCTTTGATTTCCTGTTTAAGCCCAGAATCTCTGCAGTGGTCTCAGCTAAGACCAAATGAGCAAGACTCCTTTCCATAGCAACTAGGTTCAGGTATGAAATTGCAGTATGGCAACATCCTATGATTAAAATGGAAATTGACACAGGATTAAAATGGAAATCTACCTGACATGCACTTCAGAGCCCACACGTTCTCAGTGGGGAAGTTCAGCAGCTTCTAATAAGTGTCCCTAAGGCTGTAACACTGCGAACCTCAAAAACTAACCTGATTGAAGATGCATAGACGTTACCCAACACATTAGAAAGGTATAAAAAGCAGTGATCGTCAACAAAGTACATGGCCCCAGAGTCTGTGATATAAACAGGTAACTGGCCCCTGCCACACCTGGGTGACACAGTGAGTCAGTTCTTCAAAACAGGCAGGTCCACTGGCTCTCAAGCTCTGAGGCTGTGCCACACCTGGACAGCGTGTTGACAATACTTACGCATTACAATAGGGCTTCTTTTCATAGCCTTTGTAGTTGTTCATGTTGAGTGCCATCTTGCAGACCTCACAATGGAAACATCCTTTATGCCAATACTGGAAAAAAAAAAAAAACATTTAAAAATACAGTACAATGCCAGTTCTCACCAGGATGGGCACAGAAGGAAGGCTTTTTAGTGCATCACAGTCCCTGTAGCTGAAAATATTACAACAAAAAGAGTGTAGGGAACTGGGGATGTGTTTACCTACTTTCAGCTAAGTAAATAAAGCAGGCAGCTCTGAAAATGGAGTCTTAAAGGAAAACCCACCGCAATACACAGACGCACCATGGACGAACTGTCAAGGTTCTGTCGAAACAGCACTTCTTTGAGCAGCCAGAAACGATTTCTGAGCTCGGTTAATGAAGAAACGGGGCCCAGAGAGTGGCTTCGAAACCAAAAGGAATCCAGTTCAAAGTGTCTAAATGCAGGGTTTGTAGGATCTCAATAAATATGTGTTCACCCGAAGTCAGGCAAGCTGAGGGGGCTGCACGAGAGCTATGTAAGTACCCCTACACCTGACCAGCTTCCACTAAAATGCTGGACCTCGGACTCTGCCCGGGATGACTGTCAGGATGGCAGCTTGTTCTAAGGAAGCATTTGTATCTTCAGACGCAAATTTCCCCAGAACGCCCCTGGCTGGTTTCAACTGTCAGTCACTCCGGATCGCTCCTGGGTGTCTCTCTCCCGGGCTGTTCATCTCCGTCCCTGCCCGGGAAGGGCAGGGGGCAGGGCTGGAGGGGCCCGGCTACAGAACTACTTCCCCTGGAATTCCCCACCCGGTGGATTAGACACCCGTGGGTCCGGCTTGCCGCGCTGAGCCGGAGCTCTCCAGCAGGGATTATTCTTAGCAATGCGGCAGCGGCCGCCCCATGACATATTAATTACTATTTGCCTCTCCCCCTCGCCGCGGTCACAGGAGGCGCTGCGGGTGGGCGGTGAGGTGGGATCGCGGGCGGATCTGTGGGGCGGGGGGCGGGGGTATTGTGGAACACGAGTGGAGGTGGAGGGGGCGCGGCTCGCCGAAGTGCCCCCCTGGGTGCCCAGCCTGGTCCCTCCGGGGTCCGGGGCTGCGCACCGCCGTGCGCCCTCCGCAGAGGCTCTGCCGATGTCGCACCGCCCCGCACCGCGACAAAAGCCCTTCCCGGTTCCAACATCACAATCGCCAAGCGTGGTCTCTGACACTCCCGCTGGCGTCTTCGTTCGCGCGCCCTCCCCCCGTGCCAAGGCACACGCACACGCACCGACCCACTCATTGCTTTCCATCCCAGGTGCCAAAACTTCTCGAAGCAGGTGCAGCCCCTCGCCCGGCAGGTCCAGGCTGGCCCGGCGCCCCCTCGCTCACCTTATCCAGGCAGTTGACTTTCTCGGTGGGATACACGACTTTTCCGCAACGGGCGCACTGGGGGTTCATGATCGCGGTTCCCGGGGGCGGCGGCGGCGGCGGCTGCTGGCTCCCAGGAGCCGCTGTGACATCCCCCGGCGAGCCCCGCACCGCCTCCTGGCAGGCGGGAGGGCTGCGGGCGGCGGGCGCCGGGTAGGGAGTCGGCGCCGGGCCACGGGTGAGTGCACGGGGAGGGCGACGGGGCCTGGCGCCTGGGGCCGGCCGCGCTCTCGGGCTCGCAGGCGCTGGGTCTCGGCTCCGGCTCCGGCTCCGCGCCGCTGGCTCTGCGTCGCTCGCACTCCAGGTACGGGTGACTCACACAGTCACTCGCGCCCGCCCCTCGCGCTCACTCGCTCCCCCGCCTCGCCGCCGCCGCCGCGCAGGCCAAACCCACCGGCGCGCCCGGACCGAAGTGGCAGGGAACGTGCACGTCGGGCACCCTGGGAGGGAGGGCGCAGCGGGGGAGGGGGCGGGCAGAGACCCGGAAAGCTCCGCAGACCGCCGTGGGTGCGACTGTGCGGCCTGGGGAGTGAGCCTCGCGCCACCGCCGCTGCAGGCCGGGGAGCCCAGGTGGGCGGCGGCTGGGGAGGGAGGGATCCAGGCGGGGGAGGTGACAAACACCGGTGGGGAGAGTGCTCAAACCCGCGTACTCCCTTCCCTCCCTCTTCTCTTCCCCAGCCGGGGGCACCCTCATCCCAGGCTGACTGACGTCCCTGGCACCCAAATGTCGCGGGGAGTGCGGGGCCAGGGTGCGCCCTCCCTCCTCCTCCAGCCAGTGAAACCCGGGACAGCGGCACCCAGCCCCAGGGCGGAGGCCGTCTCTGCTGCGCGCAGCGACGCACCCAGGCCCAAGGGCCGGGAGATCCGCGGGGAACCCGGAGACCTGCGTCCCAGAGGGGCCGAGGGTTGCACCGCGCCCGCTCCCACGGGCCTCTTCCGAGAGGACGCTTCTCCCTCGTGTCCGCGGGAAGTCCTCGGATCCTGGATGAGAAAGAGCCTTCTCTCACCGGCTCCCAGACCCCGCGCTTTTTAATACCTGTCCTTGCAGAGCGACTGGTCATTTTAGGCCCGAGTCGAGCCTCTCTTGATTAATAAATGAATATGGCTCGTTTTGTTTTAAGTGTGCGTGGATGTATACGTTGTATTGTTTTGCAATTCAACACCGCAAAGATCTGGGAAAAGTTCTTCACCTGCATTAAGGAAAGCAATTACAAACTCGTAGTCCAAACCAGAAGAGCCAGAAAATCAAGTAGAAGGCTCAGGGTAGGATGAAACCAAAGGGAACAGGAATCGTTTCTTCCTTTTAATAAGATGTCAGGTTATTGGACTCACTTGATGAGAGGCAGCAAAATGAATCGAACACAGCCTGGGTTCAAAGCCTGACCCCGCCATCTAATGATGTGACCTTCTGCAAATTCTTAGTCGCTCTATGCCTCAATTCTTTAATCTACAAAATGGGAATAAGGACGCAGCTACCGAACAGCTTCTACTCTCCTGCTGTGAGGATTAAATGAGTCAGCAGTTCCGAACTGCTTCAATCGGCCTGGCTCAAGGGAAGCTCCACGGAAGAGTCAGCTAGGATTATTATAAATTGGTTATAACAAAGAAGCGAACACATTCCGTTGCTAGCGCACAGATTAAGACTCAATAATGCCACATACCAACTGCCACTGCTCTGACAAATATTTCTGTCATTTCAAAAAAATATCATGGCTGCAGCTTTTCATGACAAAAGAAAACCATTGGTTTCTGGGCCTCTTAAACAGCTGCACTGATGGACATATTCATAATAATGCTGTACTGTTTGACTTTCCAGAAGATGTAACTTCTTTAAAGGATTCACCAAATTCAACAGCCCCTGAGCCACTCACTCACTGCCATGTTCACAAGTCCACCTCAAAAGCAAATAAAATGAGAATTTGCTGTCAGAGAGGATCAGCTGTCTTTTAAAAATATTTCAGAGCTCATTAGAAATGTATGACGAGGGGAAAAAAAGTATGTGATCGCCTGAAAGGCAGTAGTTTTTTTTTAAACATTTACATTTTCATAACTGTAGATCATGAAATATAGTTTGAATATCTTATTCTCTTTTTCAAATTGTAAGCACAAAATTCAGAGCAAGAATGTTGGTGATATGTGACATTATAGCTGATTACATCTAACCTTTGAACTTTAAGTTATGTTTAATCTTTTTTTTTTTTTCTGAGACAGGGTCTAACTCTGTCACCCAGGCTGGAGTGCTGTGGCACAGTCATGACTCACTGCCTCAGTGAGTGGCAGCCTCGACCTCCCAGGCTCAGGTGATCCTCCCGTCTCAGTCTCCTGAGTACCTGCGACCACAGGCATATGCCACTATGCCCTGCTAATTTTTGTATTTTTTGTAGAGATGGGATCTTGCGGTGTTGCCCATGCTGGTCTCAAACTCCTGGGCTCAAGCGATCCTCCCACCTCAGCCTCCCAAAGTGCTAGGATTACAGGCATGTGGCACCACACCCAGATACATTTTATAATTTCTTACCAAACCAGCAATGATCACAGTGCCTGACATACAGTATGAATGAAATGAACAAATACATTAAAACCATATTCATGTGATATTTTATTCTCTGAAGAAGCGATACATGCTCAGAGTTACATTTTTCTCTCATTTTTTTCTCATTTTCTACATCAAACCAGCTTCTAAGTTTCTTAATGCCATTTTACTGATGTAAGAAGAATTTTAATACCATCTGTCTTAAAAGGACTCCTTTATTTTCAAATTCAAAGTACTATAAACAAAGAATTGGCAGAAACCTGTCCTCTAGCCAGTCTTCTCTCTTCAATAATGATTGAATTGTCTACTGGGGAGAACTTTTGCCCTTCCATGTCTTTTTCACTCGACTGGTTAAGAAATTGTTCCTTGTGTTAACTCTACCCCAATATCTCTACTTTAATTTCAATCCTTTTCCGCTGACAGGGACACTCACAGATATACAAAACAATTGACCTTCATCACTATCCTAAAAACACTTCTGTATTTATAAAGTTGAATTTTTTTTAGCTAAAATCCCCAAATCTCCTTACTTTTTCCTCCTATTTATGAAAGCCCTATTTATGCAAAATCAATTATAATCACCTTTATTATTCAGGCTACATAAATTGAACTCCAAATAAAAGTTTTAAAGCATAACTAATATCACAAAAGGCCAAACAATGGCTTTGACTAATACCAGTTTGGATGCAGAGTGTGATGGATAGTATGATTTGTTCACAATTTTTTTTTCCTTCTATTCTGGCACACTTCCTATAGGCAGTGTGCCTTTCCCCACTGAGCTTGGCCGTGTGACTTCCTTCGGCCAATGGAATGTGAGTGGACATGACATATGTCGTATCTGAGCAGAAGCTTCAAATGCGCTTGCATAGTTTGCCCCTGTTCTCCCACCTTTTGGGCTTTGGCCCTTGGCCTTGAAAAGATCATACTGCAGGGAGGTGACTGTTTCTTTGACTTTTGTTCAAGAATGAGACGGGCTGAATCATGCCCAACAGAGCCACAGCAAGCCCACAGCCTTCACATGACGGGAGTAAGAAATAATTGTTATAAGTCACTGAGATTTGGGGGATTGTTTTGTTACTGCAGCAAAAGCTCACTAGTATGTCAATGATGAGACTTCAAGAGAAATGTTTTCCACTTCATCAACAACAAGAAACTAATGAATTTACATAAAAGATTCAGTATACAGTCTTTATTTTTCCTTTTTTTTTTTTGAGATGGAGTCTCGCTCTGTCCCCCAGGCTGGAGTACAGTGGCATGATCTCAGCTCACTGCAAGCTCTGCCTCCCGGGTTCACTCCATTCTCCTGCCTCAGCCTCCCGAGTAGCTGGGACTACAGGTGCCCACCACCACGCCCGGCTAATTTTTGTATTTTTAGTAGAGATGGGGTTTCACTGCGTTAGCCAGGATGGTCTCGATCTCCTGACCTCATGATCTGCCAGTCTCGGCCTCCCAAAGTGCTGGGATTACAGGCGTGAGCCACCGTGCCCAGCCTACAGTCTTTATTTTTCTAAAAGGTGAGCCGTTAGAAGTGTAGTGGCCAATAAAGTATAGAGCTCTTATTATTAATTATTTCATCATCTCATTTTATACAGCTCAACTGCATGTTTTCCATTTGTCAGGTATTGTATAAAATTGTGTATGTTGTTCCTAGCTGACTCAAATTCACCGTGGAGGAAAGTTTTCGCAACCAACAACTTTGGTGGCAAAAGGAAAGGAAAAAGGTCAATTTTAGCTCACAGTTTCATTTGATATCCACATATGAGCTTTAACCTAATGAAGCATTTCTCCAAAGATCTTAAGCACTGTAGAAAAATTATCTCATTTGCCATTATAATATTTCTGCAAGTCAATGAGAAATGTAAAATACAAACATTAGGGGAAATTCAAGATTCAGAAGCTATTACAGAAACAATTACCTTCCTTCATCCATTCAACATATAGTTATTGGTAGGCAGGATGTTAGGCACCAGGAAATGCATTGGGGAATAAGACATGATCTCTGCTTATAATAAAATCTAGTGGGACTGATAAGTAAGCAAAGAATTATAATACAATATGATAAATGCTCTAAAATAAAACTCTACTCTAGATACCATGGAAGAACAGAGGAGAAATTTCTAATTCACACCGGGAAGTCAGGAAAAGACAGCTAGAAGAAGTCGTCATTACTACACATCTCACCAGGAGTTGGAGCTACCATATTTCCTCTCCCACAGAAAATATAAGACCCCCTAAAGTGAAGGGTTTGGGTGTTTACTATTTTTCCTGTTTTGGGGATTATTCTGCTTTGGCATACATGCTGAAAATTTAATTACATCACTTCAATGCCCCAACATAGCACAGCACAGTGACAAACTTCAAATAATGATGAAACATTCCTTGGTAGATGACATATCAAAATAAGTCCCAAACTTCCAATTTATCAAAAGCATCTGTAGATATCAACTCATAATTGCAAGTGTGAGCTAAAACCTTTCTAGACTCGGAAAGAGGAAAAAAGAAAGGTAGGAGGACAAGCAACCCTTGTTTTGCCCCTTCTGGGATTGAGTCTCTTGGGATAAAGGACAAGACAGACCCTTTGTGGCAGGCAAAATAATCCACTCCCTAAAATGTCCACATTTTGATGCCCAGAACTGGTGAATATATTGCTTTACACAGGAAAAGGGACTTTGCAGATGTGATTAAGTTAAGAATGTTGAGACGAAGAGATTATCCCAGATTATCCAGGAGGATCCAGTGTAATCACAAGGGGCCTCCTAATGAAACTGTCCCTATAAACTCTATAAAATTAATCAGGGAAGAAGGGAGGGGGAGAAACAAAAATAAACCAAGCTTATAGCTCATGCAGCCTTAATCACAGGGTCAGCCTGCTCTCTGACCTGCTGCCTCATCGTTATTTGGGGCCTATTGCTTCAGAATCACATAGACCCTGTTACAAGATTATAGTTCCCCTTAACTACTCCATAGATAACAACTTGGACATTATGAGACATCAGTTTTCCCTTTGAGATATTCTTGCAGGTCCTGCATACCACTGAGGCCAGCTGCTCTGAAGGGCCCCACAAGAAGCTGACTCACCAAAGAATGCAGCGTCCATGTCCTGATCATTTCATCCCCCTTACCCCTACCAATCAATGACCCCCCGCTCCAGCCCCTCACGCTCCATCATCCCCTTAAGAACTCCAGCCCAAAACTCCTTGAGGAGATAGATTTGAGGATCTCCTCCCACCTCCTCACTCGGTGCTCTGCGATCATTAAAGTTTCTCTGCTGCAAACCCTACTGTTTCAGTGTATTGGACCATTACTGTGCAGTGAGGCATTTGCATCTGTTGGTCCTATAACACTAAGAGGGAGGCAAGAAAATCAGAGTCAGGGAAAGAGATGTGACAAAAAAAAAAAAGCAGAGATCAGAGAAAGAGATTTGAAGATGCTACACTGCTGGCCTTGAAGACGGAGGAAGGGGAAGGGACCACAAGACAAGGAATGTGGGTAGCATCTAGAAACTAGAAATGGCAAGGAGGCTGGGAGGGATGGCTCACACCTGTAATTGCAGCACTTTGGGAGGCCAAGGCAGGCAGATCACTTAAGGTCAGGAGTTGAGACCAGCCTGGCCAACATGATGAAACCCCATCTTTACTAAAAATACAAAAATTAGCTGGGTGTGGTGGTATGCACTTGTAATCCTAGATACTCAGGAAGCTGAGGAAGGAGAATTACTTGAACCTGGGAGGTGGAGGTTGCAGTGAGCTGAGATTGTGCCACTGTACTTCAGACTGGGTAACAGAGTGAGACTCGGTCTCAGAAAAAAAAAAAGAAAAAAGAAAAGGCAAGGAAACAGATTATCTCCCCGAGCCTCCTGAAGGAACATGCCCCTCAGAACTGTGAGATACTAAATGTGTGCTTTTAGCCAATTAATTGTGCTGTCACAGCAGCAAAAGGAAACTAATACACCCTCTCTGTGTGAATTCTGATCTCTCTTTAGGGAAATAATGACGTTCTGGGACTTCTAAAATAATCAGTTGGAAAGGGAGATGGTATGATTCCTTCTCGTTGTTGTCCTCCATGAAAGAGACCTTAAAACAAAGTGGGTAAAATTTCAACAAGTGTCATTCTCTTTCTCCGCCCCATCGAAATGAAAGGGCTTATTTTACTTGCAGTCTTCAGATAATTGCCTCACTTCTCCATTTAATTTTGCACAGGTAGACACAAGCATTCTAGGTAGTTTGCAAAGTCAACATATTTCTTTCCAAATTCCCCCTCCTTCTCTATAGAGCAACTCCATTAGTAGCATCCTCATCTTCTGATCCAGAACCCTAAAAATCAACAATAACTCCTTCCTCTCTCCCTAAGCCACCTTGTCCAGCTATCTAATTCTGCCAATTTTATCTCCAAAAAAAGCTCTTGAATCATCCCCACACCCAGACCCAATGCCACTGCCTTAGCTAAGCAATTTCTCATGTCTTCCCTGGTTGGTTTTGTAATGATAAGACTCTCTGAGGTCTTATCATCATAGGAGGCAAGAAAGGGAGGTAGGATTTTACTCTCCTAGACAGGATGTAGAAATGTGGTAGATTAGAAAATCATTACCTGCAGGCCTGGGACCTCTGCACTGTATTTTTTTTAAATAAAAATTAATTCATGTAGGCCAGGCACAGTGGCTCATATCTGTAATCCCAGCATTTTGGGAGGCCAAGGCAGGCAGATCCCTGGAGGTCAGAAGTTCAAGACAAACCTGACCAACATGGCAAAACCCCATCTCTACTAAAAATACAAAAAATTAGCCAGGTATGGTGGCACACACCTGTAATCTCAGCTACTCGGGAGGCTGAGGCAGGAGAATCGCTTGAACCCAGGAGGGAGAGGTTGCTGTAAGCCAAGATCGGGCCATTGCATGTCAACCTTGGCAACAAAAGTGAAACTCTGTCTCAAAAAAAAAAAAAATTATCCAAAGTGAATGTAGCCACGTTCTGCGCACGTATCCCGGAGCCTAAAGTAAAATAATAAGAAAAAATAAACAGAGATGAAAAAAAAAAACCAAAGTGAAGGTAGCGTTTTCTGTAAACTGGTTAAAAAAAACAGAGAGCTATCATATACTGTCGGTAAGAGGGAGACTCATGATCATTTTCCCCATATGCAGGAACCCAGGAAAAACTGAACAACCCACCTTCAAAAAGGAAGAAATCTTTGTAAAACTGGGCCACCAGAGGAAAAAAACAACCCCCTCTGTAATAGGATCAATTCAAGGGTCTTCAGCTGAGCGGCCTGCATTAGCATAACATCTCTGACCTTTCCGGGTGAGCTTCTTGCGACACCACGTGCTGCTTTTCACCCTCATCTGCCAATCATACCTGCTTCTTCATGCACAGGTTTCCTTGCCCACAGAGCGTACTTTCCCACAATTTCCCTCTATAATGTTGGCTGGCCGTGACCACACGTGGGCCCTCCTGCTTCTCTTGGCATCTTTTCATCTTCACCTCCCACAAACAACAGCCTTATTCTTTCTTATTTCCAGTAAGTATTCCAAAGAAAAACATGTTGACTGGCCCAGCTCACTTTTGCACATCTCTGGGTCATGAATCTATGTCTGGGTTGTCCTGCAGCCATGCCTAAGCAGTTCTGGAGGAAGTGAGGAGGTGGACTGGACAGGACCAAATGGGGCACAGGGACCGCCCATCAGCAGACGCATCTGATGGCCTAACCGATCCAGAATATTAAGGGAAACTCAAGAACAAAAATGGCGGAGGGCTAAGACTCATTTTAAAAAATCTGGATATCATTATAAACTAAAATTTAACCACGGACAGGATATGGCTGCTGGCTTTTTTTTTTTTTCCTTTTAAAAATTCATTTTAGGGTTGGGCACGGTGGCTCACACCTGTAATCCCAGCACTTTAGAAAGCTGAGGCCAGAGGATCAAAGAAGGCCAGGAATTTGAGACCAGCCTGGGCAACAAAGCAAGGCCCTGTCTCTACCAAAAAAAATAATAATAACTAACTAGGTGTGGCGGTGTGTGCCTGTAGTCCCAGCTACTCAGGAGGCTACGGAAGGAGGATCGTTTGAATCCAGGAGTTCTAGGCTGCAATGAGGTATTATCGTGCCACTGCACTCCAGCCTGGACAACAGAAACAGACCTTATCTCTAAAAAGAAAAAATATATAATTTTAAGATAAATTAGTAGAAGTGCGTATATTCTTGTCTTTAAGACAAATATTCCCATTTCCAAGAAGTAAAAGTAAATAAAAAGAAGAAAGCCATGATGTCCTCAGAAGAAAGCTCTGAGACTTAGCAACTAGAAAACTGCAAGTTCTGAGGAATAGTCCAAAGATCCACACATGTGTTGTCCAACAGAAATATAATGAGAGCCGCAAATGTGAGCCACATGTGTAATTTTAAATTTTCTGGTAGCTATATTTTAAAAAGTAATAAGAAACAAGTGATGATATTTTAGCAATATATTTTATTTAACCCAATGTATCCAAAATATTATTTCAATATGTGATCAGTATTTTAAAAGTTAATGAGATCATTTACATTGGCTTTCTCATACTAATGCTTCAAAATGCAGTACCCACTTTATATTTATAGCGCCTCTCAAATTGGACTAGCCACATTGCAAGTGCTTCAGAGCCACCGATGGCCCATTGGACAGCATAATATTCATTCACCCTAAGACAGAAAGCAGGTGGCATGAACAGGGCCAGGGTCAAAGAACTGGGCAGGATTTGCATCTGCTTACTCTGAAGGGTTCCAGGCAGGAGTAATCACACTAGGGGCCCCCCAAGCAGGGACACCACCAAATTCTGCTGACATGAAAACCGCTGATACACTCACCTCCCTCTCTGTTCCCAGATCTCTGCCCAGCAGCATGAACGAGAGAGAAATAGCAGAGATGAATGAATGAGTCACCATGAGAGAGAGACAAGAAGAGGGCAGAGAGGGAGGAAGATGGGGAAGGAAGAAATAAAGTGAAGAAGGGAAGGAAAGAAAGGCGTGAGGACAAATAGACAGGGTTGGAAGAGGGGAGAGCCGCAACCACAGGACAAGAGGGCGTCTGGACACCACCAGAAAGAGCACAGATGCAGGGACCTCTCAGCAAACTTAACAGGGCAAACAGAAGAGAAAACAAGGAAAGGGCCCCATGAATTCAGGGAGGCTGCAGGGTTTTCTGAGCCCAGAAGTGAACAAAAACCAAGAGTCTGGAAAAAATCAGCAGGGCAGTCTCAAAGACAAATGCCATCCACATCATTTACAAAAGTAGAATGTTTTGTTTTATATTAACAAATTAATTCAGTTGCTTAGTCTACTTGTGGTCAACTAACTCTGCATTTAAGCTCAGTGCAAATGGCTTAAGCTCCTGGGAATGAGGCCCCACTTGCAGGCCGGACATAAGGAGGACATAGTTGCAGGGTGATATGGTTTGGCTGTGTCGCCACCCAAATCTCATCTTGAATCATAGCTCCCACAATTCCCATGTGTTGTGGGAAGGACCCAGTGAAAGGTAATTGAATCATGGGGGAGGGTCTTTCCCATGCTATTCTCGTGATAGTGAATAAGTCTCACGAGATCTGATGGTTTTATTAAGGGGAGTTTCTTTGCACAAGCTCTCTTCTCTTTTCTGCCGCCATGTGAGACCTGCCTTTCACCTTCCACCTTCCACCATGATTGTGAGGCCTCCCCTGCCACTTGGAACTGTGAAGTCCGTTAAACCTCTTTCTTTTGAAAATTTCCCAGTCTTAGGTATGTCTTCATCAGTGGTGTGAAAACTAATACACAGGCCAAGCTTTTAATGAGTGAAAAAGGGAAGCCTGGCCCAAATGAAAACTAAGCTAGTAGTCCACGTGACTATTACTTTTGTTTTCCTATTTCTCTGATCATTTTCCAGTGAAATATGGGTGCAAGCTTGTCCAAAGGTGTTTTCTTGTCTCAGATAATGCAACAAAAATGTCCTGTGGCAATCAACAACAGAAGTAACCCATGCTAACCCATTGCTGGTTGCTCAGTAAAGGGGCTGAGATTTCACTGAAAGATCTGGAAAGTGGTTTTCCCTTCAGGATAATGACTCATCAAACAAGCATGGAGCCTGCTCTTCTACCAATATTGTACAAAAGTGCACGGTACACAATGTGCTCATCAGCAGTAGACATCAGAACAACCAAGTGTCCTTCAGCATGAGTAATATTAATTAAGTGAAATGAATGAACCTGGCTTCATGGCGATGGATGGAGAAAAGAGCCTTCATTATATGAAAAGGAAACCTGATCCCCTGCTGCTGCTGCTGCTAGGGGAACTTCATCCAATAAAAATAGGTATCAAAGCTCAAATAAAACAAAACAGAGATGTCATGTTGGAACAGAGTGCCTCTTAAAAATTAAAGTGAAAAGGTAAAACATAATGTTAAATAGAATTTTATGACATAAGAAGATGTTTCTGATACTTTGTTAAGCGAAAAAGGTTATAAAAACATTTGTTCGTGATGATATCATTTTTTGTTAATTTTATATAACTGAATGTGTATAGAAAACATTGGCCTGGTGTACCCGAGACTGTTAACAGAGGTGGGATTACATACAGTTCTTTTGTATTTTCCTGTGTTTTCCAAATTTTCTACAATAAACATTATTTTAACAAGTCAACTCTTCTGTAAAGCATGAGGGCTTTGTTTTGAAGATTGCTATCTTACCTTCTCCCATCCTGGCCCCATGTCTCCCCTGATCAGCCTCCATCTGATTCAACAACCATTAAAGATGGTGGCCCTTCCCATAATGGTATGTCTCTTGCTCCATTAGAGAAAAAAGGAACCAAGAGAAAGTAATGACCAGTCCTCAGGACAAATTTTAGGGTGTGGCTTCTGTTTTGTTTTGTTCACATTTTAAAGAATGCAGCCGGCTGGTAACACCCAAGCTACAGCCCTTGTTCTGGCTCCTTACAAGAGTGAAAGGGCATGAAAAGGTCACCGTTCCCAGAGACTGCAGAGACCTGCTGGGCAAAGGTGGATGGGAAATAATCCAGGTCTTTTCCATTTCTGGAACTCCTGGGGGTCAGGGAGTAGAGGAGGATGTGGCTTCTCAAAACTCACCTCTGTATGGAGAGAGGTCACCACCAAGCTAAGCACACAGAATTTCGACTTCTCTTTCGGTTCCATTTTCTTTCCTTTTTTTTTTTTTTTTTTTTTTTTTTTTGACATAGAGTCTAGCTCTGTCGCCCAGGTTGGAGTGCAGTGGCATGATCTCAGCTCACCACAACCCTCCATCTCCCAGGTTCAAGTGATTCTCCTGCCTCAGCCTCCCGAGTAGCTGGGATTACAGGCATGCCACCACACCTGGCTAATTTTTGTATTTTTAGTAGAGACGGGGTTTCGCCATGTTGGCCAGGCTGGTCTCGAACTCCTGACCTCAGTTGATCCACCTCGCCTCAGCCTCCCAAAGTGTTGGGATTACAGGCGTGACCCACTGCGCCCTACCTCTTTCTGCCCCCTTTTCCTCAGACCCTGTGGCTCATGCATTGCCTTCATAAAATTCTAGTAGTTTATGCAATCGATTTTGCTATTTGGGAAATCCTCATGTCTGCCTTTAGTAGACTATTTTGACTGAGAACAGGGATTTCAGTTATATTCCTGCTGCTGCTTGAATTCCAGAGAAGCTCACTAAAGTCATCAGAGATGTGTGCTATTGGGGCTTCCATTCCCAATGAGAAGATTGTTTGGTTTCATTTCCATTTGTACCTCTCTAATTTCCCATCACTTCATAAAACATCAAAGCCAAAAGTGAGTTTTAAATTTTAAGACTTCAGGTGATACTAAGGCACACTTAAAACTTTAAAAAATGTGTTTTTATGCATAGAAAGCTGTTACAGATGTATTAAATGTGAAATCAGAGAGAACATACATAACCATCCCTTTTTAAAAAATTTTTATATATACAAACACACACACACACACACACACACACACACACACACACACACATTCCCCCCCACCATTAAATATATGCGTTGAAGTCCTAACCCCTAAGATAATGGTATTCGGAAGTGGGACCCTAGGGAGGGGACTAGGTCATGAGGGTGTATACGTGTGTATACAGTTGCCTTTGGTATCCACGAAGGATTTGTTCCAGGACTCCCTGCAGACACCAAAATCTGAGATGCTCCAGTCTGTGATATAAAATGGTGTAGTATTTGCATATAACCTACACACATCCTCCTGTATTCTTTAAATCAAGCTTGTCCAACCCATGGCCTACATGTCACATGCAGCCCAAGATGGCTTAGAATGTGGCCCAACACAAATTCATAAACTTTCTTAAAACATTATGAGAATTGTTTGCGACTTTTTTTTTTTTTTTAGTTCATCAGCTATCGTTAGCGTTAGTGTATTTCATGTGAGGCCCAAGACAATTCTTCTTCTTCCATTGTGGCCCAGGGAAGTCAAAGGATTGGACACCCCTGCTTTAAATCATCTCTAGGCAATATATAGGTAATAAAACGTAAAAGCCACGTAAATAGTTGTTATGCTGTATTGATTGGAGAATAATGACAAGGGAAAAAAAAGCCTGTACATGTTCAGTAGGAATGTGCTTTTTTTCTGAATATTTTTCATCTTTGGTTGGTTGAATCTACAGATTCAGAACCCACAGATACAGAGGGCCAACTCTGTATGTGTGTGTGTGTGTGTGTGTGTGTGTGTGTGTGTGTGTGTATACATATGTATATGTAATAAGTTTTTATTCTACCTTTATTTATTCCTAACACTCTTCCTCTTTTACATAGATGCAAGTACGTACCTATGTATATATACATACATACATACACACATGCACACGTCTGAAAGGATGTTTACCAAAGTGCCCTGTGAAGAGGTGCCTTCCACCATGATTATAAGTTTCCTGAGGCCTCCCCAGCTGTGCAGAACTATGAGTCAATTAAATCTCTTCCCTTTATAAATTGCCCAGTCTCAGATATTTCTTCATAACGGCATGAGAATGGACTAATACACTCTCCTAGGTAAGACAGGAAGAGAAGTTTTTTGGGGGAAGCCTGAAATTGGGTATTTCTCTTTCCCCCACGGGGATGACGTTTTGTCGAACCCGATCAGCTAGCATCTGGTAAAATAATTTCTTTTGAGGGCAAATCTTGGCTTTTTGAATTTATTATTATCATTATTATTACTATTATTATTTATTATTATTATTATTATTGTTATTACTAAGGTCAGATCTGTCACCCAGGCCGGAATGCAGTAGCATGATCACGGCTCGCTGTAGCCTCAACCTCCCAGGCTCAAGCGATTCTCCCACCTCAGCCTCCTGAGTAGCTGGGACTACAGGTGTGCACCACCATGCCCTGCTAATGTTTGTATTTTTTGTAGAGAGGGGATTTCACCATGCTGCCCAGGCTAGTCTCAAACTCCTGAGCTCAAGCAATCCTCGCACCTCAGCCTCCCAAAGTGCTGGGATTACAGATGTGAGCCACAGCACCTGGCCACACCTTGTTAAGAAAAACAGAATGCTCTGCTTATTTCACAATGGTTCCTTTTTCCCCTCTGCCTGCCAGAAGTATGATGGGATTTTTCTCCCATCTTCATTGTGAGAGACTGGTAGGGCTCCTGGAAGTAAAACTCGCTAAGTGTGGGGCTGCTGTAAAACTAGGCCCCTCTGGAGTGTTTCTCTCTCGGGCTTGTCTTCACGGAGCCTTCATCAATTACAGTTAAGGTTTTCCTACCCCAATACCAGTTATCATGAAGGTTTCTGTTTATGGGCTTCTGCTCCAGTATGCTGTCACTCTCTTTACCTACATTTCTGTCTCTCTAATTTTGGGGTCAGTGGTTTGCCCTGTGCCCTTAATTCTCTCATGGACCTAAGAAGATTTGCTGATTTAAAATTATTCAGCTTTCTTCTTCTGTGGACGGGAGTAGCAACTTTCAAGCTCCCTACATGCCCAATCAGAAATCGGAAGTTGTCGTGTAACACTTTTTATGGCTTATGTTCTAGTTCCCCGTGACCAGACAGCTCATATGAGATCTGGAACACTAAGAAAATCCAAGTACCTCAGCATCATTTTCACAAGTGTGATATAAAAACAGTTGTCATTTCTAGCTAGACTTGTCACAGTTTGGGAATTTATATTTCCTATACTAATTATAAGTCTGATTTATTTCTTCTCAAAGTTTAACATGTGTTATAAGAGCAAAATGCCTAAGTATAATAGTTGCAAAATGTGAACATGCAAAAATGAAATTTAAACATGCAATTGGATATATAGTAAAATCTTTTTTTTTTTTTTTTTTTGAGACAGAGTCTCGCTGTTTTCGCCCAGGCTGGAGTGCAATGGCACAATTCCAGCTCACTGCAACCTCCGCCTCCCGGGTTCCAGCAATTTTCCTGCCTCAGCCTCCCGGGTACAGGCCCCCACACCACAGCAGGCTAATTTTTGTTTTTTTAGTAGAGATGGGGTTTCATCACGTCGGCCAGGCTGGTCTCGAACTCCTGAGCTCAGGTGATCCACCAACCTCAGCCTCCCAAAGTGCTGGGATTACAGGTGTGAGCTACCACGTTCGGCTGTGAATTCTTAATTATCCACATAAATGAAGAAATAGAGTGGATGAAAATTACTATTGTTTTAGGGGACATACTTTGTCACCTACAATATATATAAGATTTTTCTGAAGATTTTTTAAATAAAAATATTGGAAATATACATACTGTAAAATAACTATAGTAGATTGAATGGTGGCCCCCAAAAAGTATGTCAATGTCCTAATCCCCAACATTTATGGAATGGTACCTTATTCATAAAAAGGGTCTCTGCAGATTTAATTAAGTATCTTGGGGTAAGGAGATCACCCTGTATTATCTGGGTGGGCCCTAAATCAAATGGCAAGGGTCCTCATAAGAGAAAGGCAAAAGGAGATTTAAGACAGGCAGAAGAGGAGGAGACACAGAGGAGGAGGCAATGTGACCACACAGGTAGAGACTGGAGTGATGCAACCACAAGCCAAGGAATGCTGACAGCCACCAGAAGCTGGAAAAAGCAAAGAATGGGTTCTCCCCCAGAGTATCCAGACACCTTGATTTCAGACTTTTCCCCTCCAGAACCATGGAAGACCAGCTTTCTGTTGTTGCTTTTTTTTGGTTTTGGTTTTTTTATTTTTTTGAGATGGAGTCTCACTCTGTCTCCCAGGCTGGAGTGCAGGGGCACGATCTCTGCTCACTGCAAACTCTGCCTCCCGGGTTCCCGCCAGTCTCCTGCCTCAGCCTCCCGAGTAGCTGGGACTACAGGCGCCCGCCACCGCGCCCAGCTAATTTTTTTGTATTTTTCAGTAGAGACGGGGGTCTCACTGTGTTAGCCAGGATGGTCTTGATCTCCTGACCTCGTGATCTGCCCACCTCGGCCCCCCAAAGTGCTGGAATTACAGGCATGAGCCACCGCGCCTGGCCCAGCCTTCTGTTGTTTTAAGCAACCACATTTACGGTAATCTGTTAAGGGAGGTCTGAGAAACTAATCCAACAATTTGGAAAGGTTTTCTAAAGTGTCCATTTTTCTCATTCTGCTCCCCTGCTCAGAATCCTTCTGGGCATCACAGCATCTCATCTCTGACTGATGCAAAATAACAGCTTCAATTCAATGACTCTGTTGAAATGTTTCAGAATTTCAGACATCATCCCAGAATTGAGGTGTTTTGGATTAAAGTGGCCTTTTTGCTTCAGGGCAAGAAGGAATCGGTCTCCCCTAATAAATTATAAATTCTTCAAGTGCTAGGATATCATGGATAATTCATCTTGCTACCCGAGCACAAAACTTGACATATTATAGGCACTCAATATGTGGTTATTAATTGACTGAAAAGACAACACAAGATCCTGGATTAGGCCAGGCCTAGTGGCTTACGTCTGTAATCCCAATGCTTTGAGAAGCCAAGGTGGGAGGATCACTTCAGGACAGGAGTTTGAGACCAGCCTGGGCAATATAACAAGACCCTGTGCCTACAAAAAAAAAAAATGTTTAATTATCCAGGCATGGTGGTGCATGCCTTAGTCCCAGCTACTCAGGAGACTGAAGCAGGAGAATTGCTTGAGCCTGGGAGGTAGAGGCTACATTGAGCTATGATTGAACCACTGCACTCCAGCCTGTGCGACAGAGCGAGACTCTGTCTCTAATTAAAAAACAACCAAAAAACCATCCTGGATCTGGTACATCTCTGAGTAGTTAATAAGAACTTGGAAGGCAGAATCGTCCAAGGATAATTTAAAGTAGATGCTCTACTTGTTGATTATTAGAAGTGAATTATACAATGCAATTAATCTCTTAATGCAACTTGGGTGTTATAATCTGCTTATACCAAACATTTAAAGGATCATTAAGAATAGATTTATTAAGAATACAAGATCTAGAGATCCAAACTCTTCCTGATATTGAAATGTCCTTGTAGAACACAGAAAAATGATTATTATGCTTGTAGAATAAAACAAAATGCTAATTTAACCAGCAAGTACATAAAGCTATGTAATAGATTTGTCCTTTTTATTAACCAACTGTATTTTATTGTTTGAGGTAAGTAATATCTGAGGGCTTCCAAATTACCTTCTTATAATTCATCTTCCTCCTCTCTCTGAGGACCAAGAATAGAACATTTCCAGAAAGGAACTAGGCATTGCTTTCTGTTCATTTGTTCCTTTAGAAGTGTTCCCCCATTTATAATTAATAATGCCTGAAGTATTTTTTATTGATGGAGGAACCTTAAACTACTTAGAATAAAGGGATACAGTTTCATATACAATATGTTCTGTGTTGGGCTTAGGAGCATCCACAGGTGTTCTTACTCAATTTGCCAATTTCCCACCTGGGATCTCACCCCCAAGTACTCTTAAATCTGATATAGTTTTAATGAACACTCCTAGGAGCTTATGATATGCCAGCAGTAATCTAAGCACTCCACATGCATTGACTATGCCTCACAATAACCCTACTAGTATTATGATAACCCCATTTTATAGATGAGGAAAATGAGGCACACAGTGTATAAGTAACTTGCCCAAGATCACATAACTAGTAAGGCAAGAATCTGGATTTTCATCCAGACCATCTGGCTTTGGAGTTGAATTCTCACCCACCGTTCGATATTAGGATGAGCTGAGCCTTCTTTATAGTACATGGATACCAGGTTAGGAAGTCAGAGTCAAAATTTTTCCTATCAATGGAAGTTCTTATCTTTGGAATGTCCTATCGTATTGCCAGGACAACACCTGAGTTTGTTGTTACTTTGCTAGGCCTATTCAGAAGGAAAGAGTGAAACCAGCATTTGCTACTGGCTTCTGTGATTCCATTATGTAATTATTTGACCACACGCCCAAAGGCTTTAACAATAGGTACATTATAACAATATTGTTGCTTTTAGCTGAAGGCATTCTATATGGTGAGTCACTCTTATCAAAAACCAAATCTCATCAATTTCAGAATCATTTTCCCAGCCCCTCCCTTTGTAAATATGACATGCTTTCCCACAAAGCATTTGATGATCAAAAGCTTCCCCAACTTCTAAAACTAGAAATGATGCAGGAGACCTAGAGACAGTGGGAGGCATGAAAGAATGACAGTCAAATATCTGTAAAACAAAGTTTTTAGAATATCTCTTTTACAGGCTTAGCAGGAGTATTAAAGGGTTATTGATTGCTCTTCTCAAAGGGGTCCCAAGGTTTTTGTTTCTTTAATGACCTACTCAGTAGAGGGTATCTTATGGGTAATCCATCATTCCCAGGTTCTCAAAAAATCTGCTTCTTAGTAGATAAACTCTTCTAGGCAATGCAATTTCTAGACACTTCATTCATTCATTCACTCATTCCCTCTCCTAATTTGATAGACTTTTTTTTTCTTTTTTTTTTTGAGATGGAGTCTCTCTCTGTCACCCAGGCTGGGGTGCAGTGGCACGATCTCGGCTTACTGCAAGTTCTGCCTCCTGGGTTCACACCATTCTCCTGCCTCAGCCTCCTGAGTAGCTGGGACTACAGGCACCCACCACCACGCCTGGCTAATTTTTTTATAATTTTAGTAGAGATGGGGTTTCACCTTGTTAGCCAGGATGGTCTCAATCTCCTGACCTCATGATCTGCCTGCCTTGGCCTCCCAAAATGCTGGGATTACAGGTGTGAGCCACCGCGCCCGGCCAATAGACATTTTTTTTTAAATGCCAGTCATTGTGATAAACATCAGGAATAAAATAAGAGGGTACAATTTCTGGCCAGGCGTTGTGGCTCACACCTGTAATCCCAGCAATTTGGGAGGCCAAGGCGGGTGGATCACTTGAGTTCAGGAGTTCGAGACCAGCCTGGCCAATATGGTGAAACCCCATCTCTACTAAAAATACAAAAATTAGCTGGGCATGGTGGTGCGTGCCTGTAATCCCAGCTACGAGGGGGGCTGAGGCAGGAGAATTGCTTGAACCCAGGAGGCAGAGGTCACAGTAAGCCAAGATCATGCCTTGCACTCCAGCCTGGGTGACAGGCCTCAAAAAAAAAAAAAAGAGGACACAATTTCTGACTTCAAGATGCTCACAGTCTAAAAACAATGAAACATAAAAAAATATACAAACACCTTGAATACCAATGACGTGATGAGAGTCCCTAGAAAGACTGACTCCGAAGGCACACTTTATTCCAGAGGTGGAAAATCTCCAGGACTGACTCGATGTTGAATGTTCAGCGATAAGAAGTTTGCTGGGCAGTCAGGAGGGAACAGAGCACTGCAGACAGAGGGAAGAGCGTGTTCAAATGCACTGAACAAGCTCCCAATGCTCCCAGGATGTAGCAACCCAATCACAGGGATGGGGTGGAGTGGAAGGCTGACAGGGAGGAAGAATGGGAGAGAGAAGGTAGAAATATGGGGGAAGACGTGGGTGAGCACCTGGAGACCTGGAAGCTACAGCAGCCAAGAGATTCAAGGAAGCCAGAGATCTGAGCTCACACAGCTAGTAGCTGGAACTGGACAGAAAGTTGATTATTGGTGGCTGCAAAGAAATTTGAGAGCCAGAGCCAAAAGCCTGAAATGGTCGGAAACCAGCAGGGGTGCAGGAGTGATGAGTTGGGGAAGCTTCAAAACCCATCCCCACTGAAATCACCATTATCTATCCCTTCATCACCCACGCTTGGATGATACAATCCAAGTTTTAAGGGCTACACTAGCTGTACAAACACTATTTCAAGCCAAGTCCTACAGAGCTCCTTCCAACCAGATTGCTTGTCCAAAGCCCTCCTCTATAGAAATTCTAGAGCAACCACTGAGCAACAGAAGGACAAAGGGAGAAAAAGGTATGAATTCCACAACCTCATTTTGAGTAATAATTGATAATAATTATAGCTGATATTGATTGAGGGCTTACTCAAGCACAGTACCATATATTTTCCTTGCATTGTGCCCTTGATTCTTTATACAGTCTTGTAAGGAAGCCCGTAATGGACTGTCACTTACAGTGTAGCCATGTTTATTTGTTGTTGTGGAGATTTCTTCAGCACAAGAATTATCTGCTGTTGAAATCCAGCATCTTTTCACATGCATATTATTTTTAAATGTTGCAAATTCAAAGATAAAATACTATCATGATATTTCTCCCATTGAAGAATGTAGCTTCCCAAAACTAAAATGTATTTTTAAAATTTATTTATTATTTTTTGAGACAAGGTCTTGCTCTGTTGCCCAAGCTAGAGTACAGTACCGTGATCATAGCTTACTGCAGTCTCGAACTCCTGGGCTCAAGTGATCCTCCCTCCTCAGACTCCTGAGTAGCTGAGACTATAGGCATGCACCACCATGCCTGGCTAATTTTTTTTTTAATAGAGATGGGATTTCAATATTTTACCAAGGCTGGTCTCGAACTTCTGGCCCCAAGTGATACTTCCCCCTCAGCTTCCCAAAGTACTGGGATTATAAGTGTGAGCCACTGCCCCCAGCCTTAAGTGTATTTTAAAATATTTAGATTCTACAAAGTTACAATAAATACTGTCAAGTCTAGCAACTCTTTTTTTAATAGAAAAAAAGTTATTGAAGTAAGCATTGATACCAAAAGCAAGCCACGTAACTGTTTAACAACAAATCATTAAATCATAGAGACTTTGACTATCTAACTGTTCATTTGGAACTAATTACTAATTTTTATGACCTCAAGTTCAATAACTGATCACCTTTAAAGAATTATTTTGTAATCTTTGTTATTATGAGAAATACAGTGTACTCACTTAAATGTTGTTTACTTAAGGGAAGGGCACCTTTTTCTAAGTCTCACAAAGCCACTATATGGGCCAGCAGCTGTCCTGGGAGTGGAGCCAAGAATAGAGAAAGGGAAGTCCTATACCCGTACTTTGAGGCCACACAGAGCCTCTCCCCAGATCTGTCCTGCACAATCCAATTACATCAGCCAACAAATTCCTTTCAGTTTTGCATAAGCTACTTTGGTTCAAGTTTTCAATCATTTGCTACCCCTCGCCCCGCCGCCCTGACCCCCACCCCCTGCCGCAAAAAAATACTAATACACAGAGCTATGTAGTCAGATGTAATCTGACATGACTCACTTCAGGGAAATCAGAAAGGAAGCTAATGATGTAGATCAAGGGAAAAATGGGTACTGTTTGTATAAGGCACCTGTAGTGGGGACAGATTCAAGAGGTGATCAAAGCCAGACTGGATAGAGAGAACTTGAACACGAATGGGACACAGGAGAGAAGTGCACGGGAGTCATTGAAACGACTCCCACTTCTAAGTACATTTTAGAATTTCACAAATTATTAACTAATAAAATTAGATAATTTCCTAGCCCTGTCAACCCTCCTTTCTCCTATCTAGATGACTGTCAAATCAATCCAAGCAGTCACCCTAGAAATGTCAGTAGATACAGTCATCCTTATGAAAGGAAGATCTTCAAATTTTTGGAGAGACATCACTCAACAAGACTAAACCACAAGGAAGAAACAGCAAATGATAATAAAGGAGGAAATACACCTAGCTCAACTTGAGTGACAGCCATAAAATTAACCCTACTTAGGGTGTTTTCTAAAAACATAAATCTTCAAGTTGTCAGGGTGATGTTCAGCCTAAACATCACAACATATCCAGATGTACAGTATATTCTAGTAATTAAATTGACTATCTGTCACCAGGAAGGACTTTTATTCCCACTGAATATATTCCATCCATGAACCTGCCAGACCGGCTCAAAACATGAGACAGGTGCTTTCAATGACTGGCTAAATACTGGATGTCAGCCATTTAGTTGCATAACTGTCATTCCAAGAGTTGAAAAACAAACTCATCTTCACTGTTTTTATACCATGTAACCACATACCTCCCTCCCTCTCTCTCCTTAGAGTTTAAAGTATACATGCAAGTAATTTAAAATATACATGTGAACTAGTCAAGTTTAAAATAATCACATGTATATTTTATACTCTAGGGATAGTAAATTAGCTCTCAGTAAATTCAAAGTTACCAAAATATACTACAATCCAACAGAAATATTGGTGCTATTTGATATTAATTACAAGCACTCTGTAAATATTTTTTATTCATTTCATAAGGGCTGTATATTCCCACAACCAAAATTAAAGCAATTGATTATACCAACACAAAACCCTCCAAAGAGTTTTGTTTGTTTGTGTCACTGGCTTTTATTTTATTTTACTTATACATTTGTTTATTTATTTATTTTTCAGATGGAGTCTCACTCTGTTGCCCAGGCTGGAGTGCAGTGGCACAATCTCAGCTCACTGCAACCTCTGACTCCCGGGTTCAAGTGATTCTCCTGCCTCAGCCTCCTGAGTAGCTGGGATTACAGGCACGCACCACCATGCCTGGCTAATTTTTGTATTTTTAGTAGAGACAGGGTTTCACCATGTTGGTCAGGCTGGTCTCGAACTCCTGACCTCGTGATCTGCCTGCCTTAGCCTCCCAAAGTGCTGGGATTATAGGCGTGAGCCACCACGCCGGGCCTATATTTTTATTTTTATTTATTTATTTATTTATTTATTTATTTATTTATCTATTTATTTTGAGACAGAGTCTTGCTCTTGTTGCCCAGGGTGGAGTACAATGGCACAATCTTGGATCACTGCAACCTCTGCCTTCCGGGTTCAAGAGATTCTCCTGCCTCAGCCTCCCAAGTACCTGGGATTACAGGCGCCCATCACTAAACCCGGCTAATTTTTGTATTTTTAATAGGGACGGGGTTTCACAATGTTGGCCAGGCTGGTCTCGAACTCCTGACCTCCAGTGATCCGCCCGCCTCAGTCTCCCAAAGTGCTGGGATTACAGGCATGAGCCACCATGCCCAGTTGTCACTAGCTTTATTTTGGCACTATTGATACTGGAGACAGCTCTTTATTTCTGAATCTCTCCACTTGACTGGCTTCAAGGACACTACTCAGCTTGTATGCAGTACCAGAACTCTTCTGAACAATTCATTTGACAAAAAAATAGTTTTAACCACTCATTGGTATCACTTTGACCCAGTCTATGTCAATATCATTAAGCATTCTTTTAAAAGCTCAAGATTTTGCTCTAAACTTTTTCTGTATAATGCTATCTTTCCTCTAATACATGTCCAAGCTTTGCTGCGAAGGAAATGCATGACAGCATTTTTCATGAAGTGCGAATTTTTTTTCTCGGATGTTATTTCGTTTTCTCACATTCCCAGTTAGCAGTTGTGATGGATCTCATAGTTACAAACTAAAAGCATGATGAAGATACATTGGCACAGATTCCTCAGACAAATCGTGGCATATTTAATTTTGCTCTTCCACTTGTGAAAAAAATGGTTACTTCTCTTCTAGTGAATTTTATCCAGTGATTTTCTCTAGCCATGGCACTGAGCCCTGGCTGTGCATCAGAATCCCTATGAGGTTGTTTAAACATACAGATGCCCAGGGCCCTGCTGCCAGGAATTCTGAAGCTGTAGCTGGCATTTGTATATTTAAAAGCTCCACAGGTAATCTTGATGGACAGCCAGGGTTGAGAACTGCTGTTCCACAATATGTCTAGAAGTTTTTCTTCTCAGAGAATGGAGTATAAAGTTGCATTAATTCCCAAATTTTGAAAGCAGCAATTAAACATTGATCCATGTTTGTATATTGTGACTCAAATAGAGAAGGGGGCTGGAGTGAGATAAAGAGAAAAAGGATTACAGCTTTGTCCCCCTGTGAAACCATCCCTAGAAGCTGTATAAAATTTAATCAGGGAAGAAGTGGGGAAGGGGAGAAACAAAAATGAAAATAAGTCAGGCTTACAGCACACTCAGCATTGATCACAAGGTCAGCCTTCTCTCTGGCCTCCTTCCTCATAACTCTTTGGGGACCATTCTCCTAGAAACACATAGACCCTAGATTATGGTTTCCCTTTACAGCTCCATAGATGGCAACTTGAGCATTACAGAATGTTAAGTTTTCCCTTTGAGATATTCTTCCAGGTCCTACATACCAGTGAAACTACTGATGTCGGCTGGTCTTTGAGACCCCATGAGAAGCTAACTCACCAAAAAACGCAGTTTCCATGTCCTGATGATTTCATCTTCCTTACCCTGACCAATCAATAATTCCATTCCTCCAGCCCCTCACCCTCCATGATTCCCTTAAGAAACCCAGCCCAACTCCTCCAGGAGATGGATTTGAGGGTCTCCTCCTATCTCTTCCCTCAGCCACCCTGCAATCATGAAACTCTGTCTCTGCTGCAAACCCTGCTGTCTCGGTGTGTTGGTAAATTACACAGCAAGAAAACAAACCTGTTGGTCATGTAACGTCTGTAGCATCATACCTTACAGTGATCACAGCCTTCACCAGCCTCCTCTGAATACCAGTTTCTTCCCTGTATTTCACAGCTGTCTGCTGCCTGGATATTCCTAAATCCTTCAGCCTGCTAGGTCACCTTGTCCTCTTAGCTCATGAGAAAACTGATGTAAACCCCATTTCATTAACTGGGGGAAATTCAAAGACCTTTTCCATATCTTTAGGATGTATTAGGAAGAAGAACAGGAAGTGTGGAACTGTCATTTTTCTGGGCTCTTTGGTCTTCAGGCTGCTGCTTCCTTTAAAATCCCTCTCTGTGCCTCCTGGTTTTGCCTCTGTGCACACAGCATCCTGCTGAATAAAGTTTTGACACCCTCCTTCCCAAAGCACCACCATCACAAAAAGGAGGATGCTAGCAAATGTGGAATGTAGGTTTAGGCAATAGAGGTGGGCTACTCAGAGCATAGAACAGCTAAAAACTCCAAGTTTAATATTAAGAATCTGTGCTGTAGAAATCCCTTGGCCATTCTTATTCCAGAAGTCCCTTTGTGTCTGTCCCTCCATAAAGAGCCTCCCCATTGCTAGGTTACTTGCCTAGTCTTCCATACATACCCCTCCCACTGCCAGCACCAGCCACTAGT
Organism: Homo sapiens; assembly: GCF_000001405.40. Lineage (NCBI taxonomy): Eukaryota > Metazoa > Chordata > Mammalia > Primates > Hominidae > Homo > Homo sapiens. The sequence goes on from NC_000010.11 coordinate 21,198,730, forward strand.
GCCAGCTACTTTCCCCATGCAGAGTAACTTAGCTCTTCTTCTGCCCAGAGCCTGCCCTATGACAGACCTTCCCCTATTATTCTCCCAAAACTGTCTAATTATTGAATAATCAGAAAGTGACCATTTTCTCTTTCTCGGGAATTTTACCACCTGCTTTTAAGCTAAATTGTTTCTGTCCATCAAACTGGTACCCAATTACCTTACAGGGATGGGCCTAAAAGAGATTAATTTTTGATTTTTTATTCTATTCTACTTTTTATTTATTTTTATTTTTATTTTATTTATTTATTTGCACCACTGCACTCCAGCCTGCACAACAGGGTCTTGCTGTGTTGTGCAGGCTGGAGTACAGCAGTGCAATCACAGCTCACTGCAGCCTCCAACTCCTAGGCTCAAGCAATCCTCCCACCTCAGACTTCTGAGTTGCTGGGACGACGGGTGTGAGCCACCACACCTGGCCAAATTTTAATTTTTGTGTTTTTAGAGATGGGGGGGGTCTCACTATGTTGCTAAGGCTGGTCTCAAATTCTTGGACTGAAGCCATCCTCCCACCTCAGCCTCCCAAAGTGCTGGGATTACAAGAGTGAGCCACTGCATCCCAATTGGAATAATTAATTTTTTAAAAAATCATTATGTTTCTTTGGACTCTTGAAAGATTTAACAGAAAGTCCTATCACAAACCTCTTGAAAAATCCCAAAGTCTTTACCAATTGCATATTAGGATCTTTGAATGTGGCATATCTGAATTCTTCCTATTCAAGTGGAAGCCCCCTTAAATGTATGTATCAGGCAACTGACTAAAACTAGATAGTACACAGTCACAGGTGGGCACATGAACACAGCTCAAGGGTGATTCAGAGAAGTGACTGCTTGGACTGATCTGAGAAGGAACTGTGCTGTCAGGAGGCAATGCATGGGTGGCCACCCACATAATCCTTCAGGATAAGCCACACATCTCTCCAGCTGCTGGGGACATTGGCAGCTAAGGCTCACTGGTGAGTCCCTCTCCAGAAGTCACTCTTGGCCAGAGAAATCTACCCTCCCCAAGATGAGGCTCTCACACCCAGTGTGTGCCAGGAATTTTTTGACAACTGGCTGGAGGTTATGGAAAGCCTGATTTGTAGCTTGTCAAGGTATCAAGACTCCAGTCAATGTGAATTTGAAGCTGCAATGTGGCATTATTGAACACAGAGCTGGGGAGAGACTGTACACTGTTGGCTCTAAACTGCACTGAGATAGCCCTCATCTCATGGCTGGTTAAAGCAGGCAACCACAGATCATCTACTTGTCTCAGTCCAAACAACTCTGGGATGGGCCATCCTAGCTCCAGAACACCCCATGGGATCAGCTGAGGTCTCAGCTGCAACTTAATGGTGTTTCCATTTCTGCCCCAGCCCAACCCTGCATTCCTCGCTACCCTACAGGTGCTGCACCAAAGAGCATGCGGCCCCCACTCGCTACTCAGACTCAGGGTCTCAGAGTCTGCATCTGAGGAAACCTGACCTAAGACGACAGCTGACTACATCTATTGACTGTTTTCATCCAAATTGGTTGTGTGAAGTGACATATTCCAAGGGACTTTTTTTTTTTTTTTTTTTTTTTGAGATGGAGTCTCGCTCTGTCTTCCAGGCTGGAGTACAGTGACACGATCTCGGCTCACTGCAAGCTCCACCTCCTGGGTTCAAGCAATTCTCCTGTCTCAGCCTCCTGAGTAGCTGGGACTACAGGTGCACACCACCATGCCCAGCTAACTTTTGTATTTTTAATAGAGATGGGGTTTCACCATATTGGTCAGGCTGGTCTCGAACTCCTTACCTCAGATGATCCACCTGCCTCGGCCTCCCAAAGTGCTGGGATTATAGGCGTGAGCCACCGCGCCCAACCCCACGGGAATTTTAAGATGGCCACAATTCCAGAGATGTTTGCAAGGTGGTATTCAAAATACTTAACACCTGTTAGAACATGAGCATCCTGGAGTCAGAGCAGAGGCGAGCTGTGGTCAGCTGGCATACCTGGACCAATGTAGGCCAGCTGAATGTCATTTTGAATTTTGGTGACCTAAGGTTACAGTGATGGAGATGATTTAAAAAGTGGAGGCCAGGCACAGTGGCTCACACCTGTAATTCCAGCACTTTGAGAGGATTGTGCGAGCCCAGGAGTTTGAGAGCAGCCTGGGCAACAGAGAGATATCCCGTCTAAAAAAATAAAAAATTATCTGGATGTGGTGGCACAAAACTGTAGTTCCAGCTACTCAGGAGGGAGGATTGCTTGAGCCCAGGAGATCGAGGCTGCAGTGACCTGTGATCACACCACTGCACCCAGCCTGAGTGACAGAGCCAGATTCTGTCCAAAAAAAAAAAAGATTTTTCAGCAACCATCCAATTCTCTCCTTCTGCAGAATTTTGTTTGCCATAACAAAAAGGACAATGCCAAAGCTGGGGTGCTAAGACAGAAATGGTTATTACTTCAACTATGTGCCTAATTCAGGATAAAAGAATACAACTTCCACTTCTTCATGAAAATGGGTCTCATCTCCCTGCCTGTGTCGGGCTTTCTCTAGTAAGTGTGTACTGAACAAAAAGTAGTTTCTTACATGGTGGCCAGAACAACAGAGTGTGATCTTTATGCTTTCAGGGGCAGAATTCCAAAAGCCTAACATAAAAAGAATCTTTCCTAGGTGCATCAGAATTTATTGTGAAGCATGATTAGCACATTTATATTCAGAGGTAGGAAGCAGGGATGGATACAGGTTTTGTGGGTCCTGAAGCTTATACAATTTTGGAGTACTTCCTTAAGGAAAGGAATACAAAAATTATAAACACAAAACTAGCTATGAACCTGAATATGTATTTTTTAAAAAGATAAAATTACAACATATTTCAAAAAGTGACAATTACTGCAAACATCACAAAATCTGGAAATTAAAATAGTATTCCTATTAATTAACTGACACACCTCTATAATACAATATGCCTGCATATTCTTTGATAGCATCATTTTTGGTAATATTTTCATAGAAAATATTACAAATATTTCAGTCTTTCCTCTAGCATGGTTGATCTTTGTTTATTTTTTTATTATGGATGGTTTGGAAAAGTTTCTTTCAGCTTCACAAATTGCTATTCGTAATGTCACGCACAATTTTTAGGAATCAAATTTGGGAAAATAAACTCTATCAGATTTCTTTTTTCATGTAGATTTGAAAGAATATTCTATGGAGGAGCTTGTGGCTCCACGCATTTCAACATTTTTCTTCCTCTCTTGGCATCCTTTGGGTATTTTGCACTGTAGTCTGATTTCCTATCGTGATACAACATCTGTCTCTGCATCTTGATGACATGACACCAGGTAATCCACAATGCTGGCAATAAAAGAAAATCTATGCAGGTCATATTGAGAGAATATGATCTGCCCTATGCACCCCACAAAGTTAGGTGGGGTTTTTTTAATGTCTAGATTAAATGTGAATAGATGTGAACAGCACTTTTTATAGATGATAGGTAATTTTAAAAATGAGTAGTCATTGTGTTTTTTAAGTATTATATATGCAAGCTACTTTTATCATGATTATTATTTTTGTGAGATAAAAAAAGATCTCCTAAAAGTTCCTGTTACATTCTCTGTGCCCACTTCTTGACTCACCTGCGTTCTAGAAATACACATAACAGAACCACTGATAGAAGCTTGGACAGAATAGAGTTGATTCACCTTCTAATTTTTCTTTTCTTTTTCTTTTTTTTTTTTTTTTTTTTGAAACAGAGTCTTGCTCTGTCGCCCAGGCTGGAGTGCAGTGGCGTGATCTCAGCTCACTGCAAGCTCCGCCCCGCTGTTGACGCCATTCTCCTGCCTCAGCCTCCCAAGTAGCTGGGACTACAGGCGCCTGCCACCATGCCCGGCTAATTTTTTGTATTTATAGTAGAGACGGGGTTTCACTGTGTTAGCCAGGATGGTCTCGATTTCCTGACCTCGTGATCGCCCGTCTCGGCCTCCCAAAGTGCTGGGATTACAGGCGTGAGCCACCACGCCCGGCCTTCCACCTTCTAATTTTTCTTATTCTTTCTTTTCTTACCAGCTCCAAAAATGGAGACTAATTTTGCTTTGAACTTTGTAAAATACATATTAAAAGATTGAAAATATTTTCTATACTAAGTACTAGTAGCATCAGAATGTAAACCTGGAGCAGTTTATCCAGCTTCCTAAGAATTTCTGCTCAGACCACAGAAAATTCCTGACAGACTAGGAACGGCATGTTAGAGTTAGCAAGTTTGGCAACGCATTTATTTAAAGCATATTTGCATAGTCATTTAGGAAACTTAATGCTGCAAGATGGGGAATAAAGTCCTTGGAAATAAAGTTTCTATTCTCTTGGAGATTCCTGAATCAACTTATTACTATATAGGTACTTTTTAAAAATCAGCCTTTATTAATATGCTGCTTGTTCTCCTGCAAACAGGATTCTTGATGAGATAGAAGAACACGACTAAGCTGTTCCCTCATTATCACCAAATCATCTCTCTCTCTCCCAAGACGTTCTCTGTACAGTCATTTCCCAAGCCCAGATGGCCACAAGCTCCCATATCAAAATTTCAGAACTCCTGAGCTAAGTATTTTCCCTAGAGGATCCACAATTATCTGTATAAGTTAGTGTAAAAAAGACTGAGAAATTGCTTTTATAAAAAAGTTCTCCAACTTATGGACTGAAATCCCGTGGGTGTTTACCCAGGCAGTAGAATTTCTCACTTCATTTCTGTTTCAGTCTAAGAGTGGCCAGCAGATAATTTTCTATTTTGGTGGAACAGCAGCAAATGCTTTATTACTCCCTCTGTAACTGGAATAGACGAGTGGGGCCGAATGATAAAGAAGAATAAAAGGAGAAAATAACAGCAGTATTTTATATGTTAACAATGGCTTTTGCAACAGGTCTGAATGCAACCTGTTTCTGTAATGGGAAAATGGAGTAACCCAATAAAAATACACAGATGGCCCCTCGAAAAGGACATTTATTGTTCTTTTGGACTGCACAGTATCGAAAGCTCCTTCCTGCATTTGACGACCTTCCCACCTGATGGGTCTGAACTCGGGATGACTGTGCCAGAGACTTGCTTTTCCAGGCCCCCTTGCAGCCCGTGTGCAGGCAGGTACTATTGCCCACCCCTACCAGACCTGACTCAGAGCACAAGAAGCAGGGTCAGTGGAGTGTGCTCTTTCCCTGACGTCAACAGCAGCTTTGTTTCAGGAATAAGTCCATTGGAATAAGCCTATCTACCCAGTCAGATTCCCCAAGAGGCAGACCCGGAAATCAGGCTTTGAAGACAAGCTGTTTATCGGAGATGTGAGCTCAGGAAACATGGGTTGAAAAGTCAGGGAACAGAAAAATGTCAGTAGGGGTCTTCAATGAACAGGTTACCCCTGTGAGCACCTGAACTTCAGTCCTACTGGGGTCCTCTGGGAGATGGCTTAGAACAAGCCTCAGAATTAGTTACCCCCACTGTGGAGGGAGAAATCCAAACTGCTTGTCTTCTGTTATGGACTGAACATATTTGTCCCCTCAAAATTCATACGTTGGAGCTCTAACCCCAGTGTGACGGTATTTGGAGTAAGGAAGTAGTTAAATTAAAATTAAATGAGGTCATCGGGGTGAGTCCCTGATCCGATAGGATTAATGTCATTGTAAGAAGAGACAGTAGAGACCTTTCTCTCTCTCTCTTTCTTTCTCTCTCTCTCTCTCTTTCCATGCGCACATGATGACAGACCATATAAAGATACAGCAAGAAGGCAGCTGTCTGCAAGCCAGGAAAAGAGCCCTCACCAGAAACTATACGGGCCAGAACTTTGATGTTGGACTTCCCGCCTCCAGAACTGTGAGAAAATGGATTTCTATCGTTTAAGGCTTCCAGGCTGTGGGATTCTGTTAAGGAAGCCCTAGCAGAGGAATACATCCTGTGATTCTCTTTTGTCCTGAGGGCATCATCACTCCATGACACCCAGCCTGCCCTGCCTGGGGTGGGCAGAGCATTGTCAGAGGCAGCCCTCAGGAGAGAATCACAGGTACTTTCAGAATCACAGGTGACTGAGGAAGGAGTGGTGGGTGCCAAGCAACTGCAGGTGGGGCATTGACAGAGCCTGCTGCACTCCCCGTCATGAAACCATGACATTTAGCATTCTGGGGCAGCAGACGTGGTTTTTTTCTGCTGCATCATTTTCATCCCTTTTCCTGGCTGCCTAGCCTTGCACCAGGGTCCTGCCCTCCAAGGATTCAAAGAGCTACTATTTCATAAACTACTTTCCTGCTTCAATCAGTCAGAGTCCATTTCTGTTGTTTGCAACTAAGAATGCTCACTGTGCACTCCAAGTTGCATCTAGGCATGAAAACAAGAATTTATCAGTGTTATCTGCATCTTCCAACCCAATATTACAACAATAAAGGTGTCTAATTCATGACTGAAACAAGGCAAATTGGTACATGACCCTGAAGGGATACTATTTACAAAGTAAGATTACAATATCTGCCCCAAATGTGTAGCAAAAGCCTTAACATTTTGTTTACCATGTAGTCCAGCAGTTCTATTTCTAGCTAATTTGTCCTAAAATAATTGGACAAGAGCTGAATGAATGTGTATTGTGATGAACACATAATGATATTTAGGGCAATGTATATAATGTCAAAAATAAGAAATCAAATGTCCAAAATCAAGAGAATATTTAAACAAATTACAGTGTATCTTTAGTGGAATACTTTGCAGCTATTAAAAGTGACATTGCAGAAGTATATTTTTAATATGAAAAAATACTCATGATGTAAGCAAAAAAACAAATTACAGAACAATATAGATCCCATTTTTGTAAGAAGAAAACTTATTACATCTTGGACAAAATTCTGAAAGAATATATACCAATATATTATGGAAAAAAACACAATTACTTTGGCACCAACCTATTAATCAAAGCTAAATTTGGGTAGTAGAACAAAGGTGATTTTTATTTTCACCTTATATTTAGGTATATTTATGATTGCTCTATAATAAGTATTAGATACTAACCAAATTTTTACATAATAATAATAATACCTATTCTACCTCATTCACAGGGATAGGTAGGAAAGTGTGATTGTCACTAAAAATTTCATAAACATGCAGCTAAGGAAAGCCTCCATAGAATAAGATATATGATAATCTCCAAAACAATTTAGCATATAATTTCACAATGCATCAGTAGGACTGCTATGATTAGTATCAGCAGGCACAAAAATATCGTTAAGATTATGCATGAACCATTAGTCATCAGGTGCCAATTAATATGGGAATTCACTCAGTACTAAAAGTACAAACCTAAGATTGTCTTCAGCATCAGCTTCATCAGGATGTTCTGGAATAAAACCAATTACAAGAGACCAAAAAGTCCTGGCCAATAAAATGATCATTGGATTATATAAAATATTAGTAACGCAATGCATCTTGCTAATATCCTAATCGCTGTTAGCAGGAACACTTTTAAATCCTAAGGAGACAGAATTAAGTAAGGAGCTCTGGCAGAAGAATTAAAGCAAATGTATACATTGAATACTACTAAAATAAGTTATTTTGTCCTGGCAACTCTAATGCTTTGATAAATAAGTTACTCAACATCTTACAGAACTTGGAATTTAACATGTGCTAGTGAAAATTCAGAAGTCGTTCCTTTTACATGCTTGTCACATGGCCAAAATATTTTTATCTCAAAAATAAGTTGTAGCCATGAATTTAGCCCCCAGGGGCTGAGATCTAACCAGGGGGGTAGAAACTGTGGATTGCTCCTCACCCTCCCTTACTGTAACTGTAATAGGTTCATTGCCTGCCCATTGCTTATGGGAAGTCAACATACCTAGACACTGGGTTGCAGCAGAGAAAAAGTTTTGTAGTAGGGCCACTGAATGAGGAGACAGGAGGAACCTCAAATCTATCTCACCAAGGAGTTTGAGGCTAGGGTTTTCGAGAGTTTGGGAGTGGGCTGAAGTATAGAGATCGTTGACTGGTAGAAGAGTGCCAGAAGAAGTCGTGGGACAGGGAGATGAAGAAGCTGTATTCCCACGCCAATCCCATTCCTCTGTGGGGATTTTCCAGCTGGTTGTCATCAGCTGTTTCACTGGAATTCAGGACCAGAAAAAAACATAACTAAGTAATTCTTAAATAAAAGCCTTACAATTCCAATGTTGGGGATCCTATCTTAAGCAAAAGCCATATTATCATTTTCTTTTTCTTTCTTTTTTTTTTTTTTTTTTTTTTTTAGACAGAGTCTTGCTCTATAGCCCAGGCTAGAGTGCAGTGGTGCAGGCTCGGCTTACTGCAACCTCTGCCTCCCAGGTTCAACTAATTCTTCTGCCTCAGCCTCCTCAGTAGCTGGGATTACACACACCCACTACCACGCCTGGCTAATTTTTGTATTTGTAGTAGAGATGGGGTTTCACCATGTTGGCCATGCTGGTCTCAAACTTCTGACCTCAGGTGATTCACCTGCCTTGGCCTCCCAAAGTGCTGGGATTACAGACGTAAGCCACCACGCCCAGCCAAAAGCCATATAATTCTAATGTCAGACATCCTATCTATAGGAATGATGGGGATGTGAATGGTCTATATCTAGTACTATGTGACTTTCAGTCATAAGGAAGTGAGTCAAAGTACAGCCTGATTAATGCTTAATTATAACAATATTTCTGCCCAGAATTCTTATTAACTCTATAAAGATGGCATCATTGTCCCCTTTCCAACATCCTAACAAAACCCAGATTTGGTTTTTGTATTGACTGTGCACACACACACAGCCTGTTGTCCCCTCCTTTCTCCACCCTACTTTGCCCTAGAAGCCTGACCCTGCTGGACTACATCATGGGCTCTCATGACCTTGAGCTTCTGGTTGGGTTTGGCCAATGGGAGCCCCTGCAGGAGATCATGGAGCAGGGGAAGGGTAAATCCAGGGTAGTTCTTTCCCTGGCTCCCTCCTTACAGACTGGTTGCATCTCTCAGCCTAAGGTCCTAGCACTGGAAAAGCAGCCCTCTACCCACAGACTAGCTATACCTATGGAACATCTGTCTCTAGGTTCTAGAAACCATTCATTTAAAAAGTGGACAGAAGATACAGGGTCCAATGGGGTGAATCTCAGGATTCTTAACTTGGAACGTAGGCCCGAAGCAGTCTCTCTTATGACAGATACTGTTGAATTAGTTGATCCCAAAGAATCCAGCGTCTCAGTGGTGTCACAGGACCAACAGGTTCATATGTCCACTGCACAGTAACAAACCAACTACACTGAGACAGCAGAGTTTGCAGCAGAGAAAGAGTTTAATGATCACAGGGTGCCAAGTGAGGATATGAGAGGAAAACCTCAAATCCATTTCCCTGAGGAGTTCTAGGCTGGGGTTTTTAAGAAGATTGTGGAGGATAAAGGGCTAGGAAATTGGGGTCATTGATTGGTCAAGGTAAGATGGATGAAATCATCAGGACATAGAAATTGCATTCTTTGATGACTCAGCTCATGGGGGTCCTTCAGACCAGCTAACGTCTAGTTTCACTAGTATGCAGGACCTGAAAGAGTATCTCAAAAGGAAAAATTAATGTCTCATAATGTGCAAGTTGTTGTCTTTAGGGCAGTTAAGGGAACTATAATCTTGTAACAGGTTCTAGCAATTCTGAGGCAATAGGTACTGAACAACTACAAGGAAGAGGTCAGACAGCAGGCTGACCTCATGATTAATGCTGAATATGCTAAAACTTGGTTTATTTTTGTTTCTCTCCCTCCCTCCTTCTCTAATTAATTTTATAAAGTTTATAGGGACAGTTTCAGTGGCTGACACAAGGGAAGTTTATTTCTTGCTCATGTTACAGAACAGTGAGGGTCAGCATGAAATGAGAGGGATCTACTTCCAGAAGTCACCATGAACCCAGGCTGCTTTCTTCCAATGTCTCCACTATTCCCTATGGCCCCTGTTCTTGCTGCAGGTGGGGAGAGCACGAGCAAGGAGCAGGCCTGGAAGTCACATACATTCCTTCCACCCACATTCCATGGGCTGGAACTCAGCCCTACAACCCCACTTAACTGCAGGGGCCTGGGAAAACGTAGTCCAACAGCATGGCAGGGAAAAAGAAAACAGAACAGTTTGGTAAACAACCAGCCAGTCTGCACCTCACCCTTCCAGCAAGGAGTAGCTAGATAAGTCAAGACTGCTCCTGGTAGCATGTGATAGGAACTGAACTATGGTGACTCGGCCAAATAAGGGTGCCCTTTGTTTGTTTTTATACAGCAAGGAATCTGGGAGTAGGTAACTCAGAGATGTTTAAGGAATCCGGCTTCTCCTCCCTTCTTTCTCTGCAATCCTTAAAGTATGAATTCTGTCTCCCAGTTGCAAGATGGTGCCAGGTATTCTGCCCAAATTCCAGGCAGGGGAAAGGTGAAAGGGCAAAGTGCAAATGACAAAAGGAATGTGTCTGACAAGTTTAGTCGCTTTTTAAAAAGACTTTTCTGGAAGCCCCCCTCTCATAGGATGGTCTCTTTCATGACTACACTGCCTTAAGAAAACCTAGGGAAGGGTTGCCAGATAAAACACAGGACGTTCGGTTAAATTTGAATTTCAGATAAACAACAAATAATTTTTAGTATAAGTATGTATGTCCCATGCTGGGTATCCTGTTTTTTGTTTGTTTTTGCTAAATCTGGAAAGTCTAGCCTCGGGAGATGTGTATTTTTTCATGGATACATTGCCCCTCTGAAAAAAGTCAAGATTCTGTTGAAAAGAAAGAGAGGAAAATGGACTTCAGGTAGGCAGCTGGAAGTATATGTCCCAGTGACCACAGGACCCAATACGTGCCAATAGCACATAAGCAGAAGTCTGCAGGATGTGTCTTCCAGGAAGTTTCTCCTATCTCCTGATACAATTAGGCACCTGACCTTTTTTTTTTTTCTTTTTTTTTTTTTTCTTTTTTTTACCACAGTTGTGACTCCTGGAGGACCAGGAGCCATCTTGAGATCACGAGGTAACAAACATGAGAACAGAGGCCTACACGTCAAAGATGGAGAAACAGAAAGATAATCAGTGCCTGGGTCCAGAAGGGATTGTTGCCCTGCTGGGGAAGGCTATCCAGGCTGACACTGTCTTTCCTTGCACTCCACGATTATCCTTGTGGAGCCAGGAACTGGTGTCACGCTTGTCAGGATGAGGGACCTTAGAATTAAACCAAGACCAAAAAGAGGATACAGCTGATAGAATTTCCCCAAAACCAGACCCATTTGGTTAAGCTGACCCTAAAGCCCCAATTGCTCAATACCTCCAGTTCCACGAGCCTCAAAATGTCCTTATTGTTTAAGATCATTTGAAGCAAGGTTTCTGTTCCTTGTAGGAAAAACATCATGGGCAGGGCATGGTGGCTCACACCTCTAATCCCAGCACTTTGGGAGGCCAAGACAGGCAGATCACCTGAGGTCAGGAATTTGAGACCAGCCTGGACAACATGGTGAAACCCTGTCTCTACCAAAAATACAAAAAACTTAGCTGGGTGTGGTGGCAGGCGCCTGTAATCCCAGCTACTAGTGAGGCTGAGGCAGGTGAATCACTTGAACCTGAGAGACGGAAGTTGCAGTAAGCCGAGACTGCACCACTGCACTCCAGCCTGGGTGACAAGCAAAATTCTGTCTCAAAAAAAAGAAAGAAAGAAAAACATCCTAACTAAGAAAACCAAACTCTCCAGTCCAATACATATACTTCTAACAGATTTGACATTTATCTCATTATACAAATATGCAGAAAGAAAATTAACATTAGGCAATATAACATTGCTGCCATTTTTAAGGAGGAATATGTATATTTTTACAAACAAAAATTCAAAGCAAAATCATACAATTAAATGTTTGTGTCAAGTATGTTTTTTCCATATCATTCTATGTATCTTGTAAGGCCTGTAAATAGATTAAAATTTTTGTTGTTACTTATTCCCACTGGTTCTGGAGTCATGCACTAAAGTGCTGCATTTTTAAGTTTCAATAATTGGACTCCTGAGACTCACAGAGAGGAGGAACATACGTTAAGATATCATATTCTATTCTCAACATGTGACTGTCATTATCTTCCAACTCAATAATGCTTATAAATGTACACGCTATGTATGAGCTACTGTAAGTCTTTAAAAAACCTGTAGCTTTACATTTACAGCTATCCTAGCCAGTAGGAGTTAATTTTAGCTGGGTTGCACCTATTGTTTCATGCATGCCCTCTAGGTTCTTTGGAAACACTGTAAAATATTATGACCCAAAAACAGAAAACCATGATCCATATCCTCAGTCACGTTTTCTTTGACATGGGCAACATGTCACAGATTCAGTAGGAATAAAGGCCACTCGCAGAAAGAGGAGATAGACTAAGTCTCGATTTGATCATCCTTATCAATGCTATGTAGGAAAGGAAAGGAAAATCCTGGCATGAAAACAATCAAAAATAGTCATTGGCCGAGTGCAACAGCTCATGCCTGTAATCCCAGCACTTTGGGAGGCTGAGGCTGGAAGATCACTTGAGAACAGGAGCTTGAGACTAGCCTGGGCAACATAGGAAGACCGCGTTTCTACAAAAAAATAAGAAAAATTAGCTGGGTGTGGTGGTGCACACCTGTAGTCCCAGCTACTAGGGAGGCTGAGGTGGGAGGATCGCTTGAACTTGGGAGGTGGAGGCTACAGTGAGCTGTGACCTTGCCAGTCTGGGCAACAGAGTGAGACTCTATCACAAAAGAAAAACAAACAAACAAAAAACAAAACAAAACCCTAAGGTTTTTTTTCTCCTGAGTTAGCTGATGTGTGCAGTCAAAAACCCTCTCTCCAGTTAACTGGAGAAAAGACTGGCCCCTTTAAAGATCTTGCTTCCCTGATGAGGAAAGCCAATGAGCTGCCATCTCCTCTTGAACAGAGATGCCAAACCCAGTTACGTCAACTTCAAAAACCCGTCTGAGTCCTTTTGTAAAGGTAAAATTTTGTTGTGACAAATGTTTGTTGTGTCAATGAAGTTGGCCATTGCCAAGGGAGATCCTTTTGTTGGGGAAGGATCCTCAAACCAGCAGTGATTGTGATGATGGAAACGGATCTGTCGTCATGGCTTCATTCATTCTCCAATGGTAATTGGAGAAGCACAGAATTTCTCACTCATGCTGAGGTCAGAAATCTTTCATAAATGACCTACCAAGTTACTATCAAGTGTGTTTGCTCTTATGTAATGCTAGTAAATACATTTCAGGGTTTTAAATCACTCAATTCTCTCTCTCTCTTCAGATATATATATCTATAAACATATGTACATATGTAAATGTTATGCATATATTATTATTACATATTATACAACTATTACACAGTATACATATAATATATACTATGTTAGATACAGTATATATACAGTATTATCGCTACATCTGAGTGACAACACTATATATACTACATATAATACTGTGTACAATATATGTATAATATGTCAGAAAGATAATACAAATATATGATTTATTATGTTACATATAATATACATATATAACAACTTGTAAATGTATATATATCTGTAATGTACAACACAATCTTTTTAATCTTTCAGGAAATTCACTGAAAATTAAACTGACAAACAAAGATTTCCCAATTAGTGCAATCCTGGCCCCAACTTTCCTTGCAAAGATTTCGAACACCCAGCGCTAACGTCTGGACAGCGCCTACCCCTCCTCAGAGTGATGGGAGGAAAGAAGGAAAGGCAAGCAACGGCTGAAAAGATGGAAGGAATAAACCAACACTCGTCATTTCTCAAGAGTTTGTGAAACTTCCCATTTTCTGTTAAGGAAGTAAATTACAGAAGCTTCGGTGAAAGGGGTGGAATCACCCGGTTCTTCAGCTTTGCTTAGCTTGTTGGATGACCAGGGACATCTTCAGATTTTTGTTACCACACCTGGCTCCTGAGCCAGGTCCTTCAGTGAGTGCTTTCCAAAGGCCCTGTGGCCACTTGCGACTTCCACTGGCTTCTCGTGTTTCGACACTAGTTTTATTTTTGAAATACTTGCCACTTTTCATCATAGGAAATAGCTGGCTTGACTACCGTTCTCACTCCTTTAGCTGCTGTGTCAATACTTCAAAACATTCAGTCAGTTAACTCGATTCAGTCAAAAATTGTCACAATGTTTAGCATTGTGTTGACAAAGCCTATGGCTTTGGAGAAAATACAGCTCATTAAGTTCTTAGTGATTCTTCATGGTGCAGAGCTACACGGTAGCAGCTACAAATGTAACCAGACCACCGTGACAAAACGAAGGCAATGAATTAATATCGGAGTGCTCACCATGTGCCAGGCACCGGTTGGAATTTAGCCATGTCTCATCTCACTTTATCTCACAATAACCCAAGCCCTTCAAGCTGATGGTTGCCCAAAGTTGGATTGAAATGATAGTTTATTATGCCATTTCTGTTTACTCACTAATACTCAAAGAATGCAGAAAAAGATAAGCTTGACAGGCAAATTTCAGTTGATGGTTCAGTTTCCTTGAACTTGTATTTGGTCTTGTTGCAGACTGATTTGACTCCCTTTAAAAAATCAGAATGTAGAGTGTCTGGGTTCCTGTGCCCAGAGAAAGGACATTAGAGAAGATTCAAAACAGATGGAGATGTAGAGCTGGTTGAGTGCAGGCGGAGGAAAACCGGAGAGGAGCGGAGGACGGGGGAAGCTTCAGTCTAAAGAACAGTGTCTATAAAATGCACTTTCAAAACAACACTGTCTGAATGCCTCCTTGTGTGCAAGTTACAGGGCTGACCAAGAGATTTTTAAGTAACCAGGAGAAGACACTAACTTTGCTAATGAATAGCCAGGAAGTGTTAATGAGGCATTCATGAAGATGCTCTCAGGACTTAGCAATGAGAATGTCCCGAGGCAGGGAACCAGGGCAGGAGAAGGCCTGGGGCGACCTGGGCTTGAGGAGTAGAGTAAATAGAGAAAAACCTTAGAAATGGGTTCTATAGCAGCCTTTAGCTATAATGTAAGTGGAGTTTATATCTTAAATAAATTATTCTATTTTTACTGCAAATATTCCTCTCTTAAAAGGACCAACGAATATCTACACATTATATACCTGCTCATCTTCCATGTTCTGTGCCCAGAGGAAGTCCAACAAGCTCGAGACACCACACATCATTTGCGAGGGAAAGGACAAGGTCTTCCTTAAAAGCAATAAACTGTGTCTCCTGGACTTTTATGTAAGTATCGGCTGGTAAAGGGAGTTGTCACAGACAATAGATTTTCCCCACAATTATAAAACTCAGCAGTTTTGTGTCTTGAATGATGATAATACAGACAGATAATTAAATCTTAACTTCTGTCTTAGTCTTCTTCAATTCTCAACAATGAATTGGTAATTTACTCATGAATTTCATGTATATATATGTATATAATATATATGTATAAGTATATGATATAGATGTATATATATCATATATGTATATCATGCACACACACAAAAGGCAAAGAAAAGTGCTTTCTATCTTATGTTTTTTCAAATTAAAAATTTGTATCTTGCACTTATTTTTAGTGGTATCAAATAAAGCATTCTTTGTACTTTCTGAAGATTTATTAAGACACTAGTAAGCCTTTATGCATTTGTGCTAAGGGAAAAAGGAAGAGAGGGAGGAAGGAAAGAAACAAGAAGAGAAGAAAGGAAAAGGATCTCCTCAGTATAACTACCCCATACACACATGGCACACACATGGCACACACATGCACACACACGCGCACATTACACACATGCACACACATGCACACATGCACATTACACACACATACACACATGCACACACATGTGCACACATTACACACACGCACACATGCACATTACACACACATATACACATGCACACACATGCACACATATGCACATTACACACACATGCACACATGCAAGATTGTTGGGTACAGTGAGGAAAGGGTTTTTCAGGTGCTTCTTTTTTAACTGCTAATTCATGGTATTTACAGAAAAGTCAGAAAATATATAGTATGTAAAAAGGGAAAAAATGGAAATCACTTTTAATTGAAGCTCCCAGAATTAATCATTGTCAGTATTTTTGGCTACACTCCTAATATTAGTGTCTTTAAAGAGAATATCCTGTGTTCTTTTAGAAAAGAATAGGAAATAAATTAAAGGACAGGCCCTGCTGTGTCTCTCTGCCCCCATCTCCTGGAATCTAGCTCCCTTTTCCCTGCCGGGGAGGAGCAATAAACTGTGAAGCCCTCCCTGTGCCACCTGCCTCACCCCACCCTGATCCCTCCGACCCCATGAAGAGATGTCAACTTCCACTTGGCCAGAGTTTTAAATCCACAAAACTTGAAGATTAGAGCGAAATAACTAAAATGAACTTTTAGTTTCTGTCTTCTTACCTAACATACAATTTGGTTAGATTTGCACAAATTAGTGGCATGTGGTGGCACGCACCTGCAGTCCCAGCTACTCAGGAGGTAGGGCAGGAGGATTTCTTGAGGCCAGGAGTTTGAGGCTGCAGTGAGCTATGATCACGCCACTGTACTTCAGCCTAGGTGACAGGGCAAGAGCCTATCTCTTTTAAAAAGAGTTTTTAAAAGATCTGCACAAATGAAGAATATGTGTTTGCAATGGGCTGTCTTATTATGGGCATTTCATGGTGCTCATAAAACTCACATTTGGGAGGATTCTCTGTAGCATCTGTATTCAGGGAGCAAATTAAGCAAAACAATACAAACTCATGAATGCAAAATGTAGCACAAAAGTAAATATTCAGAATGAGAAAAGATTTCACAACAAATAACATATCTTTTAAAACTAACAAATACTGCAAGTGCCACAAAAGGCAAAGAAAAAAATATAATCTGTTTATTAACTGGCTGACCCACTACCATAATATTTTCCACAGACTAGTTTTTTTTGTTTTGTTTTGTTTTGTTTTTGTTTTTGAGACAGGGTCTTACTCTGTCATCCAGTCTGGAACGCAGTAGCACAATCACAGCTCACTGCAGCCTCAACCTCCCAGGCTCAGTTGATCCTTCCACCTCAGCCTCTTGAGTAAATGGGACCATAGGCATGTGCCACCATGCTTGACCAGTTTTTGTTTTTGATTTGGTTATTTATAGAGACAGGGTCTTGCCATGTTGCTCAGGCTGGTCTTAAACTCCTGGGCTCAAGTGATCTTCCTGTCTCAGCCTCCCAAAGTGCTGGAATTATAGGCGTGAGCCACCGCACCTGCCCTCCCAAACTAGTTTCCAGCTCTACTTGTTCCTCCTTCACTTCCTACTTCCCAGCAGGGTCAGTATCCTAAGACAGGTTCACATCACAGTTCCGCCCCTGATTCTAGGCCGTCATTCATAATTCCAGTCAAGTTGCCACGGTATGCAGTAGGGTACTGCTGAAACCCATCCTACGTGGGAAAGCCAGCCACGAGTTGTCTACAGAGTGACTCTGAACCACCAGAACACATCCCACTAAACTCTCACTAAATATACACCCCCAACCTGACTTCCCCTTAGCCACATATCCAAGTGCCTGTGGCTACTTCAATGCCACCCAACTCAAGGAGAATTAAGACAAGGAGAAGTCAAAAGGGGAAGACACAGTGGTCCTAACCAGCTGCAATTAAAAGATCACACTTTTTGGCCGGGTGCAGTATCTCATGCCTGTAATCCCAGCACTTTGGGAGGCCCAGGCGGGAAGATCACGAGGTCCGGAGTTCAAGACCAGCCTGGCCAACATGATGAAAACCCATCTCTTGGGCCAGGCGCAGTGGTTCAAGCCTGTAATCCTAGCACTTTGGGAGGGCAAGGTAGGCGGATCATGAGGTCAGGAGTTCGATACCAGCCTGGCCAACACAGTGAAACCCTGTCTCTACTAAAGACACAAAAATTAGCTGGGCATGGTGGCACACACCTGTAGACCCAGCTTCTTGGGAGGCTGAGGCAGAAGAATTGCTTGAACCCAGGAGATGGAGGTTGTGGTGAGCCGAGATCGCACCACTGCACTCTAGGCTGGGCAACAAAGCAAGACTCCATCTCGAAAAAAAAAAAAGAAAAAGAAAAAAGAAAAGAAACACGAAAACCCATCACTACTAAATATACAAAAATTAGCCGGGTGTGGTGGCACGTGCCTGTAATCCCAGCTACTTGGGAGGCTGAGGCAGGAGAATCGCTTGAACCCAGAAGGTGGAGGTTGCAGTGAGCCAAGATCGCGCCACTGCACTCCAGCCTGGGAGACAGAGCAAGACTCAGTCTCGAAGAAAAAAAAAAATCATACTTTTGCTAATTTTACTAAACTACTACCATAGGAACACAATACCCCTGGGAAGGGGCTCTGCACTGAGGGGACCTGATGTGAGTGTCGTTAGCTTCAAGGTAAGTCCACCTCTGCACGCACAGTTGTTGGGGAAGACTTCTTCAGCAGCACCCAGAGAAGCTGGCATCCCCCCAAAATCTAAAACAGATGAGAGGGTAGTTATCAGGTTAAGTATACAGAATTTACTTAAGAGGTCATGGAGAGGAATCCAGAAGTTTCCTCCAAATTGAGCCACAGCCAGAGACAGAGAAAGCAAAACAATCATGAGCCCAAGTCACAAGGGACAGTGCTCCAAATTACAGGCATAGACTTGCCAAGGAGCTGCTTCTCACAGGGGAAACTCTATCTGGTTTGTTTCGGAGTGGGGAGCAGCAGCTATTTATTTATTTAAAGGTGGTGAACAGCTCTCCCAAATATTGCCAGGTGGCCAGCAAGTTCTAAATACGACTGGCTTCCAATAATTTGAAAACTTTAACATTGATAGCATCTGCTGTTGAGAAAAAAAAGTGTAGGCTTTGGGTGCCACACAACTGTGGATTCAAATCCAGGCTCTGCTAGTTACTAGCTATATGACCCTAGATAAGATACTTCGCTGCTTGGAATCTTGGTCTTCTCACCTGCAAATGGGTTTAACAATATTTACTCTATAGTATTACTTGAAGATTCATGGTATTTGTGACAATTCTGCCACAAATGAAATTTTCATCAAATAGTAGTCATTATTATAAAGCTGTATTTTCCATTTATTTTGGCTTGGCACAAAGATGATTCAAACCTCATCTGCAATTTGTGCATTTCCATCTGGCAGCAACCAACAAGTCAGCTAAGATGGCGACTTACTCTAAGGGTGCAACCTACAGCAAGCCTGTCCATCACAGTACTAGCCAGCTAAAGTTTGTTACAAGCTTTCAGTCTGCTGCGGAGGGACAAGCTGGACATCATTTGGGGCTCTGAGAGTCTTGAGTTCTGACCTGGTCGGTGAGCTAGTGTACGAATATTCCACATACAAATTCTTTGGCCTCATGGATACTTTTCATAAAGCTACCGGAAGAAATCCTGACACCCAGGCAATCACCAAGCCAGGCCACAAGTACAGGGACAGATATGGGCTGCTATCTGTAGGCGCAAGAGCCTTGGCCCTGGAAAGGGCCACTCATCCCAACATCCTGTGGCGATCGTCACCAGGCAGGTGGGAAAAGACACAACACTCCCCAGCCCCACCGTTACCATCGATAAAAGTAATGTTTGCAAAATGCATACCTAACAATTTAGGACAGTTCAGGTCTGCTTGATAGTGTTCTTTAATTTGCCTGTTTAAACCATTCTACAGATAGTTTCATGACTGTCAGATTACAAAAGTTACAATGCAATGATATTTGAAGACTCTATGTGATGGTGTGTCTTCTTTCTCATAAGATAAAATTTTTTTATCTTTGCTTTATCTTATAAAGGAGTTATATATCAGACATGCTGTGTGGTATAATAGATGTAAAATAAATTATTTAAAAGAGGAAAAAATGCAGGAGTGTTGAGGAGGAAAAACTTTTCCTCTGCCCATGGAACACAAAAGTTCCATGACTTGGGTCCTTCACATTTAACTGATAAAAGACAGATTAAACAGGAGAAATGGAATACACAATTTATCGATATCTACATGCACTGGGAGGTCACAGAAAAGAAGGAGAACCCAAGGAAGTGATCAGACTTGGGGACACATGCCATTGTAACAAAGGAAAAAGGGTTTGGGCTTCAAGGGAAAATAAATTGCAGCAAAGTGAGTAGGAACTATATGGAGAAAGCTAACGGGAGATAAGGGTTATTTTCGTAAAATCTGTTTATGCACATTCATTTTGCTGACCCTCCAACTTCCTGGTACATTTGCTCTCCTCTTCCTGGTACAGGACAGGGGAAACCTTCACAGACGGAACCTTATGCCCTGCTTTTAGGCAGAAAAGAGGAGAGAAGAGAATGCTTCCTATTTGATTCTCATTGCCTTCAGCTCAAAATAATCCTCATGCCACAGTGGCATATTTTGGGATGGCATACCCCAATCCCCTGCAGGAGCATGTGGTCAGGCCAAGACATCAGCCTTTGATTTGTTATAAATGAAAACTTTCTAAAAATGTGAGTTGGGTGTGTGTTTGATGTGTATTTGGTTTAGGAATAAAGTGAGAAAAGGTATTAATTATAAGTAATAAATGAAATTAAAAATGTATTTTTTATAAGTGAGGGCTATATAAATTACAAAGTAGTCAGGACTGACTTAAAGCCTAGAATTTCTGCTACTAAAATGTATATTTCGGAGGCTAAAACCAACCTATTGACATTCAAGAGTATTGAAGCAAATGTAAATGTGTCTGTACTCCTAGACTCTATTACCATTTTTTTCCTCAAATAAGCTCATTTTGGCATTTAAAAAACAACTGATATTTTTACTCCAGTAGCATGCTGTTTTGATTACTATAACTTTGTGGAACATTTTGAAATGAAGTAGTGTGATGCCTGTAGCCCAAGACTGCTTTGACTATTCCTGGTCTTTTATGGTTTCATATGAATTCTAGGACTGTTTTTTTCTAATGCTATCAGAATTTTGATAGAGATTGCATTGAATCTATAGATCGATTTGAGTAGTATATGTATTTTGACAATATTAATTCTGCCAATTCATGAACATAGGATGTTTTTTCACTTATTTGTGTTCTCTTCAACTACCTTTATCAATATTTTACAGTTTCCAGTGTACAGATGTTTCACCTTGGTTTAATTTATTCCTCAATTTTTTGTGCTATTGTAAATGAGATTATTTTCTTGGGTTTTTTTTTTTTTTTGGAAAGTTCATTGTTAGTGTATACAAATGCTATTAATTTTTGTTTGTTTGTTTGTTTAGACAGAGTATTGCTTTGTTGCCCAGGCTGGAGTACCATGGGACGATCTCGGCTCACTGCAACCTCCACCTCCCAGTTCAAGCAATTCTCCTACCTCAGCCTCCCAAGTAGCTGGGATTACAGGCACCCACCACCATGCCTGGCTAATTTTTGTATTTTTAGTAGAGGCAGGATTTCACCATGTTGGCCAGGCTGGTCTCGAACTCCTGACCTCAAGTGATCCGCCCATCTTGGCCTCCCGAAGTGCTGGGATTACAGGCATGAGCCACCATGCCCGGCGTGATTTTTGTATGTTGATTTTGTATCCTGCAACTTTACTGAATTCATTTATTAGTTCTAACAGCTTGCATCTGGCATAAAAACAGACATATAGACCAATGTAACAGAGCAGAGAGCTCACAGATAAATCCACACTATTATGATCAATTGATCTTTGACAAAAGTACCAAGAACATACAATAGGGAAAGGACAATCTTGACAATAAATGGTGTTAAGGAAACTAGATATCCACATGCAGAAGAGTGAAATTGGACTTTTATCTCCCACCATATACAAAAATCAACTCAAAATTAATTAAGGGCTTAAATGTAAGATCAGACACTATAATGCTACTAGAAGAAAACTTAGGGGAAAAGCTCCATGACATTGATCTGGACAATGATTTTCTGGATGTTACCCCAAAAGCAGAGGCAACAAAAGCAAAAATAGGCAAATGGGATTGCATCAAACTAAAAAGGTTCTGCACAGCAAAGGAAACAATCAACAGAGTGAAGAGATAACCTATGGAATGGGAGAAAATAATCTGCAAATCATACATCAGATAAGAAGTTAATATTCAAGATATATAAGGAACTCAACCAATTCAATATCAACAAAACAAATAACCTAATTTTAAAATGGACAAAGGACCTGAATAGATTCTTCTCAAAACAAGACATACAGTTGGGCATGGCGGCTCATGCCAGTAATCCCAGCGCTTTGGGAGGCCGAGGCAGGAGGATTACTTGAGCCAGGAGTCCCAGACCAGCCTGGGTAACACAGCAAGACTCCATGTCTACAAAAAATTTTAAAAATTAGCCAGGCGTAGTGGCATGCACCTGGAGTCCCAGTAGTCAGGAGCTGAGGTGGGAGGATTGCTTGAGCCCAGGAGTTGGAAGCTTCAGAGAGCTATAACCACACCACTGCACTCCAGCCTGGGTGACAGGGAGAGACTCTACCTCAAAAAACATATTTAAAAATAACTACATGAAGTGATGGATAGGTTAATTAGCTTGACTCATGCATTTCACAATGTATACATATATAAAAATATCACGTTGTACACTGTAAATATATACAACTTTTATTTGTCAATTGTACCTTAACAAAGCTGAGGGATGGGGATTTAAAAATAAAGAATAAAAAAATAACTGACACAAATGTGCGAGGCTACTCTGATGAGAGCTAAGCCCCTGCAGTCACAGCATGCTAAACTATCATTCAATGAGACACACGTAAGTCAGCCTTCATCTTCTCAGTGCATTCTTTCAAGTCCTACCTATTCTACAAGAAAAACAGATGTCTGATTTCTTTCTTTCTTTCTTTTTTTTTTGACAGAGGCTTGCTTTGTTGCCCAGGCTGGAGTGCACTGGCCCGATCTCGGCTCACTGCAAGCTCTACCTCCCAGGCTCAAGCGAGTCTCCTGCCTCAGCCTCCTGAGTAGCTGGGACTACAAGCACATGCCACCACACCCAGCTAATGTTTGTATTTTTAGCAGAGACAGGGTTTCACCACGTTGGCCAGGCTGGTCTTGAACTCCTGACCTCAAGTGATCCGCCCGCCTTGACCTCTCAGAGTGCCAGGATTACAGGCATGATTTCTTTTCACTTAAAAATAAAAACTTTTTAGCAAGTTACATCAGGGAAATTAAGAAAGTCCTGGCTTCTGTCCTCTCTCATTCATCTTTGTATTGTTCCTTTTTACATAAACACTGAGACCTAGGTGCCCATCCTGACTGCATGGCGTTGAGTGATGAAAGATGAGACCCCCTAGAAGGAGGTAGTGAGGCTCTGAGCAAGCCCGTTCTCTTTGGTGCCCCCGAGAACCAAATGGGAGCCTGTCATTGGGCTGCAGTGAACTCTGCCATGTTCATTTCAACAGGTTTTATACCACTATCTCATTTTGAAGTTTATATTTTGAAATTATGGTATACCCAAAATGAAGAGGTGCTTTCAAAAAGTTTAGTGATTTGGACTGGGCACGGTGGCTCACACCTGTAATCCCACCACTTTGGGAGGCCGAGGTGGGAGAATCGCTTAAGCCCAGGAGTTGAGAGGCCAGCCTGGGCAACACAGTGAGACCCTGTCTCTACCAAAAAAAAAAAAAAGGGTAATGATTTGAAACTAGGTTTCAGTTTAATTCTCACCATTTTTATATCCTAGAGAATAATTCCTTTAAATTACGTATTTTGCTTTGCTTTTTTCATTTTTTTACTCTTCAAATCTCATTTTCTCCTGTGAAATCCACAGTTTACTTGTTCTGTGTTTTTGGTGTTATTGTTGCTGATGGTGTTTTTGGTTAATATGATTAAAGAAAAACTTTTTTACTAATACCTTATTGCTGCCAATTCTAAAATTTCTAACCCTGCCAAGTCACTACTATTTTCTTTGTGTTACTTTTTTAATTTTTAATTTTTGTGGGTACATAGTAGGTGTATATATGTATGGGGTACATGAAATATTTTGATACAGGCATACAATGTGTAATAATCACATGGGGTAAATGGAATATCCATCACCTCAAGCATTTATCCTTTCTTTGCATTACAAGCAATCCAATTATGCTCTTTTAGTTTTCTTTTTTTTTGTTAGACAGAGTTTTGTTCTTGTCGCCCAGGCTGGAATGCAATGGTGCGATCTCAGCTCACTGCAACCTCTGCCTTCCAGGTTCAAGTAATTCTCTGGCCTCAACCTCCCAAGTAGCTGGGACTACAGGCATGCACCACCATGCCCGGCTAATTTTTGTATTTTTAGTAGAGACAGGGTTACAGCATGTTGGCCAGGCTGGCCTTGAACTCCTAACCTCAGGTGATCCACCCACCTTGGCTTCCCAAAGTGCTGGGATTACAGGCATGAGCCATCGCGCCTGGCTCTTTTAGTTATTTTTAAATGTACAATAAATTATTGTTGACTTTAGTCACTCTGTTGTGCCATCAAATACTGGATCTTATTCATTCTATCCAACTATATTTTTGCACTCATTAATCAGTCCCACTTTCCCCCATCCCTGCTACTCTTCCCAGCCTCTGGTAACCATTCTTACACTTTCTATCTCCATGAGTTTAATTGTTTAAATTTTAGCTTCCATGGATAAGTGAGAATATGTGAAGTTTGTCTTTCTGTGCCTGGCTTATTTCACTTAGCATAATGACCTCCAGTTACATCCATGTTATTACAAATGATAGGATCACATTCTTTTCTATGGCTGAATAGTATTCCATTGTATATATGTACCACATTTTCTTTTTCCATTCATCTGTTGATGGACACTTTGGTTGCTTCCAAATCTTGGCTATTACAAATAGTGCTGCAATAAACATGGAGTGCAGAGATCTCTTTGATGTACTGATTTCCTTTCTTTTGTGTATACACCTAGCAGTGCGATTGCTGGATTAAATAGTAGCTCTATTTTCAGTTTTTTGAGGAACCTCCAATTGTTCTCCATAGTAGTTGTATTAATTTACATTCCCACCAATAGTGTATGAGGGTTCCCTTTTCTCCATGTCCTCACCAGCACTTGTTATTGCCTGTCTTTTGGATCACTGGAGTGAGATGATATCTCATTGTAGTTTTGATTTGCATTTCTCTGATGATCAATGATGTTGAGCACCTTTTCATTTATCTGTTTGCTCTTTGTATGTCTTCTTTTGAGAAATGTCTATTCCGATCTTTCACTCATTTTTAATTGAATTATTATATCTTTTCCTATTGTTTTGAGCTCCTTATATATTCTGGTTATTAATCCCTTGTCAGGTGGACAGTTTGCAAATATTTTCTCCCATTTTGCAGATTGTCTCTTCACTTCGATAATGTTTCTTTGCTGTGCAGAAGCTTTTTAACTTGGTGAGATCCCATTTGTCCATTTTTGCTTTGGTTGCCAGTGCATGTGGAATTTGCCACTCCAATGTCCTGGAGAGTTTCTCCAATGTTTTCGTTTAGTAGTTTCATAGTTAGAGAGCTTAGATTTAAGTTTTTAATCCATTTTGATTTGATTTTTGTATATGGTGAGAGATAGGGGTCTAGTTTCATTCTTCTACATATGGACATCTAGTTTTCCTAGCACTGTTTATTAAAAAGACTGTGTTTTCTTCAATGCATGTTCTTGGCACTTTTGTTGAAAATAAGTTCACTGTAGATATATGAATTATTTTCTGGGTTTTCTTTTCTGTTCCATTGGTCTATGTGTCTGTTTTTATGCCAGTGCCATGCTGTTTTGATTACTATAGCACCATAGTGTAATTTGAAGTCAGATAATGTGATTCCTCTAGTTTTGTTCTTTTTGCTCAGGATAGTTTTGGCTATTCTGGGTCTTTTGTGATTCCATACATTTTAAGATTTTTTTTTCTGTTTCTGTGATGAATGTCAATGGTATTTTGATAAGGATTGCATTTATTCTGCAGATTGCTTTGGACATTTTAACAATATTTATTCTTCCAATCCATGAATATGGAATATCTTTCCACTGTTTTGTGTCCTTTTCAATTTCTTTCATTAATGTTTTACAGTTTTCATTGCAGAGATCTTTCACTTCTTTGGTTAAGTTGATTCCTAAGTAGTTAATTTAATTTGTAGCTGTTATAAGTGGGATTACTTTCTTAATTTCTTTTTCAGATTGTTCACTGTTGGCATACAGAAATGCTACTGATTTTTGTATGTTGGTTTTGTATCCTGCAACTTACTAAATTTGTTTATCATCTCCAGTAGTTTTTTGGTGGAGTCCTCAGGTCTTTCCAAATATAAGATCATATCATTTACAAAGAGGATACTTTTACTCCTTCCTTTCCAATTTTGCTGCCCCTTTTTTTTTCTCTCTTGTCTGGTTGCTCTAGCTAGGACTCTAGTACTATGTTGAATAACAGTGGTAAAAATGGGAATCCTTGTCATGTTCCAGATCTTAGAGGAAAAGCTTTCAGTTTTTCCCCATTCGCTATGATACTGTGGCTCTTGCAGACTTGTAGAGGTACCACAGTGGTTTTGAGTAAGATCTTGAAGAATCCTCTAGATGACAAGGCAGAGACTCTTTTTCTCTTCCCTTAACTTTCTCCCAAACTGAGTCTCTCTGTGCTTAGCTCCATGGAGCTGGGGGAGAGGTGACACAAGCACCCCTGTGACCACCATGACTGGGACTTCCCTAGGTCAGACCTGAAGCCAGCACGACACAGGGTTTCACTCAAGGTCCACAGTAACCACTGCCTGACTACCGCCTATGTTCACTCAAGGACCTAGGGCTCTACAATGAGCAAGTGGAGAAGCCAGCCAGCTTTATGTTCTTCTCTTGAGGGTGGCAAGTTCCCCCAACCCCAGGCAGGTCCAGAGATGCCATCTGGGAGCTAGGGCCTGAATTGAAAACCTTAGGAATCTACCTGGTGCTCTGTGCTACTGCAGCTGAGCTGGCACCCAAGCCACTAGACAAAGTTCTTCCCACTCTTCTCTCCCTTTTCCACAAGCAGAGGAGTCTCCCCATGGCCACCACCTCCCCAGGTTCATGGCAAGTACTGCCTGGCCACTGCCGATGTTCACTCAAGGCCCAAGCGCTCTTCAGTCAGCTTGTGGTGAATGCTGTAAGGCCTGGAACTCTTCCTTCAGGGAGGTGGATGTCCCTCTTGCCCAGAGCAGGGTGGGAAATGCTAGCCAAGAGCCAAGCCCTGGAATTGGGGCCTCCAGGAGCCCACTTAGTACCCTGCCCCACTGTGGTCAGCTGGTACCTAAGCTGCAAGACAAACTTCCTTTTACTCTTCCCTCTCCTTTCCTCAAACAGAAGGAATCTCTCCTTGTAGCCACCACGGCTGGGAATGTGCTGGGTCACACCTGAAGCCGGCACATCTCTGAGTCTCACATGAGGTCCACAACAAGTATTGCATGTGTCTCACTGCTGATTATCCAGGGCCCAAGGGCTCTTTAGTCAGCAGTTGATTATCCTGACAGGACTGTGTCCCTCTCTTTAAGGCAGCAGGTTCCCTTCTGGCCCCCAGTGTGTCTAGAAATGTCAGGGAGCTAGAGCCGAAATTGGGGCCTCAGGACTCTGCCTGGTGCTTTATCCTACTGTGGCTGAGCTGGTATCCAATTGCAAGATAAAGTCCTCTTTCCCCTCTCCTCTCCTCAAGCAGAAGGAAGGATCTCTTCTGGAGCTTCAAGCTGTGCTGCCTGGGGTTATGAGAGTGGTGACATGAGCACTCCCTTGGTCACCCCAGCTAGCATCTCACTAGTTCACATGCCCCAAAGTCCATTGGCTCTGAGCCCAGCACAGCATCAGGAATTGCCCAAAAATTGCAGTCCTGGTGGCCTAGACTGCCTTTCAAGTTTATTTAGAGCCCCAGAGCACTTTAGCCCATGGTAGTGAGGCTTGCCAGAACTCAAGTTCCAAATGCTGGGATGAGTGATGCCCCTCTGGCTAGGGCTCAATGCTCCCTCCGTGGTCACTGACTGAGATCTGCCTATGTTGCTTTCTGCTGTGACAGGGCAGCACTGAGTTCCAATACCAAATCCCACAATCACTTTACTCTCCCTCCTGCAAGCACACAGATTCTGTGTCTGTGTCACACAGCCATTACTGGGGAATGGGAGAAAAGTGTATCAGCAATTCAAGACTGTCTTTCCCACCCTCTTCAGTGCCTGTTTTGGTGATATGAAGGTAGACACAGGTACTGTTTCTCTCACCTGACTTTTAGGTCCTATGCTTTTTTGTGTGGATAGTGTTCAATTTGGTGCTCCCATGGAAAGGACCATCACTGGAGGCTTCAAATCAGCCATCTTGTCCACCTCCCCACTACTATTTTTTTTTAATATTACATTTCCCCACTTCAGAATATCACTCTGGAGTTGGAATAAGGTAAGATTTCACCAATTCAATTCTTAATATATTTTCTTATAAAATAGCTGAAATCTCAAATCAGTAACAATGTTGTTATTGTTCAGTGATGGCTAGATTTAAGCTTTTTTCCCCCCATTAATTGGAAATTTTCTGATCTGTGAACTTAAAAACCCACTTATGGGACAGTTTGTTGATCTCGTTGCATCTTCCTTTGCCCAGGATAGAGGGTTCCTTTTCAGGACATCCTCCTTGCCTCCATTCAGTTAATTCCATATTTTAGGGCTCTTGTTTGTCTACTGCAAGAGCTCCCAAAGTTTTGGGAATTTTAGCATTAGTGTATACCATTTATATACCTACTTGCCAGATATATAAATAAGTAATGTTAAATTCTACTTTAAAAATGCCATATGGCACATTTCTAATTTAAAGGAGGTGAACAATAATTTTGTGTTGAAAATGTTGATTCTCCCTGTGATCACCAGAAATGGTTTCCCGATAAAAGGAAACACTTTTTCTTGAAGGTGTTTGACTTTCCACCCTCTCTGGCTGTAAGCCAGTTCCCCCAGGTCAGAGAAAAGCTACATACTTTTTCAAGGTGCATTTTACTTTGCCAGGAAATATTGCACTAAGGGAATTCAAAAGCACTTGAAGTTTCTTCTTCTTCTTCTTCTTCTTCTTCTTCTTCTTCTTCTTCTTCTTCTTCTTCTTCTTTCTTCTTCTTCTTCTTCTTCTTCTTCTTCTTCTTCTTCTTCTTCTTCTTCTTCTTCTTTCTGCTTCTTCTTTCTCTTCTTTCTTCTTCTTCTTCTTCTTCTTGTTCTTCTTCTTCTTTCTTCTTCTTCTTTCTTCTTCTTTCTTCTTCTTCTTTTTATCTCAGGATACCTTGAGAAAGAGCACTCATAAAAATGTAAATGGTAACGTTCAGAATCTTGTGGCAAGCACTGATTTTTAAAATAGATATTTACATTTACATTCTTAAAAGGCAGTTCCAAAATGGTCTGATTTTGAGAACCAGAATTAGAATAACAGAGAATGATAGTGTTCCCATATGAAGGAGTATTTTCTTCAACTTGGCTTACTTGAAGTTCAAAAAAGTTAATCCAAAGTTTTTTGGGTTTTTTTTTTCGAGTTGTTGTTGTTGCTATTTCTTTGTTTGTTTGCTTATTTGTTTTTTAAACAGGATCTCACTGTGTCACCCAGGCTGGAGTGCAGTGGGGCAATCACGACTCACTACACCCTCAAACTCCTGAAGTCACGCAATGCTCCCGCCTCAGCTTCCAGAGTAGCTGGGACTACAGGTAAAAACCACCACACCCAGGTCATTTTTAAACTTTTTTATAGAAATGGGGTCTCACTTTTTGCCCAGGCTGGTCTCAGACTTGTGGCCTTAAACAATCCTCTCGCCTCAGCCTTCCAAAGTGCTACGATTACAGGCATGAGCAACTGTGCCTGGCCAATCCAAAGTTTTTAATGGGTGATTTTTTTGAATTGGCCAGGGACAATTAGACCATCTTGCTCCCTGGCAGATCTATCATCCACATGGGTTGCTCTCTAAAGACAGGTAAAGAACAGGTACATTTTTACAGATTAGAATCTAAGGAAAAGCAAAATAATTTTATTAAATCACTTTTAAATGGTTAATAAAAACAGTCATTTTTAAAAATTAAAAACAGTCATCATACATTTAACTTGAATTTTATCCTAAATTACTTTCCATAAATAAAATTTCTAAAATATAACCATAATGGAGATATTAGATTCAAGAAATGTAATTGTACCTTATGAAACCTTTGCCCCAACTGCAGGCCTGTTACAGTCATTCATTTTACTCATGGACTATTTCTAAATCCCTGCACTTCTTACTGCCCTTGTGCTTGGATGGGACCCAAGAGTTAGTAGTAGCCCATGGGTTGAGGTGGAAGTGAACTGTTGGACTCTCCAGAGCTCTCTATTTCCTCTGTCATAGCCTGCATCCCAGTAAGGATAAATTAGGACATGAAGCAGAGCTCCCACCAACCCATAGTGGACATAGAGTGTAAGTGGGAAAAAAAAAAATCTGTTACAATTTGGGACTATTTGTTACCTCCCTATACTCTAATCTGTACTGAGTAGTATAAATTCCATATAATAAGATAATTAAAGCCAGGTGCAATGGCTAACACCTGTAATCCCAGCACTTTGGGAGGCCAAGGCGGGCAGATCACTTGAGCCCAGGAGTTACAGACAAGCCTAGGCAACATGGCAAAGGCCTACCTCTACTAAAAATATAAATATTATCCAGGCATGGAAGTGTGCACCTGTGGTCCCAGCTACCTGGGAAACTGACGTGGGAGAATCACTTGAGCCCGAGTGGTTGAGTCTGCAATGAGCCGTGATCATGCCACTGCACTCCAACCTGGGTAACAGAGGGGGACCCTGTCTCAGAAAAAAGTGGGGGAGGGAAATAATATAATAAAATGTTACCAATTTGGAATAATGTTTAAAAAGGCAGCATGAATTAGTCATTTCTCTGAATCTCAGAAGTTTTAAGAAGAGCATGTTATGTCTTACGACTGTCTACCATGAATTTCACCCTCTACTGAAACTCCCTCAGCTCTCATCTGACTGGAGAGTAAGTGGTGTTATTTTCAACAGTTTTTATTCCCACTTGTTTCATTTCTATTCTGTATCTCTCAAGAAGGTAGGAGGGGATATATCCAACTGAATAAAGATGTCGACAGGAGCAGATGGGCCTAGCTTTCAGTCACGTCTCTGTAACACACCAGCTGGTAACCTTGACCACGTCACATACCTTTGTATGTAAAATGGGGATAACATGTGCCAGCACAGAGTCTGGCGTGTAGTGAACTGACCTGGTAAACCTCATGTGGGAGCCTGACATTATCAGAAATCATTCAGAGCAGAAGCTTTTCCTTTTATATGTAACCCACGTTGCCTAGCTCGGTGCCCTGCATGGGGTGGCCACTCCGCTAATGTAGTTGGCAGGCACTATTTTTCAAAATGAATCAACTCTTCTTTCTCCAGTTCATGGTTCATCAGATAATTCCATCTCTTGGGTTAGAGATTCCTGCTGTGGTGTTTTCAGATGCAAACATTCCATTTCATTTTTAAATTGGAATTTTGACAGCCCATAAAAATAATTCAAATATACCTGTGAGATTCTCACCCTAGTTTTCCACATGTGAGGGGGTCTAAAGAAATATAAAGAATATGGGCTTGGGAGTGAGTCAAGCTGGATTTGAATCTCCCTTCTGATCTTCACTATGACCTATGGCAACCATGTACATTTTCTCATTCTCAACTTCCTTATCTCTAAAGGGCTAACAACACCTGTCCTAGGATGAGCTGAGCATGCATGTTAAAGCACATTACATGGGAGAAAGTAACTGCTCACTTAAAAAAAGAAAGAAAAATGTTAGTTTCCTTCCCATGTCATGCTTCTGAGAATTCAACATGATTTATTAAAATGTAAA
This sequence comes from Homo sapiens, assembly GCF_000001405.40. NCBI lineage: Eukaryota > Metazoa > Chordata > Mammalia > Primates > Hominidae > Homo > Homo sapiens. Next base: position 21,230,472 of record NC_000010.11, read on the forward strand.
TTACTATGGTTTCAAGATGAATGTGTCAACAATCTCACTTTCTCAGAGCTTTTTCTATTCCCTTTTGTTTTGAGAGAAAATGGAGGAACTCTACTTGAATTTTAAGCTTAAGATCATCTGCAAACTGGAAACCTTTTTTTTTTTTTTTTTTGAGACAGGGGCTCGCTCTGTCGCCCAGGCTGGAGTGCAGCGGCGTGATCTTGGTTCACTGCAACCTCCGCCCCCTGGGTTCAAGCGTTTCTCCTGCCTCAGCCTCCCAAGTAGCTGGGATTAAAGGCACCCACCGCCAAGCCCAGCTAATTTCTGTATTTTTGGTAGAGATGGGGTTTCACCATGTTGCTCAGGCTGGTCTTGAACTCCTGGGATCAAGTGATCCACTGTCCTCGGCCTCCCAAAGTGTTGTGATTACAGGCATGAGCCACTGTGCCTAGCCACCAAGAGTCTTAAGAAACGAAAAGGAACCCCCATGCCAGTCCATTTCTTATTAATCATTTAATTAAACTGAAAGCTATTAAAATTCTGCTTTACTGTATGTCTTCCGTCCAAATGAAGCACGATCCATGGACCAAAAGAAAGTCAATTGATTCACAATCATGCTTTGCTAAGAGGCATAAGGACACAAGTTGATGTATTCATTCATTCGTTCTTGCTGTGTCCTCGCGATGTGCGAGCACTTCTTGGCTTGGTGGATGCAGTGATGAACAAGAAAGCCAAAAGAGCCACCTTTATGGAACTTACATTCCAGTGGAGGAGACAAGCAAACATGTGCTGTGAAGAAAAATAAAAGGCTGGGCGCAGTGGCTCACATCTGTAATCCCAGCACTTTGGGAGGCTGAGGTGGGCAGATCACCTGAGGTCAGGAGTTCAAGACCAGCCTGGCCAACATGGTGAAACCCTATCTCTACTAAAAATGCAAAAATTAGCCAGGCTTGGTGGCACACGCCTGTAATCCCAGCTACTCGGAAGGCTGAGGCAGGGGAATCGCTTGAACTCGGGGGAGGAGGTTGCAATGAGCCGAGATGGCGCCACTGCACTCCAGCCTGGGCAACAGAGCGAGACTCTGTCTCAAAAAAAAACAAGAAAAGAAAAGAAAAGAAAAAGAAAAGAGGATAATGAGACAGAACAATGTGGGGCAAGGGAACAGTATTACAGTCAGGAGAGAACATCAGAGGAAGGTACAGTGAACAGGGGCATGAAGATCTGGGGAGAGAACGTTCCTGAAAGCCAAATAAGGCAGTCAAAGCCCCGAGGCAAAACGAATTTGCCAAGTTCAAAGAATAGAAAGGCATCAGCAGGAGGAGGTAGGGAGAAGGGTAGGAAACAAGATGAAAACTAAAAATAAAATTCTACGCCCTCCAACCATGGAACAGACCCCCTCTTGGCCAAGGACACTTCAGAAAAAAAACTTGAAAACTTAATTCCCAGGCATGGCAGGATGGGAGGCCAGACACACCTCGCTATGCCCCCTCCCTTTTGCGGTTTATACACAACTGATCAGCATTAGTGTTAAAATAGGGATCATAAAACCAAAAAATGCTCTTCATGACAATATGATATCAAATTATAAATAGGACCCAAAGCCATGCCAGACAAGGGTTAAGTCACACTTCCCTACGCTTCGAGAATAAACTATGTTCCAACTGCCACAGGGTTGTTGTTTTTTTTTCTCTCTCTCTCTCTTCTTTTTCTCTTGCCAGCAGGAGGAGGCAAGAAGAAGCATAGGAAACAAGGTTAGAGAGCAAAGTAGCCATAGACCATGCAATTCTCTGCAACCCATAATACAGAACTTGGATTTGACTTTAGATAGTCCAGAAAAGCTTTAGAGCAGCAGTCCCCAACCTTTTTGGCACCAGGGACCTGTTAAGTGGAACACAAATTTGCCACAGACCAAGGGTCGGTCGGGGGGTGGTTTCAGGATGATTCAAACCCATTACATTTATTGTGCACTTTATTTCTGTTATTATTACATTGTAATATATGAGGAAATAATTGTACAACTCACCATAATGTACAATCAGTGGGAGCCCTGAGGTTGTTTTCCTGCAACTAGACAGTCCTATCTGGGGATGCAGGGAGACAGTAACAGGTCATCAGGCATTAGATTTTCATAAGGAGCATGCAACCTAGATCCTTCACATGAGCAGTTCACAATAGGGTTTGCGCTTCTATGAGAATCTAGCACTGCTGCAGATCTGATGAGGCGGAGCTCACGTGGTAATTCAAGTGATGGGGAGACAGACAGGTACCAGTCAGTGGCCTGGGTTTGGGGGTTGGAGACCCCTGCTTCACAGGGTTTTGAGCAAAAGAGTGACATGGTCTGACTTACATTTTCAAACAATCACTTAAGTTTCTACAGAAAACTAGACCACAAAAAGCCAAAAGCAAAAGCAGCAGCTCTATCAGAAGTTGCAGTAGTTCAGGAGAGATGATTCCAACTCAAACTAGAACAGTAGCATTAGAAAAAGTGAAAAGTAGTCAATCTCAGGGTATAGTTTGAAGACAGAACCAAAAATACTTGCTGAGCAATTGAAGATGAGCCATGAAGGAAAAACAGGAATCAAGGACAATGCCTTTTCCTATCTTAGGTTCAACCACATTTCTTTTTTATTGAGACAGAGTCTCACTCTGTTACCAAGGCTGGAGTACAATGGCACAATGTTGGTTCACTGCAACCTCCACCTCCCAAGCTCCAGCAATTCCCACCTCAGCCTTCTGTGTAGCTGGGACTACAGGCACTCGCTAAATTTTGTATTTATTGTAGAGATGAGGTTTCATCATGTTGCCCAGGTTGGTCTCGAACTCCTGGGCTCAAGCAATCTGCCCGCCTTGGCCTCCCAAAGTGCAGGGATTACAGGCATGAGCCACTGCACCCAGCCTCAACCACTTCTCTTGACTTGCTCCAAACTCTGGCACACTATTCAGAATTGTAAGAGCATATTTGGTCATCTGACATTTAGTACTTATAATTTGGGAAGGACTCTTCCATACTAACACACATCCAGCAGAGATATAGATAAATGTATGCATACATAACTATATCTATATCATATATATCTCTATAGATATATATGCATATATACATACATATATAGATATGGATATATATACACATGTACATATTTATGTATCTATATATACATATATAGATATATATCTATATAGAGAGACTTATCTATATATACATATATAGATATATATCTATATATGTATATCTAGATATAGAGACATATTTATATATGCATATATATGGATATATATTACATATATAGATATATATTACATATAGATATATATTACATATAAATGCATATATATGCATATATATTACATATATAGATATATATTACATATATATGCATATATATGGATATATATTACATATATAGATATATATTACATATATATGCATATATAGATATATATTACATATATATGCATATATATGGATATATATTACATATATATATATATGCTGGATGTGCGTTAGTATAGATGCATCCTTCCTAAATTATAAGTAGTATAATTTAGGAGATTGTGAGATAGATAGATAGATAGATAGATAGATAGATAGATAGATATCTCCAAGAAAGCTAAACACTCCAGGAAAGTATTATTTTTAGGACTGGACTGGACTGGACTGGACTGGAAATATTATAAAAGAGCTACTTGTTGAAAAGGGGGTGAGTGGATTTGACTTTCCTATGCCAAAGTGGATTTGGATTCAGAGACGCTGGACCTGATGTAGTTTCCTCCAAATCACATGTTGAAATGTAATCCCCGGTGTTGGAGGTGGGGTCTGGTGGGAGGAATTTGGATCATGTGGGCCGATCCCTTATGAACAGCTTGGTGCTATCCTATCAGTAATGAGTTCACCAGAGAGCGGGTTGTTTAAAGAGCCTGGCGCCACCACCTTCTCTCTCATGCACCCTCTCTCTTCATGTAATTCACCTGCCTCTCCCACTTCACCTGCTATGGGTAAAAGCTCCCTGTGGTCTCACCAGAAGCAGAGCAGATGCCAACACCATGCTTCCTGTACAGGCTACAGAACTGTGAGTCAATTAAACCTCTTTTCATTATAAATTACCCAGTCTCAGGTGTTCCTTTAGAGCAGTGTAAAACTGACTAACACAGACCCTGCTTTCCATTGAGCAGTGACGTGCTGTTAATCCCCCTCTCTCTGCTCCAGCCCACACTGCTATCCATCTCCCAGAGAACCTCAGCCGACTGGGATCAGAAATCTGGCTTCCTAAACAGAGACCAAATCAGCTTTAATGTCTGCAGAGAAGCCAGCTGAACCCACAGTGGCCACCTCCAGTTCACCGTCACTCAGCAGCACTCTGCCCTGAAGTTTCAGAACACTTAAGGTCATTGATTTGTCTGGAGGGAAGTTATATGGAACAGCTGGTTTCCTCCGGTACAGGCCAAAACAAGGCTCAACGGTGAGATATAACCAACACCCAAGGCCTCTTTAACAGAGAGAAAGGAGAGGACCTAAGAAGATTATAGAACAAGAGCCAGGAAGCAATCACAAAACAAAAAGTAGCCAGGCGTGGTGGCACTCGCCTGTGGTCCCAGCATTTTGGGAGGCCAAGACAGGAGGAGCACTTGAGCCTGGTAGTTCCAGACCAGCCTGGGCAACATAGTGAGATGCCATTTCTACAAAAACGTACAAAAATTAGCTGGGCATGGTGGTGTGCGCCTGTAGTCCCAGCTGCTCGGGAAGCTGAAGCGGGAGGATCACTTGAGTCCAGGAGGTTGCGGCTGCAGTGAGCTACGACTGTGCCACTGCAGTCCAGCCTGGATGACAGAGTGAGACCCTATCTCTTAAAAAAAAATCCAAATGTTAAAAAATCCAAAAACATAAGTGTTTTTATTTATTTATTTAAAGACAGAATCTTGCTCTGTCACCCAGGCTGGACTGCAGTGGCGCGATCTCGGGTTCAAGCGATTCTCCTGCCTCAGCCTCCCTAGTAGCTGGGACTACAGGTGCCTGAGACCACGCCCAGCTAATTTTTGTATTGTTGGTAGAGACAGGGTTTCGCCATTATGGACAGGCTGGTCTCGAACTCCTGGCCTCCAGCGATGCAGCCACCTCAGCCTCCCAAAGTGCTGGGATAACAGGCGTAAGCCACTGCGCCAGGCCCATAAGCATTTTTAGAATTCAACAGTTGTTCTCCCAAAAGTGAATATGAGATGGCATAAGTCATTGGGGGCAGCAGATTAACTAGCACCTATGAACTGGGAATAGCAAATAAAAACTTGATAACATTCTTATAGATTTCTGCCTGTTTTAAAAAATATATTTGATTTTCAACTATAATTAGGGATCAGGGATGTGTCAAGACAGAAAAAGTGTTTTACTACATTGTGCATCGATTTATGACACACCCATCTCATCTGAGATGTGGCGATCATTCATGCTTCCTGAAACATAGGTCATCAGTCAAATCTCTGAGAACATATTACAAAATGGAAAAGAAACGACTTTTTAAAAAATGATATGTTGCACAGTCTTATGGCCCCTTGTGGTTGAGAAGGGTTCAAGGCCACCAGCTTTGACATTCATAACCCCCGTAGTCTTTATTTATATGACAAAACAGAAGTCGTTCCCCTCTGGAATGATTTTCTTTTCACTGTACAAGATTAGCATTCAGTAATTCTTTCTACAGGTGTTTCATATCAAATCAATTCACAATAGCTCACAGTCTCAATCATGGGAGGGAAATCTTAGCATGGTTAGCAGTTTGGAGTTATAGCTAGAAATCTTTAAAAAGCCTACAAAGAATTTAACAACTGAATTTTACAATGTTGCTTCCTCATGTTTTGTCATTCTGGTTTTGTTACTCACCTACTTTATTTTATTCCTTTTTTTAATTTTTTTTTTTTTTTTTTTTGAGACAGAGTGTTGTTCTGTTGCCCAGGCTGGAGTGCAGTGGTGCAATCTCAGCCCACTGCAACCTCCATTGCCCAGGTTCAAGCAATTCTCATACCTCAGCCTTCCGAGTAGCTGGGACTACAGGTGCACACGACCACGCCTGGCTAATTTTTTGTATTTTTAGTAGAGACAAGGTTTTGCCATGTTGGCCAGGCTGGTCTCGAACTCCTGACCTCAGGTGATCTGCCCGCCTTGGCCTCCCAAAGTGCTAGGATTGCAGGTGTGAGCCACTGTGCCAGGCCACTCACCTACTTTGAAAAAATAAAATCTTTGAAGATTTCCCCATGGCCTATCAAATTAAATATAAATTTAAATCTGACGTAATTTAGGCCCCAAAATGAACCCCAAACTCTTTCTAGACTCATAAACACTGCACCACCTACTAAACTCCACTAACAACTACAACAATCACTAACATTTCTAAAGCCTTTACTGTAAGTCAGGAACAGTTCCAAGAGTTTCACATCTTAAATAAATTAGTTCTCATAACTACCTAGTAAGATAGGTACTATTATTATTCCCCCTTTATAGAGAGAGGACCAAGGCATCGGTTAGTAACTGACCCAAAGTCACAGACTCGAATTCAGTAGAGTTGGGATTTAAACCCAGGCAGCCTGACACCTAAGCCCAAATGCTTGATCTTGATCACTTACACTCCTTGAACTTTCGTGTTTTGTAGATCCCTCTCTACTCTGCATCTTAAATAACCTCCTCCATAAAAAATCCATTGTCAAAATCCTGTCAAAGCCTGTTTCAAATATGACATCTTTCTTTTTTTGTTTGTTTGCTTTTGTTTTGGTTTGTTTTGTTTTGTTTGAGATAGAGTGTCACTCTGTTGCCCAGGCTGGAGTGCAGTAGCGCAATCTCAACTCACTGCAACCTCCCCTTCCCGGGTTCAAGCAATTCTCCTGCCTCAGCCTCCCGAGTAGCTAAGATTACAGGCGCAAGCCACCACACCTGGCTAATGTTTGTATTTTTAGTAGAGACGAGGTTTCACCGTGTTGGCCAGGCTGGTCTCAAACTCCTGACCTCAGGTTATCCACCCACTTCAGCCTCCCAAAGTGCTGGGATTACAGGCATGAGCCACTGCGCCCTGCCTAATATGACATCTTTCATGAAGCCTTTTTTTCTGTTAACATCTAATTGACATCTGGTCTTCCTTGGAGACCATACAGCATCTCCCTCATATCTTTCTATCTCCCTGATGTTCTTTTTTGTGAGACAGGGTCTTGCTCTGTCACCCAGGCTGGAGGGCAGTAGCACCATGTCAGCTCACTGCAACCTCCACCTCCCGGGTTCAAGAAATTCTCCTGCCTCAGCCTCCTGAGTAGCTGAGACTACAGGTGTATGCCACCAAGCCTGGCTAATTTTTGTATTTTTAATAGAGACTGGGTTTCACCATGTTGGCTGGGCTGGTCTCGAACTCCTGACCTCAGGTGATCCACCCGCCTCAATCTCCCAAAGTGCTGGGATTACGAGCATGAGGCACCACATCCAGCCATATCTCCCTGATGTTCTATTCTACCTTAATTTATTGTTAGTTTTCTTGCCTTAGACCCCTCAGTGATCTATAAACCTTTGAGCAAACAGACTAAGTGTCTTCATCCCTACAGCCCATGCAGCAGCTACCAGAATTCCTGGAACACGGAGAGCTCTTAATAAATATGTTCACCTAATGAATGCTTTCTTCCTTGTTCTGGTCTGATTTTACCTGGGGTGCAAAGCAAAAATAGAGTCTCAACTTTCAGGTGTGGTATCAGGTGTCCTGGCCTTGTGTTATGTCACCCTCAACAACAGTTGGGAGAAAGTCAAGGAAGTATACACACATTTTCCGTAAAGTGAGTCATTTCAGGGGAAAGGGTAATTTTATAGATTGACAATTATCATGTAACAATGTCCAGGTGAATGTCTAAAATAGTTTGTACTTTTTCCTAAGAGCTCAGAGGCATAATCTAGCTTTGCATTTCATAAAAGTGAGTATGATGTTTTTCCTTTAAAGTTAAGAAAGTTGGGCCGGGCCCGGTGGCTCACGCCTGTAATCCCAGCACTTTGGGAGGCTGAGGCAGGCTGATCACCTGAGGTCAGGAGTTCAAGACCAGCCTGACCAGCATGGTGAAACCCCATCTCTACTGAAAAAAAAAAAAAATACCAAAATTAGCTGGGCTTGATGGTGCATGCCTGTAATCCCAGCTACTGGGGATGCTGAGGCAGGAGAATCACTTGAACCTGGGAGGCGGAGGTTGCAGTGAGCCCTCGCGCCATTACACTCCGGCCTGGGCAATAAAAGCGAAACTCCATCTCAAAAAAATTAAAAAAAAAAAAAAAAAAAAAAAAAGAGAAGGTTGAGGGGAGAGGAGGAGGAAAAGAAGAAATGGTTCTTTCTTTTCTTTTAAGATCCCCCCCAAAAGCCTGTATAACTCAGTGGCAGGTGTCTGACTAGTTACTTTTCAAGGTGTGTCTGATGTTGATTTGGAAGGTTCAAGTTACCAAGAAAACAGACGCTTTGGTTACCTTGACAACATAGGAAACTCAGGGCTACAGCGTGTTTGACTCAAAATTCCCTTTCAAACCCTTTGTAGACTGAGTACCATTTTATAAGAATGCCAGGCCTGAAACTCTTGTTTCTGTGATAAATTAAAACTGCACTAGAAATGGTTTTCAAGATAAATACATCTTTTGTTTCATAGATGATAAAGCTACACAGCTTTAATAATTCTGATAAGCCAAGTCTTCTATCTTGAATTGCCTGGGTTGGTTATCTCTACTGCCCAAAGCCCCTGAATAATAGTCCCAAGTCTGTTCCAACTCGTCCTGGTGAGGTGGCAAACATAGTGCATTTTACTTTTTTTTTTAAACAAACACGTGAAAATGAGCTTTGGCCTGATGTTCAGATGCTGAATAGTTTACTCTTCATTAAACATAAAAATGCCAAGAAATAGTCGTTTGAAGAGATCCAATTATTTTTTCAGGGATCTAGTCAGCTGCTGCTGACTAGATACCAAGGGAAACAGATACCCTGAAATGCTGTCCCACTCTGCACCCCCACATCCCATTTTCTCACTCCTGCCTTAGTCTTTTCCAGTCCTGTCAGGCTCACTGAAAGGACTTATCTGCAAGACCCCCAAACCCAGAATTTTTAGAGTGCTGCTCCCCTAAAAGCTCTGGGAGGTCTCTTCTTTGTACTCTATTCCAGCCTCTGAATCCCTCTCCCAAGTGCCAGAACATTCGGGGCCTTGACCCTTCTCCCTTGGGACTGCCAGTGCAAATGTGATCTTAGCCAGCCTCGTCCAAACTCAGAACAGATTTTATTGTTAAAAAATGCAGTAAGTGGCAGGGCGCGGTGGCTCACGCCTGTAATCCCAGCACTTTGGAGGTTGAGGTGGGCGGATTACAAGGTCAGGAGATCAAGACCATCCTAGCTAACATGGTGAAACCCCATCTCTACTAAAAATACAAAAAATTAGCCGGGCATCGTGGCGGTCACCTGTAGTCCCAGCTACTCTGGAGGCTGAGGCAGGAGAATGGCATGAACCCGGGAGGCAGAGCTTGCAGTGAGCCGAGATTGCGCCACTGCACTCCAGCCTGGGTGACAGAGCGAGACTCTGCCTCAAAAAAAAAAAAAATGCAGTAAACGGTAGTCAATATCTGTATTCCTGTTGGTACAATAAAATAGAAGCAAAACAGAATTTTGTAAACTAGCCTAACAACCTGTACATAGCTGGTATATCTCTTTCTAGCAGGAACGTTTTCTTAGTTCAAACCAGCTAAGTTACCGACAAAACTCTTGGAACCTAATATATTCACAAATTGGATTCTCCCTGTATTTCTAGCTTTTCAGTGCATTTTACACACTGAAAATCCCTTTGTTAGTTTAGGATCGTAGAGATTCGTTGCATGTAAGTATAGTCTAAGGAAAATCAATCGCTTGGTTCATTTTTTTAAAAAGCCATGATGTGACCGGGAGCAGTGGCTCACGCCTGTAATCCCAGCACTTTGGGTACCAAGGCAGGAGGATCACCTGAGGTCAAGAGTTCGAGACCAGCCTGGCCAACATGGTGAAACCCCATCTCTACTAAAAACACAAAAATTAGCTGGGTGTGGTGGCACTCGCCTGTAATCCCAGCTACTTGGGAGGCTGGGGCAGGAGAATTGCTTAAACCCAAAATCGCGCTACTGCACTCCAGCCTGGGCGACAGAGCTACACATTGTCACACACAAAAAAAAGCCATGATATTAGATGTGTGAAATATAAAAGCAATATTTAATATCGTTACAAGTTATTCTGGGATTTGGTTTTTAATGTTTTTACATTTCTAACAAATGATGTTACAAGTTCAGAATATAAAATAATATACCATCTTTTAGTTTTTTTCTGGGTTAGGATAAGTAAGTAAAATTGTAAGTTTAGAAGAAAATAGTTACAATAGAATTTTATCTCCTGGGAAGAAAAGGAGGAGGAACACTCATTTTCAGAACAGAACAGGGCAAAACACGCACACATACACACACACACACACACACACACACACACACACACACAAAACCAGTATCAAACTGTCTACAACTTTTGGCATGTTGAGAATTTTCTACTGAGCCCCATTTTTGGGGCTTTCACGATCATATTTCCTGTTTCTTCTGTGGCTTTATTTTTATCAGCTTCACAGATTTGTGAAAAGAGGAGTTCTTCCCAGATTGAAATATGTTTCACTACCCTTTCACGTGTTTATTTCTTGGCTTACATTCAGGCTTATGTCCTGATTTCAGGTTTGTGTTATATCTCTCGAACATGGAATGAGCTCCTTCACAGAGTCCAGAAGCTAGAAAACCCCGATGCCAGCAAAATAAATAAATAAATAAATAAATAAATAAATAAATAAATAAAAATAAAAATCAATCAAAAGGACCAAGAGCCAGCCTGAGCCAGGCCACCAGGGGGCCGCCTGCGGGATGAGCTTGTTCGGCCCCCTGGGTTGCATTCCCGTTCCAGGCGGCGCATCTGTGGCTGTTCTGCTTCCTGTAGCTTTTGGAAACATCTCTCCTACTTCAAGCATTCCCCTAGAGGGATGGTATGTTTTGCAATGAAGTCAACTCAGCAGTAACACAACCATGGCTGACATTTCTGCCTTCGTGCCAGAAAAATGTTCTTAGTGTATACTCTTCCAGAACATTCTGTTTGTGCTTCATTGTCATGTTCTCAATAAGTCATTTGCTACAGGCTGAAAAAGGGAGAAAGACATGCAAGATTTTTCTCCACATCTGGAGAGCCAGATGTGGAGCCTAGGTAAGGAGGTTCCTATGCCTATACGGAAACCAGGCCACCACCCGGGCATTTGAGTTCAGCGTGGTCAGCAGGGTGGTGACAATGCTATCAGCATTAAAGAGGAATTAAAAGACATTAACCTGGTGACACTTTGTAAAGTCATCAAGTTCTTTATAGACCTGGGATTCCATTTCTGTCTTAGTACATCTTGGTCATTGAATGGACCCACAGCTCATCTAAGAAACGTTCTGTAGGCCAGGAGCAGAGGCTCACGCCTGTAATCCTAGCACTTTGGGAGGCTGAGGTGTGTGGATCTCTTGAGCCCAGGAGTTCAAGGCCAGCCTGGGCAACATAGTGAAACCCCATGTGTACACAAAATATAAAAATTAGCTGGGTGTGGTGGCACACACCTGTGGTCCCAGCTACTTGGGAAGCTAAGATGGGAGAATCACTTGAGCCTGGGAGGCAGAAGTTGGAGTGAGCCAAGATCACGCCACCACTGTGCTCCAGCCTGGGTGACAGAGCAAGACCCTGTCTCAAAAGGAAAAAAAAGAAAAGAAAAGAAAAGAAATGTTCTGTAAAGAAAATGTGGTACATACACACCATGGAATACTATGCAGCCATAAAAAGAATGAGATCACGTGCTTTGCAGCAACATGGATGGAGCTGGAGGCCTTTATCCTAAGTGAACTAATGCAGGAACAGAAAACCAAATACTGCATGTTCTCACGTATAACGGGAGCTAAACGTTGAAAATACACGGACACAAAGAAGGGAATAACAGACACCGGGGCCTGATGAGGGTGGTGGGTGAGGACTGAAAAACTACCTATCAGGTACTATGCTTATTACCTGGATGACAAAATAATCCGTACACCAAACCCCCATGACACACAATTACCTGTAAAACAAACCTGCACATGTACCCTGAGCCTAAAATAAAAGTTTTTTTAAAAAAAAGAAACATCCTGCTGTACTGGCCGAGAGGTGCACAACTCACTTGGGTAAATTGAGGAAGGAGCCACTACACTAATAATCCTATAGGTAGTTTGTATTTACAAAGTACTGGAAGCATTTCAATATACCCAGTGGCTAAAAGAATTGACTGTTTTTCAAGCTAGGACTGGAAAAAGAGCTAGCTTGTCCAAACACCTTTATCTAAGGAAGCTGTAAACCAAGTCTCAGGCAGAGTGAGCTATGAAATGTCAACAAGCAATGTTTGGGGGTGAGAAGAACAGAAAGAAAAAAGCCACAATGAGCCCCAAGCACACCCCTGCCTTGGGAAATCAGGCAGTCTCCTTTGGGTGGCAGGGTTTTGGGTAAATAGTGTTTCTGATCTTATGAGGGTCTCAGAAGCCTTTGACCTTTGCTTTTGCAGCCATGCCCACCTGAAGGAATGCATGATCAGGGAAGCTGATAAGAAAGCTGATTGCTACACTCTGATGAGTCTCCACTTAGAACCTGTTGCCACTGCTCCTGTTCCGGGAGTGGGAAGTGTCTACTGAGTGAGATTAAAATCATGGTAGACATCCATTCAAGATATCTAGACCTTTGCGGACATCTTGTCAACCCGCAGGACCAAGCATGACCTAGCCCCTCTGTAGGCAAATTCCCCTGGGTGATTGAGCATTCTTTTTTTTTTTTTTTTTTTTTGAGTCAGGGTACGGTTGCATGCTGTCGCCTAGACTGGAGTGCAGTGGTACAATCTCAGCTCACTGCAACCTCTGCCTCCCAGGTTCAAGCAATTCTCCTGCCTCAGCCTCTGAAGTAGCTGGGATTACAGGTGCACGCCATCACGCCTCGCTAATTTTTGTATTTTTAGTAGAGATGGGGTTTTGCCATGTTGGCCAGGGTGGTCTCATACTCCTGGCCTCAAGTGATCCTCTTGAGCCACCATGCCTGGCCCATATTATCATTAACTAATTATGTGTATTGGCTCGTTATGACACACCAGGAATCATGCCAGTCATTTCACAAGCATTATTTCTTTAAAAATTTCAGTAACTGTAAGAGGGAGGTGCCAAGGCTTTATCCCCATGAGGTAGGGGGATTGAACATTTGCAAATTTCAACCTGCGCTTCCTTTCCGCATTCTCCCCACACACAGCGGCAATGGGGACATTCTGCACACATTCCCCTAGGCGTACAGATAGCACAGTAGAAACAGCGAAAGAAAAGTTTATTCCCAGGTCCAAATACACTTTTGAGCAAAAAAAGAAAGAGAGAGAGAGAGGAAGGAAGGAAGGAAGGCGAAAGGGAAAGGGAAAGGGAAAGGGAAGGGGAAGGGGAAGAGGACGGAAGGGAGGGAAGGGAGGGAAGGAAGGAAAGGGAAGAAAGGGAAGAAAGGAAAGAAAGGCATGTTTTTTATCAAGATGTGATTTATTTTTAAATAAGTTTTTTTAAACTAAAAAATAATAATGAAAATCAGCAATTCTTCATCTCACCCCTTTCAATCTTTCCCCAGGCCAAATCTTGAATGTCACAACTTTCCACTCCCTAAGCTTATTCTTTTTGTTTTTTGACAGTCTTACTCTGTCTCCCAAGCTGGAGCGCAGTGTGGCCCGATCTTGGCTCACTGCAACCTCTGCCTCTTGGGTTCAAGTGATTCTCCTGCCTCAGCCACCTGAGTAGTTGGGATTACAGGCACCTGCCACCATGCCCAGCTAAATTTTGTATTTTTTTTTTTTCAGTAGAGACTTGGTTTCACTGGGTGCAGTGGCTCATGCCTGTAATCCCAGTACCTTGGAAGCCTGAGGCAGGCAGATGACCTGAGGTCAGGAGTTCAAGACCAGCCTGGCTAACATGGTGAAACCCCATCTCTACTAAAAATACAAGAATTAGCCGGGCATGGTGGCCGGCGCCTGTAATCCCAGCTGCTTGGAAGGCTGAGACAGGAGAATCGCTTGAACCTGGGAGATAGAGGTTGCAATGAGCCAAGATTGCACCACTGCACTCCAGCCTGGGCGAAAAGAGCAAGACTCTGTCTCAAAAAAATAAAATTAAACTAAAAATTTTTTTAAAAAATTAAAAATTAAAACTTAAAATAAAAAATAAATAAATTAGGCCAGGCATGGTGGCACACAACTGTAGTCCCAGCTACCGAGCAGGCTGAGGGCAGGAGGATCACTTGAGTTTAGAAGTTCAAGTTCAGCCTGAGCAACACAGTGAGACCCTCACCTCTAAAAAATAAAAGTAAAAATTAAAAGTCAGGCCAAGTGCAATAGCACATGCCTGTAATCCCAGCACTTCAGGAGGCCAAGATGGGAGAATTGCTTGAGCCCATGAATTCGAGACCAGCCTGGTTAACACAGCAAGATGCTGTCTCTAAAAAAAAAAAAAAAAATTTAATTAGCCAGGCATGGTGGCACAAGCCTGTAGACCCAGCTATTCAGAGGAGATGAGGTGGGAGGATCACTTGAGCCTGGGTGGTTGAGGCTGCTGTGAGCTATGATCATGTTACTGCACTCCAGCCTGGGCAACGGAGCAAGACTCTTTCTCAAAAAATAAAAATAAAAAGTCAGCATTTATAAAGGTCCACATCCTGAAAGAAAACATCTGGGAAGAAGGAGAGAATACTCAACCTAAGAGAGCAGAAATCTTAAACACCTGTAGAAACAGTGAGTTTGACCAATGCTTCTGAGAAGCATCAGAGAATTTCTCAGTTCAGACAAGGTGCATGTTAAACTATGGTATGTTTTATTCTGTTTTGAATATCATACTGAATACATTACATAAGCTTAATGATAAATGTTATCTATCAAATTAACTATTTAACTATAAGAAGTCTGCCCCGGTAGGGAAGTAGGGATT
This sequence comes from Homo sapiens, assembly GCF_000001405.40. Lineage (NCBI taxonomy): Eukaryota > Metazoa > Chordata > Mammalia > Primates > Hominidae > Homo > Homo sapiens. The sequence continues at coordinate 21,245,476 of NC_000010.11, forward strand.
TATCCTTGCATTTATTCATATTTTCTGATCTTGAATTAGGTTCTGTTTGGGTTTGTTGTTGTTGTTGTTGTTTTGAGACACAGTCTGCCTCTGTCACCCAGGCTGGACTGCAATGGCACGATCTTGGCTCACTGCAACCTCCACCTCCTGGGTTCAAGTGATTCTCCTGCCTCAGCCTCCCAAGTAGCTGGAATTGCAGGTGCCCACCACCATGCCCGGCTAATTTTTTGTATTAGCTGGGCATGGAGACGAAGTCTTGCTCTGTTGCCCAGGCTGGAGGTGCAATCTCCACTCACTGCAAGCTCCACCTCCTGGGTTCACACCATTCTCCTGCCTCAGCCTCCCAAGTAGCTAGCATTACAGGTGCCCACCACTACGCCTGGCTAATTTTTTGTATCTTTAGTAGAGATGGGGTTTCACTGTGTGAGCCAGGATGGTCTCGATCTCCTGACCTCGTGATCCGCCCGCCTCAGCCTCCCAGAGTGCTGGGATTATAGGCATGAGCCACCGCACCCAGCCATATATTACTTTTTTATATACTTTTTTCCTTCTGTGTCCCCACACAGAGCTACATTCACTTCATCAGAACAACTTGGTAGTGAACAGGAGGAGTGCGCTGTGTGACCTTGATGCAGTTACTCTACAGACTTTTGATAAACTTGACCACAAACTCCTCTAGAGCAGGGACTGTGTCTTCTCTGCCTTTCCTCAACACCTTGCACCATGCCAAGTGTTTAAAAAATATTTGTTCTACCAAGTGATGGTGAGAATGTGACGCAACTAAAACTTCACTAGTAGAAATGTGAAATGGTATAGCCCCTCTGGGCAGTTCTTACAATATTTAACATACACTCGCCATATAACCCAGTAATCCCACTGCTGGGTATTAACCTTAGAAAAGGAAAATGTTACGTCATACAAAAACTGGGACGTGAAGGTTTATAGCAATTCTATTCATATTTGCCAAAAACTGAAAACCACTCAAATATCCTTCAAGGGATAAGTGAGTCCTTTTTTTTTAATTGGGCCAGGCACAATGGCTCACGCCTGTAATCCTAGCACTTTGGGAGGCCAGTGCAAGAGGATCACTTGAGGCCAGGAGTCTGAGACCAGCCTGCCTAGTGCTTTGGGAGGCCAAGGCAGGAGGATCACCTGAGGCCAGAAGTTTTTGTAGAGACCTGGTCTCTACAAAAAAATTAAAATAAAAAAATCATCGAGCGTGGTGGTGCATGCCTGTAGTTCCAGCTGCTCTGGAGGCTGAGCAGGAGGATTGCTTGAGCCCAGGAGTTTTGAGGTTGCAGTGAGTCATGATCACACCACTGCACTCCAGCCTGGGTGACAGAGTGAGACTCTATCTCAAAGAAGAAAAAAAATAAATTGGTATATCCATACTGATATAGTTTGGCTCTGTGTCCCCACCCAAATCTCACGTCAAATTGTAATTCCCAGTGTTGGGGGAGGAACATGGTAGGAGGTGATTGGATCATGGGTGTGAATTTCCCCCTTGCTGTTCTCGTGATAGTGAGTGAGTTCTCATGAGATCTGGCAGTTTAAAAGTGTGTAGCACCTCCCCCTTCACTCTCTCTCTCCCCTGTTCCACCATGTGAAGATGTGCCTGCTTCCCCTTTGCCCTTCCTCCATGATTGTAAGTTTCCTGAGGACTCCCCCGCTATGCTTCCTGTGTAGCCTGTGGAACTGTAAGTCAATTAAACCTCTTTCCTTCATAAATTACCCAGTCTCACAGTTATTTATAGCAGTGTGAGAACAGACTAATATACGTACAACGGAATACTATTCAGCAATAAAATGGAACAGACTATTGATACAACAACTTGGATGAATCTCAGGCATTATGCTAAGTGAAAGAAGCAGTCTCAAAAGATTATTTACTGTATGATTATTTTCACTTGACATTCGCTAGAAGACAAAACTATAATGATGAAAACCAGATCGGTAGCTGTCTGGGGTTGGAGTTGGGGGAGCAAAGAAAATTTAGATCACAGGAGTAGGGCAGCTCCAGGATTGATGTAGGGACTCCCTAACATAGCCAGAGACATGGGGTCTTTCTAATTTTTCACCTCATCATCCTCAGCAAGTGGCTGGTCTGCTTCATCCTCTACTGAAAATCTGTTCCCATTAAGCAATAATTCCCCTATTTGCTGCTTCCCCAAGTCCCTGGTAACCACTGTTGTGCTTCCTGTCTGTATGAATTTACCTATTCTAGGTACCTCATACATGTGAAATCATGCAGAGTGTGGTGCTGTGACACAGAGGAGATGGCTTCACTTCATAACCTAACACTTTCTGAAAAAGTGCTGACAAATCATCCCAGCTGGACAAAGTTTAATTTCCTAGATATGTCTCTAGATGACATTATAATCTATAAAAAGTTAGAAGAGATAAACGCTGAAAAAGAATAAAAGAACCATAGTAAAAAGGATTCACCTTCAAGACAGCAATCAAATGCTCATGGACATCACCAGCAGAGAGGATACCCAAGATTCAGAAGCAACTCTGAGGAAGGAAATTATGATTAAAAAAAAAAAAAAAACCATCCCAAGAAACTTCTGGATTCAAGTCTGGACGGCACCCTTTAAATGGGCAGCCTTTAACTGATCAGGGTCTCATTCTGTTGCCCAGGCTGGAATGCAGTGGTGCAATCATGGCTCGCTGCCCCCTCGACCTCCCGGGCTCAAGTAATCCTCCCACCTCAGCCTCCTAAGTAGCTGGGACTACAGGCATATGCCACCATGCCCTGCTAATTTTTTTTTTCTTTTCTGTAGAGATGAGGTCTCACTATGTTGCCCAGGCTGGGAAAGCATCCTTCTATTGCTCATACTTTTGAAACTTTTGAGACTATCACTACAGCCAAACTCACTAGAAAAAAAAAAAATTACCTTGCAGTGAAGAAATGTATTTAAAAAAATAAGTGGAATCATGCAAAATTTGTCCCTTTGTGTCTGGCTTATTTCACTCAGCATAATGTCCTCAAGATTCATCCATGTTGTATCATGTGTCAGAATTCTATTCCTTATTAGGACTGAAGAACATTCGATACATGTAGATCACATTTTGCTTACCCATTGATCTATCAATGGATGCTCATGTTGTTTCCATCTTTTGGTTATTGTGAATAATGCTGCTATGAACATGAGGTTATAAATATCTGTTTGAGTCCCTGCCTTCAATATTTTTGCGTATATGCCCAGGAGTAGAGTTGTTGAATCCTATGGTGATTCTATATTTAATTTTTTGACAAACCACCATACCATTTTCCATGGCGGCTGCACCATTTTGCCTTTGCACCAGCAATGCACAAGGGTTCCAATTTCTCCACCTTGCCAATCTTTGTTGTTTTCTGTTTTGTTTTTTTTTTTGACAATAGACATCCCAATGGGTATGAAGTGATGTCTCATTGTGGTTTTGATTTGCATTTCCCTAATGATTAATGACATTGAGCATCATTTCATTGTGCTTATTAACCATTTGTAGATCTTCTTTAGAGAAATATCTATTTAAGTCCTTTGCTCATTTTTGGGTGTTTTTGTTTTTGTTTTTGTTTTTGCTTTGAGAGACAGGGTCTCACTCTATCACCCAGGCTGGAGTGCAGTGGCATGATCATAGTTCACTCCAGCCTCAAACTCCTGATCTGAAGTGATCCTGCCACCTCAGCCTCCCAAAGCACTTGAGTTACAGGCATGAGCACCATACCCAGCCCCATTTTTTAATTGGGTTGTTTGGTACTTTTTGTCGTTGAATCTTAGGAGTTATTTATATATTCTGGATATTAATCCTTTATGAGATACGTGATTTGAAAGTATTTTCTTCCATTTGACCCACAGAATGGGAGAAGATATTTACAAATCTGCTGATAGTGTCCTTCAATGTACAAAAGTTTCTAATTTTGGTGAAATTCAATTTGTCTATTTTTCTTTTGTTGCCCATGCTGTGAGTGTTACAACCAAAAAATCATGACCCAATCCAGTGTCATGAAGCTTTTCCCTACTACAAGAGTTTTATGGTTTTAGCTCTTACATTTAGCTATTTCACCCATTTTGAGTTAATTTCAATAGTGATCTTAGGTAAGGTAAGGGTCCTATTTAAATATTTTATTTAAATTTTATTTTTTATATTTTATTTTTATCTATTTTATTTACTTTTAAATTTATTTATTATTTTATTTAATATCATATTTAGAATCATGATTCAAATATTACATGTATCTTTAAAAAGCTCTTTAAGTGGGGAAAATAAATGAATAGAAATAAATTAAATAAATAAATAAAAGCCTTTTAAAATGTTTCCTGGCTGGGTGCAGTGGCTCACACCTGCAATCCCAGCACTTCGGGAGGCTGAGGTGGGTGGATCACCTGAGGTCAGGGGTTTGAGACCAGCCTGACCAACATGGCAAAATCCCGTCTCTAATAAAAATATAAAAATTGACTGGGTGTGGTGGTACACACCTGTAATCCCAGCTACTTGGGAGGCTGAGGTACAAGTATCACTTGAGCCCTAGAGGCAGAGGTTGCAATGAGCCAAGATCACGCCAGTGCACTCCAGCCTGGTGACAGAGCAAAACTCCGTCTCAAAAAAAAAAGAAATCATATTTCACAATGGATCTCTGTGATGGTTAATACTGAGTGTCAACTTGATTGGATTGAAGGATACAAAGTATTGATCCTTGGTGTGTCTGTGAGGGTTTTGTCAAAGGAGATTAATGTTTGAGTCCATGAGCTGAGAAAGGCAGATGCACCCTTAATCTGAGTGGGCACCATCTAATCAGCTGCCAGCTCGGCCAGGATATAAAGCAGGCAGAAAAACATAAAAAGGCTAGATTGGCCTAGCCTCCCAGCCTACATCTTTCTCCCATGCTGGATGCTTCCTGCCCTGGAACATCAGACTCCAAGGTCTTCAGCTTTGGGACTTGGACTGGCTTCCTTTCTCCTCAGCTTGGCTTGCAGACAGCCTATTGTGGGACCTTGTGATTGTGTAAGTTAATACTACTTAATAAACCACCCTTTATATATATACATATACATATCCTGTTAGTTCCATCCCTCTAGAGAACCCTAATACAATTTATGTTTCCTCTATAAATGTCCTTTATGACAGAGCCTCTCATATCCAGTACTTTTTAAACTTTTAAAAAACCTGGCCGGGCTCGGTGGTTCACGCCTGTAATCCCAGCACTTTGGGAGGCCAAGGCAGGTGGATCACCTGAGTTCAGGGGTTCAAGACCAGCCTGGCCAACATGGTGAAACCCCGTCTCTACTAAAAATACAAAAAAAAATTAGCCAGGCATGGTGGTAGGCAACTGTGAGGCAGGAGAATCACTTGAACCCAGAAGGAGGAGGTTGCAGTGAGCTGAGATCACGCCATTGCACTCCAGCCTGGGCAACAAGAGCAAGACTCCATTTCAAAAAATAATAATAATAATCTTTTGGCAATATGGTATGTTTCTTTTTACTAAGTAATGAAGTCCTTGTCATTTTTCATTTTTCCTTTATTTTCTGGGTTGAGAAGAAACTCAGAACTAAGAAGAAGTACTTTTTGATGAATTGCAATTGTTCCTCTTAAACCTAGTTATTTAGTATAATCATTTTCTCATCTTCCTTCTCCCTTCTACACTACCCAAGATTGTATTATTTTTGCTTGTGATATTTTACCTTGATTACACTGATCTGGTAGTAGCTGTTTCTTTTACTTCCTTTTGGAGTAGGAGCTAGCCAGGTACACAGTGATGTGGCCATTTTAACCTCAAAATTAGTAAGATAGAAATAAAAAACATAGCTTGTTCATTTTCTGGAACAGTTTAATCTTATGACCCTCATCCCTCTTGGTAGCTGTGGCCAGGTCGGGGTAGGGCTATCTGAACTAGCCAGTTAATGGTATCTCAGTCTCATCAGGTTGTAATAGTCTATTTCAGTTAGGTCAATCTCTTTCAGATGAATGTTCAGTATTTAATATTAAGATTTTCTCAGGCTATGTAGTAGGTTGAATGGTGTTCTCCCAAAATTCCACCTGAAACCTGTGAATGTAACCTTATTAGGAAATAAGGTCTCTGCAGATGTCCCTTCTCCAAGAGACCTTGTTAGAGACTGAATGTTTGTATCTCTCTTCTCCCAATTCCCCAAAAATGTGTATGTTAAATCCTAATACCAATGTAATGGCATTTGGAAGTAGGGCTTTTGAGAAGCTCCACTCTCATGAACGGGATTAACACCCCTATAAAAAAGGCCCCAGAGAAACCCCTTACCCCTTTTGCCATATGAGGACACAGAGAAAAGATGGCCATCCATGAACCAGGAAGGAATCTGCCAGCGTCTTGATCTTGGACTTCCCAACGTCAAGAACTGTGAGGAATAAATTTCTATTGTTTATATCTACCCAGTTTATGGTATTTGGTCATCACAGCCCAAAAAGACTAAAACAGACCTCAAAATGGAGAACAAGATAAAGCCTTCTCAGCTCTCCACTTCCCTCTCTCCCCATCTAAAACCAGCCCCACCTCCCAGGATGCCAGTCCAAGGAGGGAAGTCAGGCCTCACAGCTTCCCCGCCCTCCGCTTCTCTTCATTCTGTGTCCTCAGGACTAAAGGGCATCAACTTCTCCTACTTCTCATGTACCTCATAGCCTTGGCTTATAGAAAAGTCTCCGGCTTTTGAAGTATTAAAGGGAGCTTAAGAAACTTAGAAAACACTTCCTCTATTACAGTCTGGTTTTCAATAGTCTTGCTGTGGACTCAAATATCCTATTTTGGATATCTAACACTTACCATTGATTCTTTCTTTTTGCAATTGTGTGTAATAACTCTAATCCTTCCCAAGGCAAGTAAATGCCCCTGGCAGAATATGTGGAAAATCACACAAGCACTAAAGACAGACAAAAAAAGCAGAAAGCAGAATTATGTTGATTGATTGATTGATAGATAGATAGATATTTTATATTAGCCTTGTTACAGGAAAGCAGGGAAAAAGCAAACTCCATGCCCTAATTTTAGGTGAATTAGTTTTGGATCTTGTAATTCATGTTGAGAGTTTTTAAGGAATTGAGCTATCCAAAAGAAGCAAGCCCAAAGATACCACGTTTTTAAAATGCACAACCTTACTGGGAAAAAATATATATAAATATACAGAAAAGGGGCCACATCGAAGCATATACAAGTAGAATATCTTGCCTATAAAAATGAGGCAGAGGAGGCTGGGCGCGGTAGCTCACACCTGTAATCCTAGCACTTCGGGAGGCCAAGGCGGGCAGATCACCTGAGGTCAGGAGTTCAAGACCAGCCTGACCGACATAGAGAAACCCTGTCTCTACTAAAAATACAAAATTAGCCAGGCATGGTGGCGCATGCCTGTAATCCCAGCTACTTGGGAGGCTGAGGCAGGAGAATCACTTGAACCCGGGAGGTGAAGGCTGTGGTGAGCTAAGATTACACCACTGCACTCCAGCCGGGGCAACAAGAGAGAAACTCCATCCCAAAAAAGCAAATAAATAAGGCAGAGGCCAGGCATGGCTGCTAACGCCTGTAATCCCAGCATTTTGGGAGGCTGAGGAGGGTGGATCACCTGAGCGCAAGAGTTCGAGACCAGTCTGGCCAGCATGGAGAAACCCCATCTCTACTAAAAATACAAAAATTAGCTGGGCATGATGGCAGGCACCTGTAATCCAAGCTACTCAGGAGGCTGAGGCAAGAGAGGTGAGAGAATCGCTTGAACGAGGGAGGCGAAGGTTGCAGTGAGCCAAGATCGTGCCATTGCACTCTTGCCTGGGCGACAAGAATGAAACTCTGTCTCAAAAGTAATAATAATAAGGCAGAAGCCAGAGACTACTGACTGTGGAGTGTTGAGAAGAAACAGGGGCCTGAGTCACAAATAGAGAGAGATTTATAGGTACAGAGCACAAGAGAAAAAGATAATCTGGACGCTCCTGACCAAATTTTTGCGAGCCATGGCACACAGAGGAAAAATATTGGCTTCGCATGCTGGGATAAACTAGACAACATTGAGGGTAGGAGCCATTTATAGAGTACTTAGTGGGAAAACGTCATTACTTTTTAAACCTCTTTTTTTTTTTTTTTTTTTTGAGATGGAGTTTTGCTCTTGTTGCCGAGGCTGGAGTGCAATGGCGCAATCTCGGCTCACCACAACTTCTGCCTCCTGGGTTCAAGCGCTTCTCCTGCCTCAGCCTCCCGAGTAGCTGGGATTACAGGTGCCTGCTACCATGCCTGGCTAATTTTTCTATTTTTAGTAGAGATGGAGTTTAGCCATGTTGGCCAGGCTGGTCTCAAACTCCTGACCTCAGATGATCTGTCCACCTTGGTCTCCCAAAGTACTGGGATTACAGGCATGAGCCACTCGCACCTGGCCAAAATGCCAACTTTTTAAGGATGATCTCTTCAAATTCTTGGAAGTCATTGTCAATGAGATCACTTTTAAATGAGAAACTTCAGAGAGTTTTAAATGAAGAAACTTTGCACAAATACATGCTAAAGAATGTAAAGTGATTTTTACATCTATCCAAAATGTACAATAGTTGAAATATTGAAAGACTTGATTATTCATATTCTTTATTGATAAATGTAACATTTAAATGTCTTATGATAATATGGATGGATTTCTAATTCAATCAGACCCTTTCATATGTAGAATTTTAAAATAATAATGAAAAAATATTTTTAGAGACAGGGTCTTGTTCTGTTGCCCAAGCTGGAGTTCAACGGCATGATCATAGCTCACTGCAGCCTTGAACCACTGGGCTCAAGTGATCCTCCCATCTCAGCCTTCCAAATAGCTGGGGCTACAGGCACATTCCACCATGCCCAGCTAAGTTGTTTTTGTAGAGACAGGGTCTTGCTATGCTGCCCAGGCTGGTCTTGAACTCCTGATCTTCCATCTCAGCCTCACAAATTTCTGGGATTACGGGCATGAGCCACCATACCTGGCCCAATAATGTAATTGTTTATTGTCTTTTGTTTTTTTTTTCTTTGAGATGTTGTCACCCTGTCACCCAGGCTAGAGTGCAGTGGCACAATGTTGGCTCACTGCAACCTCTGCCTCCCAGATTCAAGCGATTCTTATGCCTCAGCCTCCCAAGTTGCTGGTATTACAGGTGTGCACCACCACATCCAACTAATAATAATGGAATTTTTAATTCACAGAACATGCACGTGTTGTTGGGGCAATTAACCAGCCCCTAGTTTAAGCACCACTGCAAGGACGTGGCCAGGCACAAATGGACAGAAGTATCTGAAATAGGTGAAGAGGAAGATTTGGGACCACCCAGGAGCTGCACCCACCAGTAGCTGCACCCACTAGGGGCCCCTGTCTGGACTTCACATACCCTGCCCATGACTGCCTGACCCTGGGGCTTGTGTCTTACTTCCTGGAGACCTAAATGGACACACCAGGGCCGCTGGTCTAGACCAGGCAATGTCCCAAGCTGTGGCTGGCTGTTGAGGTCCAAGTTCACATGGCAGAGCACCTCATTAGCCACACATAGTGTGTGTTGGGGTAACAACAGAATGCTGATGTAGCTGGAGTTCTCTGCCTTGGAGGCCATAGGACAGTCTATCAGACTCTGCTCCCTGCAAACCTCCCTCCGAAGGGCCCCAAACAAAGCTGCTTGAGTCTGAAGATGGTTCGCCCAGGAGCTTCATCCACACCAGTCCCTGCCAGGCTACCCTGAGAGTTTAAGAGGGCGATGGCTCACAGGCACATGTGTAACCCATGAGTGGCACATATGGGAATTAGAGCGAGAACGTCATGTCCTAAGGCCAGATATGAGAAGCAGCTGAGTGTATATATTAGTGATGGAGAAAAGACCCGTGGAGGAACCAAGGTTGAGAGGAGGAGTCAGTACAAGCAGATAGGCTGAGAGATGCTGACTCGGGTATTGCGAGCTGAGGATCTAACATGTGATCTGATAATAAAGACCTACTAAAAATCATTTGACAAAGTATAAGCTGTGCTGTTCAATACAGTAGCCATTAACCACACGCAACTACTTAGATTTAAATTTAAATTCATTAACAATAAATAAAATTGTAAATTTGGGTTCCTTCATTATACCGGTCACATTTCAAGTGTTCAAGAGCTGACACGTGGCTAGTGGCCACTTTACTGGACAACATCATCGTAGGAAATTTCACTGCAATGCTGCATCAAAGAATATTCCCCCTTAACTATGATAAATCTTCAGCATCAGAGAATAATCCAACCTCTGAAAAGGATTCATCTCCGGCTGGGCGCGGTGGCTCACACCGGTAATCCCAACACTTTGGGAGGCCAAGGTGGGCAGATCACGAGGTCAGGAGATCGAGACCAGCCTGGCCAACATGGTGAAACCCCATCTCTACTAAAAATACAAAAAATTAGCCAGGCGTGGGTCCCAGCTACTCGGGAGGCTGAGGCAGGAGAATTGCTTGAGCCCGGGAGGCAAAGGTTGCAGTGAGCTGAGATCGCACCACTGCACTCCAGCCTGGGCGACAGAGCGAGACTCTGTCTCAAAAAAAAAAAAGAAAAAGAAAAAAAAGGATTCATCTCCAGCCTTCTGAGACAAATTTTAATGATAAATTCACTACTGAAATTTATTTTTATGTCCCTGTTTTGGGGATTGAGTCTTGCTCTCTCACTCAGGCTGCAGTGCAGTGTCACAATCTCAGCTCACTGCAACCTCCACATCCTGGGTTCAAGTGATTCTCCTGCCTCAGCCTCTTTAGTAGCTGGGATTACACACACCCACCACCATACCTGGCTAATTTTTGTATTTTTAGTAGAGATGGGGTGTCACCTTGTTGGCCAGGCTGGTCTCAAACTCCTGACCTCAAGTAGTCCGCCCACCTTGGCCTCCCAAAATGCTGAGATTACAGGCGTGAGCCATCACACCCAGCCTCTTTTTATTTCCCTTTCAAGCCATAGGCTGAGGTATGCTGAAGCCAGTTGATACTGTCCCACAGCTGCTGAATGTTAAATTTCCTGGGATATTACAAACCAGTTGCTAAACATAACCACTATTAAAAACTAAATATGTAAACTTAAAATTAAATAAATTATATTAAAAACAAAGATAACAGGCTGGATGAGGTAGCTCATGCCTGTAATCCCAGCCCTTTGGGAGGCTAGGATGGGAGGATAACTTGAGGCCAGGAGTTCGAGACCAGCCTAGGCAACATAGTGAGACCCTGTCTCTAAAAATATTTTGAGTATTATCTGGGTACAGTGGGTCACACCTGCAGTCCCAGCTACTCAAGAGACTGATACAGGAGGATCCAGAAACTCCTTGAGCCCAGGAGTTCCAGGCTGTAGTGAGCTCTGATCGTAGCACTGCACTCCTGCCTAGGCAACAGAGCAAGACCCTGTCTAAAAATAATAGTAAGTACTCAAACTTACTCTTCCTAATTATTTTTTCTACATTTGACTGCTATCTATGCTGTTGAGGTTTTGTATGTCTACTGGTTCTATAAGCAGAAATACCATATAATGGTGGGCTACCACCATCTCTCCCCACTGCCATGCTGGTAGCTTGAAATTGGCCATAGTGGGAATAACAACACTATGAAAATTAGCCATCACTGAAAATAGGGCTTTTGCTTCAGAGTGCCAATTGCTAAACATTTATCAGCATACTTCTGCTCCTTTCTCACAGTATTATCTATTGAGTGTTTTATATTAAAATTATATGACTTGGGTCCTGGAATAAACACTACCAAGCAAAGGATAAAGTTTCAATGTGGCTACTGTTTACCATCAAGCATTGTTTTCAGTATTTCTATGAGGCCCTGAGATTCAGACATACCTATATAAATATCTTCACTGCCACTTACGAGCCTGTGTCCTTAGTAAACTAGGGAAACTTTCTTGTTGTGTATCCTCAGGGAATCTGGTGAGCTCAACACCTCTGAGCTTAGCCAAGCCACTTCAAGCACAGTGGAGATAATGATAAGAATCTTACAGCGTTCTCCTGAGGATTATGTTTTAATATGTATGTAAAGTGCCTGGCACATAATAGCTAGTAAGCACTGGTCCTCACCTCCATTGCTGTAGGAACTGAAAAACACTAAAAAAGTTTAAGTCCTGGTCTGTTTTCACAAGAGGTGACAATCTGGTTGATGTAAAAAACCACCAAAACGCCGTGCATGGTGGCTCACGCCTGTAATCCCAGCACTTTGGGAGGCCGAGGCGGGCGGATCACAAGGTCAGGAGATCGAGACCATCCTGGCTAACACAGTGAAACCCCATCTCTACTAAAAATACAAAAAACTAGGTGGGTGTGGTGGCAGGCACCTGTAGTCCCAGCTACTTGGGAGGCTGAGGCAGGAGAATGGCGTGAAACCAGGAGGTGGAGCTTGCAGTGAGCCTGGATCGCGCCACTGCACTCCAGCCTGGGTGGCAGAGCGAGACTCCATCTCACACACACACACCCCAAAAAAAAAACATCAAAACACACACACACACACTACATACATATATTGTTTTTTAATATCTTTAAGTCTAGATTACATGCTTTCTTGGTTTGGGTTCTCCCAAGAGCAGGGCCTGAGATAAGATCTTGTGTTGTATTTTGTTTGGAAGATGATTCCGGGAAACAGGAGTGAGAAAGCAGGGAGACTGAGTGTGAAGGAGGAAATGACAATACAAGAAAGCATGATCAAAATCACTGCTATAAGCTGAGCACAGTGACTCAAGCCTGTAGTCCCAGCAACTCAGGAGGCTGAGGCGGGAGGATGGCTGGAGCCCAGATGTTCACAACTGCAATGAGCTATGATTGCACCACTACACTCCAGATCACTGCTATAGAAAACAGAGGTTGAGGCTGGGTGCAGTGGCTTATGCCTGTAATCCCACTACTTGGAGAGGCCAAGGCAGGTGGATCACTTGAGGTCAGGAGTTCAAGACCAGCCTGGCCAACATGGTGAAATCCCCTTTCTACTAACAATACAAAAATTAGGCCAGGAGCTGTGGCTCGTACCTGTAATCCCAGCACTTTGGGAGGCCGAGACAGGTGGATCAACTGAGGCTGGGAGTTTGAGACCAGCCTGGCCAAAGTGGTGAAACCCCATCTCTACTAAAAATACAAAAATTAGCCGGGTGTGGTGGCGGGCGCCTGTAATCCCAGCTACTCAGGAGGCTGAGGCAGCAGAATCGCTTGAACCCAGGAGACGGAGGTTGCAGTGAGCTGAGATCACGCCATTGCACTCCAGCCTGGGTGACAAAAGCGAAACACCATCTCAAAAAAAATAATAAATAAAAATAATTAGCCAGGTGTGGTGACAGGCGCCTGTAATCCCAGCTACTCAGGAGGTTGAGGCAGGAGAATTACTTGAACTCAGGAAGCAGAGGTTGCAATGAGCCGAGATCACGGCCACTGCACTCTGGCCTGGGCTGGAATAATAATAGCTAATATTTACTGAGGACCTGCATTGGGTCAGGCAATGTTCTAGGTACTTTATGTAGTTTAGGTCATTTAATCCTCACAATAATCCTATGAAATAGATCCTATGATTACCCCCATTTTACAGATGACGAAAGTGAAGGCTGAGATGATAAGTAGTTTGCCCAGTAGTGGTGATACTTGGGGAAAAAAAGACGCACAGTCTTTTTTTTTTTTTAATAGCTTTTTTGTCTTTTTTGAGACAGAGTCTCTCTCTGTCACCCAGGCTGGAGTGCAGTGGCAGAATCTCAGCTTACTGCAAACTCCGCCTCTTAGGTTCAAGCGATTCTTGTGCCTCAGCCTCCCGAGCAGCTGGGATTACAGGAGTGTGCCACCATGCCCAGCTAATTTTTGTATTTGTAGTACAGACGGAGTTTCACAACATTGGCCAGGCTAGGAAACACACAGACTTCATCACTAGGCTGTGCCCATCCCTACTTGGAGACGGCGAGGAAGAGAGCGAATGGATACAGGAGGAAGTGAGGGTGCAGCTATGAAACTGACTCAGACAGGCTTCAAGTTCATTCCCACCCTTACTTCCTAGGGTTTGGGATGTTACTTCACCTTCTGTTCCTCATCCCGTGCCTCTTTCTAGCCTTTCCCACCCTCAAAAGATCCACACCTAGAGATAATACCTGGTCATTGCTTAACCAGCTCCACCCCAAGCCCCACCCTTACCCGTATCCCTCTTGCTAACAGCACCTCAACTTTCCTTTGAGGGAACACCAGTCTTCCTGGTGGCAAAGCCTTGTGTTTGGGGTGGATTGGCCCCTACCCTCAGCTCCAGAGGAGGCCCCAACGGCCAAAAACAATCAGCAGAATTGCACCCCACGTGCGATGGCTTCAGGGATGTGTAGTAATCCAGGCCTAAACCAGTCAGCCCCCTGCCTTTCCTTGGCCACAATATTGCAAGCGTCTTCCTAGAGGGCAGGGGGGTGGATCTAAGGTGGAACAGGAAGGTGCAAGACTTCGGCTTCATGTTTGAGTGGCGGAGGAAGCATGTCACCCTGAAGGCAGTTGGCAGCCACTTTGCAACCAAGAGAGAAGCCAACCTTGGAGTAAACCTGATACCACTGGAGGCAGCACGGAAGAGA